>NC_000006.12:84523261-85148261 GCF_000001405.40 Homo sapiens
TTTATTCACAAAGAACTATCCATAGAATTAGTACCATATATGATTCTGTATGCATATTATAGATAAACCCTAGATCAGATAATAGAGTTTCCCCAATTGTGCATTTAATAATTAAATGAATGTTTGTGGACTAAATGAATGAATGAATGAAAATGACAATAAAATGGTACCAGGAATCTCTGAAATCTAGCAAAATTATTTATAGAATCCTCCCAGCATTTTGTAATTGGAAGGGACTCTAAACACAGCTACTCCAGTCTCCCATGACATCCCTTCCATGGGTGTATCCAACCTCCCCAAATATTTCCAGTGTCAAGGAGCTCACCACCTTATAGGATAGCCTTGTTTTGCATGTGGTGAGTTCTGACCCTAACACACATGTGTTTAACTCCTGTAATCTTTGTCTCCACTTAAATGGAATCCCCTGAGAGAATTAACGAATATTTTGTGTTGAGTTTTATACTCAATGGTGTAGCCAGTTTCCTTTCTTTAGCAACCCAGGGTCCCACACTGAGGCATGATTGGTCTCTCTCAGCACTGTGGTTCCCCATTAGAACTTCCACTTCTCACCTTCTCCAGCCTCTAGTCAAATACACATGTCTGGAGTTATATTTGAAATAACTGTAATAAACGATCTGAACACTTTAACATAGGCTTCTTGGGGAAATGTCTAACCGAGGGAAGTTTTTACTGATATGGACCTACATACCTTAACAGGTAAGAGAGAAAGATACTCGGGGCCAGACAGACCCTGTTTGGAGCTCTAATCTTACTATGCAGGCAGCTCTGTGTTGTACATTTGTATAGAGTTTGTTTTCTTTATCTTACTTTGTCCTGACCTTTCACTAGGTGGAAGATTAGAGCATTTTACTCCCTTGCTTAGCTCCAAATTCTCAGGCATTTATTTTTGAATGTATTTAAACCTCTAGCTAGAGCTTTCAAAAAGTTCTTTCTCCCTATTAAATATTAAGACCATAAAACAGAAAATGAGTTTTCTTAGATTTGAGAAGTGCACAATTGGTACATCTTAAAACAGCGCGTGCGTGCATGTGCACGTGTGTGATGGGGGTTGTGTGTTTTCTGTGAGCAACAGTTGTAATGGAGGTTCAGTGGGAAGAGTCTGAGCATTGGAGTCACAAGGCCCAAGGTTTGAATCCTAGCATATGAACCTTTGAGGAAGTCACTACTTTGAGTTTCGGTTTCTTCATCTGTAAAGTGGGTCTAATGATATCACATTCTAGGATGGTTTTGAAACTCAAATATTCCTGGCACAAGAGGAGCACAAAGTCAATATTTATTTCCTCTTTCTATCCAAGAGGAACTTTTGTGGGAAAACTTTCTCATTATAAATCGCTAATTTTCTTTAAAAATAGATCTTCATTGTTCAATGAAGCTAAGAAGAAGAGTAAACACATACTTAGCCCGAGATAAGTATATAACACATATGCAGATCTGGAAAGGGCTTTCTGTCAAAAACCATCCTAAATTAGCGTGGTTAAGCCCTTGTGTTGTTAACAAGTAGAATGGTGACTATGCCTGTTCCATGCACTTTGACACTACACTGCCCTGGTTTGACTCACAAGCATGACTCGACTTTGACTTAGGTATCTGATTGACTTTTGGAGGCAGGTCAGATTCATTTCAGCATCACCCTTGAAACACTTTGCAGCCAGCTGAGTTCATTCCATGTGACCCTGAAAGCCACTGAAGTCACTGTAGCAGCCCCTGGGATCATCCTTTATCAAGAGATTTGTATTCCAACGGGCAATTGTGGATTATCAGGCCAGTTCTATTGTAGACTTATTCCCTTTCCACCTACCTTTACTTATGCTGTTTATCTTACCTCTAAAATACACTTTTATCTTGACTTAACAGGAATAACCTTTTAAAAGCCTGTCTGAGATTTCTTTACCTCATTATAGACATGGCCATCTTCAAAATTACTCTTCTAGCCTGCAGATCTGTCTGCAGAAATTGGGTTGGGTTTGTGAGTTGATGTTCCATTTATTTGTGTCACTTCCTATTTTTTATTAGTCTTGTTTTCTTAAATTCTGTACATTGGATAGTCCAGGAGGTAAAGGACCATTTATTTGATGCTTCTATAAGTTTCCTTGATGTTGAACACTATATATACACACATATACATATATATATAATGTATATATGTAGTACATACACACATATACATATATATAATGTATATATGTAGTACATACACACATATACATATATAATGTATATATGTAGTACATACACACACATATATATACAACATACGATATAAACAATAAGATTAATTTGCTGACTGATTCATATAGAATTATTTGCCAATTTCTTGTCTTCATTTAAAATCCTACCCAGGATTCCTTCATTTGTTCATTAATTAGTTAATTCATCCATTTGTTTATTCAATAAATAATTGTTATGCCCATTTAGTCCTAAGCAGTGATCTAGACCCTTGGGGCAACATAAAGTGAATACTATAAATTCTTACCTCCAGAGGGTACAGTCTTGTTGGGAGAAGTGAACAATTGTGATAAGTAATACAAGGACCATGGCGGCATAAAGGGGCTAGTCATTAATGTGTAAAAAGGTCAGAGAAAAAGTCATAAAGAAGGTAGCACTAAGGAAGGGTCCTCATTTATGAATGTGAATTTTTCATACAAGCAATATCAGGGGGTTGCACTTCAGGCAGAGAGAACAAAATATGCAGTAATAAAGTGTGTTCAACCATGGAGCACAGGAGCCAAGTAACAGTGGTGGGAAATAAGATTAGTGAGGTAGGCAGGGCCAGAACCATGAAGAATCCTGGAAGCCACACAGAGCAGCTGGGACTGACTGTTTTAAACAGAAGCACGTTATCAATGACTTGAGTAAGAGAGACAGCACTTGCTCTCCTCTTACTGGGTCACCTTTTGATCACTTGCATCATCAGCTGAATTAAACTTGTTCCAATATTAAGTTTGACGCTTGTGCACTGGCTGGGCAATCTACATGTTTTTCCTTTCCAGAGGAAAACTGTCTAATAGCTGGCCTGATGATAGCCTTTCAGGGGAACAGTCAGCATTGGAATAGGAAATTCTGTTTTACATGTTCATTGTTTAAATCCCTCCACTAGACCCACAAGCTGCTGCAAGAGAGAAAGATCTTGTCTGTTTTGTTTACCCTTGTATCCCAGCATCTAGATTGGTGCTGGCTCACAAAAGAAACTAATATTTGTTGAGTAAATGAATGAATAATAACAGATCATTTAAAAATGAGACAAAAACGTATAGACTGTAGGGAGAAATAGGTGAATCTACTGTTACAATTGGAGACTTTAACACCCTCCATTAAAAATGAACAGATCCAGCAGGCAGAAAATCAATAAGACACAGTTGAACTCAACGGCACCACCAATCAACAAGATATAATTGACAGCCATAGGCTACTTCATCCAACAAAAGCAGATTACATATTCTTCTCAAGCTCACATGAAACATTTCCCAAGATAGACCACATCCTAAGCTATAAACTACACCTTAACAAATTTAAAAGAATAGAAGTCATACAATGTCAGCTCTCAGACTACAACGGAATTACACCAGAAACCACTAACAGGAAGTAAATGAATGAGTTCAGGAGTAGACCTGAGTCAAGATCAGATAATTTTGGAGAAGTACCTTTTTTTATCAAGCAGGAATTTGGGGTTGTTTGCTAGAAATGTCTTTGAATTACAGTTTCTCTTGAACAGGTAGCAAATCTGGTTTTGGTACTTTTTCAACACCCTGTTTAATTGCCAAATATAGGGTAGTTGGCAGTTTCTCATCTGTCTATAGGCCCTGTCTATGGGGAGTAAAAGAGGAAAGTCCCCAAGGAAGTTGGCCTTGGTATCTACTTCAACTATATTTCTTCTTCCCATACCTCCATTGATGGTCAAACTGGTGCTATGAGAGCAATTAAACTTAAGTGGCTGTTTCTGCCTCATTTTTCCCTGACACAAATATTTGTTCTTTTGTTATTTACCTTTTGTCCAAATGAACATTTTTAATTTCTTCAGATAATGCAAATAGAGTCACTAGGTCCAAGACTGTAAGCCACAGAGGTTTCTCTCACCATAACTACTTTTAGAAGTAGTTAAGTAGACGTGATAACAAAATTGTAAAGATTGTTAAAAATATTTGAGTCAGATTGTAGTCGGAACTGCTAAACTGCTAACTGAACAGCTCGTCAGGAGTGAGAAGTGGGGGAAACAGAATAAATCCAGGTATTAGAAGTCTTCATTGCCAGATGTCCCCTTTGTGACATGGAATAACTTTGAGTTACAAGAAAAGAATCTCTGCGAGCCTGGCTGTGGTTGTCCAAAACTTACCTGAATTATTATTCCTTTTGCTTCTTCCTCACTCTGTCCCATACCCTATCCCACCCCCAGATGCCTGACTTTTCTGACCCCACTCTTGCCTCCCCAGTCTTTGTTTTTTATCTTTTCCCATTGTTGATTAACCTCAACTTCTTAAACCTCGTTTATGCCAACTTGGTCCCCAAATACCTATTTAGTCATCCAATGAATATTTGCCAATCCAGATTAGTCATTTCTTAAATTTGTCTACAAATTCTGTTCAATATCTGGTATAGTGGCACTCTATAAACCTGAAAACAAACAAATGAAACACATAAAACCCCACAAATGCTTTGTATTATTGATTATAAAATTGATATAAGTTGATTATATCTGATGGGCTTTTGACTAGTCTTACAGAGGGTGCTGACAGAGGGCCTGGCAGGAACGAGGGAAAGAGGTAATAATCAAAATCAGCCACATCATCTGAGAGTCCCTGATAGACTGCTGTTTGTTAATCTGAAGGCAATTAATCTAGATTCCCCATTCTCTTTTCTCTCTGAACCATTTGACTCACCTTACTTTATACACATATTTTTATTCTAAGATTACTTTGTCAAAAGATAGATACCCATGACTTCCTATTTGAATACTAATCTATTCTTAGTAACCTTGACATTAACAAAGATACTCTGAAGATTTTGCCATACTTGCTAGAATACTCTTAGCTTATCTTAATATAATACCAACCTGTAAAATTGCCAATATATACCCCTTGATTTGTCATTTCAAAAGTGAGCAAATGTTTTGCTTCACCACCTGTTGCTGTCAATCAAAGTCAGAGTTTTGAAAGAAGCATGATTGGCATAAAAATGCAGCCCATGACAAGATTTTATCTTTAGAACAAGTTTACCCTTCTGCAAGAATTTACAACTGTGTGTGTTTTTAGTACCTTATTCTAATCAATTAAAGTAACCATTAAATAAAATTTTTCTTTCCATGCCATTATTCTTCCACATTATAGAAAATATGGAGTTTACAAAGAAGAAGGGAGAGGAGGGGAAGGATGAAAAGGAGAAGACCATGATACGAATTTTTGATAATCCTACCACCGGGGAAACAATTGTTAACATTTGACTCATTACATTTCCGACATTTTCTTTATACATTTTCCCAAGCTCTGCCTCCCTATTAAATCAGATGTTCACTTTCCTGAGTGTCTTTGCGTATGGTTTTGTCTTATATTTTTCAGGAAGGCCTGAGAGTATGTGATGTAGCTCCTCTCTCCTTTCTACCCCGAACAGCTATGTATTAATATAGTGTTTTCATATGCATCACTCCTCAAAGCCCTATAGCAGACTGACCTTCCACCTGTGGCAACAGTCCCATCCCTTGTGCTAGCTTTACTACCCTTTATCACCAGAGAAAGTGAGTGACAGCACCCTCTTTTTGCATCTTCTACCCCTAAACACTCTAATTTCCCTCTTTATAAAAGCACATCCTCACCCTAAAAACCAAACACACAAAAACAAAACAAGAGGAAGTATCCTTCGGGCTCCTCTTTCAAGTGGCTAATACTTCTAGGTCTTTCCACCACCCCTGCTTCCATACTTCTCAATTACTTCTAGCAATTAGCTTCTACCATCACCCCTCTATGAGAAGTGTGTGTTCAAAAGATTCCAGTGATCTTTTCTCATCATCTTTTTCCTCCCACATAAGCACCTTTTCAATGCTTTTTCTGCCTTGGGCTTCAAAGTGCCTGTATTCTCTTGACTCTTCAAATTATCTGAACTTTCCTTTTGTTGTCATTTTAGCATTCCTCTACTCATTCCTGCTCTCTGGTTGAATTCGTTTCCAAAAGTTTTGCATCTGCTGTATTCTCTCTATAAAAGTTTTTTTTGGTGAATTATATTTAATTACAATTCTTCTTTTCTCAGAAAGCAATGACCTCTCAAGTCTGTTTCTCCAGTTCTTGCCTCTCTTTTAAGTTCTTCTGTAAATCATAGAACATGATACACTTCTGCATGTATAGCAACTAACTTGTCAGTTGTCTAGATTTATCCTTCTTGTGAGTTTTTATACTCCTTGTTACCTTTACTATTAGTACTGCTAACACCCTACCATTTACTAAGTAATTGATTTATGCTATCAGATGCCTTATAAACATTATTTCAATTATTCCTTGCAAAGTATGTAGTAAGAATTACCTCATTTTATACACAGGAAAACAGAAGTTCAGTTAGTTCAGAAAACTTGTCCAAAATCACAACTAGTAGTAGAGCTGGGATTTCCATGTAGCTCTATCTGGGTTTAGAGTCTGGTTCAGTTGTCTATTGCTGCACGACAAGCTACCTGAAAACTTGGTGGCTTAAAAAAATGATTTGTATGGAACTTCTAGAATGGCAGAATAAAGAGCTTAGAATGATAGTTATAAAAATAATCATTTAAAGCATCTGGAAATTATTCCAAGGGCATATAGCAAATGGAGAAATCTTTATTAAAGAAACTCTACTAAAGCTCAGTAGGAATAATGAGAGTCTGTGACATTTGAGCCATGACCTGTTTTCTTACCCCTCCCCAGTTCTTTTTTCTCCAAACTCTATCCCAGGGACTCTACTCCATACAGAAGTTACCAAAAATACAGGGGCTCCCTCTCTGTATCCTCACTTCCAGTTTGAGGTAGTTTTCACCCTGATAAGGGTGAGCTGCTGGTGTTTCTCATATGCCAACCCAGCCCTATATTGCAGACACTCTAGTCCAGTCAAATGCACCCAAGAAGATGGACTCTCCTCTCCCCTATCCAGTGATCACTTGTAAGGCAGAAGCTCTACTCCATGTACAGCAAATCAAAAATACTAGGGCTCAAAATTGCTTCCAGCCCAGTTTGCATATAAGATTCCATGCCAAGGAAGGATGAGCCAAGAAGACAAAGGTCTGCCAGTGGCCACTTGTTCAGTGAGAGGGCCACTGTGGGAAAAGAAGATATTTACCACCAGCTTTAGTATAGTGGTACAGGAGTTCTGCCCAGAGGAAAAGAAAGGCTATATGGACAAAGATTCCTACAGTTCTGCCAAAAGGAATGACTTTTATTTAGAACAGAGCATGGAGAACTCCATGCCTAAGGGCAATGTCAAAAACAACAGAGATTTTGGTGGTGAGCAAATAAGAGGAGGCTGTTAGTTTCTTGATAAAATCAAAATGTCAGAGCACCATAAAATTTAAAGAGAGGACCAGAGAATTTGAGTGACAGTAATGAAGAGCCCTTGTGGGTTCACATTCTAGTATGAGGCTTGGGAAGACTTTGTGCGTGTGATAGGGTGCACTCTCACAGGACCAATCCAGCAGGATGTAGTACACATTTTAAAACATTCCCCAGCCTCCACACAGACCCATTCACACAGGGTGGAAGCCTCATGGTGTGAGGGGCTTAAACACAACTTCTGATTGAACACAGATCAAACAATAAACTACTGTGATATGACATGACTAATAAAAAGTCAGATTTTTTTTAAATCACAGTAATTTCTGGCACTTTGGAAGAATGTATGTATGCTCATGACTGCACATTCTCAAAAATTCTAAGGAAGAAAATGTTCAAGCTACTAATCTCTGGCTGAATAGGGAAAAATATATAAACTCCCTGAACTTTAATAGCAGCCTCCAAGCCATACACATACATAGTGGTAAAGGGTAAAATTCTAATTCGCTGAGGGGCGTAAGCATAATCACTTAACAATAAGTGGCTTATGCCAACTCAGGGGCAATCTCTAAGTAGCCAAGATAAAAGATAAAAATAAAAGAAAGAAAAGATCAGGAAAATAATAGGCTGCACAGAATTAGTTCAGCTAAGTTTTTAAACAAATAACCAAAATGACCAAGTGAATAATAATGACCCTGGTGGGGATGGGGAGACTCAGTATCCAGATTTATATCCAGTTTTCAATAAAAATTATGAGACATTCAAAGATGTAGTAAAGTGTCACCCATACTCAGGGAAAATAAACAACAGGTAATAGAAAGTACTCTTAAGGGGCCCTAGATAGTGAACTTAGAAGACGAAGACTTCAAAGCAGCTGTTATAAATATGTTTGAAGAAACAAACAAGATCTTGATTAAAGAGCAAAAGGAAGGTATGATGATGTCTCATAAATAGAGAATAGCAATAAAAAGATAGAAATTATAAAAAGAACAAAATGAAAATTCTTGAGTTGAAAAGTAAAATAAAGTGAGTAATTTACTAGTGGGGCCTAACAACAGATTTGAGCTGGCAGAAGAAAGAATCAGCAAACTTAAAGGTAAGTCAACAGAGATTATGGAAGCTGAAACTGAGAGAAAAAAATGAATGAAAACAATGAACAGAACTCAGAAAATTGTGGAGCAACATTAAGCACACAAACATACATTTAATAGGAGTACCAGAAACAGAGAGAGAGAAAGGGATAGAAACATTATTTAAAGGAATAATGGCTGAAAACTTCCAAAATTTGATGAAAAACACTGGTCTATACAACCAAGAAGATAAATGAACTCTTAACAAGTTAAAAGCAAAGAGATCCACACACAGAAAAATCATAACAAAAATGTTTAAAATCAAAGATAAAAATAACATCTTAAAAGTAGCAAGAGAAAAACAATGCTTCACATATCAGAGAATGTCAGTGAGAATAAGAGCTGACTTCTCAATGAAAGCAACGCAGGCCAGAGGAAGTGAAATGACATATTCTAAGCATTGAAAGAAAAAGAATGCCAACTAAACATCTTATATAAAGCAAAAGGCCTTTAAAATAGAACAGTGAAATAAAAATATTCAAAGTTAAACAATACTAAGATAATTCATTGCTAGCAGACTTCCCTTACAAGAAATACTTACAGATGTTATTCAGGCTGAAAGCAAGTGACACCAGGCAGTAATATACACCTATATGAAAAAACAAAGAGTGCTAATAAAAGTAATTATGTATGTAATTGTGAGAGACAACATAACTGCATATTTCATGTCTTCTTTTAACTGATTTAAATCATAATTGCATTAAACAATATGCATATAATTTTATTGTTGGGCCAATAACATATAGAAATGTAATATACTTGACAATAACAACACAAAGGAGGCAGGTGGGAGCAAAGCTGTGTTGGAGCAAAGAAATGGTATTAGATGGTAACCAAAATCCACAGAAAGAAACAAAGAGAACCAGAAAGGGCAAATAAAAGTTAATATAGCAGACTTTCTAAATACATACTTGTTCTTTCTGTCAGCTGCTTTAAAAGATGTAAGATTATATAAAGTAATAACTATATCAACATATTGCTGAGTTTATAAAATGTAAACATAATAGGTATAAGAATGAATAGCTTAGAAAATGGAGGAGGAGGGAACATAGCTATATGAGAGTAAAGTTTCTATATTTCACTAGAACTAAGGCAGTATAAATCTGAAGCAGACTCTGATGAGCTAAGCTATATATTGTAAGCTGTAGTTCAAAATTTAAAACTTTTGTGCTTCTAACGAAACCATCTAGAGAATGAAAAGGTAATCCATGGAATAGAAGAAAATATTTTCAAATTATATTTCTGATAAGAAACTTGTATTCAGACTATATAAAGAACTTTTACAACTCAACAATACAGAAACAAATAGTCCAGCTGAAAAAAATGGGGAAAGTATCTGAATACATAATTCTTCAAAGAAAATATACAAATGGCTAATAAACATTGAGTAGATGCTCAATGTCAGTAGCCATTAGAAAAATGCAATTTGAAACCAAAATTAGATACCACTTCACACTCACTAAGTTTACTATAATCAAAAGAACAAGTAAAAAAAATTGTTAACAAGGATATGGAGAAATTAGTACACTCATACATTGATGGGGGGAATATAAAATGGTAAAGCTACTTTAAGAAACTGGCATTTTTTCAAAATGTTAAACATAAAGTTACCATATGATCCAACAATTCTACTCCTGGATATATACTCAAAATAAATTAAAATATTTGTCATGCAAAATTTTGTACATGAATGTTCATAGAAGTATTTTTTATAATAGTAGAAAGGTGGAAACAATAAAAATGTCCATCAACTAATGAATGGCTAAATAAATTGTGGTCTATCTGTAGAATAGAGTATTATTAAGTATTAAAATAAAAGAAGTACTTATACTTGCTTCAACAAAAATGGATCTCAAGAACATAATATGCCAAGCATTTTGGCTGACACATATAATCCCAGGGCTTTGGGAGGCTGAGGCAGGAGGATCACTTGAGGTCATTAGCTGAGCATGGTGGCACACACATATTGGCCTAGCTACTCAAGAAATTGAGGCAAGAGATTTTCTTGAGCCCAGGAGTTTGAGGCTTCAGTGAGCTATGATCGCAACACTGCACTCCAACCTGAGTGGCAGAGCAAGACTCTGTCTCAAAAAAAAAAAAAAAAAATTAAAACATTATGCTAAGTGATAGAAACCAGTCATAAATAACTAAATGTTACATAATTATTTTAAATTATATGTCCAGAATCTATTCAGAGTATATGTAGGTTAGTGGTTGCCAAGGGCTGGGGGATGGATAAAAATGGGGAGTGAGTGCTAATGTGCATGGAGTTTCTTTTTTGGAGAATAAAATTGTTGTTTTAAAATTAGATCGTGCTGATGGGTACATAACTCTGTGAATGTAATGGTTTACTAAAAACCATTTAATTATATATTTAGATGGGTGAATTGTGTGGTATGTAAAATATACCTCAATAAGCTATTTTAAAATGATTTGTCATTGTATAAGATTCTGTATGTTGGCTGGGTTCAGCTGAGTTTTTCTTCGGCTCCACACAGCATCAACTGCAGTTCTTTATGTAGCTGCAGCCATGTGGGTGCTCAGGTTGGATTGGAGCATACAAGATGGCCATACACTGACTGACTGAAAGGGGTCCTGGTTGTTGGCCTAGCATCTCAGTTCTCCCCCACTTGACCTCTCTCCTTCCAGTAGCCTAGATCAGCTCCTCACAGAGTAGTGACTGGGTCCCAAAAGAGTGACTGTGGAAGCTTCCAGGCAGGTGCCCTTGAAGAGGCAGAGCATCACTCCTGCTATTTTCTAGTGCTCAAAACAAGTCCAACTGAAATTCAAGGGGAAGTGGAATAGATTTCATGTCTTGATGGGAGTAGCAGGATGTGTTTAAGAGATGGGAAGAACTGTTGGTGACCATCTTTGAGACAATCTCTCACAGAGCTCTTAACCACTCAGCAGCAACATGTGAAATCTATCAATGAAGATAGATAGACATCTTAGTGAATGCCAATATCAATAGATAACATTCCTAACTCAAAGGATTCTTATTCTGATAATTTTCTCAGCAATTTTGCAGCTAGACATCAGGTATCTAGGAAAAATTCTACTGCTCTGCAATCACATTAAGACATGGACATTTCTGTGAGCTGGTCTAAGACCTTTCCTAGGATCTTTCTATATTACTTGGGAAAGGAACTCTGTGCTATAGGATCTCAAACACTTATCAGAGAATAATATCATCTCACATTGACAGAGGGAAGGGAGACACTCAAAAAGGGAGAAGGGGATAGTTGAGAAACCTCTGGTCCTTTGATATGAAACCATCAATCTCCTTTAGACTATCTGTAGTTAACACTGTGGTGCATCTCCCCAGATTCTCTCTTATTTCAGGGCATGCGTCATTTTCCCAGGTGCTGAGAATGTTGACTGCAGATGGTTCGCAGCTGCATTCCTCTCAAAGAATTTCCTCAGTTGAAGGTAACTCCCTCACTTTTCTTGCCACCCTGTCTCATGGTATTGAATCCCCCTCACTTGATGGTAGAATAAAGGAAGAGAAGAGCAAGGAGTTCAGAATGACTGAAGGGATGTGTCAGTAGCTTGAGCCATGACAAGCAGCTGAAGTATTATCCTCTAAGTCATTGAAAGCCACTGAGTGATTTTAAGCAGGGAAGTGGCAGTACCACACCCACCTTGTTGAAGGACCCTTATGGAGATGGTGTGGCATATGAACTGAGAGTAATGGTGGAGATAAAAGTGGGAGCAGCCAGAGTGAAAATGAATACCTAACCTACAACATTACCTATGAGGTAGATAGAAATATATGATTCAAATAGCATTTCTGAACCAAAATGTAGAGGATTTAATAATCAATTGAATGGGCTGCAGAAAGTGGATAAATAGCAGATGATCTTGGACAGTGGTGTGCTGGTAAATTTTTAACTGGTTCTCTGGAAAAAAAATACATGTATGCCTACATATATGTCATTACGTAAGTTTATTATAAATTTTACTGATTTAAAGTGTGTGTACTATATGATTTATAAATAATGAAAATGCAATATTTTCATTAGAAATTCCATAGCCAATTGATTCTCACAGAATGCTTTTATTAATTTTTGCTGAGCTCCTGTTCTGTGGCCAACCTGTGATTGCAATTCAACCATGATTTGACAAATGAAGTTGCATCCTAATCTTTACCCAATAAAATTATTTTCATTAAATCTGACAGAAAGCGTATTGTCAAACTATTCTGTCTTCCATAAAAATTACTATTCATTAAATTGAAACATCTTTTCACTTCATCACTAGCCATTACTCACTTTTAGTGTAACTTGATTTATTAACTCATTCTCCATATCACTTTCTTAAGCCTAAAAAATGAACAAAACAAACATCAAGCCCAGATTTGTAGCATAGCCAATTTTCATGGTGGAAATGCTCCCACTATGACTGATTTAAAGCTGCCCTTGTTATGCTGTTAAACAGAATTGTGAAGAAATGTACACTAAAGCCCCATTAGATAATATTCCCAGCATCCTGGTATGATATAAATTCAAGATCATAGAAAAAAGTAAAATCATTAGGAAATGGTAATTTTTAATGGTTTACTACCTTTGATTTTAATATAATTTATAAAGTTAAAATTTTATATAAGTTTTAATAATGACTGTGTTTAACAATTGGTTTGAAAAATCCTGCATTTAAAAATGGGCTTTTGTGAGATTGTGTGAGCTAGCTCCAGCACACCACTGTTCCCAGGTGCTCTGGATTTGACACCTGAAAAATTAAGGATGAGAGATGTACACCTTGGATTAGATTTAAAACAACATCAGAAAAGCAGTTAATTTTTTAAAAATATGTGTAGTAGTATTGGATTCAGGTCATTTATCAGTACCAACAGCAACAAAAACTATTGGCTTAAACAGGATAGTCCCTCTCTCAGGTAAGAGAATCCAGAGGGAGGCTGTCCAGGCTGCTATAGTGTAATACCTACATGGTAACAAAGGCCTAGATTCCTTTCATCTTTATGTTTTACCACTTCATGGTCCAAGATGGCTGCCTGAGCTCCAGTTTGCATATCTACTTTGCAGTCAGCAGAAAGGAGAAAATAGGTGAAGAAAAGGCAATTCCCTTCATTTAAGACACTTTTAGGAGTTAGCAGAAATACTTCCATTTAAATATCATTGGCCAAAGCAGAGTCACATGGCACTTCTAGATCATGGAATATTAGAGAATCCAGTTTAACTAGATGGCAACGCCATCTATGTGTCAAGGTCCATACTTCTCAGGATAAACAAATGAATATTGGGAAGCTACTTGCAGTCTCTATGTCAAAGTCTTAGGTGCAAGTCATCATTTTTTTCATCTCAGTTCATCAATGGGAAAAAAAACCCAGAATTTATGTTAAAATAGCCAAAACTTTCAGAGAAAAACATTTTAGTAACTAGTGTGTCCTGCTCTCATCCAGCCTGGTCTGCTATCATTCTACCTGGCATGGGCTGTGCCCCAAATAGACTGGAGACATTTTCTCCTCATTATCACCTTGTTAAGCTGCGTGTCTCAACCCCCTGCCTCTGAGGCATGTTCTGGGATCTTAACGAGGTGATAATGAGGAGAAAAATGATGTGGCAGTCCTTGGTCTGGTCTAGTCTTCATAGTTCAGAAGAGACCAGAGCTTTAATTAAGAATACTTGCTTTAATATAAAACTTTCAGATGTATATTTTGAGATCTCTGGATATAAGTAAACAAAGGGAAATGTGCGTTTCTATTAAAAGGTGTATTTGCGCGATGTCTTTTTCCTGTTACTCCGACAAAAAGAGGTACATTCTTTGAAAGAAATGAAGAATTACAAGAAAGTGTACAGAATCTGGTAGGTAAGGGTAAGGAAAATGGGAGGAGAAACAGACTTGAAGAAAAAGAAGTCCAGTTACACATCTTACACATAGAACATTCAGTTTTTTCCTGCATTTTCATCTGACCATTTGGTGTTCTGTTGACACACTCTCAATAAAAAAGTGTTTGTTTTACATGTTTGGCCCAATAGTGTCACTTCAACTTATTTTATAAACCAGATAATTCATTAAAAATGTAAAGGGTTTACATATTATTTGAGGAGCATACTTCTCAGTGATTAATTTTCAGGACTTGCTGTAGTTCTTTAAAATGTGACTTTGGATTATTAGCTAAATACGATGGATAAAAATCACTCCAAACATTTTTTATCACTAAAACGTATTGAGTTTGCCACAGATGGTTTTATAGCACTGCAAGTGCTATTATAGAGCATCCATCTGCATCTCAACATTGCTGCACATTAGAATCAGCTTCAGAACTTTAAAAAACAATACCAAGTCCTGGCCCTTTAAAAATAGGCCTTGATTTTATTGATTGGAAGTGGGGCCTGGACATCAGTATTTCTTAAGCTTCTTATGTGATTCTAATACACAAGTAAGGCTAAGAACAACTAATCTTTCTAGTCTCAGCCGCTCATCGTTCAGAGAGGAAAGTGAAATCCTGAGAAACGAAATGCTTTACCCAAGGTTAGCCATCTAATTAGTAGTCATCTGAGACTAGAATCCAGTCTCCTCATTTAAGTGTTCAGAAAAATACTTAGGGAATCAAAAGTAATTGGTAGTGTTCTTCTGTATCCAAATTTTATCATTTACTGTTTTTTCTTGTTATTTAATCTGCTAAAAGTCATGTTACAAGTAAGACAATGAATAGTACAAATACATGGTTATGTGGTTTAAAGTACCCAATATTCTGTTCTTTCTCCATCAATTTGGAATTCCTTTTAAGATATTCTGATTTTTCAAGAGAAGATCTGCCAAGTCTTGACTTTAGAAACCCTGTTATTTAATAAACCTCTTTGTAAATGATTCCAAAAACCCAAGAAAATAAGTGAAAAATAAATAATAAGTGAAATAATCATAATACCTGAAAACAGTGAAATAAGTGGAAATATCAAAACAGTCTAAGTAGAAGGTAGGTATATCTTCCTTGAAACTTATAAAAATCTAGTTTGATTCATGTTACCATAGTTTCTTGTTTTTATTCTTATTTTCTGCTTGTACTTCTGAATTAAAAGTGACCCTGTTTAGTCAAGCAGCTTGTATAATGCCTAAAAATGATTTTAAAATCAACCTACTTCAACAACATTAAAGATAGGTACTGACCACTTCTGCTTGATGGGGAAATATATCAATAAATGCCTGCATTGAAATGGTCTTTCTTTTCAAGAGGTCAAAACACTTTTCTAACATTTAGGTGTTCTCAGTTTATCTCAATGAGATAATTTTAAATGAAAGAAATGATTGCTGCCATGTTACCCACAGTGACACTGAACACTGCTCTGCACGTAAAGCAAAGCACTGGATCACAGCCTGAGAGCGATCAGTGCTGTTTCCCAGTGGCTGTCTATCTTCATGACAAATTCTGACCACCCAACAGCCCATTTGGCTGTGGTGAACGCAGAGGGAAGAAGAGAAATGGCTGAAACCCACTATGCTGACACACAGTCATGCCACAGTCCATTTGTTCATTTGTGCTTACAGTCTGAAGCAAATGGAGTTTAAGGAACTTTCCCCAAGGCTGATTTTCCCTTAATGATAGATTTACTTCTTAACCTATTTGGCTAAATCACACAACTGATTAAACTTTTATTGTGAAAAAGTCAAAACAACTTCACCTCGTGTTGTTATCTGATCAGTCCCTCAGTGACACACCTCAGTGTCACAAAATCACTCTTCTTTGCACACTCTCATCAAGGAAAAAAAGTAATCCCAGGACAGTGTTCTTCTGTCTGAACCAAGCTATTTATCAACAGGAAACTGACCAGATTGTTAGTGCATGAAATGTTTTGCCAACATCTGATCTTAATTTATTTTATTAACTTAGTTCCTAGTTTTCTAAAATTTTGACTAAAACTTAAGAAAGAGGAGTTCTATGGCTTTGTTTTCAGTGGATGTGGAAGTAAGAGATCACTTCTAAGTAAGTATATTCAACTCTAGGTTGCCTTTATTCTCTGAGAAACATAAGAGTAAGGGTTATTTTAAGTAGCAAATTATCAAATAAAATTTTGTGTTTTCCCTAATAATCATATTTTTCTTGTGAAGGTGCTACATTACTTTTTATTCCCTGAGCTTTCAATAACCAACTGTGAAAAAAGGAGTATAAAAATCACATCCTGGGTGGCAAATGAGGGCTTAAAAATTCTTTCAAGGTAATACACATTGATGATCAGTGAACCTCCATGGAATGCTGATTTTTCTAATTATGGTTTATACTTTATAATCAGATTAGTTTTTATAATGAGCATAAAACAAATTTGACAGCCAAAATCAATATGAAAGAACTTTCTATTTAGCTTGAGTATAGAGAAACAGTTGGCTCTTTCAGAAACACATTTCTATTAAAGAAAAATAAATTCACTATCATTTCACATCAGACAGAAAAAGAAAATAAAAAGATTTAATTAAGGCAAATACCCAGGTATTTAGGTAGTCAATTACCCTAACAGGTGGAGTCCCCCAATGGATGCAAACTAGAAGCCAGGACCTACACTAACAAATTAGAATATTGTACAAGTTTCTCAAATATATTTATTACATAACAGGTTATTTTGTTGTTTAAAAGATTGGGATTCAGGTGGCTGGCAAGATGGCTGAATAGGATGAGCTCTGGTCTGCAGCTCCCAGTGAGATCAACGCAGAAGGCAGGTGATTTCTGCATCCAACTGAGGTACCTGGCTCATTTCATTAGGACTGGTTAGACAGTGGGTACAGCCCACGGACGGCAAGCTGAAGCAGGGTGGGACATCGCCTCACCTGGGAAGCACAGGGGGTTGGGAAACTCCCTCCCCTAGCCAAGGGAAGCCATGAGGGACGGTGCCATGAGGGATTGTGCTGTGAGGGACAGTGCATTCTGGCCTAGATGCTATGCTTTTCACACAGTCTTCACAACCCACAGACCAGGAGATTCCCTCGGGTGCCTACACCACCAGAGCCCTGGGTTTCAAGCACAAAATTGGACAGCCATTTGGACAGACACCAAGCTAGCTTCAGGAGCTTTTTTTCATACTCCAGTGGCACCTGGAATGCCAGGGAGACAGAATCGTTCACTCACCTGGAAAGGGGGTTGAAGCCAGGGAGCCAAGTGGTCTGGCTCAGCAAATCCCATCCCCACAGAGCCCAGCAAGCTAAGATCCACCGGCTTGAAATTCTCGCAGCCAGCACAGCAGTCTGAAGTTGACCTGAGACATTTGAGCTTGGTGGGGGCAGGTGCATCCATCATTACCGAGGCTTGAGTAGGTGGTTTTCCTCTCACAGTGTAAACAAAGCCACCAGGAAGTTTGAACTGGGCACAGCCCACCCCAGTTTGGCAAAGCCACTATAGCCGGACTGGCTCTCTAGATTCTTCCTTTCTGGGCAGGGTATCTCCAAAAGAAAGGCAGCAGCCCCAGTCAGGGGCTTATAGATAAAACTCCTGGGACAGAGCAACTGGGGGAAGGGGCGGCTGTGGGTGCAGCTTCGGCAGACTTAAACATTCCTGCCTGCCAGCTCTGAAGAGAGCAGCAGATCTCCCAGCACAGTGCTCGAGCTCTGCTAAGGGACAGACTGTCCTCTCAAGTGAGTCCCTGACCCCCGTGCCTCCTGACTGGGAGACACCTCCCAGCAGGGGTCGACAGACACCTCATACAGGAGAGCTCTGGCTGGCATTTGGCAGGTGCTCCTCCGGGACGAAGCTTCCAGAGGAAGGAACAAGCAGCAATCTTTGCTGTTGTGCAGCCTCAGCTGGTGATACCTGGGAAAACAGGGTCTGGAGTGGACCTCCAGCAAACTCCAGCAGACCTGCAGCAGAGGGGGCTGAGTGATAGAAGGAAAACAAACAAACAGAAAGGAGTAGAATCAACATCAACAAGAAGGATGTCCACACAAAAACCCCATCTGAAGGTCACCAACATCAAAAACCAAAGGTAGATAAATCCCTGAAGATGAGGAAAAACCAGTGCGAACAGGCTGAAAATTCCAAAAACCAGAATGCCTCTTCTCCTCCAAAGGATCATAACTCCTCGCCAGCAACGGAACAAAACTGGATGGAGAATGAGTTTGATGAATTGACAGAAGCAGGCTTCAGAAGGTGGGCAATAACAAAGTCCTCTGAGCTAAAGGAGCATGTTCTAACCCAATGCAAAGAAGCTAAGAACCTTGAAAAAGGGTTAGAGGAATTGCTAACTAGAATAAACAGTTTAGAGAAGAACATAAATGACCTGATGGAGCTGAAAAGCACAGCACAAGAACTTCGTGAAGCATACACAAGTATCAATAGATGAATTGATCAAGCAGAAGAAAGGATATCAGAGATTGAAGATCAACTAAATGAAATAAAATGTGAAGACAAGATTAGAGAAGAAAGAATGAAAAGGAATGAGCAAAGCCTCCAAGAAACATGGAACTATGTAAAAAGACCAAACCCACATTTGATTGGTGTACCTGAAAGTGACAGGGAGAATGGAATCAAGCTGGAAAACACTCTTCAGGATATTATCCAGGAGAAATTCCCCAACCTAGCAACACAGGCCAACATTCAAATTCAGGAAATACAGAGAATGCCACAAAGATACTCCTTGAGAAGAGCAACCCCAAGACACATAATCATCAGATTCACCAAGGTTGAAATGAAGGAAAAAATATTAAGCGCAGCCAGATAGAAAGGTTGGGTTACCCACAAAGGGAAACCCATCAGACTAACAGTGGATCTCTCTGCAGAAACCTTACAAACCAGAAGAGAGTGGGGGCCAAAATTCAACATTCTTAAAGAAAAGAATTTTCAACCCAGAATTTCATATCCAGCCAGACTAAGCTTCATAAGCGAAGGAGAAATAAAATCCTTTACAGACAAGCAAATGCTGAGATATTTTGTCACCACCAGGCCTGCCTTACAGGAGCTCCTGAAGGAAGCTCAAAACATGGAAAGGAACAACTGGTACCAGCCACTGCAAAAACATACCAAATTGTAAAGAACATCAACACTATGAAGAAACTGCATAGACTAATGGGCAAAACAACCAGCTAGCATCAAAATGACAGGATCAAATTCACATATAACAATATTAACTTTAAATGTAAACAGGCTAAATGCCCAAATTAAAAGACACAGACTGGCAAATTGGATAAAGAGTCAAGACCCATCAGTGTGCTGTATTCAGGAGACCCATCTCATGTACAAAGACACAGATAGGCTCAAAATAAAGGGATGGAGGAAGATTTACCAAGCAAATGGAAAGCAAAAAAAGCAGGGGTTGCAATCCTAGTCTCTAATAAAACAGACTTTAAACCAAAAAAGATCAAAAAAGACAAAGAAGGGCATTAAATAATTGTAAAGGGATCAATGCAACAAGAAGAGTTAACTATCCTAAATATATATGCACCCAATATAGAAGCACCCAGATTCATAAAGCAAGTTCGTAGAGACCTACAAAGAGACTTAGACTCCCACACAATAACAGTGGGAAACTTTAACACCCCACTGTCAATATTAGACAGATCAACGAGACAGAAAATTAACAAGGATATTCAGGACTTGAACTCAGCTCTAGATCAAACGAACCTAATAGACAGCTATAGAACTCTCCACCCCAAATCAGCAGAATATACATTCTTCTCAGCACCACGTTGCACTTATTCTAAAATTGACCACATTATTGGAAGTAAAACACTCCTTGGCAAATGCAAAAAATAAACTAGGTATTGATAAAACATATATCAAAATAATAAGAGCTATTTATGACAAACCCACAGCCAATATCATACTGAATGGGCAAAAGCTGGAAGCATTCTCTTTGAAAACTGGCACAAGACAAGGATGCCCTCTCTCACTACTCCTATTCAATATAGTATTGGAAGTTGTGGCCAGGGCAATCAGGCAAGAGAAAGAAATAAAGGATATTCAAATAGGAAGAGAGGAAGTCAAATTGTCTCTGTTTGAAGATTACATTATTGTATATTTAGAAAACCCCATCGTGTCAGCCCCAAATCTCCTTAAGATGATAAGCAACTTCAGCAAAGTCTTAGGATACAAACATCAATGTGCAAAATTCACAAGCATTCCTACACACCAATAATAGACAAACAGAGAGCCAAATCATGAGTGAACTCCCATTCACAATTGCTACAAAGAGAATAAAATACCTAGGAATACAACTTATAAGGGATGTGAAGGACCTCTTCAAGGAGAAACTCAAACCACCACTCAAGAAAATAAGAGAGGACACAAACAAATGGAAAAGCATTCCATGCTCATGGATAGGAAGAATCAGTGTCATGAAAATGTTCATACTGCCCAAAGTAACTTACAGATTCAATGCTATCCCCATCAAACTACCATTGACTTTCTTCACAAAACTAGAAAAAAACTAGTTTAAATTTCATATGGAAGCGAAAAAGAGCCCATATAGCCAAGACAATCCTAAGCAAAAAGAACAAAGCTGGAAAAATCACGCTACCTGACTTCAAACTATAGTACAAGGCTACAGTAACCAAAACAGCAAGGTACTGGTACCAAAACATATATATAGACCAGTGGAACAGAAAAGAGGCCTCAGAAATAATGTCACACATCTACAACCATCTGATCTTTGACAAACCTGACAAAAAAAGCAATGGGGAAAGGATTCCATATTTAATCAATGGTGCTGGGAAAACTGGCTAGCCATATGCAGAAAACTGAAACTGGACCCCTTCCTTAAACCTTATACAAAAATTAACTCAAGATGGATTAAAGACTTAAACATAAGAACTAAAACCATAAAAACCCTAGAAGAAAACCTAGGCAATACCATTCAGGACAGGCATGGGTAAAGACTTCATGACTAAAACACCAAAAGCAATGGCAACAAAAGCCAAAATTGACAAATGGGATCTAATTAAACTAAAGAGCTCCTGCACAGCAAAGGAAACTACCATCAGAGTGAACAGGCAACCTACAGAATGGGAGAAAATGTTTGCAATCTATCCATCTGACAAAGTGCTAATATCCAGAATCTATAAGGAACTTAAATAAATTTACAAGAAAAAATCAAACAACCCCATCAAAAAGTAGGCAAAGGATATGAACAGACACTTCTCAAAAGAAGATGTTTATGCAGCCAACAAATATATGAAAAAAGCTCATCATCACTGGTCATTAGAGAAATGCAAAGCAAAACCATAATGAGATACCATCTCATGCCAGTTAGAATGATGATCATTAAAAAGTCAGGAAACAACAGATGCTGGAGAGGATTTAGAGAAACAGGAACGCTTTTACACGGATGATGGGAATGTAAATTAGTTCAACCATTGTGGAGGACAGTGTGGCGATTCCTCAAGGTTCTAGAACCAGAAATAACTTTTGACCCAGCAATCCCATTACTGTGTGTATACCCAAAGGATTAGAAATTATTCTACTATAAAGACACATGCACACCTATGTTTATTGCAGCACTATTCACAATAACAAAGACTTGGAACCAACCCAAATACCCATCAATGATAGACTGGATAGAGAAAATGTAGCACATATACACCATGGAATACATGCAGCCATAAAAAGCAATGAGTACATGTCCTTTGCAGGGACATGGATGAAGCTGGAAACCATCATTCTCAACAAACTAACACAGGAACAGAAAACCAAACACTGCATATTCTCACTTATAAGTAGGAATTGAACAATGAGAACACATGGACACAGGGAGGGGAACATCACACACTGGGGCCTGTTGCAGAGTGGGGGCCTAGGGGAGGGATAGCATTAGGAGAAATACCTAATGTAGATGATGGGTTGATGGGTGCAGCAAACCACCATGGCACATGTATACCTATGTAACAAACCTGCGCGTTCTGCACATGTATCCCAGACTTTAAAGTATAATAATAATAATAAAAGATTGGGATTGAAGAGGCACATCATTAGGTAATTGTGAAACATAATGTTACTCTCTTAACATCAGCTCAAGCACAAAAGAGGAGGTATAAATTGCACTAGATATGGAGTGTCATACATTTGATTTCTCATCCTAAATTGGTCACCAAAGAGATGTGTGGCCCTAGGCAAATTACTTTACCTCTCTTGGCCCCAGAATCCTCATCTATAAAATGCAAAAGTTGCACCAAATGACTTTTAAAGTCACTTCCAGTTCCATGGGTTTTATACTTAGGGGACAAAGCAGGGAATATAGACTCCCTAAAGCAAAATGTTCAGAGTTTTACAATAGAAACAACCCCAGAATCTCTTCTCTCTTTCCTCTAATTGTGCTCCTTCTTCCCCACACACTTTCCTGCACACCATCAGGAAATAAAGTGAGAAAAAAAGAAAGCCTCCTGTTGCATGCAAAAAACAGATCTGCCAGTGTTGAAGGGTTGGGTTAAGTGGAGCCTTTGCTGGTGATATCAGACTATATTTTAATTAGATGTCAAGTTCTAAGACCATGAAGCTGAAATGATAAAGAGCAGGCTATTAATGGTCCCAATTACAGAGCCCCAAGTATCTCTTAATTTATGTACTGATAATCTCCTGGTAATTTTCTGGATGCTGCCGCAGCGTACACATTCCAGTTCCTCTCCTGCTTCATGTGGATTTGTTCTCCAAGTTCCTTTCTCCATTATGCTCTGCCCAGCTCATTTAGAGCAACCACTTTGCCTCATAGCCAGACCGCCAGCCTCAGCTGGGGCGAGGGGAACCGGCGACAGCTCATCTGCAGCAGAGCCTTTGGTGGAAGTGTGGCCAATTAGTCACACGTTTGGTGTTCTAATTAGGCGAGTCTGGGACTTTGGAAAATGTGCTGTTGATTTAGGTACTTCCTCAAACAATGCTAAATTGTGTTATGTGAAATTCAATTAGTCTTTTTCTAAACGTTTCCACATCTGTTCTTCTTTAAGCATAAAGTGATGAGGAGAGAAAGAGAAGTGAAAAGCCAGAGTCTCCACTGGTGAAATATGTTAGGCCTTAGGGACCAGCCCTTTTCCCAGCTTTTGACCCTGAACAGTGATACACAGGAAGGAACAAAGTTGGAGAGCTATCATGGTGAAGCCCTTTTAAATAAATCATTATAGAAGAAATACTGCAACTGCACGGGAATGTAATCTCGTATGATGGCCATAAACTCAGCTTTGTTTGAAAATAGATGGCATGGAGGAGGAATCATTAAGAAGTGAATGATTATAAATTCTATCTTAAAGGTAATATTTGTGATTATTCTGGTTATATTTTTTAAAAGAGTCTTTTCTAAACAAAAAATCCTTTGGTTTAGTATTTCATGTCCAGGTCTAGTCTAATGAGTTTTTGTCCCCTTCTATCTATTAAAATTTCCATATAAAATTGAGAACAGCATGAAATCCCACAACACTTAGTGACTAAAATAGAAGACAATGAAGATGAAGATGATGAGGAAGAAGTTTCCACTTTCTCTGAAGTGTTTCCTAGTTTCCATTTGTGCCACTGCTGGCAGCTGCACGATGGCATGTTGCTTTGATCCCTCCAGCTCTGTCCCAAGCTGCTCCTACCCTGAGCCTCTCACTCTCCTATTTGCTAAAGATGCTGTGTCATTGCTTCTTAGCACCTCTTAATTCCAACACACTTAACTCCAAGTTCATCATGTGTTTTCATGTTGTATCACACTCGGTATATCCACTGATTTTGCCAAGAGGCCAAATGGCAATATCTTTTACCAAAGTGGCACGGCTCAAAACCGCAGGCGTCCAAAGGTGAAGGTGTACATGCATTTGATCCTTCTTTCTGTTATCACCTTTTCAGTGACTAACATTTCAAAACCTTATCTGTGGCTGGCAGGCCATGTTTCAGTTTTGTCAGAGCCCAGATATAGACTGTGTGGTTTTCTGATGATATATCTCTGTAAGATTTGTGGAATGCTAAAGATGGAGTTGTCAACACTACTTTATGGCACCTCGGTGCATGTCAGAAAATGAAAATATTTTCAGAAGTGTTAGCATTATTTTGACTGATGATATACTCTTTTAAGACAAAGACTTATTTAAATAAAAAAATTCAAGGGAAAAAAACAAACAAAGTAAGGCATTACCCATAAACAAGTTGATTAATCTGGTGTCTGTAGCTCTCATGAAGAAGATAAAGGAAGATTAGAAAATTAAAATAGTGATATTTTAATGCCATTCTGGGTTTGCAGTTTTTATTAACTAAAAAGCACCCTGAATTTGACTACCCTATTGAAATCAGGTTACAATTCCGTGGAATAAAGTTTATAGCAATAAGCGTAAATAAATTACTCCTTTTTACTATGGAAGATAATTATTAAATTAACTAAGTTTTTGATAATATTGTCTAGAATTTGGTTTTACAGGAATATTGATTGGTAATTACAGTCTACTATCTCTCATTGTATTTTTCTTACATAAGGGATTATTTACCAGTATTGCAACCTGTAAAACCATTGTTGAATGGAAATTTTGCTTTAATCTCTCAACTTTTTACCTGCTTCATTTGTGACTTAGAGAAGTTGGATTAATTGTGAGATAACATTAACTCCACAGAGCAACATTATCTGATTTTTAAAAAATCATTATTAATTTTTTTCTTTTCTTTTTTTTTTTGAGACAGAAGTTCTCTCTGTTGCCCAGGCTGGAGTGCAGTGACACGACCTTGCTCACTGCACTCCACCTCCCAGGCTCAAGTGATTCTCTTGCCTGAACTTTCTGAGTAGCTGGGACTACAAAAATTACAGGGCACGTGCCACCACACTCTGCTAATTTTTGAATTTTTAGTAGAGATGGGGTTTCACCATGTTGGCCAGGTTGGTCTCGAACTCCTGACCTCAGGTTATCTGTCCTCCTCGTACTTCCAAAGTGTTGGGATTGCAGGCGTGAGCCACGGCACCTGGCCTAATTTTTCTTTCCACTGGGTAACTTTAATCTGAGTATCGATTTTTTTAAAAAAAGGGCATTTAAGCCATTAGCTTTAAGCCAAAGAAACAAGCCTTGTCTTTTGCTACTTAAAAGCTTAATCTGATCATTCATCATAGCTAATTCCTGTTCTTAGAAAACATGCCCACCTGGCTGTTCTGAATGAAACTAGCTCAAGTCATTTTGCTTCCTATTGGCAATACCAGGGCCATTGCTTAATGAAAAAAAAAAAAAAGGGCGTCAGATTCACACCTGTATTCTGTGATCATATGTACTATGATTAGTACATTTGTAGTTATCACAAGCACAGATTCAAAATCACTCTTTCTTCTAAAATGCCAGTCTTGGGGAACAGCATCACTAATTTTTATTTTTAATTTTTGTGGGTACATGGTAGATATATATGTTTATGGATTACATGAGATACATTAATACAGGCATGCAATATGTAATAATCACATCAGGGTAAATAGGGTATTACCTCAAGCATTTATCCTTTGTGTTTCAAATAATACAATTATACTCTTTTAGTTATTTTTAAACAAACAATTAAATTACTTTTTACTATAGTCACCTTGTTGTGCTAGCAAATACTAGGTCTTATTTGTTCTTCCTATTTTTTTGTGCCCTTTTTCCATCCTCCCCCTTCCCAGGCCCACCCTTGGCTATCCTACCCTGCCTCTGGTAACTATCATTCTACTCTCTATCTCCATGAGTTCAATTGTTTAATTTGTAGCTCCTACAGATAAGTGAGAATATATGAAGTTTGTTTTTCTGTACCTGGCTTATTTCGCTTAATATAATGACCCCCAGTTCCATCCATGTTGTTGAAAATGACAGAGTATGGTTCTTTTTATGGCTGCATAGTACTCTATTCTGTGAGTGTACCACATTTTCTTTATCCGTTTGTCTGTTGATGGACACTTAGATTGCTTCCAGAGTTTGGCTATTGTGAATAGTGCTACAATAAACACGGGAGTGCAGATATCCCTTAGATATACTGATTTCCTTACTTTTGGGTATATACCTAGAAGTGGAATGGCTGAATCATATGTTAGCTCTATTTTTAGTTTTTTGAGGAACCTCCCACCTGTTCTCCTTAGTGATTGTACTAATTTACATCCCCACCAAGAGTGTATGAGGGTTCTCTTTTTTCCACATTTTTGCCCACATGGGAAGCATCATTTTAATGTTTGTACTAATGTCATCTACCAGAGAGACCAAATGTGTAAAATAGTTCTCCCTGCGTTATTAACTCAAACCAGAATTAAACTCCACATAATGGTGGCGTGTTGCTGGGGAGAGAAGGAAAGCAGACCTGCAAAGGTTGCCACCTGCAGGCTGTCCCTGGTCTTTGAAGGGCAGTGCCTGGTCAGCAGAGGAGCATCCCTGCCTCCTTATTTCCACAGAGTGACAATCAGAGTCAGTTTTCTTTTTTCTTTTTTTCCCTTAACTTTTAATTTCCGGGGTACATGTGTAGGATGTGCAGGTTCGTTACATAGGTAAATGTGTGACATGGTGGTTTGTTGCACAGATCATGCCATCACCTAGGTATGTGCCCACTATCCATTAGCCATTCTTCCTGATGCTCTCCCTCCCCCTACAACCCCTCTGCCCCCATGCTTTCTTCCTGCTTTATTTGCTTGTTTTGGAGAATGAACTCCATGAAGGCAGGAATTGCTTTTCATACATTTGTTTCCGTGTGAAATAATTTGCTTGACACATTTCTCTATTGATTTGGCTTGATTAATGATCTTAAGTGCCACCTAGTTTGTACCATAGCATAACGGCCAAACATTTTTATATCTCCAGTTACTAGAGCCACATCAGAATTGAATCCCAGACCCCAACACTCCCAGTTTCTTTTGTCGTCTGTCAATAGGCTGGTGTTACCAATGATTTTCTTGACTATTTACACTTGGGGTTCAGGATAGGTGGGATGTTATAGAAGGACTGACCTGCCTAGACACAGAGAGGAGTCAAGTAACAAAATTAAAGAATAGCATTGGGTATAAAAAGTGTATTGATTGATTAAGACAAAATGATACATCCAGAAAGAGCTAAAACATAAACAAAAGTTAAATAATAAAATTAAACTTAAGATGAGAAGTCACACAGCACAGAATTAAGTGCTAAACTATGAGAAATTGGTAAGATGTAAACAAATGGAGAAGATTAAGGACTACATTTCTGAACATTTCTGGTAGACAGACTGGAGTGAGCTAAGGCAAGAAGGAGGGTGGTTGTCCTCTTATTTAACTGGTTTCCCAGTCTCAGTCTCCTGGTTCTTCTTTCTCTCCTTGACTTCTAAAGGCTGAATCTTCAGATCTCTTCTCTTCGGTACTTTATATATCCTGATATCCTAGGTGATGCCATGCAGGTCCACTGATTTAAATGTCATTTATATACCGAAAGTCCCTAATTTTTCCTGCCAACCCAGAATACCCCCCTGACTTGGATACCCAATTCCATTTATTTATTTATTTATTTGGAGGTTGGGTCTTGCTCTGTCATCCAGGCTGGAGTGCACTGGTGTGATCATGGCCAATTGCTTATTTAACATCTTTCTTTGTGCGTCTAATAGCATCTCAAAGCTATACAATATATATACTAAACTGAACTTTTGATTTCCTACCTCCCACCTCTAAAAATTACTCCCCAGATCATTTAATAGAAATTCCATTCTTTCAGTTGCTCAGATAAAAGAATCTTAAAGTTGTGCCTATCTTCTCTTTTTCTCCCTTATCCTGCATTGAACGTGCCTATCTTCTCTTTTTCTCCCTTATCCTGCATTGAACCCATCAACAATCCTGCCCTCTCCTCTTTCAAAATATATCCAGAATCTGACCACTTCTCATCTCCCCGACTGCCACCATCCTGAGCCACCACCATTGCTTTTTGTTGGGATTATTACAATCACCTCGTAATTGGTTCCTTTACTTTTACCCTCAAACCTCTTATAGGGTACTCTCACACTGAACCAGAAGATCATTTTAGAATGAACATCAGGATGTGTTCTCTTTTTTTACTCAAATCCTCACATGGCTTTCTATCTCCTTCATCAGAGCAGCCTAGATCCTTACCATGGCCTCATTGGTCCCACCTGAGCTTACATCCCCCCCATTGTTTCTTCACTCATCTTCTATCACTTCATTCTTGTTACTCTGCCCCAGCTGCTCACACTGGCCTCCTTGCTCCCCTCGAATACAATGAGCACATTCCTACTGCAAGGCCTCAGCATGTGCTGTTGCATCAGCCTGGAAAACTCCACACCTGTCTGCCCACATGGCCTGCAACCTCACTTTCTTCTGGTCTCTGGTGTTTTGTTTTGTTTTGTTTTTGTTTTTGTTTTTTTTTTGAGACGGAATCTCGCTCTGTGGCCCAGGCGGGAGTGCAGTGGCGCAATCTCGGCTCACTGCAAGCTCCGCCTCCCGGGTTCACGCCATTCTCCTGCCTCAGCCTCCCGAGTAGCTGGGACTACAGGCGCCCGCCATCACGCCCGGCTAATTTTTTTGTATTTTTTTAGTAGAGACGGGGTTTCACCGTGTTAGCCAGGATGGTCTCGATCTCCTGACCTCGTGATCCGCCCGCCTCGGCCTCCCAAAGTGCTGGGATTACAAGCGTGAGCCACCGCGCCCGGCCTGTTTTTGTTTTGACAGAGTTTTGCTCTTGTTGCCGAGGCTGGAGTGCAGTGGCGTGAACTCGGCTCACTGCAACCTCCATGTTAAAGCAATTCTCCTGCCTCAGCCTCTCGAATAGCTGGGATTACAGGTGCCCGGTATCACGCCTGGCAAATTTTTTGTACTTTTAGTAGAGACGGGGTTTCGCCATGTTGGTCAGGCTGGTCTCGAACGCCTGACCTCAGGTGATCCACTTGCCTTAGCCTCCCAAAGTGCTGGGATTATAGGCGTGAGCCACCGTGCCCAACTTCTTCTGGTCTCTGTTGAAGTGTCACCTCCTCGGGAACTTACCGGACTCTCCTATGGAAGACACCACTCGGGTCTCTAGGTCTCTCAGTGATTTATTTATCATATAGCCCTTACCACCACCTGCCCCATTAAATATTTCTTTGCTTGTTTAATGTCTGCTTCTCTCCACTAGAGTATACACTCCTTAAGGTCATGAACTTCATTTATGTTGTTCAGAGCTGTACTTCTCAGTGCCCGGAATGATGCCTGAACCATAATAGGTGCTTAATAAATGCCTGCTGAATGAATGAATGAACAATGATGATGAATAGACTGCTTTTCAGGTAGGTAAAATAATTTGCACTGGGAAGTACTGGGATATGATGTTGGAAAGTCAGAATGAATGTAAATTGTGGTAAAAATTTATTAAAGGGAAGAGTATAGATTTTATTGTGTAAGTCACGTGTAACCATTAAAACTTCTTGAGTGGACCATTGCATGATGAATATCAAATTTTGGGATGAGCAATCTGGGAAACATTATAGGGTAGATTTTGAAGCTGATTGGAGATTTCTTAGTAATCCAGGCTTTAGGCCCCATGTCATAAATGCAGGCCTTAGAAGAAACTAACTATACGTTGAAATGTACCTATCATTTCAAAGACTCACACTTTTTAAAGTGGAATAAGAATGTCTAAGTCATTGGTATCATGTTAAGGCCCAGTCTGTAGGTTTGGACAGCACCTACTTGAACACAGATACCCAGAGTGAGATAAGAAAAAAAAAAATTAGCTATTGAGAGGGGATAGTTTCCTCAGTGTTTGACACAGCTGCCTGCTAGAAACAAGAGTCCATTTTCCAGTTTCCTTCTGACCAATTACTTTAGACCAGTTGGATGGCATTTCTTACCTGTGCTCAGCAGAATGGCCAGACGTTTCTGGAATAAAAAGTATGATCCTCAAGAGGAGAGGAGTAGAATGGGTGAGCAGTGATGAAAACTTGCCAGGGAATGTTTTCACCAGGTTGACCTCTCCATTGAAAGGGCAGTCAAGAGAGCTATGACTAAGAGGTCCAGCAGTCCTTGAGCAAAAAGGTAAAGAGAGGGAAATATAGCCCTGGGGACTCCCTGTGCCTTTCCTCTGGAGTTTCCATGTTTTACTTAAGTGGCTGGGTTTATCCTTATAAGGTGCTCCCTTCTTAAATATTACCCCTAGGTCCTGAGATTTATCCATCTTTGACTCCAGAGATATTTATCTGCTTTCTTGAAGATCTAGAATTTCTCCAGTGTAGGAGTGACTTTCTTTCCTGACATTGGGTTTTAATAGTAGGTAAATCAGTTGGAAGAAGTTTGGTTGTCATTGTTGTCCTGTTAGAAAAAGATTCTCATTTGAAAGTAATGCATCTTAACTAGATATGACTGCAGTGAGAATTTTAATGATCCTATCATCATATTTTTATAAGATTAGAAAACTCCTGCTTCAGTGACACTGAATATTCAAATGCTGCCCTCTCACTGAGGCTCTCTGTGGCCTCTAACCTTATCATTAGTGATTCTGCACAGATTCACAGAGTAAGCAGTTGACCCAACAGTGATTGCAAAACATTTGGAAAATGTCTGGGAAAGTAGCCATCATTTGTTTCCTATGAAATAGTCATTTTCAATGTGAATGATGCAAAATATTAAGACAAAAGGAAAATGATTATATGAGCTACATAGAACATGTGGGAATTGGTACAGAATTTTATCATGTTTAAGAAATCTTTGACCTTAACAATTTGGAATATGGGAAAATCTAGGTTGCTCTAAAAATAAAATAGCTATGTGATATATGAGTTATCAACCACGGAGTCTCAAACAAGAAAGGAGTGGACTCAAGAGATACATAGAGGGTAAAGTCAAACATATTGGTTATAGATTAGATATGGGAAATGGTGAAGGAAAAGAAGGGGGCAAAATGAGTCCTAAATTTTTGACTTGCCCAACTGGATGGAAAAGTGAACTTGCTCTGAGATATGTGCATTGGAAGAGGATTAGGTTTAAAGGGAATGATCATGAGCTGAGCATTGAACTGGCTGAGTGTAAAATCATTTGAAAGAATTCAAGTGCAGAAGTTGACGCAGCACTTCCATATACGGGTCACAAGTTCTGAGGAGAAATATGAGCTAGAATTATAAATGTGAGTCATGAATAGAAGTGAAAATGAGCCATAAGAGAAGTGGGACAGTGTTCAAGTCAGAAGCAATACTGAGAAGTTCCCTAAGACAAGAGACCGCATCCTTGAATTAAGAAACTGAGAGATCTTCAGACAGGCTGGAGCAGAGTGCCTGGGCAACATGATGAGTGATGAAGAAGAAAGGGAGATTGGGGCCAGATCACGCCAGGCCCTGGAGTCTTGAAGATTTCTGAGTTTAGCCAAACAGTGATAAGAATATTGACATGGAGAGGTGATACAATCAGAGTTACTTTCAAATTATTATCAAGGCGATTTATTGCATAAAGGACTAAAGATGCCATTTGTTGTCTTCTTAAGGAAGAATCTATGTGGGCACTTAGGCACATAATTCTCTAGAACCTTCTTCTTTTGGCTCCTGAGACATAACTTCTCCATTTATGCAGTTCCACTGCCACTGTCCACAATACTATCCACACTGAAAGGAGATGGGAAAACCTTTCCTACTAATGTTGTCCTGTTTTTAGATTACAAAATCACTATCTCTGCCTTTGGGTTCAGAAAGAAGTTCCATGAGATAGAAGAACATTTTCATTTCATATAGCAGCACTTTCAAGGTATTTTCTGGTTTACCTTGGAAGCCTGGGACTTTACTCTTCAGAGTAAATCTTTAAAGGTATAATTTCAAAATAATATATGAACATCTTATTCACAATCTCCTTGAAGTTAAGTAAATGAATAAAATGGGTTTTAATTATTTCGTTATGAAAATCCAGTTTTCCCCATTCACTTAAAAATTAGTTTTATTAAACCCAAATATCTGAGAATTTAAAAAAGAATAATGAAAATGTTCTTCCATTTATTGAACACGTATTATATATCATATATGGTACTAAGTTCCTTTATTTATGTTTATCAAGTCCTACTGTGTGTCAGCCATTAACTCAAATAGGTAGAGTTGCCCCAACCTCTAGTGGACAATTTCCTCAGCCAAATGTCAGATAGGTATAGTCATTTACCATGCAAGAGTCTAGAACATAGACCAACTGAAACTTAATCTATAACTTCCATCCGCAATGTTTCAGCATCATTAATGACACATTCCTCTTCTAGTCTTTCCAGATACTATTATAAAAGTGTTTGAAATATACTCTTCCACATACCTGTTTCTATCAGTGCTTTTCCATTTCATCAAGTCCATTTTTGATCATCTGGGAATGAAATCTGGTTGCTTGAACCAGGGGAACAATTCTTTACAGGAACACTCAATCATTTATCCTAATAGGGATTTGATTTTACCTGAAATACAAAGAAACATTGCAAGAAAGGGAACAACATAAGGATTGGGAGGAATTCCTAATATATTATAAGTTTTCATTCTCAACATATATCATTCTCAATAAGTCATTCATTTTTTTTTCATTTAACTAAAATGTAAGGAAATGCCTACTCTGCTTGGTGCACTCTAGCTCCTGAGCAGTCTAACTACCTGATGCAGAATTGATGCACAAATGGTAAACCCGGTGTGCATACCATAATAGTTAAGAGTTCTGATTTTCGAGCCAGAATGCCTGGGCATGAATTCTGACTCCAACATTTATGAGCCACATAACTTTGGACAAAATACTTAGCTGTGCCTCAGTTTCTCTCCATATATAAAATGGGGAAATATAGGGTTGTCATGAATAGCATGAATGTTATGATTAGTAAGTGACTTAATATTTACAAAATGCTTAAAAGAGTGATTGGCACAATGTAAGGGCTTGTTAAATTTAAAAAAATAATTTTTATCTGTTTCAAATAACCACAGATTTTCAAAGGCATTATTAATGGTTCTTGAAATAGAACATTTCCATCACCTGAGGGCCCGCCCTCCTCACTCATCACCCTTATAGAGCTGTAACCATAGTTTAAAAAGCTATGAGAAGGCTCTGTAATCTCAACAAGATTAGAAAGCACCATTCCTGGACTCCAAGAAAAATTTCAGATGAAATGTAGCCAATCTGGATTCGAAATGGCACTTAGATTCACTAACTTGAATGTTTTCTCAAATTTGGGATCATGGAGATGTCTATGTGTTCCTGTGTTTTATATCTGTAACAGTTTACTCTATGGCTTTAGAGTTCCCTTTAAAATGAAAGTAAAATCATTCTGATGGTATATAGTATCATACCCATCTACTTTTCTTTATTTATGTGTCACAATTACATAAATGTACACACAACCTTCTCTGCCAACAGCATTTGTACAGCGTGCAGAAATCTTGAAAACAGCTTTTCTGCCAGGGTTACCACAATGTCCTATTTATTTTCCACTCAGGCCTGGGAAAGTCTACAAAGGAACACACTAGAAATTTGTGCCAAAACAGCTTAACTTGATTTAAGTCAGCCTCCTTTTCATGATCATTTTTAAAGACTAAATGTCAGTTCCTCCTCAACCTACTAAAGCGAACTACCTTTTTGTGAAGGACCATGGTCTTCAGGTGAAAATAGTCTATGGTAGGCAGTTCATGTTTGAGGTAATTTTTGAAGTAAAATGTCCCTAAAGAGGACTAAATTTACTGCAGAAGAATTGTAGAATTGTCATATGAAGGGAGATTTCAATACACAAGAAACAATATTTTCTTGTTCCACAACGATGAAGTAATTTGCCAAGTTCAAAAATGAAATTATTTAGAAAGAGTTTAGAAATATTTTCTGACCATCCATTGTCAAGGACTTCAGCAAAATTCTCAGGAATAACATTTTTTTTCCTATTCATGGAACCTTAAGTAATTTTAGGAATCTTTGAGGAACTCCTTCTACCTCAAATTTAAACATTTAAGAAGTAACATGTCTATTTTAAATGTAATATCAAATATGTTCCAAACTCATTCACTTGATCAGTTTAGTCTAGAAGTATTCACAGTATTCACTTGGGTTTTTAAATTTGCTTTACTTTTATGGTTTATGTCTTATCACTGTTCTAGTCTCTAACTACCTTTCAAACATTTTTTAATTTACAAAACTAAGGCCAAGTCTATACCAGCAAATTGAAGTTGAAAAGTAAGGCCCTTTGGGGGATAATTTCAAAGGAAAAATATTTTTCTAGTTACTAGCTTTTATGTATTACAGATAAATACTCTCTGATTTTCTAAGTTCTCAACTTTATGTTCAAGTTTTGACCCAGACTTCACTAGGGAGACCTGCCCTAAATCCTAGTATAATATGACAAGCTCTGTCTCACTTAAAATTCTTTATGCTAACTAAGATTCTCTTGTATTTTCAGTAGATGTGTTTCAAGTCTAATTATAACTGCAATATTTACACAAAGGTATTTTCATATGGCCCTGACTTTTTTTCAGGAAATTTATTGAAAACAAAACAAAACAAAACCTGCCAGCTTAATAAATCACCATAGGTTAAAAATGTAATAACAATACAAAAATGTGAATATACAAAATCATTCTAAGCATGTCCTAAAAAATTAGATAATGATTACTTTTTAAAATGTTTAAGTTAGATATATCTCAAGATAACTAGCTTATCTAGTTTATTCCACCTCCTTTTCACTTTTAAATTTATATTCCCTTTATATGCCTTTGAAAAATGAGAATAAAGATGCATGTTTATTTTAACCTTTAAATTATAAACCAAAATTCTATCATTTTGCCTTTACTTCAGTGAATTCTGGCTTCCAAGTGAAAAAGAAAAAATGGTCCCTGAAATTTTGAATTTGGCCTGGCATTTGCAGCTAAGCCTTGCCTTTTTCCTGTTGTACGTAAACAGTATCAAAAATACCAACATCCTGTAAGATACACTGTGTCTATAGTGAATAAATACAAAAACAAGACCACTCCTTGGTCTTGTCTGAACACAGAAAAAAAGACATGAATAGTTTCAAACCTCAAAAGTGACCAAGTATCCCCCTATCTGTACCACATGAGTGGATACTGCTTCTTCGCCAGTTATACCCTTGTCCTCTCTAGTCTTCCCTGCACTAGATCAAACTTACTAAGATGCTTAACTATAGGATTATACCAACTTTCTGACATTATTCATCCAATTCAAAGCAAAGTCCTGCCTCCAAGAACTCTTCTCCAAGTCACCTAACACAAGCCCAAATACTCTGGTAATGTCTAACACCTTCTTTTTTTTTTTTTTTTTTTTTTTTGAGACGGAGTCTCGCTCTGTCGCCCAGGCTGGAGTGCAGTGGCGGGATCTCGGCTCACTGCAAGCTCCGCCTCCCGGGTTCACGCCATTCTCCTGCCTCAGCCTCCCAAGTAGCTGGGACTACAGGCGCCCGCCACTACGCCCGGCTAATTTTTTTTTTTTGTATTTTTAGTAGAGACGGGGTTTCACCGTTTTTAGCCGGGATGGTCTCGATCTCCTGACCTCGTGATCCGCCCGCCTCGGCCTCCCAAAGTGCTGGGATTACAGGCGTGAGCCACCGCGCCCGGCCGTCTAACACCTTCTTGCTGAGAGGCCCACCATTTCCTTAGTGTATGCTCTTCCTCACTGCAACAAGTCAAAAAACAGCCTATGCAACTCCAGTGGTGTACCTGGTGGCCTTAGGCTGGAGGGCATTAACACAAGCAAGACCTTAGCTCCAGAATATGTTTTAAAACAGCTTCACTTTAGGCAGAAATAACTTTCAGCAGTTACACTGTGTGGAAAAAGTCCAAATCCCTTGTTGGAATCCTTCTAATCAATTCATGATAGTTTAATGAAAAACTTGTATTTCTTATAACTCTTTATGAAAAAGAGAACCAGGACCTCATACTAGCTAGGCCTTTTTACCCTTGTTTAGATCTCTGTGAGAAATGCCCCACAGATACATGGGCAAAGATGAGGTGAACCTACAAGGACTATTTGAAAGTCCGAAAGAGTGCCTCCAACCATCTTCAGGAGAGGAGGGATTGACCTGGTTGTCCAAGCGTCCATGGTCCTAATGTAGACGTTTGTGTAGCAGGGTGGGGCAGGAGGATTTCATTTTTCCTAACTTTGGTACATGGTAAAAATTATCTTCCCCCCTCCCTCCCTCCCTCCCTCCTTCCCTCTCTTCCTTTTTTTGTTTCTTCCTCCATCTTTTATCTTTATCTGTCTCCCTTCCTCTCTCCTTCTCCAACTTCCTTCCCCTTTCCGCTTTCCTTTATAATATGCCTTTACAGTCCAGGGAATGAATGCTATGAAACACTGTCAATTTTTGTCTTAAAAAATGCCCATTTCTGCATGCCTGTAGTCCCAGCTCTCTGGGAGGCTGAGGCAGGAGAATGGCTTGTACCCGGGAGGCAGAGGTTGCAGTGAGCTGAGATCGCGCCATTGCACACCAGCCTGGGCAATAGAGCAAGACTCCGTCTCAAAAAAAAAAAAAAAAAGAAAGAAAAAAAAAGCCCATTTTATAAAATCCATATACAAATAACGTACAAAAAGTCAAAAAATATACAAATGTGATTGGTAGCAGAGTAGCTGAATGATTTCTCATCATTTAAAAAATGTATGTTGAAATACTTTCAATTATTTGGTTTTATAACTTCTAATAAAAAAAATACCGGTTTACTAAAACTAGCCTCTCCTTTAGGCTCTTCCGTTTCTTGAACAAACACACCTCTTTCAATTTACACTTTAGAGTGGTGTAAATTGTTTTAATATGCATATGGAGGTAATAGGATTCAAAGTCAAAGAAAAGTGAAGCTGTTCTGTTTCTTCTTTGCAGCCTGGGCTGCTGCATCTTCTTTAAGAACACCTCACCAATGCACTTTAGATAAGAGTGTTGAGTCCATTAGCAAGGCACAGAGCAGATTCTCCCTGTGTCTTTTCACAGGGCTCAGATTTCATTCTGTGCCAGGAGTTATACATCACTCTCAATGGTGTGTCTCCAGAGCTGACTGAGGAAAGTGCAGAAAAACTACCGTTAACAAGGGAGTAATTACATTCAGCCTAAATTAATTATTGGCCGCTCAGGACTGGTGAACAAGGGCCACACAGATGGCCTCTGACTCAGTTCCCACCTTTGAGGAAAGAAATATTCCAATATGGTGCACATGACTGCATAAGATAACAAGAGGCAGGCTATTTCTGGTCTACTGGTCTTGAAGTTACCATATCTGTTAATATGACATGGGGCTTATTTGCGTTAACACTGTAGGTACATTGTATTTTTTAGGGAAAAAAATGAATGATAGTCACTTGGGACGGAGGTCATTTCACGGCAGTCAGCATTAGGACCAGCAAAGTCAAGCCAGGGACCTTTAAAATGCAATTCAGTCGAAAGAACAGGTCATGGATCAGTGAACAGGTGATGGAAGGTGTTCGTGAGGAATTCAGATTAGCAAAAAATACAAACAAACCACAAGAATCAGGGAAGAGAGAAATCAGGACAACCTGGAGAGCAGGAAGCCAAGGTCTTGGCAGGGTGGCAAGGATGACACTGATAGGACCTGGAGACTATGCGCCATGCAGGCAAGAACTATGATTCTCATTTACTCTGTGTCCTCAGAAGCCAGCACAGTTGGCACACACCACATGTCGGTAAACTTTTGTTGAATTAATCAGTCAATTTCATCTATTAATCATTTATGAAATATCATGCTCTTGCTAGAGATCTACATAGAATTAGTTCAACTTAATAAATATTTTAGAGTTCCTACTCTGTACTAGGCACTGTGATAGATACTAGAAAATAGTATATAAGGCAGGCTCCTGTCCTCAAGGTATTTGCAATATAGTGTCTGAGGCTGAATGTAAAAAGTAATTATTAGTCATTATGATAACAGTAATAATAGAAGTATGGAGATGATAAGTGGCTGAACAAAAAAACTACCTATTGGTGCTGTCAGGGAGGAGCTGCCCAGAAGCTGTTTTAAAGTATATACAGGTAGGAGTTGATTGGATGGAAAGTGGGGGAAAAGCACAGTAGGAAAAAGAAATATTATATATACAGGCAGAGGGACCCAAACAACATAGCAAGCTCATGGAAGAAACAGCTCAATGTTGCTGGAGAGCAAGCAATCTGCAAAAAAATCAAGAAAGTAATCTGATTTACAATAGCTACAAATAAAATAAAATACCTAGGATTTCACTTCTTATCCAAAAAAAGTGAAAGATCTCTACAATTAAAACTATAAAATCCATCAACGGATAAATGGATAAAGAAAATGTGGTACTTACAGACAATGGAGTACTATTCAGTCATAAAAAAAGAATGAGATGCTGTCATTTGCAACAACCTGGATAGAACTGGAGGTCATGATACTAAGTGAAATAAAGCAGGCACAGAAAGACAAACATCACGTGTTCTCACTTATTTGTGGGATCTAAAAGTCAAAACAATTGAATGTGTGGTGGTAGAGAGTAGAAGGGCGGTTATTAGAGACTGGGAAGAATAGTGGGTGGGTGGTGGTGGAGAGGTGGGGATGGCTAAAGCATATAAAAATATAGGAAGAATGAATAAGACCTTGTATTTGATACCACAACAGGGTTACTATAGTCAATAATAATTTAATTGTACGTTTTAAAATAACTTAAAGTATAATGGGGTTGTTTGTCACACAAAGGATAAATGCTTGAGGGAACAGATACCCCATTTTACATGATATGATTATTACACATTTCATGTCTATATCAAAACATCTCATGTACCCCATAAATATATATATCTATATACCCACAAAATTAAAATTAAATATTAAAAAAAGAAAACTGTAAAACAGTGATGAAAGAAATGGAAGCGTACAAAAAAATGAAAAGACATTCCATGTTGATGGATTAGAAGAATCAATATTATTAAAATATTCATGCTACCCAAAGCAATCTATAGATTCAATGCAAGCCTGTCAAAATACTAATGACATTCTTTATAGAAATAGAAAAAAATCCTAACATTTATATGGAACTGCAAAAGATGCAGAATAGCCAAAACTAGCCTTAGCAAAAGAATTAAATTGGAAGAATCACACTACTTGACTTCAAATTATACTACAGAGTTATAGTAATCAAAACAACAAAATACTGGGTTTAAAAACAGACACATAGACAGTGAAACAGAATAGAGAACCTGGAAACAAACTCATACATCTACATTGAACTCCTTTTTGACAAAGGTGCCAAGAATATTCACTGGGAAAAATTTCTTTCATAAATGGTACTGGGAAAACTTATATCCATATGTATGAGAATGAAACTAGACTCCTATCTCTGGCCATATACAAAAAACACCAAACAAGTAAAAATTGATTGGAGACCTAAATGTAAGACCTCAAACTATGAAACTACTAAAAGAAAACATTGGGGAAACTCTCTGGGACACTGGACTGGACAAACATTTCTTGAGTAATACTCCACAAGCACAGGCAACTAAAGTAAAAGTGTACAAATGGGATCACATTAAGATAAAAAGCTTCTGCACAGTAAAGGAAACAATTAACAAAGTGAATAGAACCAGCAAAATGGAAGAAAATATTGCAAACTATCCATCTGACAAGGGTTAATAACTAGAATATATAGAAGCTCAAGCAGCTCAATAGGAAAGAAATCTAATATTATAATTTTAAAATGGGCAAAAGATATGAATAGATATTTCTCAAAAGAAGACATATAAATGGCAAAAAGTGTATGAAAAGATGCTCAATATTGTTGATCATCAGAGAAATGCAAATCCAAACTACAATGAGATATCTCACCCCAGTTAAAATGGCTTTTATTCAAAAGGCAGGCAATAACAAATGCTGGCAAGGATGTGGAGGAAAAGGAACCGTCGTACACTGCTGGTAGGAATATAAAGTAGTACAACCTTTATGGGGAACTGTCTGTGTTCCTCAAAAAACTAAAGATAGAGCTACCATATTGTATTAGTCCATTCTTGCACTGCTATAAAGAAATACCTGAGACTCTAGGTAATTTATAAAGAAAAGAGGTTTAATTGGCTCACGCTTCTATAGGCTGTACAGGAAGCATGGCAGCATCTGCTTCTGGGGAGGCCTCAGGGAGCTTTTACTCATGGCAGAAGGCAAAGTGGGAGAAAACATCTTATATGACAGGAGCAGGACCAACAGGTGGCAGGAAGGTGTATGCTACACATTTTTAAACAACTGGATCTCATGATAACTCACTCATTATCACAAGAGCAGCACTGAGGGGATGATGCTAGACCATTCATGAAGGATCCACCCCCATGATCCAATCACTGCCCATGAGGCCCCACCTCCAACACTGAGGATTACAAGTGAATATGAGATTTGGGTGGGAACACAGATCCAAACCATATCACATATGATCCAGCAATCCCACTGCTAGATATATACCCAACAGACAGAAAATAAGTATATTGAAGAGATAGCTGCACTCCTATGTTTATTGCAGCACTATTCACGATAGCCAAGATTGGGAAGCAACTCAGCAGATGAATGGATAAAGAAAATGTGGTACATATACACAATTCTATTCAGCTGTAAAAAAGAATGAGATCCTGTCATCTGCAGCAACACAGATGGAACTGGAGGTCATTATGTTAAATGAAATAAGCCAGGCACAATGAGACAAACTACACTTATTCTCACTTATTTATGGGAGCTAAAAATTAAAGCATCTGAACTCATGGAGATAGATAGTAGAATGATGGTTATCAGAAGCTGGGAAGGAAGGATAGTTGGGTGGTGGAGGGGAGTGGGCATGTTTAATGGGCACAAAAATCTAGTTAGAATGAATAAGATTACATATTTGATAGCACCACAGAGTGACTATAATCAACAATAATTTATTATACATTTTAAGATAACCAAAAGAGTATAATTGTATTATTGGTAACACAAAAAATGATAAGTGCTTTAGGTGATTCATACCTCATTTACCCTGATGTGATTATTACGCATGGTAAGACTGTATCAAAATATGACATGTACTCCATAAATATATACACCTGCTATGTACCCTCAAAAATTAAAAATTAAAAAAAAAAACAGAGAAAAAATCAATACTGCTAGAGAGACACTCATGGCCAGATGAGGATGTAAGGAGCTTGAGCTTGGACATGGATAATGAGGAAAATAGCAGCACTGAAAGTAGAGAAGGATCAGATTTGCATTTTAGTAAGACAATTCGCCTAACAGATAAGAAAAGATGGGAGAGGGAGAAGATTTTAACACCAAAGTCCATGCCAGAGATGGAAAGACTCAGAAGTAAGACAGTGGCAATCAAAATGACCAGGAAGAGTTATATTTAAGAGATATCTGAGAGATGAGATAGATAAGATTTAATGTTTAATTGGACATGACCAGGGAGGGAGAAAATAGACTAGAAATATCTTTGCTTTCCAGGTTTGGGAGACTGGGTGGATGTTGAATTGCCGATTATGTTGAAGAAAATTGGGTGAAGTCATTGGGGGAGAAGGGAATAGATATTGAGTTGTTTAGGACATGTCGAATTTGACAACTAATAGGACATTTAAGTGGAAATTTTTAGTAGGCAATTTGATTTCCAAGCAATGTCTATGTCAGAAACAGTTTGGAAAGTTATCATGATATAGGCAAAAGTTGAAGGCAAGAGGATGAATAGGATCATCTAGGAAGGGGTATAGATTGAGAAAATAAAAGTATTAAAGATAAATCCTGGTGAATACTTACATTTAGGTGATGGGTAAAGAAAGAAAAATTAGGGAAGAAAAGGAAGGAGGGAAGGAAGGAAGGAAGGAAGGGAGGGAGGGAGGGAGGGAGGGAGGGAGGGAGGGAGGGAGGGAGGGAAGGAGGGAGGGAGGAAGGGAAAGAGAGAGAGAAAGAAAAAGAAAGAAGCAAAAAGGAAGAAAGAAAAAAGAAAGAGAAAGAAAGAAAGAAAGAAAGAAAGAAAGAAAGAAAGAAAGAAAGAGAAAGAAAGAAAGAGAAGAAAGAGACATGGCGCACGTCTGTAATCCCAGCTACTTGGAAGGCTGAGGCAGGAGAATCGCTTGAACCCAGGAGGCGGAGGTTGCAGTGAGCTGAGATCGCGCCACTGCACTCCAGGCTGGGTGACAAAGCAAGACTCCTGTCTCAAAAAAAAAAAGAAAAAAGAAAAAAGAAAGGAAGGAAGGAAGGAAGGAAAGAGAGAGAGAGAAAGAAAAAAAGAAAGAAAGAGAAAAAGAAAGAAAGGAAGGAAGGAAGGAAGGAAGGAAGGAAGGAAGGAAGGAAGGAAGGAAGGAAGGAAGGAAGGAAAGAAAGAAAGAAAATTATGCTAGCATTTTAATAATTGTCATAGTCTTCAAATGTCCCATAACTATTTTCATCTTTAGGAAGGTTGTCTTTTCCAAGAGGTCTCCTTAAATACAATACAGTGAAAATCCAAAGTTTTCATCCTCCCACCTTGTCATAAACAATCAGTATAATTATTATATTGTATATGCTACAAGTAATTCACCAGTAAGTAAAAGGCAAACTAGTTGGAGCACCTGTGTTTCAGACTTTTGGAAATGCATCATTTCTAGCCCTGCTAGAATTTAATTTGCCAGTTTAGTAACTAGCGTGGGCTGTTGCACAACTAATTTGTTCATAATAATTAGCCACTGATCACAAATTATGCTACAATTGTTGAATTAGCTCACTAGTCATTACCTGAGCAGCAAGATGTAAATCTAAGCTCAGAGGTCTTCATTTCTTGTTCAGCAAGAAAACCCACCTCCTCAATAGTCATTCAAAATCTGTACAAACTGCCTTTCTAATGCCAGTAGATATCATAATCATATATTTAACTTTCAAAGTGAGAAGTCTACATTATTACTTATATGTTGAGATTTTGTTGAATCTGAAGATCAACTCTAGGAAAATTAATATATTTACATTATTGAGCATTCTATTTAATAAACATAGTATATTCTTCCATATTTATTTATCCATTTATTTACTCAACATCTTTTATGTTGTTAAATGTCCTTAAATGTTGAAGGACAATTGGATTGCTTCTACTTTGAACTATTATTAATAAAATTGATATTAACATTGTATAAAACTCCTTGTGTGTATATCTGTTTTTATTTCTTTTGGGTAAACATCTAGATGCATAATTGTGGTATGATATGTTAAAACAAACAAACAACAACAACAAAAAACCTTTGCCTGCCCAAAATAAAAGTTTAAGAATTTTAGTTTTTATGTTTAGGTCTATGATTGCTTTCAAGTAAATTTTTCTACTTGGTATGAGATAAGGATTGAGACTTGTTTTAATTTTATTTCCATATGGAAATCTAGGTGTTCCATTTTCATTTTTGGAAAATATTATATATTCCTCCTTTTTAAATCATCTTGGTAAAATATATGTGTGTATGTATTTTTTGACTCCATCTGTTCCGTTAAGTTTTATCTGTATTCTTATATCCCCATCACTGTCTTCATTATAATAGCTTTATCAAATGTCTTCAAATCAGGTAGTGAAAAATCTTCCAACTTTGCTTTTTTTCATATTCTAGGTTATTGTCATCTCCAAATAAATTTTAAAATCAGCTTTATTTCTACAAAAAAAAAAAAACATGTCTTTAGCTTTTTAACGGATTGTGATTGGGATTGACCCTAAAGATCAATTTGGGGAGAATCGATACTTTAACTTATTGAGACTTTTAATCCATGAACATGAGTATTGGTTATTTACTGCTGTGTAGATAACTGCCCCAAAATTTAGTGGTTTGAAATAACGAGGATTTATCACCTCATGTTTTCTGTGGCTTGAGAATTTGGGAGTGGCTTTGAGGGATGGTTCTGGCTCAGAGTCTCTCATGAGGTTGTAATCAAGATGGCAGCTGGGGATGAAGTCACCTAAAGGCTTGACTGGGGCTAAGGAATTGTTACCATGCACATCGGTGGCTGTTGACAAGAGCCCTCCAATTCCTCACTGGCTCTTGGCAGGAGACATTAGTTCTTCACCATGTAGACCTCTCAATAGGGCTACTTGAGTGTCCTCATGGTCATGGCATGATTCTCACAAATATAGCCCACATCCAAAGGAAGAGGAAATAGAATTCAACTCTGCAAGGGAGGAATATCAACAAATTTGTAGACATATTTTAAAACCACCAAGGTATATGTCTCCATGTATTTAGGCATTTCGTTTCTCTTAGTAATGTTCTGTAACTTTCAGTGCACAGACTTTCATATAGTTTGGTAAATGTATGCCTGAGTATTTTGGGTTTTTTGATGCTGCTACACATGCATTTTTCTTTCCATTTTTTTCAATACTAGTATATAAAAATAAAATAATTTTTGTATTTTGACCTGATATCTTGTGACTGTGCTAAATCATTTAATAATAATAGCAGCTTTCCTATTGATCGCTCGGATTTTTCTACGTACACAATCATTTTGTCTGCAAATCCATAAATGTGCCATATTAGAGTAAAGTCAGGAAACAGAACCCATACCAATTGTTTTAACAAAAGTATACATACACTATGAATTGAAGATCTGAAAGACAAAAAATAGAGCACTAGTGCATGGTAAAGGTAACAATAGCGGGAATGTAAAACAAGTGAACTCATAGACACAGAGGATAGAATGGTAGTTGCAAAGGTTCGAGGAAGGAAGGAATGGGGAGATGCTGGTCAAAGGGTGCAAAATCTCAACTAGACGGGAGAAATATATTTTATTTTTAGATCCATTGCACAGCATAGTGAATATAGTTAATAATATTTATTGTGTATTTTAAAATTACTAAGAATGTAAATTTTAAATGCTCCCACCACAAAAATGTTTAGTATTTGAGGTGATGATTGTGTTAACTAGCTTATTTAATGTTTCCACATTGTGTTCATAAATTATAACATCATTTTGTACCCCATACATTTATACAATTATAAGTTGCAAACTTATAATATTTTTTTTTTAAAAAATAGCACCTACTACACCCAAGACTTGGGGGTACTAAACAGAAGAGATTAGAATTTATAAGATGTAAACGCTTAGAGGAGTGACCCCAGGACATCAAAATTTGGACCTCTGAGAAAGGAATGCTACTCAGTTGGTGCTAATGTCTCTGAGTTTGAAGGAAGGTACCCTTGAGCCTGTAACCCCAATGTCTGAGAAAAGGGTGGCAGCTGGCTGGTTCTGGTGTCTCTGAGGGGGCACAAGCAGGCTAGTTCTTCTAAGAATTGAAAAACTGCAAGCTAGATTCAACTATTGTGACTGAAATGAACTGCCATAGTTGGTGTCAAGAAGTGAACCTGAGATGTTATAAGCAGGAATGAGAAGCAAACAGGAAGTTCACATAAAGCAAACAGGAATAAACAAGTTCCTTATCCTCCTCCAGTATTGCCCACTCCCTCTAGTTGTATAACATACTCTTCTCTTGATTTGTTCATAGCACTTGCTTCCCTAGATTTATAGCACCCTCTGTTGGCTCCATTAGAAGAATTAGCAGGTTGCCAACTGACAGAAATGTGAAGAAACCTCAAAATTACAAGCAGAATCCATAAGAATGCTATGCTTACTAAGTAGCAATACTATCTTAATATATGGCATATTGACAAGGAACCCAGAAGGAATTTGGGAGGTTTCAAACTCAAATACAATTGCTCTCTTCAGTATATTTGTCAAAGTGAAAAGCATCTGCAAAGCAGAGCAGAGATTTCAAAAGTCTTGCAAGCTAATAATTATGGTTTAGGATCCATCCAGCTCTGAGTTGAAAACTGAACAGTCAGGAACATTCAGTTTTCTGATTAGTTAAGGGTAGACTGATTAGTACCACATCTTCAATTCAGCCTTGACTTACACAATCCCTGATTTATAGAGGGAATCAGACACCAGTAGATATGCCAGGATCAAATGGGTGAATCTATTAGCTAAGATGTCTACAATTTTGCAGATATACCACTGGCATTCAAAAAGAATAAAGAAACTTGTTACAAAAACAGGACCTCATAACCAAAAAAAAAAAAAAAAAAAAAAGAGAGAGAGAGCAAACAAACAGTAATAACTAAACTAAAGATGATCTAAGAATTGGAGTTATCTGACAAGGACTTCAAAATAACTATTATTATCATGTTCAAGAAAATAGAAGGAAACATGGGACAAAAAAAATGAATGGAAAGATAAAAGTAACTAAAGAACAAAAATATAGATATACAAAAATTAAATGGACATTCTAGAATTGGAAAATGCAATATCTAAATTAAGAAAAAATTAGATGGTGTTAGCAACAGATTACATGCAGCAGAAGGAGGATTGGTAAACTGGAAAAGAGCTTAATAAAAATTATCCAAATTGAAGTACACAGGGAAAATAATAAAACACAGAAAAGAATAGTGCAATAAGACAACATGGTCTAACATATATAAAATTGGAGTTCCAAAAGGAAAGGATAGGAAGGACAGGGAGGAAGTAAGATTTGAAGAGATAATGGCCAGTAATTTTCTAAAACCAATGAAGTCTCCCAACTCACAGATTCTAGAAACTCAGTGAACCCCAAACAAGATAAATCAAGCATGAGTATATAAAATTATATTAGATCAACTGTAATAATACTGCTAAAAACAAAAGTTACAGAGAAAATATTTTTTAAAGCAACCAGAAAAAAAAAGACACATAATCTTCTGGACTAGCCAGAGTTGTTTTTTTTTTTTCCCACCAGAACTGATAAGATAGATAGATGGATAGATAGATGATAGATAGATAGATAGATAGATAGATAGATAGATAGATAGATAGATGATAGATAGATGATATATGGATAGATAGGTGGATAGATGATAGATAGATAGATAGATGATAGACAGATAGGTAGGTAAGTAGATTTATTATGAGGGATTGGCTCATATGTTTATGGAGACTGAAAAATTCCACAATCTGCTGTCCACAAGCTGGAAGTCAAGGGGAGCCAGTGGTGTAGCTTCAGTCCAAGACCAAAGGCCAGAGAACCAGGAGTGCCAATGTTTGAGGCAAAAGAAGAGGATGTCCCAGCTGAAGCAGAGGGAGCAAATTTACCTTCCTCCCACCTTTTGTTCTATTTGGGCCCTCAATGAATTGGATGATGCCCAGTCACACTGAAGGGCGATCTTTTCCTGGTCTACTGATTTACCTCCAAAGGAGCAATAATAAACTGAGAACTGATCTCATAGAAAAGAATAAAGATAAAAGATACTGACATTCTTAAAATACTGAAAGAAAATAACCTTTAATTTAGAATTCTATATTCACAACAAGTATCATTCAATAATGAAAGTGAAAAATATTCAAATGAACAAAAATAATTTGTCACTAGTAAACATGCACTAAAATAGACAATAAAGGGAATTTTTAAAGAACAGGAAGGTTATCTGAGAGTAAAACAGAAAACTTCAAAAAGAGTAAAGAGCAATAAAAATTTTAAATAAATATTGACTAAATATTGGCTCCACCAATAATAATAATGGCCTGTGGGGTCTGAGGTGTCTGCTGAACTAAAATGCATGTCAATAAGAATGCAAGAGGCGAGGATGAAAATAAATGGAATTCAATTATTCTGAAATTCTCACATTATCAGGGAAGTGGTAGAAATAATAATTTATAATAGACCACAGTAAGTCAAAATGCATGTTGTAACTTCTATGGAAATCACTAAAACAAGACTAAAAAACATATAACTATAAGGTTGAGAAAAGAAAAATGGTATAATAAAAATATATTATTCATTCAAATAATGCAAGAACTGAGAAGAAAAAGAACATGAAAAGTAATGTATGAGGCAATGGATATGCTAAATACTCTGACTTGAATTTTAGATAATGTATACATGTATCAAAACATCACACTGCATCCCATAAATATCTACAATTATTATGTGCCTATGCGTATGTATGTATAAGGTAGATGAATAAATGATAAAGGAAAAGCCTACAATAAATAAAAATATATAATTACGTTAAATATAAATTGAGTTGAAATAATAATAGAGATTATTATATTGAATTATCAAAAGCTGTATGATGCTTATGAGCTAGTACAGTTGAAAGTAAATGAATGAATGAAAACATGTATATCATAAACACACTCATAAAAAATTATGTAAAATTATGCTGATCTTGGATACAGTATGCTTTAAGGCAAGAACATTTACTTAACATAAAAGGGATGTTTATATTATATAATGATAAGGAAATCATTCCACTTGAGAATTTTAAACCTCTATGAATAAGTAATATAGATGTAAAAGAAAGACATGAAAAAATAAAGAAAACTGAAAAGAAAAGTTTTTAAATACATATTCCTTGCTAGGACTTTGACATACTTCCTTCAATAGCTAATAAAACAAGCAGATAAAAAGTCAGTAGAGATATATGATTTGAATAATAAGAAACTTGATCTAATTTATATACATACAACACTACACTCAACAATAAAATATATATGCTATTTTCAGTACACATGGAACATTTGTCAAAATAGATTCAATATTTGGTTATAAAGCAAACCTCAACAAATTCAAAGGACTAAAATCATTCAGAGTATGTTCTCTGAACATAATGGAATCAAGCTATACGTAGATAATTTTAAAAAACTAGGAAATCCCTGCTATCTTGGGTATTGAATAATGTATTTCTAAATAACACATGGATCCAAAAATAAATGGCAACGCAAATTTAAAATGTTTTGAAATCAAAGATGATTAATATATGTAATACTGAAAGTGGGAGAATGGTATCAAATGAGTTGTTTAAGGAAAATATATAGCCTTAAGTGCATATAGTAGAAGATTCTAAAAGATCAAAAATAATAATTTATGCTTTATCTCAAGAAGTTAGAAAAAGAACAGAAAAGTTAAATAACAAGAGAAGGAAATAATAGATAAGAATATAAATCAATAAAACAGAAAGAATTTAGAAGAGAAAATCATTGAAGACAATAGTTGGTTCATTGAAGAGATAAATACAATTGATAAACCTCTAGCAAGACTAATAAAAGAAAAAGAGAGGAAAAACAAATTACCATCAACAGAAAGAGGAAGGGAACATTAGTATGGACTGTATAGACATTAAAAAGATAATAATAAACGTTTTTCTATCAATATATTTTGAACTCTAAGCCAAAATAGAAGTTTCCATTAGAAAACAAAACTTACTAAAACTCTAAGAATAGAGTCAAAATTGTAAAATTATTTGCTTGATATCTTGAAATGCAGAAATTTTTTTAAAAAATTATGTGTGTATATATATATATTTATTTATAAGTAGAAGAATCTGATTAGCCTTATGTAGTGGGTTAAATGCTGGCCTCTCCCAAAAGATATGTGTACTTAGAATCTGTGAGTGTGACCTTATTTGGAAATAGGTTCTTTATAGATACAGTTAAATTAAGGCTTTCAAGATGAAATCATCTTGGATTATCTGAGTAAACCCAAAATCCAATGACAAAGACTGACCCCTGAAGTCTTTGGAAGAAGTGTGACCATGAAGACACATTGATTTTGAAAGCTTCTGGTCTCTAAAACTATGAAAGAATAAATTTTCTGTTGTTTAAAGTCACCAAATTTGTGGTAATTTGTTGTGGTGACAGAAATTTATTATACCTTATATGTTTCCAGTTTATTAAAGCTGTTAACAAAAATCTTCTTACAAAGAAAACTCCAGGATTAGATTGCTTCACTGATAAGCTCTTCCAGATATTTCAGGAAGAAATAATGTTAGTCTGATCCAAATTCTTTGAGATAATAGAAAGAGAGCAGAAGTATTTCCCAATTAATTTTGTAAGTACAGCATGACCATGATGCCAAGCCTTCCTATGCCTCTTACGTGATGCCAAAACTTCAAAAGGACAATAAAATATAGGGAAACTAGAAACCAGTCTTTCTCATGAACATAAATTCAAAAGTAATAAAAAATTAGGAAATCAAACAAGTGTTTATTCTAGGACTATAAAGGTGATTTTAAAATGTGCATACTTCTATTCACAATAGCAAAGACATGGAATTAACCTAGGTGCCCCTCAACAGTTGACTGTATAAAGAAAATGTGGTACATGTACATGATGGAATACCACACAGCCACAAAAAAATGAAATCATGTCCTTTGCAGCAAAATGAATACAGCTGGAGGCTATTATCCTAAGCGAATTAATGCAGAAACAGAAAAACAAATATCACATTATCTCACTTATAAGTGGAAGCTAAATTTTAGGTACACATGGACATAATGATGGGAACCATAGACACTGGAACTCCAAAAGGGAGGATGGAGGCAGGAGGTACAAGGGCTGAAAAATTTCCTAGTAGGTACTATGTTCATTATGTGGGTGATGGGACCAGTGGAAGCCAATCCTCAGCCATACGTTATATGCCCTTGTAACAAACATGCAAATGTACCCCTGAATCTAAAATAAAAATGAAAATTAAAAAATAATCTGTATACTTAATTTACAAAGAGTTTAAAAATAGGTAAAACTAGCCTATAGGTTTAAAAATGAAGATAGTTTTTATTTTGGAATGTTTTATTGACTAAAGCAGGGCACGACTGGCTTCTGGTGTTTTGATAATGTCCTGTTTCTTGACCTGGGTATTGATTACAAGAGTGTGCTCATTTTGTGAAAGTTCATCAAAATGATTGCTTATAATTTGTGTACTTGTTGTGTATGTATTATAAAACTGTTACATTAAAAACTTTCTTCACTAGTTGTCAAAGTTGAATCACTAAAGAAGTTTAGGATTTGAGAAACCATGTAGCATTTAAATAAAATATGGATTAAAAAAATGTAGGGCTGTGCATTGGACTGGCTACTTATGACTGCACTGTAGAACATGCAAAATAAAAAGACAAGCTTGGTGACTGAATTTACAGTTTAAACCACAAACAGAAAAACTAGACAACTTCTATAAATGATATGAGAGAATCCTTATTTCCTGGAGCTGTATGGCTGAAATTTCTAAAAACGAAGGCCTTCTACCATAGGTCACCGAATCACAACACTGAATGAATTTACAACCTTCCTATGCCTCTTATATTAAAGTTATGGCATTGATTCAGATAGAGTGAAACTCTGAGGATTGATTTTGGGACATTTGAGTAGATAGATATTGGTGAAGCTGTGTAACTTGAATCACTGAATCACATATCCCACTGGCATCCCTTGTTACTATGAGCTGCCTTTGCTCCCCTGAGGCCATTAACCTACTCTTATCTAAAGAGTATCAACAACACCCACTAGACTAATTTTCCTGCAAGGGGAAGTGGATTATCCTCAAGAACTCATATCACCTTACCCTGTTTTCAGACCTAGTATCTAACAGATGGGTTGATTGGCTATATTAAATGATTGCCTATATTAAGTAAATAAAGGGTGAGATACTACAACTTCCTTAACAAACTATAAAGAAAGAAAACCATAGATAGCATAAAGAGGCAAAACAGCTCTCTATAACATTTCTGTTGCAGAGTGCTAGAAATAATATGGATATATTAGATGTAACAAGGTCATCCCCGCTTAATTCTGTTTTCTAGTGGGTCCAGTAGGCATTCCTTTCACCTAAACTTTGAAAAGTACATTAGGAAACAGCACCAGCATCCTTGAAAGGCCCTATAGTGACACTTCTGTGCAGGTTATGGATGACAGTAGCAGGTGTTGACATTGAAAAGTCTCCCTGAATTGTTTGGGGATAACTGAATCTTTTCTTCAATGATGTCAGCAGCAATTAACCACCGGAAACAAAGTGTGTGTGGTTACTCTAATGGGTACTAGGGCTGGAGAAACAATTAGAATAGTTTGACTCACACAGAGATTTCCTGTGGTTAACTGGTCATGGTGTCCCTTTGATTGAAATAGATAGGCAGCCTGTACAAGTCTTATAGGATGTTAATAAGTGGCAAAGACTCTAAGTCTGGTAAATAGAAACCTGTTCTGTATCACCATAGTGGAAAACCATGATCTCACTTAATTCTCAGGCCTGAGCCAGACCCTTTTGGATGAAGAAAGGGCAGGGTCTTCTTGAGGAAGAATTCAGTTACATTTCCAAAAATTTATACCAAGACTATTCCTCCTAGCCTTTCTCAAAGTGAGCTGTAGCTGTTTACCAAGGTAACTTGTCTTTGAAAAAATGTACATTTTCAGACTTTCAGTGAATACTGGATACTGGCTCTGAACTGTTGCTAATTCCTAGGGGTCACAAATCACATGGTGGTCCAATAGTCAAAAGGTGAAATAACAAATGAATTTTTGGCCTGGGTCTGTCCAGAGGTCCCAAATCCAGACCAAGGTTGTTTCCTCCATGCCTGAATGCATAACTGGAGTAGACATACCCAGCTACCTGTAGAATGCCCATATTAGTTGCTAGATGTGCAGAGAAATGGCTATTCTGGTAGAAGGTCCAAGCAGAAGCCTCTAAAGCTGCCATTCTCTATCAAAATAACAAAAGTAAATAAATCAACACCACATGTCTGAGGAAGTTAATGCACTATCAAAAATTTTAAAAATGCAGAGTTTGCAATTCTTATTACATCTTCATTAAGCTAGCCTATTTGGCTTTGTAGGAAACAGGAGGACCTTGGAGCATGACATGGGTTATCATAAGGTTAATCAAGATGTAATTCCAATTACAGCTGCTGTTCCAGATGCAGTCTTCTGCTGAATAGAATCAACCCTTGCTGTGGTACTTGGTTTGCAGAAACTGATTTAGAGAAATTTTTTTCTCTTTATTTATTAAAAAATTCTACCAGACACCCTTTACTTTCAACTACCAGGCACAGCAGCACCCTCCGCAGTTTCATCTAAGAGCCATGCCAGTTTTTTACTGTTTTTCATAATCTGTCCATCTCTATGGCATCATCTATCATGCAGGACATTATGCTGATCATCTATACTGATGACATCATGCTGATTGAACCCAGTGATGAGGAATTAGCAAATATTCTAGATATCTTGATGTGACATATGTGTGCTACAAAGCAAAAAATATTAAAATTTCTACATCTATGAATTTGTCAACATCTCCTTATGATTCTGTTTTGTTTTATAGAGCTCAATGGTATATATAGGGTACATAATTTTAACATATTCCTGGTGAAGCATTCCTTGTTATTATGTGTTTCCCTTTTTCCCTACTAATATTTCTCCACCTCCATTGGCCTCTCTAGAGACCTGTCCAGAATCAGATCTTGTGGTGGCATGTCCAGGCTTTTGGCCCATGGTAACATTGGAGATATAGCAGACTGAGTAACCAAGCTAGTAGGCCATTTAGTTCAATTCCTGTTTATAGGATGATGTCTAATATGTGTTGACCTTTCACTGCCTGGGACTGTTCTAAGCCATAGATAGCTCCAAACAGTAATTGGCTTTTTTTTTTCTATGTCCTTTCATGAAACAGAGTTGGGGAAGGGGCCGTGGCTTATGCTCTGCGCTTCCAGGCCCTGGCTTCAATCAGTGGACTGGGCTCTGTCCTTCTCTTACTTGAAGCAGTTTTGGTTCCTTTTAGCCAACATTGGTTAAACTCCCCTAGTCAACACTGGTTGAAATTTCTTGGCTTATCTGCTCCATACTTGGTACATTGTTCCATTTCTGATCCGCAGTGATATTGGTTTTATATTTGAGTCAACCTATGTATTTTTTAATTTTTCTTTTCTTTTCTTTTCTTTTCTTTTTTTTTTTTTTGAGAGCTCTTTCGCTCAGGCTTGACTGCAGTGGCAAGATCTCCGCTCACTGCAAGCTCCGCCTCCTGGGTTCACGCCATTCTCCTGCCTCAGCCTCTCTAGTAACTGGGACTACGGGCGCCCGGCTAATTTTTTGTATTTTTAGTAGAAACGGGGTTTCACCATGTTAGCCAGGATGGTCTCGATCTCCTGACCTCGTGATCTGCCTGCCTCGGCCTCCCAAAGTGCTGGGATTACAGGTGTGAGCCACTGCGCCCAGCCTTAATTTTCTTTTTCAAAGTTTTACTTATCATTGTCATGAATTTGGAAAATCAATGCTTGAATTTATTGGGCCCTCTTGACATTACCAACCATTAGGTTTATAACAAAATCATTATTCCTGGAAAATAATCTACTAATTTGTAAATTGTCGTGAGTAGTAGCCAGGCATAATTGTTATAATACAGTCATGTTCCACATGACAATGTTTTGATCAATGATGGACCATGTACATGATGGTAGTCCCATGATATTTTTAATCCTGTATTTTTACTGTACATTTTCTATGTTTCAGTATACAAATGCTTACCATTGTGTTACAATTGCCTACAGTATTCAGTAGAGTAAATGCTGTACAGGTTTGTGGTTTAGAAGCAATAGGCTATACTGTGTAGCCTAGGAGCAATAGGCTGTACCATGTAGCCTAGGTGTGTAGTAGGCTATACCATCTAGCTTTCTGTAAGTACACTATGATTTTCACGTAATCAAATTACCTAACACATTTCTCAGAACGTATCCCTATCATGAAGTTATTTATAACTGTAGTTCTTTCAGAGGACATTGCCAACTTATTCTATAACACTTTTGTGTTTTCAGCATATAGCAATAAATGCAGAATGATTTTTGTCTTTAAAATTATACTGGAAAGAATATATTTTGAAACACAAAGCACAAATAACTTTTATATGAGAAAAATAGCCCAAGTGAATGGATTCTTGAAAGTTGTAGGAGTTGTTTATTGCAATGTGTTTTGGCAATGTGGAAATTCTTATGAGAAAACTAGAAACAATTTTTTCCCAGTGAGAATTTTTAAGTTTTGTTCTGCTTATTTTGAATGTTCCTGGACACAATTTGGTCAACTAACTTGCTTAAAATTATGTTTCCAAAGTTAATGCTAAGTTATCCCAAATTTGAACTGGAAATTAAGTATTTTCAATGCCAGTCAACACTATGGAATAATGGGTAATTTGGGACTACAAATGGGGCTTTTTAGTTTTGATCCTCTAGTTCTGAGATTTTCTGAAACTAAGCCTCTCAAGAATAAGGACTACTTTTCTTGCTTTCTCACATTGACCATTACTGGATTTAATACCCAGTAATCACACGTGAAATGCTTTTTCAGTGAGTGAATAAATAAACATTTAACTATATGTAAAAGTTTTTTGAATATAAGTCAGACAGAAAATAGAATTGGGTTTGACTTATTCAGACTATTAATTTGGTTTAGAAATAATTTATGAAAATGTATGCCAAAATAAAACATGTGCTTAATTGCATATAGTAAGTGCTTACTGCATGTTTATTATTATAACTATTGAAAGGTCAAGAAAAACTTTCCATGGCTTAAAATAACCAACAAATAAGTACATCATTCATGAGATAAATAGCATTATTGAAAAAATAATAAATGATTAATTCTGTACATGTAACTAAATTGTTTCCCCCTTTTTAAAAACAAAAAATACCCAACAGCTTCCATTTCAAAGAAATAGTTTCTATTGGAGTGAAATAGTTGAATCAATCCTAAATGATTTATTAGAAAAATAGCTCCAAATGTGTACTGGAATTTAAGACATTCTTTACTCTCTCTATCCTATGATTACTGAACACAAAGTGCAAAGATAATACAGCAATTGTCTGTTTAATTTAGGTGATAGAGATAACTCAAGACGATATTTCAGGGGGGTCCACAACCCAAATTATCCAGTTTGGCCATGTGTCTTTCTAAATACCTGCATTAACTAATAACTGCCAAGCCTCCCCTTCACTTGTTGCTGTGTTAACATGACTGATATGTTTTGGCTCTGTGTCCCTACCCAAATCTCATGTTGAATTGTAATAATCACCTTGTGTTAAGGGCAGGGCCAGGTGGAGATAATTGAATCATGGGGGGACAGTTTCCCCCATACTGTACTTGTGCTAGAGAGTGATTTCTTATGAGATATGATAGTTTTATAAGCATCTGGCATTTCTGCTGCTGGTACATTCTCTTTTTGCCTGCCGCCATCCATGTAAGATGTGACTTGCTCCTCCTTGCCTTCCATCATTATTGTGAGGCCTCCCCAGCTATGTGGAACTATAAGTCCATTTAAACCTCTTTTTTATTCCCAGTCTCAGGCATGTCTTTATCAATAGTGTGAAAACAAACTAATACAATGGCCAACACTTTTAAAAACTTTAAAACCCCAAGATAAGAAGATGAAATTTACTGCTCGCATTCTTATTCAGTTACATACATTATTGTGGAAATATCTACTTTCACTCAAATCACAATCAGTATTTTCTATGAAAATAATACATTTATATCATGGCTTTGTTTTGGGAAAACAAATTAACTTGTAAAGTATGGCAGACACAATGCTACAAGTACAGCAAACGATTTCTTTGTTCCTCCTGGATACATGGGTAGCTCATTTCCTGACCATGTGGTCAACTCTGGCCAATGAAGGGAAAGCAGGGGGTGGTGCATGTCCTTCTAGACTTGGCTTTCAAAACCTGTACCACAATCTCTTTTTCATCCACCATGATCTTGGACGTGCATGACCCTGACAACTTAGCTACAGGTGAAACCACCTGGGTTCTAAATATGACTTGGAGGAAAGCTCTCCCCACTCCACCTCCCAGCTCCAGAGAATTGCTCACTATGTCAGTAAATACAAATTATTTGTTGTTGTTTAAGCCACAGAGGTTTTGGAAGAATAATGTTTCTCAATAGCAGCTACCTGGCTAATATATATTTTATAGCCATACAGCCTGTTTGACCTTTTGGGAAGGACAAAGGGGTTTCTGCTTTAAAGTAGAACTGTAATTTCCATGGAGGAGATTTACAAAATACTTATTTTTCTTTGAGGGAGAGTGAAACCGTCAGCATTCAGTTTTAAGTTAGTTCAAGCTATATTAAAAGTCAAATGTGAAGTGTTCTTAGTTTTCTTTAGGAGGTTTTGTGCACTAAAAAACAGCAAAACCAAAAAATACCTTTGTGAAATTTTCTTTTGTTTTAAAATTATTGTTTGCATTATTAAAGTTACAAATCCAAAACCTAGCTCTTTCCTAAGTTTCTAAGTTTACGTTACAATCTTATTATTTAGAAATCCAGTAAATATTCAGCAGTCACTTTTAAGAGACTTTATGTTTACTGTTTAAAGAAATTTGGTTAATAGAATTTTTAAAAATATGTTAAATGGCATATATACACTTAATATATTTGAATTCAGAGAACAGCTCAATTAGTTGACTTACACAAAACTTTCCCAAATGCTGACAGGACTCATATATGTAATAATTTAAACTTATAAATATAATGAGACTTTCTCCTAAATGTTCTAACACTGTACATAAATTTAATAAGATTTCAACCTAAAATCACAAGTCTAAAGTAATTACCCAACTATTCATTCTAAATGTAAATTTTTTAAAAACGGACCTGTTTAATAGGTAAAATTATATTATGTATTTTAATATGTAAGTTATTAAATATGTGCATATTCTTTAGCAGAAAATGTTAATACTGTGGATTTGATTCTTTTAAGAATTTTTATACTTTACAAAGATGCCAGCCTGCTAATAAAACATTATATTTTACCAAGCAAATTTTAGGGAGTTCCTTCTTATCCAGTTGGAGTTGTATGATGACCAGAAATGCTACTAGATTCTTGATGGTGACACTGATGGGTCTGTAGCAGGAACTGCTTCATAACTGAACTCCTTAAATTGGTCTTGTAGGCCTCACTAGGGATGTAGTCTTCATCTCTAGTGAACTCAGAGAAGGTTGTTTATTTGATTTTTAAATTTAAATACACTTTTCAGGTTTTTTAAATTTTAATTTAATTTTTTTTTAACTTAACAGGACCATACAAGTGACATCTAGTTGAATCGTGTATATCTCTTATGGCTTAGAGATCACAGTACAACTTCCAAGGCCTTTCTTAGCAGTAGCATCAGACCAATGGTGCCCCATAGCCAGGCCCTCTCTTGAAGAATTGGTAGATGCTGATTAAGCATATTCACTACATGCTCAGACTGAGAACTCTGTCCCGCTGAGAGACACGTTTGGAATCACATGAAGCATCACATCTGCAGCAGTATAGTGATCTGTCAACAGAGCCCACACCACTGGGCCTCCCCAGACATTTGTCTTCAACTAGAACCTGAAGTTTTGTTCAAAGTAGTTTTGTAATCATCTAGTCTAATTCAGCTTTTTACATGAAATACAAATGAAACTAACAGAAGAAAGAATCTTGTACACATCACTAGTTATAGACAATACCAATACTTTCTCCATAAACTCTTGAGACTAGGTCATTGTTCTTGCCTAATGAAACTTTGGACAAACTTAAGATGAGTAGAGAGTCAGAAGCCACAAAACAGAGCAAGGCAAGCATATAATCCTTCTGCATCAGAAAGAGGACACTGTCTCACCACTTCCAGATCACTTGACTCTCAACCACAAAGGCTGATGCAATATCTTTCTCCCCACAACTTAATCTCTGCTGAGCTCTAGCTCTAATGAACTTATTTATCTGAAATGAGACCCTCAGAGCTGTTCAATAACAGTAGAAACTTCAATGACAAAAATTTCTGATGTCTAAGTTTATTTACTGCCGAACAGATATTGTAACAGGGAGTACACAAAATTCAATTTCAAGCAGAAACTTCTAGGATGAACCTTAGGGGTTAAAAGAAAGAAATAAAAAGAAACAAAGTTCTTTCACTTTCCCAGATGACTGACACCACCAGAGATTACTTCAGGAAAAAAAAAAAAATCTTAAATGGTAATGACTTCAGTTCTCAAACCCAAAGTTGAGAGAAATCCCACAGTTATTAAAGTTAATAAATCAGTGAGAGAGAGAGAGAGAGATCCTGCATGAAAATTGTCCAGATTTTGCATTTTTCTGCACACAGAATTCAAAGGATTTCTGTATCTACTCCCTCCCTTTTCCTTTACCTCATTCACCATGGGTATCTTAAAAACAGCAAAGAGACTCAAGGGACGCACAGTTCTATAAGATGTAATTATGGTACCTTATTTTTAAGAGTTTAAAAGTGCATCTTTATGGCCTTATGCAGCCACAGTAACTTTTATATGTTTGATTGACATAAAGCATGCATTGGCATGAAACATTTCCTCAAACTGTAGAAATGTGGAGATTTTAGTCACCCTGCTCACCCCTCCTCCAAGTGACGTCCCCTCTATGCTTCCTGTCCCTCTTCATTTGATTAGTACTGTTGATCAGCTGTAGTTTGCAGAAAGCAGTTAGTGACCCCAGAACAGCTCTTCTGGTTGTTGTAAAAGCTAAAATGAACTGAAATAAAGTGCATATGATTTATGGGTTACACATGCATGTGGAACTCAGAAGGCCCGCCATTTTCAAATCATTTTTAAGGTGATCTTTCACACATGAAGGTTTACTTTGTCTCAGTTTGACTTTTGATTTTTTTTAAGTGAAAGGGGCCACTTTTCTCTCTAAGATAGAAGAGATGTTTTTGTATAGCAGATACACAGAGTTCTGAAGTTTTATAGGGTGACTAATACCCTATAGGGATAAATCAGGCTGTCAGCTTTTCTGAGAGCTTTGGCTAGAACCCCAAATGTTGGCTAAAGGCATCAGGGCAAGAGCCTCATCTTAGGAAAAGACTTTCTATCCCGAAACTATAAATACAAATGTATTTATAGTGTATTTCTAATGTGTATTGATAATGTATATATTTTATATACATTTATATATAATATATAAATATATTATATATATTTATAGTATAAATACACTATACTATACACTATAGAAATATGTATTCTATAGTGTACTTATAATGTATATTCTAAAATAACAAAAAGTCTAGGCTCTAAGAGAAATCGAAGTAACCTTATGTTTAGCTATATTTTTATTTTTACTAGAGATAGCTTTATTAGCATTGTCAAACAAACAAAAAATAAGCATTGACCATTGCTCCTTGAATATTGCTTTAAAGTTCTATAAAATAAGATTGGCTACCTCATGGGGTACCTCCTGTTCATTTGCTAAGGAAGAAAAGAGAAAGTTCTCTGGCATCACATTTTAAACTAATGATTTAGATTTCAATGACCTCTCTGTTGTTAATAAGGACTTTTTCTGATAATTCAGAAAAAAAACTTACCTCAAAGACTCTCTTCACGTATCTTGTGAAGTATCCTGTGTAACTGTTTACCAAAAGCAGCCCCGATAGTCTCTCTCTCTTCAGATTTTCCTGACCAGATGTCTATTTTTAGTCACTGTATGTAGCCACTAATAACTCTTCCTTTGGGTGACTAAGGAAGCATGGAGGTCTAGCTAATTTATTTTACCTCCCCATTTTCCCACCAGTAGACGAGGAATTGTAGCCAATTAGTTAATAAGTATTTGCTAAGTGCCCACAGAGCGAAAGTGTGTACTACACTGAACCTTTTGGTCAATTCATCCTGAGAAAACATGTAGCGGTTTAACACAGAAAACCTCAACTTCCCAGGGGCTAGATACCCAGGATCTCTGGTTTCTAAAAAAACATGAACAAACACCTATTTTGATGGCATCCTGAATTTTCAGTAATTGATAAGTGACAGGAAAGAAAAAGCCGAAGTCCGGATACACTGTGATGAGTCAGTTATTTGCTTATAATTAAATGAGCATTATGATTGGCTTGCAAGGGTGATAAAAGACCATTTTGCACTTCTATCAGTTTTTTTGTTAGCTAACAAGCAGGCAACAGAAGAAGCAAAAAATAGAAAATGCAAAGAGGAGAAAGAAAGGAGGAGAAATCTTATTAAATCCCCATTTGGCCAGATAATATTTTGAGATTATTAATAATTGAATGGGTTCTCCTTGTATTTGTTCCTGTGTCTTTTTACTCACTCACTGTCTTAGTCCACTTTGTGTTGCTATAAAAGAATACCTAAGCTGGGCAATTTATAAAGAAAAAAAAAGTTTATTTGGTTCACAATTATGGTATCTGAAAAAGTACAAAATTGGGCCTCTGTTAAGAGCCTCAGGATGCTTCCATTCGTAGAGAAGGTGAAGGGGAGCTGGCTGTGTTAAATGGCAAGAGAGGAAGCGAGAGAGAGGGGAAGTCCCCAGCTCTTTTTAACAACCAGCTCTCATGGAAATTAACGGAGTGAGAACTCACTCCCTCCATCTCCCAGGGAAGGCATTAACTTATTCATGAGGGATCCATCCTTGTGACCCAAACACCTCTATTAGGTCCCTCCTCCAAAATCATCACACTGGGAATTAATTTTTAACATGATCTTTGCCTCCAGCTTTGTTCTTTTGGCTTAGGATTGACTTGGCAATGTGGGCTCTTTTTTGGTTCCATATGAACTTTAAAGTAGTTTTTTCCAATTCTGTGAAGAAAATCATTGGTAGCTTGATGGGGATGGCATTGAATCTATAAATTACCTTGGGCAGTATGGCCATTTTCACGATATTGATTCTTCCTACCCATGAGCATGCAATGTTCTTCCATTTGTTTCTATCCTCTTTTATTTCATTGACCAGTGGTTTGTATTTCTCCTTGAAGAGGTCCTTCACATCCCTTGTAAGTTGGATTCCTAGGTATTTTATTCTCTTTGAAGCAATTGTGAATGGGAGTTCACTCATGATTTGGCTCTCTGTTTGTCTGTTATTGGTGTAAAAGAATGCTTGTGATTTTTGCACATTGATTTTGTATCCTGAGACTTTGTTGAAGTTGCTTATCAGCTTAAGGAGATTTTGGGCTGAGACAATGGGGTTTTCTAGATATACAATCATGTCATCTGCAAACAGGGACAATTTGACTTCCTCTTTTCCTAATTGAATGCCCTTTATTTACTTCTCCTGCCTTATTGCCCTGGCCGGAACTTCCCTCACACTATACCACAAGGCTACAGTAACCAAAACAGCATGGTACGGGTACCAAAACAGAGATATAGACCAATGGAACAGAACAGAGCCCTCAGAAATAATCCCGCATATCTACAACTATCTGATCTTTGACAAACCTGACAAAAACAAGCAATGGGGAAATGATTCCCTATTTAATAAATGGTGCTGGGAAAACTGGCTAGCCATATGTAGAAAGCTGAAACTGGATCCCTTCCTTACACTTTATACAAAAATTAATTCAAGATGGATTAAAGACTTAAATGTTAGACCTAAAACCATAAAAACCCTAGAAGAAAAGCTAGGCAGTATCATTCAGGACATAGGCATGGGCAAGGACTTCATGTCTAAAACATCAAAAGCAATGGCAACAAAAGCCAAAATTGACAAATGGGATCTAATTAAACTAAAGAGCTTCTGCACAGCAAAAGAAACCAACATAAGAGTGAACAGGCAACCTACAGAATGGGGGAAAATTTTTGGAACCTACTCATCTGACAAAGGGCTAATATCCAGAATCTACAATGAACTCAAACAAATTTACAAGAAAAAAACAAACAACCCCATCAAAAAGTGGCAGAAGGATATGAACAGACACTTCTCAAAAGAAGACATTTATGTAGCCAAAAAACACACGAAAAAATGCTCATCATCACTGGCCATCAGAGAAACGCAAATCAAAACCACAGTGAGATACCATCTCACACCAGTTAGAATGGCAATCATTAAAAAGTCAGGAAACATGTGCTGGAGAGGATGTGGAGAAATAGGAACACTTTTACACTGTTGGTGGGACTGTAAACTAGTTCAACCATTGTGGAAGACAGTGTGGTGATTCCTCAGGGATCTAGAACTAGAAATACCATTTGACCCAGCAATCCCATTACTGGGTATATACCCAAAGGATTATAAATCATGCTGCTATAGACACATGCACACGTATGTTTATTGCGGCACAATTCACAATACAAAGACTTGGAACCAACCCAAATGTCCAACAATGATAGACTGGATTAAGAAAATGTGGCACATATACACCATGGAATACTATGCAGCCATAAAAAGGATGAGTTCATGTCCCTTGTAGGGACATGGATGAAGCTAGAAATCATCATTCTCAGCAAACTATTGCAAGGACAAAAAACCAAACACCGCATGTTCTCACTCATAGGTGGGAATTGAACAATGAGAACACATGGACACAGGAAGGGGAACATCACACACCGGGGACTGTTGTGGGGTGGGGGAAGGGGAGGGATAGCATTAGGAGGTATACCTAATGCTAAATGACGAGTTAATGGGTGCCACACACGAACATGGCACAGGTATACATATGTAACAAACCTGCACATTGTGCACATGTACCCTAAAACTTAAAGTATAATAATAATAAAATTTAAAAAAAAAGGTCAAGTCAAAAAAAGAATAAACAAAACATGAGGTTTGGAGGGAACAAACAGCCAAACTATAGCCCTCACTCATAAATTTAGCAAATTGTGTGTGTCATTTCTTCAGGGAAGAGTAGTAAGGAAAGAAAGCCAACAAGACTCAAGATTTGTTTCTAAAAAGCTGAACCCATTTTAAAAAATAGTCTTTAAGCTATGATTTCAAAAAGATTTGGGAGTAAAAATCTTCTTGCAGACATAATAGGAATTCAACATTCTAAACATACACGTGTTCCCTGGATTAGACAGTAGAGAGGGGTCAGTAGTTCCCAAGCAAAGGGACCAAGGTGAGAGGTCACAGCGTGCTGGCAGCCCTCACAGCCCTCGCTTGCTCTCAGCGCCTCCTCAGCCTTGGCGCCCGCTCTGGCCAGGCTTGAGGAGCCCTTCAGTCCATCGCTGCACTGTGGGAGCCCCTTTCTGGGCTGGCCAAGGCCGGAGCCAGCTCCCTCAGCTTGCAGGGAGGTGTGGAGGGAGAGGCGCGGGCGGGAACCGGGGCTGCTAGCAGTGCTTGTGGGCCAGTGCGAGTTCCGGGTGCATGTGGGCTCCACGGGCCCTGCACTGGGAGCAGCCAGCTAGCCCCGCAGGCCCAGGCAGTGAGGGGCTTAGCATCTGGGCCAGCAGCTGCTCTGCTCAATTTCTCGCCAGGCCTTAGTTGCCTTCCTGCAGGGCAGGGCTTGGGACCTGCAGCCCGCCATGCCTGAGCCTCCCCCGCCTCCGTGGGCTCCTGTGCAGCTGAGCCTCCCCGATGAGCACCACCCCCTGCTCCACGGAGCCCAGTGCTGAGCCATCGACCACCCAAGGGCTAAGAAGTGCGGGCGCATGGCGCGGGACTGGCAGGCAGCTCCACCTGCAGCCCCAATGCGGGATCCACTGGGTGAAGCCAGCTGGTCTCCTGAGTCTACTGGGGAGGTGGAGAACCTTTATGTCTAGCTAAGGGATTGTAAATACACCAATCGGCACTCTGTATCTAGCTCAAGGTTTGTAAACACACCAATCAGCACCCTGTGTCTAGCTCAGGGTTTGTGAATGCACCAATGGACACTCTTATCTAGCTACTCTGGTGGGGACTTGGAGAACCTTTGTGTCAACACTCTGTATCTAGCTACTCTGGTGGGGATGTGGAGAACCTTTGTGTCTAGCTCAGGGATTGTAAACGCACTGATCAGCGCCCTGTCAAAACAGACCACTCAGCTCTACCAATCAGCAGGATGTGGGTGGGGCCAGATAAGAGAATAAAAGCAAGCTGCCTGAGCCAGCAGTGGCAACCCGCTCGGGTCCCCTTCCACACTGTGGAAGCTTTGTTCTTTTGCTCTTTGCAATAAATATTGCTGCTCCTCACTTTTTGGGTCCACAGTGCCTTTATGTAGCCAAAAAACGCACGAAAAAATGCTCATCATCACTGGCCATCAGAGAAACGCAAATCAAAACCACAGTGAGATACCATCTCACACCAGTTAGAATGGCGATCATTAAAAAGTCAGGAAACATGTGCTGGTCTGCAGCTCACCGCGAAGGTCTGCAGCTTCACTCCTGAAGCCAGCCAGACCACAAACCCACCGGAAGGAAGGAGCAACTCCAGACGCGCGGCCTTAAGAGCTGTAACACTCACCGCGGAAGGTCTGCAGCTTCACTCCTGAGCCAGCGAGACCACAAACCCACCAGAAGGAAGAAACTCCGAACACATCCGAACATCAGAAGGAACAAACTCCAGACGCGCCACCTTAAGAGCTGTAACACTCACCGTGAGGGTCCGTGGCTTCATTCTTGAAGTCAGTGAGACCAAGAACCCACCAATTCTGGACACAAAGGGACCTTGTCCAGGGCAGAAGCCACAAGGAGGAGAAATAGCTCTGGGTTACGTCTAAGATGACTGCAGGTACTGGTCCCTAGCTTGCCAAAGATTACTGGATCATAAGCTTGGCACGAAACTAGAGGGCTGCTGTGTTCCAGGCATCAGTGTTGGTTTATACATAGAGGATGTCAGACATACCAACGAGATCTTGAAGACTTAGTGGTCTATTCTGCCTTCCCCATTTTCCAGACAATATGGAAGCCTTTGCAGTTCTGGCCTGAGTGGGTCCAATAATAACTGGGTTGAGATTCACTACCTGCCAGGCAGTGAGGCTTAGAGTGAGAAATTAATATGATTTATAGAAAATAGAGTTAAATTCTTGCATGAATTTAGAGAATAAGATGCAGAACTTCTCCACTCACAACAACTCTATGTAATAGATAACATAATTTCTATTTTATAGATTGGGAAACCTAAATGAAAAACTTAACCTTGCATAGGTTATGCCATTAGTAAATGATGGATCTGGGGTTGGAATACAGGGAAAGGAGTAGCAGAGGCCAGCTGTCTGCTAATTAAAAAAAAAAAAAAAAAAAAGGAAAGGAAAAGCAAGCATTTCTTCAAGAAAGGGCAGAAAGTAGAGATAAAGAAATCTAGTGTCCTAAGGGAAAAGAAATAAACTCTAAAGATTAGGAGAAGAAATCCCAATTAGTGATCAGAAGCTGCTAATGGCATGTGTTAGCCCTTCTAAAAGCAACAACCAAGTAGCAGTAGCTCTGTTATGACACAATGACAGTACCATACTGAGAAATTCAGTTAGAATCTGGCTCAATCAGCAAACTATGGTCAACAGACAGAATCCTGGGTATATGCTTACAGAAAACTGCCTGCAGACCAATAGACTCACTTAGTAAACATAGATTATATTTTTAATGGTACTGCAATTCAAAGCACATTGATAAGAACAATAATGAAAAAAACTGATTTTCTAGAGGGTGGACTTTTAAATGGAGGTTACTTCAGCTTTGACTGACAGATTTGGTAGCAAGACATTTCTTTAATAGATTAATCACATTTCATTCACCTCAGATAAGGAAAGGAGAAATTACAATCCTTTATTGCCACAAAAAAGAAAAGAGAAAAGGAAATAAAAGAAAGAAGGAAAAAGGAAGGAAGGAATGGTAAAAAATATTTCTCTATCATTAAGTTCCAGAATTTCTTCAGAGGTTCTTGACCTTTTAACCCTTTGTTCCCAGAGATTACTGATAATGATGGTGATCAGAAAAAGAGTAAACTATACTTAATGAACACTGGTAATATGGTGACAGTTCTTAAACATTACTGTGCCTAAGTTGGTAAAATTAAACTTTTGTAAAGAAAATTGACAATATGTATCAAGAGATTTAAAAGATGCTCACATTTTTTCTGACTCAATTTTATTTCTTAAAAATCTACCATAGATTTGTACAAAAGGTACATTCATGAACATAACCACATCACCATTTATAAATTGAAAGTTGGCATTTAAATACTATATATTAAAACCAGAGGGGAATTTTTAAGAAATTCATGGCAATATTTTGTTATTAATTAAAATTACAGATACAAAGCCCAAGTAAAACATGAAAAATTGCTCTTCTTAGGAGATTCAGTGAAGAATTAATATAAAATTTCAGTTTACTCTTTGATTGTAGCTATGTTTTTATATATATGCATATGAGAAAAAGCTAGAAGAACACAAACTGGTACTGCAAAATGCTAACTGATTTTTTTTTTCAGTGAGGATATTATACATAATTTTCTTCTTTATTTTTTTCTGTTTTCAACTCAATTATATGTTTTAAGGTGTTCTATCTCCTATAAGATATTTTAATTTTGAATGGGGAATAATGCTTAAATCAAACTAAAATTTTAATTTAAAGCTAAACTTAATACTAAAGTAAGTTCAGGTAAATATATTTTAAGATGATTTTTGCTTTCAAATATGTTATATTTGCAGAATGTAAGCATTAAATCTCAAACTATTTAAGAAAGGTAGATTATCTATGACTTTCACTTGTTCAACCTAATCAAATTTGTAATGAAAGGCAAAAAAAATCTTTACTAAAAGTAATTGCTATGAACTTTAATTGCTGTAAACACAGGAATGCATCTTGCATGTGTGTGCAACTCTAGGACTAACCACATTCGTGTGTATTTTTTTAGTATTTCCAGTATTTGCCTCATTAACAAATAATCTAAAGGAATATTGAAGCCAGATTAAAACATGTAAATATTATCTGAGTTCTCGATACATAAAACCCTAAAATGAATTTTCAGCAAGATTTCTTTTAAATAATGAAATTATTGAGTACATAGGATACCTAAGTTTTAAAGACCATAAAATTGATCATTTCTATAAGTATAATATTGCCACACCTCAGAGATATCACAGGTTCAGTTCCAAACCACTGCAATAAAGTTAATATCACAATAAAGCAAGTCACAAGAATTTTTTGGCTTCTCAATCCATATAAAACTTAGGTTTACACCATACTGTAGTCTAGTAAGTGGGCAATAGCATTATGTCTAACAAAACCAATGTACATACCTTGATTTAAAAATACTTTATTACTAAAAAATGCTAATGATCGTCTAAGCCTTCAGTGAATCGTAATATTTTGCTGATGGAGAATCTTGCCTCAGTGTTGATTGCTGCTGACTAATCAGAATGGAAGTTGCTGAAGGTTGGGGTGGCTATGGCAATTTCTTAAAATAAGACAACAATGAAGTTTTCTCCATTGATTGATGCTTCCTTTCATGAAAGATTTATCTGTAGCATACGATATTGTTTGAGAGCATTTCACCTACAATAAAGCTTTTCAAAATTGGAGGCAATCCTCTCAAATTCTGCTGCTGCTTTATCAATTAAGCTTATGCAATATTCTAAATTCTTTGTCATCATTCCTACAATGTTCACAGCATTTTCACCAGGAGGAGATTCCATATCAATAAACAACTCCTCATCCATTTGAATTTTGTCACGAAATTGCAGCATTTCAGTTACATCTTCGTGCTCTATTTCTAATGCTAGTTCTCTTGCTATTTCCACTCCATCTGCAGTTACTTTCTCCACTAAAGTCTTGAACCTTTCAAAGTCATCCATGAGGTTTGGAATCAACTTCTTCCAAACTCCTATTAATGTTGATAATTTGAACTCCTATCAAGAACCATGGATGTTCTTAATAGCATCTAGAATGATGAATTCTTTCCAGAAGGTTTTTGTTGCATTTTGCCCAGATGCATCACAGTAATCACTATGTATGGGAGCTACAGACTTACAAAATTATTTCTTAAATAATAAGACTTGGAAATTAAAATTACTCCTTGATCCATGGGCTGAAGTCTGAACGCTGTGTTACCACTGATGAAAACAACATTAATCTCCTTGTACATCTCCATCAGAGCTATTGGGTGACCCAGAACATTGTCAATGAGCAGTAATATTTTGAAAGAAACCTTTTTTTCATGAGCAGCAGGTCTCAAAAGTGGACTTAAAATACTCATTAAACTATGCTCTAAACTGATATGCTGTCATCCAGGCTTTGTTTTTCTATTTATAGAGCACAGGCAGAGTAGATTTAGTATAATTCTTAAGGGCCCTAGGATTTTTGGAATGGTTTTTGGAATGGAATGAGCTTTGGCTTCAAATGAAGTCACCAGCTGCATTAACCCCTAACAAGAAAGTCAGCCTGTCCTTTAAAGCTTTCAGGCCAAGCACTGAGTTCTCCTCTGTAGCTACAGAAGTCCTACATGATATCTTCTTCCGTAGAATGTTGTTTTGTTTACATTAAAAATCTCTTGTTTGGTGTAGCCACCTTAATTAACTACCATAGCTAGATCTTCTATATAACTTACTGCAGCTTCTCCATCAGTACTTGCTGCTTCACTTTGTACTTTCATATTTTGGGGATGGTGTCTTTCCTTAAACCTCATGAACCAATCTTTGCTAGCGTCCAGTGTTTCTTCTGCAGCTTCTTCAACTCTCCCAGGCTTCATAGGATTGAAGAGTTAGGGTCTTGCTGTGCATTAGCCTTTGGCTTAAGACAGTATTGTAGCTGGTGTGATCTTCTATCCATACTGATGCAGGACAGGTAAGCCCCAAACTGTCACTTAGCCTGGGAGGGTTCTTAGCATCACCCAGGAAAGAATGCAAGGGTGAGCCCTGGTGGTGTTAGCAACTTTTATTGACGCTGCAGTGTACAACAGTAGCAGAGGTACTGCTCCTTGCAGAGAAGGGCTACCCCATAGGCAGTGTGCCTAGAGTAGAAACTCAAAGGTTGTTCTGCAGTCATATTTATACCCACTTTTAATTATATGCAAATTAAGGGGAAGGTTATGCAGAAATTTCTAGAGAAATGGTGGTGACTTTTGGGTCATTGTATTGTTGCCATGGAAAGTGGTGGTAACTTCCAGGTGTATCCCCAGCAATGGTAAACTGAAAAGGCATACTGGGGCATATGTCTTATGGAAAGCTTCTTCTACCTTGTCCTGTTTTAGCTAGTCCTCAGTTTGGTCCAGTGTCCAAGCCCCACCTCCAGAGTTGAGACCTGCTTCCTACCTCAAGACCACTAAAACTTCATCCATATCAGCAATAAGGCTGTTTTGCTTTCTTATCATTCATGTGTTCTCTGGAATAGCACTTTTAATTTTCTTCAAGAAGTTTTCATTTGTATTCATAGCCTGGTTGTTTGGTCAAGAGGGTTAGCTTTTGCCTGTCTCAGCTTTTGACTTGCTCCCCTCCCTAAGTTTAACCATTTATAGGTTTTGATTTAAGGAAGTATATGCAACTCTTCCTTGCACTTGAACTTTAGAGGCCATTGTAGAATTATTAATTGGCTTAATTTCAATATTCTTGTGTGTCATGGAATAGAGAGGCACGAAGAGAGGGCAAGAGATGGGGAAGTGGCCAGTTAGTGGAGTAGTTAGAACACACAACATTTATTGATTAATTTCACTGTTTTCTTATGAGTGTGCTTTGTGGTACCCCAAAACAACTACAATAGTAACATCAAAGATCATTGATCAAAGTTAACCATAGCACATATAACGTCTGACATATTGCAAGAATTATGAAAATGTGACATAGAGACAGAGTAAGCATGTGCTGTTAGAAAAATTTTGCCAATAGTCTTGCTCCACCCAGGGTTACCACAAACCTTCAATTTGTTAAAAATGCAATATCTGCAAAGTGCAATAAAGTAAAGCACAATCAAATAAGGTATGCCTGTATAGAGCTGGTCCTGCACTCTCATTCCTATTAAGATTTTAATAACTGATGATGCTTAATGAATTCACTTCCTGAAGACTTTTTGCATTTTGGCAGTGAAGGAACTCAAACCACAAAATGAATCTTTAATAGTACAATCTCAGCAATCAGATATTCCAGTGATGGGAGAGTTTGATGGGTACATGGAGGTTTTTCAGAGTCTTGAAACCACTTGTTGAAAATAACGTTTTATTTAACTTCTACATAATGCTGGTTATAGCTATTTGCACTTAGACAGCTATAGTTCACAGATTCACTACACTTTAGGACTAACGTGTCCAACATTTGAGTTTGGAGCTTAGGGAAAACTTCTCCTATCTGATGTTACCAAGACTATAAACCCATCTGCATAGCATTCAAAAGACTATTTGTTTTGTAGGTTAGTAGCTCGTAGACATGACCTCATAATCATCTTTCTGCATGTTCACCTTCCTTACCAATTTGGGTAATATTATTAATAAAATAACCAATTATTCACTTTGAAGGTTTTCAGGAAGATGCATCTGATAGAGACTACAAAGTAAATGAAAGAGTTGAGACAGTTTTTTTGACTGGAGAATTGAGAATTCATGCCATTATGTGAACAATAGCTCCATCCTACTCCATCACCCTAGAGTGGTTCTGTAATTAGGCAAAGACTACTGGTAATTTACAATTCTCCCCTACTGAATCTTATAACCTGCCTCCCAACCAGGCAAATGCTCTTGAGTGTTATTTCCACATGTAATCCCCTGGTTGGTATGTATTTAGCTAAACCCAGCCATTCATTCTTTGAGTCCATTATGAAGGAGAAATGGTTTTTACCCCACTTGAATTATACTGAATCATCACCCATTAAGAATAACTATATTTATAAAAATTTCTTAATGAATACACAATATAAAATGGATTATACTCTAACTACAAGAAAGCAACATGTGAAGGGGCATTAAAAGTATAGTATTATATGCAATTGAAGTCAAGTTGTTGTCAACTTAAAGTAGATGATTATAACTACTAGATATTTTATGCAAGCCTATGGAAACTACAAAGAAAAAGCCTATAATAGATACTGAAAATACAAAAAGCAAAAAATGAAATAAAATCATTACAAAAAATTATCAAATAACGAAGGAAGGCAGCAAGAAAGTTAGTGGAAAATGAAACAATAGCAAAACAGAAAATTATTTTTGACTTATAGTAGTAAGTCCTCACCTTTCAATAATTCTTTAAATGTAAATAGATTCAACTCCTTAGGCAAAAGACTTAGAGTGGTTGAATGGATTTTTAAAAATTAGACCTGACAATTTGCTGTCCACAAGTCTCACTTTAGATTTCACACACATAGCCTGAAAATGAAGGGATGGACAAAGATGTTTGACACAAATGGTAGCCAAAAGAAAGTAAAGTGGCTATAGTCATACTAGACAAAATAGACTTTAATCTGTCTCTAGGAATGAAGATCATTATATAATGATAAAAGTATTGATTCAACAGGAAGATGTTACCAAGTAAAGATATATATGCATCCGGCCGGGCGTGGTGGCTCAAGCCTGTAATCCCAGCACTTTGGGAGGCGGGGAAGGGCAGATCATGAGGTCAGGAAATCGAGTCCATCCTGGCTAAGACGGTGAAACCCCGTCTCTACTAAAGATACGAAAAATTTAGCCGGGCGTGATGGCGGGTGCCTGTAGGCCCAGCTACTAGGGAGGCTGAGGCAGGAGAATGGCGTGAACCTGGGAGGTGGAGCTTGCAGTGAGCCGAGATCGCACCACTGCAGTCCAGCCTGGGCTACAGAGCGAGACTCCGTCTCAAAAAAAAAAAAAAAAAAAGATAAATATGCATCCAAACCCAGATCATCTAAATATATAAAACAAATATTGACTTATCTGAATGGAGAAAATAAAAGTAATACCAAATAGTAGGAGACTCTAATACCCCACTTTTTTAAAAAACCGGGATCTCGCTTTGTCACCCAGGCTGGAGTGCAGTGGTGTAAACATGGGTCACTGCAGCCTCAACCTGTGAGGCTCAAGTGATCTTCCCATTTCAGCCTCTCAAGTAGCTGAGATTACAGTTGTGTGCCTCCATGACTGGCTGATTTTTTTGTTTGTTTTTTGCTTGTTTTTAGATGGAGTCTTGCTCTGTCACCCAGTCTAGAGTGCAGTGGTGCGATCTCGGCTCACTGCAACCTCTGCCTCCTGGTTTCAAGCGATTCTCCTGCCTCAGCCTCCAGAGTAGCGAGATTACAGGCGCCCACCACCAAGCCCAGCTAATTTTTGTATTTTTAGTAGAGACGGGGTTTCACCATCTTGGCCAGGCTGGTTTCAAACTCCTGACCTCATGATCTGCCCGCCTCAGCCTCCCAAGGGTTTCACAGTGTTGCTCAGACTGGTCTCAAACTCCTGAGCTCAAAGGATCGAGGCACCTCAGTCCCCAAAGTGCTGGGATTACAGGCATAAGCCACCATGCCTGGTCAATAACCTACTTTCAATAATGGATAGAACATTAAGACAGAAAATTAATAAACAACTGCCTTGGAAACAAATATAAACCAAATGGAACTGCAGATATACACATAACATTCCATTTAACAGCAGAACACACATTCTTCTCAGGTGCGCACAGCACATTCTCTGGGATTGATCACATGACAGGCCACAAACAAGTCTTAACAAATTTAAGACAAAAACAATTTCAAGTGTATTTTCAGATCACAATGAAATGAAACTTGTAATGAATAAGAGTGAGAAAATGGGAAAATTTACAAGTAGGTGGAAACTAAATAGTTAAACTAAATAATTCTTGAAGAATTATTGGGCAAAAAACAAAACTTAAAGAGGAATTTTTTAAATACTGAGACAAATGGAAATGAAAATACAACATAAAATCTTATGGGATACAGTAAAAACAGCACTATGTAATTCTTACTTTTTGTATTTTTTATATTATTTACCATTTTTGGAGCTATGATTCTTCTGGTTGTAACATCTTATGACTCTCCCTCATGGTAGAGTATTGTCATTTGTTTGTTAGTTTTATTGTTATTTGTAGCAGTCTGGGTACATCCATGGGGCCCTAGGAATGTTACTGGTTCCAAACAAGTTTCTGATTTAAATTATCTTCATGGGCTTCCTGTATCACAGGAGTAGTATGAATACCAATCTTGAATATACTCAAGAGTCACAATTGGGTTTCTGATATTTTATGTATATATTATTTCTACTTAGGGCTCTAGTAGAAGTTTCCTGTAGATCCTGAACTATGAGTGGAGTTTTTCTAGTCCCTGTTTTTCAGAGAAGAAATCCTTTGAGGCCCTGTCTTTATAATGAGGCTCCTTTACAGCTTTAAGAAACTGCCCCCAGCCTGCACACAATGTCTAAGTCGTACAACCTCACGGGCGACCACTGACTCAGCACTACTTATCACTCAGGCTTTGAGTTCTGATTCCTGAGTATTTCCAGTTTTGTTCTATAAGATTGTCCTTGGTTATATTTTATTCAGTATGTGTAGGTAATTGATAAAATATGTCAACTCAGTCTTCTATATTCCATTCTTTTTATTTTATAAATAAGGAAACTGAAACTAAGAGAAAATATGTGACTTGCTTAAGCTTCCAGACTGTGTCACCTGATGTGGGCTTCCTCACTCCCAGCCTAGAGTTTGTACTTTCTTTCTCCATTGTATTACACAGCTTCTCAACATTTTCACTGGTGGCATTCTTCTTTCAAGCTCTTTTTCTACTTAAGCTTCCCAACATGGCATTTCTGATATAAGCAGAGTACAAAACACAAATCAGAGGAGTCCAGCAAAGGGACGTATAGATGTAATCTAATTTATAGAACTATTATGAAACATCTTGTTAAGTAAAAGATTCAGTGAAATAATATTCTGCAGTTAAGAGAAGAAATTGAGTGAAAGGACATCAAATGCTCCATACTGGATCTAAAGAAATCCTTTTTAGCATTTTAGGCCCAATGAAAAAGAATTTTTAAGAATCTCAATAAACGAGTCTTACAATATATAGAAAGATGGAGAGCTTTATCTCGATAGATATATATAGATAGATGATTGATAGATAGATAGATAAATAGATAGATAGATATCTGTCAAGTGAAGAGGTTAGTGTTTCAGAAATAAACTGATGAATTTCATGCATTTCAGAGGCAATGGGTCATGGTCAAGATGCATGTTTAATTAAAAAATTATTATATTTACTTTGTATGAAAATAATTGAGCTTTATAAAGCAAAAGACTTAATAGACTTAATAAAGAATATTACAGTGCACTCCTCTCCCAACTACTAGGATGATATAACACTATTACAATGTACAGACCTGCATCAAGCACCCAGAAGATGACATAACTCACAATATTTTCCTCAAGACAATACAGCTTGAAAAATTTTTTCCAGCTATTTCTAGAAAAATGTACATAATATTGCTATATAATTTTCTGATGAAAAGTTCACAATTAGGCATTTTATGTGCTGATGAGAACACTAGATTTTTGAGAATGAAAATTTAGCAATTATGCTAGTTCCAGTCCTAAGACCTTTGTCATTAGGTTCATTTTTTTGTTCTTCTCCTGCTCTCCTCTGTATTGTGGGATTTGGAAGGGGAGAGAAGATGGAGTAGAGGAAGAGGAGTGCTGGCTCTTTCAGGGCATATTTCTAGCTCCCATATAAGCTGGTTTCTAAAGGGGTTTGACAAATAGGGAGCGGAATCAGAGATTGGAAGGCAAGGAAGGGAGAATCCAGACTATTTCTCCTTTTGTGCCTCTGGTGGTGACTCCATAGTGGCTATCAACCCCAGCTCCTGCTCCTTGTTATGATTCCATCTTTCACCAGGTGTCCCTGGTCCTGAGCAACATTAATTGCCCTTCCTTCCTTTATGTCTTTGGCCTATACATGGTAATGCCTTCTTGCTATTGTCCAACTTTGATTACCTTGCCATCACCTGTTTAATTTCTCAGATATCCCATCACCCATGGAATCAATCTCTACATTAAAGCCCCTGTGTTGTAAATACTCAAAATTCTTTGTTTCCCTGATTACTCTATGATTGATACAAAGATTAAGTTACAGCATTCAAATTCCAGGATGTTTTACTATTTTTCATTGAGGCCTTTCTTGAATATTTATCTGAAATCCTATTGCATTTATAAGCTAGAAAACAATATTTAGCTTGGCTCCTATTATTTTAGCTCTTAAAATATGCCATTTTGGGTTATTTGTTAATTCATAGAATCCTACAGTCCCTCACTTGAATTATAATTGAGAGTCAAAGAAATTAGGTTGCATACCTAGTCAAATAACACCAAAATTTTTGAAGTTAAGTAAAATAATATATATTTAACTAGAGTCTACAACTAATGTTGTATATGTAGCACAACACATTTTTAGTGCTAGTGATTATATTAGTGTGAAATATTATTTAATTAATTTTAGTATCAATTAATTTAAGTCAATCTGAAAATAAAACACTATATACATTCTTACCCCTTCTTATCTGCCATGTACCACTTTATAAATAACAGAGTACCATAGAGCTAGCTCTATCATATATTTATGATGCAGGGTTAGAACATATAACTGAATTCCACAATAATCCATCATTTCTCATTTTAAATTTTCTCTTCTTACATTTTTTGTAAACCAGGGTTGCTAAGATAGTAAAATAAATGGTTTTTAATTTTTTCTTTTCTTCATGTCTCCTACAAAATCTTTTATGGATATACTAATAAAAATATAAACTCCCAAAGCCTAATCTTGAGAGCAGTAGAAAGAAGAGAAAGAATATAACCCATTGGCTTTTAAATTATGAGGCATGGCCTCTGCACACATGCACACTGAGCTGCTCTGTGTTGATCTCTTGAAAGAAGTTTTCAGGAGAGTTTCTGAGGACTGGAGAATTAGTGTTCATACTTAAGATGTAAACACTGTGTTTTTCAAGAACTCTAGGACAAGCTAAAAATCTCACCATATTTATATACCCAGGAGAAACAATACTTACACAAGAAAAATGAACACCCAGTGATATCTTGGCCATTCAAAACATTTCATCCTTTAAAAATGGAAATACTTGATAAAAGAAACAACTACAATGTACTGGTCATTAGGAAAAGTATGGTTAGTTTTGGACGTCTCCCTAAATAACAGTATAATGAGGACACCCAACCTTTGACTCACTGAAGCAGAGAATATTCCCTATGGGAAAGCACATTTTTAAAGTCATGAGATAACAAAATGGAGAAAGCAATTAGTTCTTTGCTCTTCTGCCATCTAGATATAGCTGGCTGAGAAGCCAATGAGGTAGAGCCAGTCTGTAAACCACAAAATTGTATATATATATAAATATTTAGTTAAAGATTGGAAAAATATATGTATTCTTTATTTATATATAATATATTATTTATATATAGTTAATATATATTCTTTTTTACATATAAAGAAATTATATAAGAATATATAAATAACATATAATATATAAGAATATTTATACTATATATAATATATAGAGGAATATCTATATAGAGACTATATATATAAGAATATACATACACAAATATTTATATATTTATATATTCTTTCCGATCTTCATTTTAGGTCCAGGGGATATATGTTCAGGTTTGTTACATGGGTAAATTGTGTGCTGTAGGGGTTTGATGTACAGATAGTTTTGTCACCCAGGTAGTCAGCATAGTACTCGATAGGTAGTTCTGCAATCCTCACCCTCCTCCCACACTCCACTCTCTAGTAGGTTTTGGCGTCTATTGTTTCCTTCTCTGTGTCCTGATATAAATATTGATCATGTAACCATGTAATTACCCAGAAGATAGGTGATCTGAATTAATCAGAGTGCAAGCAGAGTATTTGCCTATCTGTGAACCTGGGTTTTCTGACCCAGTTACCTTACCACACCCCAATATATCTAGTCAACGGCCAAGTCTCCATCTCACTCCAAAGCATGTTGACATAACTGTGGATGAAGTCTTCCATCCCATAAGTCAGGCTTAGCAATGCCTAGAGGAGTGATCTCAGCAGATCTTCAAAACTCCTGAACCTAACAACACTGAGTCAACTTAACTGAGTATCTCTAAGGTTTTCTTAAAAAAAAAAAAAAAAACTCTTTATTTAGAATAAAGACTATATTGAGAAGAGATGTGATGTATAATAGAGCCAAAATTAAAGCCCAATGTTATGTGCTGCCTTGACATCTGGTGCAATCAGAAAGGCCTTTTCTGGCCTAATTGCAAGTCCTCTCTGTACTGTCTTCCCACAGATGAGGACTCCTAGGCAAACAATCCTCCTTATCAAGGGGACTAGGCACAGTTCCTGCTTATTCCTGAGTAGTGGGTTTCAATTCGTTGCCAGTCTAAGGAATTACTCAAACAAGTCAATCACATCCTCCTGCACAAACCAGAGGGCATCTCACCCTCTTGATACTACAAAACAGCCCTTGGCTGTTCATCCTGTTCCTGAGTGCAACCGCCATGTGGCTCTGCAGGAAGTGTGGTGTCTTCCTCCCCTGGGCGGTGAATATATGTGACTAACAAACTGCTGTTGATCTCATCTCTCCAATGTTGGGTGTTGTGTTTGGGCATTCCCATTTATCTAAAGTGGGAATCCCTCTCTCACTGATAGTGATAAGAGGAAGTGATTAGAACAAAAAGTTAATTGTTCTTCCAAATTGGTGAAAAATATCCTAGAGTTGAGATTATATTCTGGTTGTTAAACTAAGTTTTTATCTCATCTAATAAAAAATTTGCTTTCATAACTCTCAGAAGATCTGTCTTTATAGTTTATAATAACAATTACTAGTACTATGACTACTAATAATGTTATTTATTTATTTATATGTCACACACATACATTATTCTATTTTATCTATACCCCAGTTCATAGCTAAGGAAACTGAGACATAGAGAGGTTAAAATAATTGGTACATGGTCATAGGTTAGTAAGTTAGTCACTCTGTCAGTCATGATTAAATCTAAGGAATTTCTGTTTGTTTATTGTTGTTTTTTTTAACCTTCAGAGCTCCTGTGCTTAACCACAAAATTATACCACTATCATCATTTGCTTTACTCATTATAATTGTCAGTAAAGTTCTTTAGGGCCTCTAAATCATGATTAAAACTCACTAACTCTTGTTTAAAAATCACCGATAAATGATAAATTCCTTGACACATACACCCCTCCAAAGACTAAACCAGGAAGAAGTTGAATCTCTGAATAGACTAATAACAGGATCTGAAATTGAGGCAATAATTAATAGCTTACCAACCAAAAAAAGTCCAGGACCAGACGGATTCACAGCCGAATTCTACCAGAGGTACAAGGAGGAGCTGGTACCATCCCTTCTGAAACTATTCCAATCAATAGAAAAAGAGGGAATCCTCCCTAACTCATTTTATGAGGCCAGCATCATTCTGATAACAAAGCCTGGCAGAGACACAACAAGAAGAGAGAATTTTAGACCAATATCCCTGATGATCATCCATGCAAAAATCCTCAATAAAATACTGGCAAACCCAATCCAGCAGCACATCAAGAAGCTTATCGACCATGATCAAGTGCGCTTCATCCCTGGGATGCAAGCCTGGTTCAACATACGCAAATCAATAAACGTAATCCAGCATATAAACAGAACCAAAGACAAAAACCACATGATTATCTCAATAGATGCAAAAAAGGCCTTTGACAAAATTCAACAGCCCTTCATGCTAAAAACTCTCAATAAATTAGGTATCGATGGGACATATCTCAAAATAATAAGAGTTATCTATGACAAACCCACAGCCAATATCATACTGAATGGGCAAAAACTGGAAGCATTCCCTTTGAAAACTGGCACAAGACAAGGATGCCCTCTCTCACCACTCCTATTCAACATAGTGTTGGAAGTTCTGGCCAGGGCAATTAGGCAGGAGAAGGAAATAAAGGGTATTCAATTAGGAAAAGAGGAAGTCAAATTGTCCCTGTTTGCAGATGACATGATTGTATATCTAGAACATCCCATTGTCTCAGCCCAAAATCTCCTTAAGCTGATAGGCAACTTCAGCAAAGTCTCAGGATACAAAATCAATGTGCAAAAATCACAAGTATTCTTATACACCAATAACAGACAAACAGAGAGCCAAATCATGAGTGAACTCCCATTCACAATTTTTTCAAAGAGAATAAAATACCTAGGAATCCAACTTACAAGGGATGTGAAACACCTCTTCAAGGAGAACTACAAACCACTGCTCAATGAAATAAAAGAGGATACAAACGAATGGAAGAACATTCCATGCTCCTGGGTAGGAAGAATCAATATCGTGAAAATGGCCATACTGCCCAAGGTAATTTATAGATTCAATGCCATCCCCATCAAGCTACCAATGACTTTCTTCACAGAATTGGAAAAAACTACTTTAAAGTTCATATGGAACCAAAAAAGAGCCCGCATCACCAAGTCAATCCTAAGCCAAAAGAACAAAGCTGGAGGCATCACACTACCTGACTTCAAACTATACTACAAGGCTACAGTAACCAAAACAGCATGGTACTGGTACCAAAACAGAGATATAGATCCATGGAACAGAACAGAGCCCTCAGAAATAATGCTGCATATCTACAACTATCTGATCTTTGACAAAGCTGACAAAAACAAGCAATGGGGAAAGGATTCCCTATTTAATAAATGGTGCTGGGAAAACTGGCTAGCCATATGTAGAAAGCTGAAACTGGATCCCTTCCTTACACCTTATACAAAAATTAATTCAAGATGGATTAAAGACTTAAACGTTAGACCTAAAACCATAAAAACCCTAGAAGAAAAGCTAGGCAATACCATTCAGGACATAGGCATGGGCAAGGACTTCATATCTAAAACACCAAAAGCAATGGCAACAAAAGCCAAAATTGACAAATGGGATCTAATTAAACTAGAGAGCTTCTGCACAGCAAAAGAAACTACCATCAGAGTGAACAGGCAACCTAAAGAATGGGAGAAAATTTTTGCAACCTACTCATCTGACAAAGGGCTAATATCCGGAATCTACAATGAACTTAAATAAATTTACAAGAAAAAATCAAACAACTCCATCAACAAGTGGGTGAAGGATATGAACAGAGACTTCTCAAAAGAAGACATTTATGCAGCCAACAGACACATGAAAAAATGCTCATCATCACTGGCCATCAGAGAAATGCAAATCAACACTACAATGAGATATCATCTCACACCATTTAGAATGGAGATCATTAAAAAGTCAGGAAACAACAGGTGCTGGAGAGGATGTGGAGAAATAGGAACACTTTAACACTGTTGGTGGGACTGTAAATGAGTTCAACCATTGTGGAAGTCAGTGTGGTGATTCCTCAGGGATCTAGAACTAGAAATACAATTTGACCCAGCCATCCCATTACGGGGTATATACCCAAAGGAATATAAATCTTGCTGCTATAAAGACACATGCACATGTACGTTTATTGGGGCACTACTCACAATAGCAAAGACTTGGAACCAACCCAAATGTCCAACAATGATAGACTGGATTAAGAAAATGTGGCACATATACACCATGAAATACTATGCAGCCATAAAAAATGATGAGTTCATGTCCTTTGTAGGGACATGGATGAAGCTGGAAACCATCATTCTCAGCAAACTATCGCAAGGACAAAAAACTAAACACCGTATGTTCTCACTCATAGGTTGGAATTGAACAATGAGAACACTTGGACACAGGAAGGGGAACATCACACACCTAGGCCTGTTTTGGGGTGGGGGGAGGGGGGAGGGATAGCACTAGGAGATATACCTAATGTAAATGACGAGTTAATGGGTGCAGCACACGAACATGGCACATGTATACATATATAACAAACCTGCACGTTGCGCACGTGTACCCTAGAACTTAAAGTATAATAAATATATATATATTTATATATATATATATATAAAATGCTTAGACAAAAAAATCACTGATAAATGACAAACCACTTAATTGAATTACTGACTACTTACTATGTGACAAAAGACTGGGCACAACATATGGTTGTTCAATGTAATTACTGATTCCTTATTAAATGCACTTGTCTCTAAAGTTGGAAGACTATTCTAACAAGCCAAGTAAAACTCCAAAGCAGAATCAATAAATATATGTAGAATCAAAGAGTGAATGAATATCATTAGTATTCTTGTTTAATAATGTATAAACTATGATTTAAATTGGAAAGTGTACACTAAAATTTACAATGAAAATATTGACAAATCAGAAAATAAAAACACAAAAGTTAAAGATAAAAAGAAAACAATTACTGTCATATTTTGTGTCTAACATATTTCTAAGATGATTCTAATTTTAAACATTTCCTCTGGAGACTCCTGAATTCCCCATCCCTGGACTTTATTTGGAATTTGAACTTTGTAACAAAGAGAAATTTTTTGCCTAGCATCAGCAGTCTAGAAAACAAAGTAAATGTTATTGCTTAGATGGCCTGGTTTATTTCACATCGAACTTGGCAAATGTAGAATGAAAACTTTTTTTTTTTCATTTTTATAGATGGAAGATGCACCATGGCAAAGTGTGCCTGCTATATTTTTTGTCCCACATTAACTTCATGCTGAAAGTCACTTTTTCCAACAGTTTTGGAAGTAGAATCTACCTGAATTTCTTTCATGAAGTCTACAGTACCTTTACCTTATTTCTTTAGGAGGAAAATGTCCAGGCATTTTGTAGAACATGTATTCATAACCAAAATTATGTAGGTTTGGTTTTTGCCTGCTTGCTGCTGGTTGGCTAGTTTTATAGCCTTCTTGACCATGCAGCTTCAACACTACAAAGTATTGCTGTTTGGATTATAGGGCTTCCTTAAACATGTCATGTACAGGGACCCAAAACATATGTGCAGAAGTGATTTTCAAAATATATAAGAAGTAGTACAACACAGGCACCCACTGTACAGAAAGGACAATGGAGAAGGATCCCAGGCTCTTAACCATTTAGTTGCTTTACTATAGGGAGGTCCAAGGGGGTCCCAAGGAAAGAGATAGAATTACACATGAGAGACTTGGTGCAGTGGGTATTTTCCATTTAGTTCAGAATTATATCAGTATTTTAATACGAAATGTCGGCCGGGCATGGTGGCTTATGGCTGTAATCCGAGCACTTTGGGAGGCCGAGGCGGGTGGCTCACTTGAGGTCAGGAGTTCGAGACCAGCCTGCCCAAGGTGGCGAAACCCCGTCTCTACTAAAAATGCAAAAAATTAGCTGGGCGTGGTGCCGGGCACCTGTAATCCCAGCTACTTGGGAGGCTGAGGCAGGAGATTCGCTTGAACCCTGGAGGCGGAGGTTGCAGTGAGCCGAGATCGTGCCGCTGCACTACAGCCTGGGCGACAAGAGCAAAAATCCGTCTCAAAAAAATAAAATCAAATCAAATGAAAAAGAAAAGGAATGTAGCTATACTTTCATAATCTTAGTGCATATCATTCCTAAATGTGTGTGTTTGTACATATATATAATATATATGTGTGTATATACATATATAATATATGCACAAAATATTTGAAGTGGATACTTAAGTATCTGGATTTTTTTTGCAACAGTAACATTTATAAAGGAAAAGTCTCCTGTTACTACAGGATCTTTTCTTAACTAATTGTAAACCAGAACTGCCATACTGCTAAATGAGGACTTATAAGAAAGTTTTATTCAAGATGATTTGAAAAGTTAATCAAAAGAAATTTTAAAATGTTTTGATGTAGCTCTTTTTGGTGGGAGGATGAGATCTTTTGGGATAAGAAAAATGAATTTTAAAAAACTATCCACGTTCTTTTCATCTTCATCATAATTGATTCTCCCTGTGTATCATTTTGGGTCTAGTTTCCTACCCATATTTGTAATGTGGGTTTCATTTACATAAAATGGGAACATAATAAATATAAGGCTTACTAACGATTGTTTTATGTGGCTGCCAATCTGCCAAGTAGCATTCTTAATTATTGCCAGGAAACTGGGCATTTTCCAAGCATATGTTTTAGATTTAAGACTAATATGTCATGTCAGCCCTCTCTACTGGACTGATGGGAACCTATGGGACTTCAGAGCATCTGCTTTGGTGGGTGACTTTTTGGGGTTAGATAAAAGCACTAATAGAAGAAGATAGGGCAAAGCACCAAAAGTTTCTGAAAGCAAATCCTACAAAGAAATACATCAAAGGGTTATGTTTTCATTATAAACTGATATTTTTACTAGGCAAGGATAGAGATCGATCTTCCTCTAGTAGCCATGAAGTAAAGGAAACCAGACCCTAACTTACATTAATGAACCTAACTGCAAGTCTCTTGTCTTCTTTGAACAACATAACCAGGAGTTTTGCCTCAAATTTTTGTTAAGTGTATGTGGCTTTTTCATTAGCCTGTGCAAACCTGGTATGTTCCATCAAAGAATTTATCCCATGACTTGGAAAAAGGGAAACTGAAAATGAAAAAGATCTGGTTTAAATGAGGTGTATTTCTGAATGTTCCCTCAAAAATGTTTTCGAGTCCATGGAAATACTTTTGGTGGTTTTAGTTTGCTCACCCAACACACACTTTGCTCATGACCCACAGTTCCCTGGTCTTGGCCAAAGAGTTAAGATAACTGTTAAGCATATATGTAAGCATGAAACAATTTATTATTGATGTGAAAGCATATCTTGTCACTCTGAATTCTTAATTTTTAAGAAAAATGTATTTAAAATGGAATGCCACCAACCTTTGGATGTTCAAGTGCTCTTTTAATAGACTTAGAAGAGGTGGTACTTTTGTTAAAATGGGAAGTTTTTGAGTGCCATCTTACCAATGCCTTCATGTGGAAAGGTGACTTCCATAATGGCAGTCAAATGCTAAAACGAATCCAGGATATTTGCTGGGAATCAGTTCCTCTTCCACACTTAAGGCTGTCTTCTTGAGAAATGGAGAGTGGCACATGCAGTGTTTACTTTTACCCCCAAATGTGTTACATCTAAAGCCAATACTTTAGAAATGATATTTGCCTACATTCATGGCACAATGACTTTAAAATGGAAGGAAACACAAGCATTTATATCAACAGCTATAGATGGCTATTCATATTCTGAAGAGAAAAAAAGAGAAAAACTGTAATTGTAGATACTATAAGTCTTAATATCAAATAAAAGCCCTGGAATTCAGCATTGTCTTTGTATCCTATATACTATTGTCAATGTATTGAGCCAGGAACTAAGATTCATGAGTCTGATGAATTACATTTAATATCTAAGGCTTAAATTTAATAAATTTTTCCAAGAGCACTTAATAGTTTATGAGATAACTGATGATTATATAAGTAAGATACTGTGCTTCACTCTTCTGGAGATAAGAATTATGTTGAGAAATGTGAGGGGAGAGGAGCCAAGATGGCCGAATAGGAACAGCTCCGGTCTACAGCTCCCAGCGTGAGCTACGCAGAAGATGGGTGATTTCTGCATTTCCATCTGAGGTACCGGGTTCATCTCACTAGGGAGTGCCAGACAGTGGGCGCAGGCCAGTGTGTGTGCGCACCGTGCGCGAGCCGAAGCAGGGCGAGGCATTGCCTCACCTGGGAAGCGCAAGGGGTCAGGGAGTTCCCTTTCTGAGTCAAAGAAAGGGGTGACGGACGCACCTGGAAAATCGGGTCACTCCCACCCGAATATTGCGCTTTTCAGACCGGCTTAAGAAACGGTGCACCACGAGACTATATCCCACACCTGGCTCAGAGGGTCCTACGCCCACGGAATCTCGCTGATTGCTAGCACAGCAGTCTGAGATCAAACTGCAAGGCGGCAACGAGGCTGGGGGAGGGGCGCCCGCCATTGCCCAGGCTTGCTTAGGTAAACAAAGCAGCCTGGAAGCTCGAACTGGGTGGAGCCCACCACAGCTCAAGGAGGCCTGCCTGCCTCTGTAGGCTCCACCTCTGGGGGCCGGGCACAGACAAACAAAAAGACAGCAGTAACCTCTGCAGACTTAAGTGTCCCTGTCTGACAGCTTTGAAGAGAGCAGTTGTTCTCCCAGCACGCAGCTGGAGATCTGAGAACGGGCAGACTGCCTCCTCAAGTGGGTCCCTGACCCCTGACCCCTGAGCAGCCTAACTGGGAGGCACCCCCCAGCAGGGGCACACTGACACCTCACACGGCAGGGTATTCCAACAGACCTGCAGCTGAGGGTCCTGTCTGTTAGAAGGAAAACTAACAACCAGAAAGGACATCTACACCGAAAACCCATCTGTACATCACCATCATCAAAGACCAAAAGTAGATAAAACCACAAAGATGGGGAAAAAACAGAACAGAAAAACTGGAAACTCTAAAACGCAGAGCGCCTCTCCTCCTCCAAAAGAACGCAGTTCCTCACCAGCAACAGAACAAAGCTGGATGGAGAATGATTTTGACGAGCTGAGAGAAGAAGGCTTCAGACGATCAAATTACTCTGAGCTACGGGAGGACATTCAAACCAAAGGCAAAGAAGTTGAAAACTTTGAAAAAAATTTAGAAGAATGTATAACTAGAATAACCAATACAGAGAAGTGCTTAAAGGAGCTGAAGGAGCTGAAAACCAAGGCTCGAGAACTACGTGAAGAATGCAGAAGCCTCAGGAGCCGATGTGATCAACTGGAAGAAAGGGTATCAGCAATGGAAGATGAAATGAATGAAATGAAGCAAGAAGGGAAGTTTAGAGAAAAAAGAATAAAAAGAAATGAGCAAAGCCTCCAAGAAATATGGGACTATGTGAAAAGACCAAATCTACGTCTGATTGGTGTACCTGAAAGTGATGTGGAGAATGGAACCAAGTTGGAAAACACTCTGCAGGATATTATCCAGGAGAACTTCCCCAATCTAGCAAGGCAGGCCAACGTTCAGATTCAGGAAATACAGAGAACACCATAAAGATACTCCTCGAGAAGAGCAACTCCAAGACACATAATTGTCAGATTCACCAAAGTTGAAATGAAGGAAAAAATGTTAAGGGCAGCCAGAGAGAAAGGTCGGGTTACCCTCAAAGGAAAGCCCATCAGACTAACAGCGGATCTCTCGGCAGAAACCCTACAAGCCAGAAGAGAGTGGGGGCCAATATTCAACATTCTTAAAGAAAAGAATTTTCAACCCAGAATTTCATATCCAGCCAAACTAAGCTTCATAACTGAAGGAGAAATAAAATACTTTATAGACAAGCAAATGCTGAGAGATTTTGTCACCACCAGGCCTGCCCTAAAAGAGCTCCTGAAGGAAGCGCTAAACATGGAAAGGAACAACCGGTACCAGCCGCTGCAAAATCATGCCAAAATGTAAAGACCATCGAGACTAGGAAGAAACTGCATCAACTAATGAGCAAAATCACCAGCTAACATCATAATGACAGGATCAAATTCACACATAACAATATTAACTTTAAATATAAATGGACTAAATTCTGCAATTAAAAGACACAGACTGGCAAGTTGGATAAAGAGTCAAGACCCATCAGTGTGCTGTATTCAGGAAACCCATCTCACGTGCAGAGACACACATAGGCTCAAAATAAAAGGATGGAGGAAGATCTACCAAGCCAATGGAAAACAAAAAAAGGCAGGGGTTGCAATCCTAGTCTCTGATAAAACAGACTTTAAACCAACAAAGATCAAAAGAGACAAAGAAGGCCATTACATAATGGTAAAGGGATCAATTCAACAAGAGGAGCTAACTATCCTAAATATTTATGCACCCAATACAGGAGCACCCAGATTCATAAAGCAAGTCCTCAGTGACCTACAAAGGACTTAGACTCCCACACATTAATAATGGGAGACTTTAACACCCCACTGTCAACATTAGACAGATCAACGAGACAGAAAGTCAACAACGATACCCAGGAATTGAACTCAGCTCTGCACCAAGCAGACCTAATAGACATCTACAGAACTCTCCACCCCAAATCAACAGAATATACATTTTTTTCAGCACCACACCACACCTATTCCAAAATTGACCACATACTTGGAAGTAAAGCTCTCCTCAGCAAATGTAAAAGAACAGAGATTATAACAAACTATCTCTCAGACCACAGTGCAATCAAACTAGAACTCAGGATTAAAAATCTCACTCAAAGCCGCTCAACTACATGGAAACTGAACAACCTGCTCCTGAATGACTACTGGGTACATAACGAAATGAAGGCAGAAATAAAGATGTTCTTTGAAGCCAACGAGAACAAAGACACCACATACCAGAATCTCTGGGATGCATTCAAAGCAGTGTGTAGAGGGAAATTTATAGCACTAAATGCCTACAAGAGAAAGCAGGAAAGATCTAAAATTGACACCCTAACATCACAATTAAAAGAACTAGAAAAGCAAGAACAAACACATTCAAAAGCTAGCAGAAGGCAAGAAATAACTAAAATCAGAGCAGAACTGAAGGAAATAGAGACACAGAAAACCCTTCAAAAAATCAATGAATCCAGGAGCTGGTTTTTTGAAAGGATCAACAAAATTGATAGACCACTAGCAAGACTAATAAAGAAAAAAAGAGAGAAGAATCAAATAGACACAATAAAAAATGATAAAGGGGATATCACCACCGATCCCACAGAAATACAAACTACCATCAGAGAGTACTACAAACACCTCTACGCAAATAAACTAGAAAATCTAGAAGAAATGGATACATTCCTCGACACATACACTCTCCCAAGACTAAACCAGGAAGAAGTTGAATCTCTGAATAGACCAATAACAGGCTCTGAAATTGTGGCAATAATCAATAGTTTACCAACCAAAAAGAGTCCAGGACCAGATGGATTCACAGCCGAATTCTACCAGAGGTACAAGGAGGAACTGGTACCATTCCTTCTGAAACTATTCCAATCAATAGAAAAAGAGGGAATCCTCCCTAACTCATTTTATGAGGCCAGCATCATTCTGATACCAAAGCCGGGCAGAGACACAACCAAAAAAGAGAATTTTAGACCAATATCCTTGATGAACATTGATGCAAAAATCCTCAATAAAATACTGGCAAACCGAATCCAGCAGCACATCAAAAAGCTTATCCACCATGATCAAGTGGGCTTCATCCCTGGGATGCAAGCCTGGTTCAATATATGCAAATCAATAAATGTAATCCAGCATATAAACAGAGCCAAAGACAAAAACCACATGATTCTCTCAATAGATGCAGAAAAAGCCTTTGACAAAATTCAACAACCCTTCATGCTAAAAACTCTCAATAAATTAGGTATTGATGGGACGTATCTCAAAATAATAAGAGCTATCTATGACAAACCCACAGCCAATATCATACTGAATGGGCAAAAACTGGAAGCATTCCCTTTGAAAACTGGCACAAGACAGGGATGCCCTCTCTCACCGCTCCTATTCAACATAGTGTTGGAAGTTCTGGCCAGGGCAATCAGGCAGGAGAAGGAAATAAAGGGTATTCAATTAGGAAAAGAGGAAGTCAAGTTGTCCCTGTTTGCAGACGACATGATTGTTTATCTAGAAAACCCCATCGTCTCAGCCCAAAATCTCCTTAAGCTGATAAGCAACTTCAGCAAAGTCTCAGGATACAAAATCAATGTACAAAAATCACAAGCATTCTTATACACCAACAACAGACAAACAGAGAGCCAAATCATGGGTGAACTCCCATTCACAATTGCTTCAAAGAGAATAAAATACCTAGGAATCCAACTTACAAGGGATGTGAAGGACCTCTTCAAGGAGAACTACAAACCACTGCTCAAGGAAATAAAAGAGGACACAAACAAATGGAAGAACATTCCATGCTCCTGGGTAGGAAGAATCAATATCGTGAAAATGGCCATACTGCCCAAGGTAATTTACAGATTCAATGCCATCCCCATCAAGCTACCAATGACTTTCTTCACAGAATTGGAAAAAACTACTTTAAAGTTCATATGGAACCAAAAAAGAGCCCGCATTGCCAAGTCAATCCTAAGCCAAAAGACCAAAGCTGGAGGCATCACACTACCTGACTTCAAACTATACTACAAGGCTACAGTAACCAAAACAGCATGGTACTGGTACCAAAACAGAGATATAGATCAATGGAACAGAACAGAGCCCTCAGAAATAATGCCGCATATCTACAACTATCTGATCTTTGACAAACCTGAGAAAAACAAGCAATGGGGAAAGGATTCCCTATTTAATAAATGGTGCTGGGAAAACTGGCTAGCCATATGTAGAAAGCTGAAACTGGATCCCTTCCTTACACCTTATACAAAAATCAATTCAAGATGGATTAAAGATTTAAACGTTAAACCTAAAACCATAAAAACCCTAGAAGAAAACCTAGGCATTACCATTCAGGACATAGGCGTGGGCAAGGACTTCATGTCCAAAACACCAAAAGCAATGGCAACAAAAGACAAAATTGACAAATGGGATCTAATTAAACTAAAGAGCTACTGCACAGCTAAAGAAACTACCATCAGAGTGAACAGGCAACCTACAACATGGGAGAAAATTTTCGCAACCTACTCATCTGACAAAGGGCTAATATCCAGAATCTACAATGAACTCAAACAAATTTACAAGAAAAAAACAACCCCATCAAAAAGTGGGTGAAGGACATGAACAGACACTTCTCAAAAGAACACATTTATGCAGCCAAAAAACACATGAAGAAATGCTCATCATCACTGGCCATCAGAGAAATGCAAATCAAAACCACTATGAGATATCATCTCACACCAGTTAGAATGGCAATCATTAAAAAGTCAGGAAACAACAGGTGCTGGAGAGGATGTGGAGAAATAGGAACACTTTAACACTGTTGGTGGGACTGTAAACTAGTTCAACCATTGTGGAAGTCAGTGTGGCGATTCCTCAGGGATCTAGAACTAGAAATACCATTTGACCCAGCCATCCCATTACTGGGTATATACCCAAATGAGTATAAATCATGCTGCTATAAAGACACATGCACACGTATGTTTATTGCGGCACTATTCACAATAGCAAAGACTTGGAACCAACCCAAATGTCCAACAATGATAGACTGGATTAAGAAAATGTGGCACATATACACCATGGAATACTATGCAGCCATAAAAAATGATGAGTTCATGTCCTTTGTAGGGACATGGATGAAATTGGAAACCATCATTCTCAGTAAACTATCGCAAGAACAAAAAACCAAACACCGCATATTCTCACTCATAGGTGGGAATTGAACAATGAGATCACATGGACACAGGAAGGGGAATATCACACTCTGGGGACTGTGGTGGGGTCGGGGGAGGGGGGAGGGATAGCATTGGGAGATATACCTAATGCTAGATGACACATTAGTGGGTGCAGCGCACCAGCATGGCACATGTATACATATGTAACTAACCTGCACAATGTGCACATGTACCCTAAAACTTAGAGTATAATAAAAAAAAAAAAAAAAAAAAAGAAATGTTTTTTTTAAAAAAAAAAAAAAAAAAGAAATGTCAGGGGAAAGTTAATATTTTATTTCAAATTTCCTTCTTAATGACTGAGACATTACAAGAGGAGAAAGAATTGAAAGGGAAATATTTACTTATAAAACCAAAGAATTTAAAAATTAATCAGAAAACACTACAAATATGGTTTCATTTATTCTTCTCCTCCTCTTCTTCCTCTTTCTTCTCCATTTTAGAATTCTTCCACAGTTAATAGAAAGAGATTAGAAAATAACCTTCCTTAAATTAAGATATCTGTACATAAAAACCTAGCTTACCTGACAAACTTCCTGAAGAATTTGGCAAAGCTCTTGGGGTAGATGTGGATGTTTTCTCCTGGTATTCCTCAAATACCAGCAGAGAAGGTACACTAGTTCCTCACCTAATCCATTATTTCAGGTCTTGCCTTATGACAGCATTTCTCAAGTGTGTTTTTGTTAATAGAGTCAATGGCTTTCCATACCTTACTCAAGAAAAGAGATTCCTTGATGAAAGAATTTTAGGAAAAGAAAATCAGGAAAATTAAGTTGTTGTGCTTTGTACATGTTTGTTTGCTTAGCAGTTAAGACTTCCCATGATCAAGTGTGAATAACTCTCTCAAATAATATACTATTTAGAACTGTCACAATCCCAAATGAAAAGAACGCAGGCTTTATGCGTTTAAAATCTAAGTTTCAATCTGTCAAGACTCTGGGAAGGTGCCCTAATCTTTCTCTTTCTTCATTTCTTAATTTGTAAAATGGGAATGGAAGTAGGTTCATAGCATCACTACAAAGAGCAAATATGATTGTTCATGTAAAGTGTCTACTCAGCACAGTGCCTGGCACATGAGCAGCCTCCAATAAATGGCAGTGATAATCCTAATGGAACATACCCCTTGCAATGACAATTGATCTTTGTGCATAGGGCAGCAGTATTCTTCCTGTGGGATTAGTGTTCAACAACCTTGGAAGAGGAGCATTCTCATTGCAAAAGAAAATTGTCAGGAATGACACAGATCTTCTCTCACCAGATATATCTTCCTCAGGTTCATGAACTTTTAACCAGTATGGGTCATGAATATGAGCTAAATTATTTTGTGATAAAATGTCCAGAATCAAATATTCCTTCAACCCCACAACAACCTAGAGATAACAAGCATTTTCAGGGAGACTTGGCTAAATTTCAGAATTTTTTTTTTTTTGCATTCATTTTGAAACTCTCTTCTTATCCAAAGACCACAAGCAGTTGAGCCTTGAATTGATCATCTGGATTCCATCATGTTACATTTGTTTCTATTTGTGCATTTTGTAGTATGCACTCTTTTCATCATGGTTGCCATAGATTCCATTGAAATTTTAAAATTTAAATTACAGTAGGAACATTAAATTCTCCCCTAGAATTTACATTAAATTCATCTTAATATAAAAAATTAAAAAAATTACTCATTTTGTTATTCATTCAGTCATTCATTTCTATGCAGAAAATTCTGGTTTTTGCCTGTGCTATTTAGTTATCTCTGCCTACCAAGCTCTTACGCATTCTCAGATCTCTTTCCTTCTAAAAGTCTATAATAACCTCTTCAGCCAAAGACAATTTCCCCCCTCACCTAGAAACCTACATATATTTCAAATGGCATGTGTTACCCACCACCGTGGAGGGGAGTTCTACATATTGCATGTTTTCCATCTCCCCAAAAAGACCATGACTGCTTAAAGAGATGACCTCATCATCTCTGTACTCTCCATAGTATAATACCTTGTATATAATTTGTTGTCAATAAATAGTCATGCACTTCTGTGGTTACCAAAAGGTTAGATTGCTTCTGGTAGCACAGTGGTTTTTTAAAAACCATATTAATTTTTCCATGTTCTGAAAGTAAAGATAAAGGAAAAAAATTTATCTGAGCAATGCAGAAGTCAAGATGGATTTTGCTGGAGGAGTGGAAGGACAGAGGTGAAAATTTGTAGTCCAGCTCTTCCTTTTCTTTCATCATAAATAGTGTTTTGACTCATGTGACATGATCTTAACATGTGCATATATCAAAGAATCCCTGAATGGAGATACATCATGAAATAAAGGCAAAAAGTGTATTTCTTCTTTTCCCTTACTTTTGAAAAAAATTCCTAAATTTAAAAATAGTCCCTGTTCTGCATTCATTATTCAGATATTTTTCATAGCCAAATGGTTACATAGAATGGGGATCCTGTGGGTTAATGGCTCCAAGAACTATAAAAAATAACAAAACTAAAGTAAAAGAGTTGATATAGAGGAGATTTTTGAAGACTAAAAAACATGACAAAATTTAAAAATCCACTAAACTCTACAAACAACTCTAAAGCTCACAGTCCTATACAATATTGTCACCTTGAAATCTGATTTCTGAGCTCAGCACCAGCAAAATGGCTACCAAAGAGTGATGACAAGAAGCAGTAAAGTATTCTCTGTACTGTCACCAACTGAGATCGTAGTAAAGGACACACTATTCTACGGCTTCACTTAGATGAGGGCATAGGATCAGAAAAGAAAACAAGGGCACAAATGGGTGACTTTGAATTCATCAGAGCACAAAACACAAAGTAGCAAATAATTAGACTGAGACAGAAAGTATTAGCAGAAAGGTGAGTCTAAGAATTCTATCTAAACTTCAACTAAATGTGATCAAAACCACTAATGGGGTTAAATTGAACACTCAGCAACCTGGATAGACTTAGGGCAACCATCTAAACTACAAAAGAAACATTTGCCTGTCAGGAAAATGAAACATTGGAATCCACCCTTGAAGAAAAGTGTGGCACCAGCATTCCTGAAAATCTTTCAAAGAGAATACACCAACTTCTGTGAGTATGGCCAGGTTCATGACTGATGGTGCAAACTTATTGCTAAGATAGGTTGGGTTGGAAGAGTGGGACAACCTTCCAAAAGGCAAATGGACTCAATGACTTCCCTTAAAATAAACATATATCCTTCAAGAGAATATATCTACAAAGAATATAAAAATGAATGTAATATTTATAGGTAGTTTTAAGGTTAATAAACAAAATAACCTAGAGCAAATGGTAGGCAGCAATATGAGGCATTAAGAAAGGGAAGACAACCCTTAATGAGTCCTAAAGGAAGGACATCTCTTAAAATACTAAAGGAAAATCTAATAAAACACAAAGGAATTAAAATACTATAAATAATCAACTTTGTCCTTTTTTAAATTTATGTTACTCATTAAGATCAAATAGTGCCAATTTTTGTTGAGAAATATTGTTTGTTTGGCATGTTAATGAAAGAATGAATGAATGAATGTGCGTTTATTGAGCACCTGCTTTTTCCCAAGCCCTAGGCACTTTCTCAATTATCTCATTTAATTCTCACAACAACCCTGTCAGTTAGGAATTATTATCCCAATTATATTATTAAGAAAATAGACTCATAAATGTTAAAGAGCCCAAAGACACACAGCTATTGTAATAAAGAGCAGGGCCAGATTTCCAACCCAGGTCTTTTGATTTCATGCTGCATTTTCTGTTCAGAAGGAAACTCATTGCTTCTCTTTCTAAAAATAAATCATCATTGCTGGCAAAATTTTGCTTGTCCAAAGGACTTCTGGATCTACCTGGAGACCTTTGGAATCAGCACCAAAATTGGAACCGTTTAATGAGAGTCTGGGCAATTACCCCATCATGCCCAGCAAACGGGAAAATGAGCCTTTGGCTTGACTCATGTATTTAACTGTTGTTTCAGGAGAGGCCCAAAAGGAAAAGTGGTTACGTCAATTGTATTTTAAAAGAGTGACTAAGTTGTGAGCATTTCCAAAAACATATTTTTCTTCAGAGTTTAGTTTTACTATCTTTGGAGACAATGACTCAGGCATCTCTTTGTTGCCTGCTCTCTAATTAGCAAGTTCTAAAGACATCGCACTCAGAAAAGAGGAAAAGTAGCCTTGATTTTGTTCAAAACTTCACTCATATCGTCCCCTAAATGAACTTCTAAAAATGCTATCAAGCTACTACAGAAGCTGATGAAAGGAGAAAGTACACCGCCTGTTACAACAAGCTTCCCTAGAAGCACAAGCCCAGCCCTCTGACACAGGCTTTCAAAGGTTGCCAAGGTCTTCAGACACACGTTTTATCAGACACCTATTTACTCTGTGACCCTCTAGAGTGCCAGTCAAGTGCTGGTGGGTTGTAAGATACACAGTTTTATCACCACTTCCTAACGTGAAGAGAACCAGAACCAGAACACAGGAGGGGAAGAGAAGGAAGAAGACTGGAAGGGTGAAGAGCAATTTTTCCAAATCAGTCTAAGGGAGAATTGGGCCATAGCATTTTTTTTTTCACATGAAAACATGATGAAAAAGAAGAAAAAAGGCCCACACGATTTGTTTTATGGACTTTCAGAAGAAACTGCCTCAATGCTCTGCATCCCAGGAGCTGTTAAACTCTCTCTTACTTCCAGGCCTCCCAGTGACTCCCTGCAGAGAAGGGCATTACTGAGATTGCAGCTGATTGCGGCTGAGCTGCTGCAGTCAGGCTGCACTCAGTTTGATAGTCCCAAGAGAAATGGAGCGTAGGACATTTAGGTTTCAGCATCACCAAGGCGTTTTCAACAGAGGCGAGTTCCTGATTATGAGGGAATGTGGCAGGTTTGTTTTACACAGTTATCAAAACCCCAAACATTTTAAGAGACCGAGCACTGAATATGTTATACACTGGCAGAGTGTGGGGTGATTCTAGGATCATTAATTAGCAAACACCCTTGAGTCACCTATTTAGAACAATGAATGAAATGCCGTAAGAAAATTCTGAAACAGAGTGAGTCAAATCACTCCAGTAGACTTTGCTAGGGGGGCTGTGAGGGTTTAAAAAATATTTAGTTACAAATTTTTTAAAATCAGATAATTCACCTGAAAATACAGATATTTGACTTCTCTTTAACAGTCGAGAGACCCGACAACGTTGAGGAGATCCACATTTCAGCATGATATCAGCAAGCAGCCAACACTGAGAATCCCTGACCCTTTTATTCTCATTATTTAATTGACAAAAATAATTGTATATATTACATATTTATGGAGTATAATGTGATAATTCGATACATGTTTACATTGCGGAATACTAAATCAAGTTTTATCAAATGTATCACCTCACATACTCATCATTTTTTTGCAGTGAAAATATTTAAAATCTACTATTTTAGTAATTTTGAAATATACAAGCATTATTATGTATTATAGTTGCCATTTGGTGCAATAGGTCACTAAAGCTTACTCTTCCTGTCTGACTGAAATTTTGTACCCTTTCATCAACATCTCCTCTTCCCCATCCAGATCCTTTTCCCAACTCATGGTAACTGCCATTCCACTATCTATGTGTTCAAGTATTTTGTATTCCACAAATAAGTGGGAGCATGCTGTCCTTGTCCTTTTTTTTAAGTTTAATTTTATTTTTAGTTGACACATAATAATTATACACATTATGGGGTACAATGTGATGTTTTGATATATGTGTACACTGCATAACCATCAAATCAAAGTAATTAGCAGGTCCATCACCTCAAATATTTATTATTTTTTGTGGTTGAAACATTCAAAATCCTCTCTTCTAGCTATTTTGAAATTACTTGTTTGTTAACTATGGTTACCTTGCTGTGCAATAGAACATCAGAACTTATTCCTCTATCCTAACTGTAACTTTTACCTGTTGACCGACCTGTCCCCATCCCCTCCCCCATCACTTCTCCAGCTTCTGATAATCATTATTCTACTCTCCACTTCTTTTCTTTTTTTTTCCAACTTTTTTTTTAAATTCAGGGGGTACATAGGCAGGTTTGGTATCTGGACATATTGCATGATGCTGAAGTTTGGGGTATGAATGATCCTATCACCCAGGTACTGAGCATACTACCCGATAGGTAATTTTTCAACCCCTGACCCCGCTTCCTCCCTCCTACCTCTAGTGATCCCAAGTGTCTATTGTTGCCATTTTTATGTCCATGTCTACTCTCTACTTCCATTAAGATAAATTTTTTTAGAGTTCACATATAAGTAAGACCATGCAGCATTTTTCTCTCTATATTTAGCTTATTTCATTTAATGTCTTCCATGTTCATCCATGTTGTTGCAAATGACAGGATTTCATGCTCTTTTATGGCTGAATAGTATTCCATTATGTGTATATGCCACATTTTCTTTATCCATTCATTCATTGATGAACACTTAGGTTGATTCTATATCTTGGCTATTGTGAAGAGTGCTGCAATAAACACTGAGTGCAAGTATCTCTTTGAAATACTGATTTCATTTCTTTTGTATATATGACCAGGAGTCGGATTGCTGAATTATACAGTAGGTCTGTTTTTTAGTACTTTGAAGAACCTCTATACTGTTTTTTATAATGACTAATTTACATTCCCACCAACAGTGAGTGTTTCCCTTTCTTCACATCCTTGCCAACACTTGTTATCTTTTGTCGTTTTGATAATAGCCATTCTAACTGGAATGAGGTTCTTATTATGATTTGGATTTGGATTTCCCTGATGATTAGTGATACTGAACAGGTTTTATAAACCTGTTGATCATTTGTGTATCTTCTTTTGAGAAATGTCTATTCAAGTCTGTCATCCATTTTAAAATCAGATTTTTAAAGCTATTGAGTTGTTTGAGTTCCTTATACATTCTGAATATTAACCCTATGTCAGACGTACGGTTCACAAATAATTTCTTGCATCCTGTAGATTGTCTGTTCACTACATTGATTATTTCCTTTGCTGTGCAAGGAGGTGAAAGATCTATCCACTGAAAACTATAAAACATTGATAAAAGAAATTGAAGAAGACGCAATTGAAAAGATATCCTGTGCTCATTGATTAAAATAATGAATATTGTTAAAATAACCATACTACCTAACATGATGATACATTTAATGTAATCCCCACCAAAATGCCAACGACACTCTTCACAGAAATAGAAAAAACAATGCTAAAATTCATATGAAACCACAAATAACCCCCAAAACCAAAGCAATCTTGAGCAAAAAGAACAAATCCGGATGCATCAAACTATCTGACTTCAAAATATACTACAAACTTATAGTAACTAAAGCAGTATGGTATTGGGAGAAAAACAGACAAATAGACCAATGGAATAGAATAGGGAGTCTAGAACTAAATCCACACATCTACAGCCAACTGATTTTTGACAAAGGTGCCAAAAAACACAAATTGAGGAAAGGAAAGTATCTTCAATAAATGGTGTTGTGAAAATTGGATATGCACATGCCACAAAGAATGAAAATAGACCCTTCTCCCTCATCATATACAAAATTTAATTCTAAATGGATTAAAGAATTAAATGCAAGACCCAAAATTATGAAACTACTATAAAAAGAAACAGGGGTGGGCGCGGTGGCTCATGCCTGTAATCCTAGTACTTTGGGAGGCCGAGGCGGGCAGATCAAGAGGTCAGGAGATCAAGACCATGCTGGCTAACATGATGAAACCCCATCTCCAACACATTCTCCATTCCAATAAATAATAACACCGCCCCTCAGACTCTTGTGAAGAAGGCTAGGCCACCTCGGTGCCCCCCTTTTCCTCTCTGTCCACATCCAGTCAATCTCTGAATCTTGTTCTTTGTCTGTAGAAATAACCTCTTCACTTCTCTTCCTGCTTCATATCTTGCCATGGTCTCTAATCTCTTCAACAACCAACACAATTTCTATGAACCATTAGGCCAACTCCAATTAAAACACATTATAGCTTCCATTGCTTCTAGGAATTATCTAAAATTCTTAATACGGTTCTCAAGGCCTCACCTTGAGTCATTCTCTCTGCAACTCACCATATGCCAGCCACATGGCCTTCTTGTTGTAATTTCTCACTTCCGTACCTTCACAGTGCTGTTCTTTATGTTGAAATACTTTTCTCTCCTCCTCCCCATCCCTGCTCTGTGCCCTTCATCCCACAAACTCCTCATTCTCCTTCAGGGCTCAACTGAATGTCACTTCTTCATAAAACTTTCCCAACCTCCGTGAGTATAAACCTCTTAACACCTGGACTTTTCCATCAGAGCACATATCTACATTACAATTATCCAATTGCTTATAAAATATTGGTAAGTATGACCTCCCCTTTAACTGTAAGATGCAAATGGGCAAGGAATGTCTATGTCTGTCTTAATCACAGACATATTACCATATTCCCATATGCCTGGCATGCAGTGGGTACTCAAATACTGACTGAGTGACTGAATGAATGAATGAATGTTACCTGTTTATTAGCTATAAATCTTAAATGGAGAAGATTACCATGATTTAAAGCATACTGTTTTTGTAGGTCCAAAACAGCAATAGGAACATGCAAGGCAAATCATAATTCCAGGCACCAAACCATAATGACCAGTATTTTTATTTGCATGAATAACTAGTAAGATAATTGTAATCATATAAGATATCCCTTTGATTAAAATAAGCATATTTGCAGCCTACAAAATCATGACAGGGAAGTTGTGTCTGCACGTGAAAACAATGTCTCTATATTTCCTTAACGTATTTATTTTTGGCCCAGTGATGTCAGATTTCAGTTTTACTTTGATTATTAATATTTCATATATATCTGTCATATGTTGGTATTCCATGTGTCATTTGTTGCAGGAAAGAGCTGAATGATTCCAAATAAACCTGGTTCACTATTAAAAGCTATTTATATATTAAGTCAAATGTAGGGGCCACAGTAACAAAATATTGGCTGTTCAACATTTTTAATCACTCTACGATTGTGTAAGGGAGGCTAGCATTGTTCACAGAAGTACAGGTCATTGTTCTTCAATTATTTCCTAAGAACCTTTTATTTTTATCAGTAGATGAGTAGATGTCTAATTTATCTGGTTATTCAGAGATGGACATAGTCACATCTTCTCATATATTTTCATATATATTTCACATATTTGACATCTACACTGTGCCAGGTACCGTTATAAGTCCTTTAAATGTATTTGTCATTTAATTGAGCAATTCTATGAGGTAGCTATTATTGCTAAAATATTTCCCATTTTGCCATATGGAAAAACAGGCACAGGATGATAGGCAACTTGTCCAAAGTCACACAACTAGTAAGTCACGAAGCTGAGAGTTGTACCCAGGCACTATCTCCCCAGGGCCTTCTTTACTGCTAACCTCTGAGCTATGACAATAACTATTTAAATGAATATCTTCTTTTTTGCCTTTAATTTTTGTTCCTATTTACTATAACAATGCTTTTAATTTTCAGGGATATGCTTGGAAATTATGTAATAGAACATTCTATCATTTTTATGTTGTATTAACTTCATGGTATATGACTTCATGCTGTACTAACTTCATTGTATTAATTTCATGTTGTATGAACTTCATTATTCATGTTATATGACCTTTTACACTACATAATTATCCTTTATAATATTGCTTTATGTTGCAAATCTATGTTATGAGTAAGTCCCCAGTTCATTGTTATCTGATCATTTATTCCAGTTCCTTACAACTAAGAAACAGAAAATATGATCATCTTTGTTGTGTCTTTTCTGACTTCAATACTAGAAGATTCGTATGGGCCATTCTGTAAGACCTGTGACACCTTGTTCTCAAAAATGAGTCAAAGGATTTTTTCCCCAACAATTTTGAGATTTCCTGAGAAACCACATGACACTGAATTCCAGGCTTGTAACTCACATCAGACTCTGTGGTTACCTTGTAACTTATCAAATTCTTGTCACCCCAATCAACAGAACCTATGGAGAGAAAACTTTCTCCCTGAGTTGTTTTTCTGGTAACTTGAAAACTGAAAAAAAAAAAAAAAAAAAAAAAGACAAGGTCAAAATGTGCTTAAAGCAACATTTGCTTCACATTTAACTCCAGAGTACTAAATAAATTCCCAAGGATTGTACTAGCCCACGTGAGGTCAAGCCTGTTGTGAAAGGAAGGGATGACAATTGACCCTTTCTTAGAGCAAAACCTCCTGCCTTCCATCCCACCAGTCAACTACAGAGTCAAGATCGTGAGAGCTGACAGCTTCCGCTGCAGATAAATTCCAGCCTGCCCCAAATGAGCCATGTACTTATGAAACCAAAGAACCAGCAGAGACCTCTGGGACCATCTAGTCCAGCAGTTCCCAAATGCTCCTCCAGCCAAGATTCCATTTATCTCCTCCCCCTCATCTCAGCCATGGACTATGGGTTTGGAAAAAAATTTCAGCTGAACTAAATATATTAAATACAACAATCTATATTTCCCAATGTTGTTCATAAATATAAATAAATACATGTAGTCTGAGCTTCTGATCCAAGGTCCCCACACCACAATGAATTGAAATCATTTTTAACCCAATGCAAGGAAACTTGAGATTATGGATACAATCTTATGAGATAATTCAAAATTGCTCTTAGAGCCTCATTATTGTTTTCAAGAAAATTTAAGTGTATAGATCTGGATAATAATGATATATCTAGTTTTAAGTTTTACTGAGGGACATAAGACATAGTGACCTGCCACAAATTAGACTTCAAGGTGAACCAGAAACTATACATACCATAGACCCCAAGTCTAACAAACTAAATGAGGTACAAGCCGATCCACTAGAGAGAATATTTGTTCAAAGCTGAGATCAACTGCTCAGCCTGATGCCATAGTGATTCCATACCAGAAAATAAGAAACAGTATCTAAAACTAATTTGCAGGCGATCGATTTGGCAAGTATCATATGACTTTGCAAGAGGACTGAAAATTTAGAAGTATGAGAAAAGCCTGGACTTGCTATAAGCTTTCATGAAAAGTGTGTTAGATTGGGATTCAGCTGACAAAGACTAATGCAAAAAGTGAGAAATATTCACAGTGAGTGTTCATGTCTTTACAGAGGAGGAGGAACCACAGGAAAACAATTTACATCAGTTAAGGCCAACAGGATAGAGATAAGAAAAGCAAAAGAACCAAAGGAGATAGGGTAAGCCCAAAGGGTTAAAGAGTATTAGAAGGGCAAATCTATCAGAAGGGAGAGGATGATGAGAGAGAAATAAGAGTTTCTAATAAATGAGAAAGGGCATAGAATTAATCACAATTCTGAAATTTGCTGAGGTGCTGAACTCATTTTTTAAGTCAGTCCTCTTGGTGAAAAAAAAATATCAGAAAGGTAAGAAAGAGAAAGAAATATGATGAATTTGAAAGGAATGAAGGTCTTAGGAAAAATGTCACTGAGAAAAAACAGAACAGGGTTATGCATGTGAGTGAGAATGCATGAAATCAGCCCATCCCATTTCTCTGTAATTGTGGTGATAACAACAAGAGAATATAAACCAATTATAAGACACACACTAGATTTAGCCAAGCAATTAGTTTCTACCAGTTTCTAAATTAAACTATATAATTGAATTAAATCTTTTAAAAATAGATTCTAGACCTAGAGCAAACCTCCAAAGGCCTTTTGGTCCAGTGCTTTAAATTTTAGCCAAATAACTAATGACTTCTACTTCAGAGATGAAGTAACAGCAGTCACAGAGAGAGTAGGTGCTAAAATTTAGACGAAACCCAAGAGCTCTGTACTCTCAGGCAGAGCTTTCTGGATTTCAAACTTACTGCTGTTAACAAGAACTATCAATTATCAGACCCCTAGCGTAGGCCAGATACTGACTTCCTTGTAGCATATAGAATTCTCTAAACAATTTTGAGACATACTTCTTTACAGATGAGAAAACTGAAAATGGAAAATAAAATTATAGTTATTACGTGATGAATGTATTAGTCAATATGTTGTCTGGAAGTATAATACATATACATTCTGTTTTAAGAAATCTAAGTAAAAAATGAGCTTTTAAAAAATTAGAAGTTACCTTATGAAGGGTTCACATGAAAGCAATTATCGAGAGGAGCCAAGATGGCCGAATAGGAACAGCTCCTGTCTACAGCTCCCAGCGTGAGCGATGCAGAAGACGGGTGATTTCTGCATTTCCATCTGAGGTACCGGGTTCATCTCACTTGGGAGTGCCAGACAGTGGGCGCAGGTCAGTGGGTGCGCGCACCATGCGCGAGCCGAAGCAGGGAGAGGCATTGCCTCACTTGGGAAGCGCAAGGGGTCAGGGAGTTCCCTTTCCGAGTCAAAGAAACGGGTGACCGACGCACCTGGAAAATCGGGCCACTCCCACCTGAATACTGCGCTTTTCTGACCAGCTTAAAAAATGGCGCACCACGAGATTATATCCCACACCTGGCTCGGAGGGTCCTACGCCCAAGGAGTCTGGCTGATTGTTAGCACAGCAATCTGAGATCAAACTGCAAGGTGGCAGCGAGGCTGGGGGAGGGGCGCCCGCCATTGCCAGGCTTGCTTAGGTAAACAAAGCAGCCTGGAAGCTCCAACTGGGTGGAGCCCACCACAGCTCTAGGAGGCCTGCCTGCCTCTGTAGGCTCCACCTCTGGGGGCAGGGCACAGACAAACAAAAAGACAGCAGTAACCTCTGCAGACTTAAATGTCCCTGTCTGACAGCTTTGAAGAGAGCAGTGGTTCTCCCAGCACACAGCTGGAGATCTGAGAATGGGCAGACTGCCTCCTCAAGTGGGTCCCTGATCCCCAAGCAGCCTAACTGGGAGGCACCCCCCAGCAAGGGCACACTGACACCTCACACGGCAGGGTACTCCAACAGACCCGCAGCTGAGGGCCCTGTCCGTTAGAAGGAAAACTAACAAACAGAAAGGACATCCACACCAAAAACCCAACTGTACAAAACCATCATCAAAGACCAAAAGTAGATAAAACCACAAAGATGGGGAAAAAACAGAACAGAAAAACTGGAAACTCTAAAAAGCAGAGCGCCTCTCCTCCTCCAAAGGAACGCAGTTCCTCACCAGCAACGGAACAAAGCTGGATAGAGAATGACTTCGACGAGCTGAGAGAAGAAGGCTTCAGACGATCAAATTACTCTGAGCTACGGGAGGACATTCAAACCAAAGGCAAAGAAGTTGAAAACTTTGAAAAAAATTTAGAAGAATGTATAACTAGAATAACCAATACAAAGAAGTGCTTAAAGGAGCTGATGGAGCTGAAAACCAAGGCTCGAGAACTACGTGAAGAATGCAGAAGCCTCAGGAGCCGATGTGATCAACTGGAAGAAAGGGTATCAGCAATGGAAGATGAAATGAATGAAATGAAGCAAGAAGGGAAGTTTAGAGAAAAAAGAATAAAAAGAAATGAGCAAAGCCTCCAAGAAATATGAGACTATGTGAAAAGACCAAATCTATGTCTGATCGGTGTACCTGAAAGTGATGGGGAGAATGGAACCAAGTTGGAAAACACTCTGCAGGATATTATCCGGGAGAACTTCCCCAATCTAGCAAGGCAGGCCAACGTTCAGATTCAGGAAATACAGAGAACGCCACAAAGATACTCCTCGAAAAGAGCAACTCCAAGACACATAATTGTCAGATTCACCAAAGTTGAAATGAAAGAAAAAATGTTAAGGGCAGCCAGAGAGAAAGGTCGGGTTACCCTCAAAGGGAAGCCCATCAGACTAACAGCGGATCTCTCAGCAGAAACCCTACAAGCCAGAAGAGAGTGGGGGCCAATATTCAACATTCTTAAAGAAAAGAATTTTCAACCTAGAATTTCATATCCAGCCAAACTAAGCAAAGGAGAAATAAAATACTTTACAGACAAGCAAATGCTGAGAGATTTTGTCACCACCAGGCCTGCCCTAAAAGAGCTCCTGAAGGAAAGCACTAAACGTGGAAAGGAACAACTGGTACCAGCCGCTGCAAAATCATGCCAAAATATAAAGACCATCGAGACTAGGAAGAAACTGCACCAACTAAACAGCAAAATAACCAGCTAACATCATAATGACAGGATCAAATTCACACATTACAATATTAACTTTAAATGTAAATGGACTAAATGCTCCAATTAAAAGACACAGACTGGCAAATTGGATAAAGAGTCAAGACCCATCAGTGTGCTGTATTCAGGAAACCCATCCCACGTGCAGAGACACACATAGGCTCAAAATAAAAGGATGGAGGAAGATCTACCAAGCCAATGGAAAACAAAAAAAGGCAGGGGTTGCAATCCTAGTCTCTGATAAAACAGACTTTAAACCAACAAAGATCAAAAGAGACAAAGAAGGCCATTACATAATGGTAAAGGGATCAATTCAACAAGAAGACCTAACTATCCTAAATATATATGCACCCAATACAGGAGCACCCAGATTCATAAAGCAAGTCCTGAATGACCTACAAAGAGACTTAGACTCCCACACATTAATAATGGGAGACTTTAACACCCCACTGTCAACATTAGACAGATCAACGAGACAGAAAGTCAACAAGGATACCCAGGAATAGAACTCAGCTCTGCACCAAGTGGACCTAATAGACATCTACAGAACTCTCCACCCCAAATCAACAGAATATACATTTTTTTCAGCACCACACCACACCTATTCCAAAATTGACCACATACTTGGAAGTAAAGCTCTCCTCAGCAAATGTAAAAGAACAGAGATTATAACAAACTATCTCTCAGACCACAGTGCAATCAAACTAGAACTCAGGATTAAGAATCTCACTCAAAACTGCTCAACTACATGGAAACTGAACAACCTGCTCCTGAATGACTACTGGGTACATAACGAAATGAAGGCAGAAATAAAGATGTTCTTTGAAACCAACGAGAACAAAGACACAACATACCAGAATCTCTGGGACACATTCAAAGCAGTGTGTAGAGGGAAATTTATAGCACTAAATGCCCACAAGAGAAAGCAGGAAAGATCTAAAATTGACACCCTAACATCACAATTAAAAGAACTAGAAAAGCAAGAGCAAACACATTCAAAAGCTAGCAGAAGGCAAGAAATAACTAAAATCAGAGCAGAACTGAAGGAAATAGAGACACAAGAAACCCTTCAAAAAATTAAGGAATCCAGGAGCTGGTTTTTTTGAAAGGATCAACAAAATTGATAGACCACTAGCAGGGCCTATAAAGAAAAAAAGAGAGAAGAATCAAATAGACACAATAAAAAATGATAAAGGGGATATCACCACCAATCCCACAGAAATACAAACTACCATCAGAGAATACTACAAACACCTCTATGCAAATAAACTAGAAAATCTAGAAGAAATGGATAAATTCCTCAACACATACACTCTCCCAAGACTAAACCAGGAAGAAGTTGAATCTCTGAATAGACCAATAACAGGATCTGAAATTGTGGCAGTAATCAATAGCTTACCAACCAAAAAGAGTCCAGGACCAGATGGATTCACATCCGAATTCTACCAGGGGTACAAGGAGGAACTGGTACCATTCCTTCTGAAACTATTCCAATCAATAGAACAAGAGGGAATCCTCCCTAACTCATTTTATGAGGCCAGCATCATTCTGATACCAAAGCTGGGCAGAGACACAACCAAAAAAGAGAATTTTAGACCAATATCCTTGATGAACATTGATGCAAAAATCCTCAATAAAATACTGGCAAAACGAAACCAGCAGCACATCAAAAAGCTTATCCACCATGATCAAGTGGGCTTCATCCCTGGGATGCAAGGCTGGTTCAACATACGCAAATCAATAAATGTAATCCAGCATATAAACAGAGCCAAAGACAAAAACCACATGATTCTCTCAATAGATGCAGAAAAAGCCTTTGACAAAATTCAACAACCCTTCATGCTAAAAACTCTCAATAAATTAGGTATTGATGGGACGTATTTCAAAATAATAAGAGCTATCTATGACAAACCCACAGCCAATATCATACTGAATGGGCAAAAACTGGAAGCATTCCCTTTGAAAACTGGCACAAGACAGGGATGCCCTCTCTCACCACTCCTATTCAACATAGTGTTGGAAGTTCTGGCCAGGGCAATCAGGCAGGAGAAGGAAATAAAGGGTATTCAATTAGGAAAAGAGGAAGTCAAATTGTCCCTGTTTGCAGATGACATGATTGTATATCTAGAAAACCCCATTGTCTCAGCCCAAAATCTCCTTAAGCTGATAAGCAACTTCAGCAAAGTCTCAGGATACAAAATCAATGTACAAAAATCACAAGCATTCTTATACACCAACAACAGACAAACAGAGAGCAAAATCATGAGTGAACTCCCATTCACAATTGCTTCAAAGAGAATAAAATACCTAGGAATCCAACTTACAAGGGATGTGAAGGACCTCTTCAAGGAGAATTACAAACCACTGCTCGAGAAAATAAAAGAGGATACAAACAAATGGAAGAACATTCCATGCTCATGGGAAGGAAGAATCAATATCGTGAAAATGGCCATATTGCCCAAGGTAATTTACAGATTCAATGCCATCCCCATCAAGCTACCAATGACTTTCTTCACAGAATTGGAAAAAACTACTTTAAAGTTCATATGGAACCAAAAAAGAGCCCGCATCACCAAGTCAATCCTAAGCCAAAAGAACAAAGCTGGAGGCATCACACTACCTGACTTGAAACTATACTACAAGGCTACAGTAACCAAAACAGCATGGTACTAGTACCAAAACAGAGATATAGATCAAGGGAACAGAACAGAGCTCTCAGAAATAATGCTGCATATCTACAACTATCTGACCTTTAACAAACCTGAGAAAAACAAGCAATGGGGAAAGGATTCCCTATTTAATCAATGGTGCTGGGAAAACTGGCTAGCCATATGTAGAAAGCTGAAACTGGATCCCTTCCTTACACCTTATACAAAAATCAATTCAAGATGGATTAAAGACATAAACATTAGACCTAAAACCATAAAAACCCTAGAAGAAAACCTAGGCATTACCATTCAGGACATAGGCATGGCCAAGGACTTCATGTCTAAAACACCAAAAGCAATGGCAACAAAAGATAAAATTGACAGATGGGATCTAATTAAACTAAAGAGCTTCTGCACAGCAAAAGAAACTACCATCAGAGTGAACAGGCAACCTACAGAATGGGAGAAAATTTTCGCAACCTACTCATCTGACAAAGGGCTAATATCCAGAATCTACAATGAACTCAAACAAATTTACAAGAAAAAAACAACCCCATCAAAAAGTGGGTGAAGGACATGAACAGACACTTCTCAAAAGAACACATTTATGCAGCCAAAAAACACATGAAAAAATGCTCGTCATCACTGGCCATCAGAGAAATGCAAATCAAAACCACTATGAGATACCATCTCACACCAGTTAGAATGGCAATCATTAAAAAGTCAGGAAACAACAGGTGCTTGAGAGGATGTGGAGAAATAGGAACACTTTTACACTGTTGGTGGGACTGTAAACTAGTTCAACTATTGTGGAAGTCAGTGTGGCGATTCCTCAGGGATCTAGAACTAGAAATACCATTTGACCCAGCCATCCCATTACTTGGTATATACCCAAAGGACTATAAATCATGCTGCTATAAAGACACATACACATGTATGTTTATTGCGGCATTATTTACAATAGCAAAGACGTGGAACCAACCCAAATGTCCAACAATGATAGACTGGATTAAGAAAATGTGGCACATATACACCATGGAATACTATGCAACCATAAAAAATGATGAGTTCATGTCCTTTGTAGGGACATGGATGAAATTGGAAATCATCATTCTCAGTAAACTATCGCAAGAACAAAAAACCAAACACCGCATATTCTCACTCATAGGTGGGAATTGAACAATGAGATCACATGGACACAGGAAGGGGAATATCACACTCTGGGGACTGTTGTGGGGTGGGGGGAGGGGGGAGGGATAGCATTGGGAGATATACCTAATGCTAGATGACGAGTTAGTGGGTGCAGTGCACCAGCATGGCACATGTATACATATGTAACTAACCTGCACAATGTGCACATGTACCCTAAAACTTAAAGTATAATAAAAAAAAAAGAAAAAAAAAGAAAGCAATTATCATAGGATTCCTTGACTCTATATCCTGAACTAATTTAACCTTTCAATTTTATTATTTAAAATGTTAAGAAACAAATGGACACAGTGCATCAGCATACTACATTTCAAATATGACTTGCTTAAATGTGATTATGTTCAAATCTTCAGGAATACATTTACTTCACACAAAGTAGGGCCCTCCCATGGAAACTAGAATAAAAGAGAATATGGAACTCTGGTTCTGCAGGCTCCAGTTCTACCTGTGCTTCCCAAGCAGTCAGGGACCCAGCCGAGGAAGGAGACAGAGCCATTGTCTCTATCCCACATAGAGCAGTAATCTTGCCAAAGGATTCTCTGCCATTGGCACAGTTATGCAGGGGTCACCTTAAAGTGTAGCAGCCACTACATCCCATTGATTAATCCACTGGTCACCTGTCAATCTGCCAACCACTATTCCTCTTTCTGGCTCAGAGAAACAAGAAATTATACTTCTTGGTACTATAAAGAAAGAATCTAAGTGTGGGCCAAAAAGAAATGTTTGCTTATTGCTCACTTTCCAATTGCAAAAAGAAGAAAACATCTGACAATTTCTCTAAATAAGATATTCTCCCAATTGGTAAGTTTCCAAACTCATCTTGGCCAAAAAGCACATACATTTAATTATTCATATATATTGCTTAATATCTCCTGGGTACTTTGTTCTGAAGCAGCCAACCTAGGGTGTGAGAGGCAGGCTCTGGAGTTGAACAGGTCCCGGTTCAAAGGCCAGCTCTGCCATTTACTCCACTAGGCTTTCTCTCAAGTCCTAGTATCCTCACATGCAAAATGAAAATAACGATGCTACCCAGCTCATCATCATCATAAAAATGAAATGGCATAAAATACATAAAGTCCTTAGACAATAAGGACACAAAGTCCTTAAGCATACTTAACAAAGAGTAAATGTTTACTATAAAATAGGAATTATTTTTATAATTAGCTATTTTAACATTAATTCAGCAGTCCACACAATCCACAGTCAAAGCATGCTATCGCCTCTTGAGAATAATTTAGGCTGGGTACAGTGGCAGATGCCTGTAATCCCAACACTTTGGGAGGCTGAGGCTAGTGGATCACTTGAGTTCAGTAGTTCAAGACCAGCCTGGCCAACATGGTGGAAGCCCGTCTCTGCTAAAAATACAAAAAATTAGCTGGGCGTAGTGGTGGACACCTGTAATCCCAGCTACTCAGGAGGCTGAAGCAGGAGAATTACTTGACTGAGGGAGGCGGGGATTGCAGCGAGCTGAGATGGCACCATTGCACTACAGCCTGGGCAAAAAGAGTGAAACTGCACTTCAAAAAACAAAAACCAAGCAACAACAACAACAAAAAGAAAATAGCAGGCTCACTGGGGAACATTTGAAAGAAGATGGAAGGGAATGTGTGGCATTTGGGGAGTCCCAACTCAGTTTTATGTTTTGTCACTATGGTATCATTGGAGGATAAGACTTAGTATTACTAAGAAAGATAATAAATATGCAACCCTGAAGGGTGTAACATTGTTAAACCTGAGTTTTCATCATTAAGGTATTTGTGACACCACGAGATTAGAATCTGCTGCATCTCTGAGGCCTTTTTCAAAGCCTGCACTGTGGTCCCAGTGGACCAGTATAAAATCCTCTGGGTCCATGTTCCATGTCTTACTCAACCACCAGTCTGTGCTTCTCCTTCTTGCCACTTGCTGTGGTTTGAATGTATTTACCAAAATTCACATATTGGAAGACACATTCCCCAGTGCTACAGTGTTGGGTGGTGAGGCCTAATAAGAGATGATTGGGTCCTGAGAGTGGAGCCCTCATGAATGTATTAAGTCACCTTGGGAATGGGTCAGTTATTGAGAGAGTGGGTTGTTATAAAAGCAAGCCCAGTCCCTCATGCTTTCTCTTTTATACTCACTTACCCTTCTTTTCTTCTGCTGTGGGATAATGAAGCATAAAGGCCCACACCAGATGCCTGTGCCATACTATTGAACTTCATAGCCTCCAGAATGGTAAGAAATAAATTCCTTTTATTTACAATTACCTAGTATATGGTATTCTGTTACAGCAACAGAAAACGGACGAAGACACTGTTGTTTGTGTAGACAGTGCTATTCTATCTCTTTCTGCTGGCCTAATAGGTTTATAACTTCTCTTTTAAATTTCTTCTGGAGATGACAAATGAAGTTATAATTTAGAAACATTCTACAAATAGCATACTTGATGTCTTGTTAGTACAACAACCCACACTGTCCTCTGTCTTGGTATTCCCTTCCATATAGATTTGGTGGTTTAACCTAACCCAAAAAGGAGAATATAAATCAGTGTTTTGCGTCTAATTAAGGATTGGTTACTGTGGATTGTTCTATGGTTTTCAGTTACTAAAGACAGAAACACAACCACATGTGGAAAGTCAACATAGCATAGAAATAGTCTTCTGAGAAAGCTTATATATATAAAATATATATATATATATAATTTTTCCTTATAATATATACATAATATATAATTTTCCTTTTGGTTATCCAATTGGGATTTTAGCATAGAGGTCTGATTTTCAAGAAGCAACTGTTTTCAGCTACTTTCCATAAATTAGGCTCTCTGTTCCAGCTGTCTATCACTGACACAAAAAATTCCTCAGCAAATATTAGTGATACGCTAGGCCAGAGATCAAACATATTTCTTCCTTCTCTTTGCCACTCTTATTTAAAATATGAGCATGTCCATACTAGGTCTCCCTTCAGAAAATGTTCCTGTAACCTCTGTCCTCCTACCAGCACCCTGGCAGCACCATGGTTTGTCAAGAACCTCTATTCTCGTTTGCAGGCCTGGCTCTCTTTTCTCAGCCATTTGCTTTTCTGGAATGTCCTCTCTGACTCAGCCTCACCACCAAGATTGTAGTTATCAGCACTCAAATACCAGTCACTCCCTTATGAAGTAAGAGGAGATACCCCCGGTAGTCCCCACAAGGCAGGAAAATGCTGGCATCTCATCAGTTTTCCAGGTTAGAATTTCACTGTCAAGCTCACTATCCTCCCAGCCCTCCCAGATAAACAGGGGATGGGGGCTCACAGCACATTCCTTTCACTCTCACTAATTTCAGAAGAACACTCTGCAGTGGAACACCAGTGAATCTTTGAAATCCTGCTGCTCAAGGGGTGGCTCTGGCTTCCTGGCAGCAATTAGAAAAATATTCTTCTCGTCATCTCAGCTGTGACACTGGCAAATATACAGCCTTGTCAGTTGATATTCAGGGCTAGGCATTTCTCACATTAACCCTGGCTGGAATGTAAAAACCTTATGTATAATTCAAGTTACTTAAAAATAGGATATATATTGGAGATGTGCATACATATGATTCCGACTGCTGGAATTTTTAGTCTAAAACAAAAAATGTACCCAACCTTCTTGATAATTTAAGATGTCATTTTAAGGTAAATAAATTTAAGGAGTTAAAATCTCCCACTTTGCCCTTATTGGAATCAAACAACTTGCCATGGTATTTTTAGTATTCTACATGGGCTTTCCCCCATTTTGTTCAGCTAAATTCTATTCTTAGAATGTTTCCCCAACAGCAACAAAAATTATTCCTTAACTCAGTCTTACATCTTGACTCTACTCCTCCACCAAGGGCTTCTGCCAATGACAAGGTGAGTTATAATTACCGAATAGAAGTAGATATTGAATCTCAACGTCTGCTCTTCTCTTCAGGGGCTTCCCAACATCTTAGTCAAGGTTTTTTTCTTAAATCTTCCCATGCCATTATGTCTACTGTGAATCTCTTCCATCTTCTTTGGCCATCGGTTTGTTCTCATCTTTAACTGTGGACATCCTTCTTCTTGACCCTTGTCTCATCTTTGTTGGGACTTTCTCTTACTTTAGCAGTTCCACTGGAATTTTCTGCCAACTTTTCAGACTTAACAGATAAAAACCAACCTCACCATCTCTGTCCCTCCACCCCAACCTTCTTCTCTACCTGGCTTCACTCTTTCTTTTTTTTTTTTATTGTGTGATTATATATATATTTATACTTTAAGTTCTAGGGTACATGTGCACAACGTGCAGGTTAGTTACATATGTATACAAGTGCCATGTTGGTGTGCTGCACGCATTAACTCGTCTTTTAACATTAGGCATATCTCCTAAAGCTATCCCTCCCCCTCCCCCCACCCCGGTGTGTGATGTTCCCTTTCCTGTGTCCATGTGTTCTCATGGTTCAATTCCCACCTATGAGTGAGAACATGCGTGTTTGGTTTTTTGTCCTTGCAATAGTTTGCTGATGGTTTCCAGCTTCATCCATGTCCCTACAAAGGACATGAACTCATCATTTTTTATGGCTGCATAGTATTCCATGGTGTATATGTGCCACATTTTCTTAATCCAGTCTATCACTGTCAGACATTTGGGTTGGTTCCAAGTCCTTGCTATTGTGAATAGTGCCACAATAAACATACATGTGTATGTGTCTTTATAGCAGCATGATTTATAATACTTTGGGTATATACCCAGTAATGGGATTGCTGGGTCAAATGGTATTTCTAGTTCAAGATCCCTGAGGAATCACCACACTGACTTCCACAATGGTTGAACTAGTTTACAGTCCCACCAACAGTGTAAAAGTGTTCCTATTTCTCCACATCCTCTCAAGCACCTGTTGTTTCCTGACTTTTTAGTGATCGCCATTCTAACTGGTGTGAGATGGTATCTCATTGTGGTTTTGATTTGCATTTCTCTGATGGCCCTGATGGTGAGCATTTTTTCACGTGTCTTTTGGCTGCATAAATGTCTTCTTTTGAGAAGTGTCTGTACATATCCTTCGCCCACTATTTGATGGGGTTGTTTGTTTTTTTCTTATAAATTTGTTTGAGTTCATTGTAGATTCTGGATATTAGCCCTTTGTCATATGAGTAGATTGCTCTTTCTATTCATGGTACCTACGCTCTTCTAGAGCCTCCTGCCAAGGCTCTAAACCTTATAACTCATATTTTTCTCACTTTTTCACATCTAATCCCTGTCACATTCCTTTAGGTTCTATGTCCTCAGTGCCCCTCTCATTTCCCCTTTACTTACATTCATACCATCTCTACTTTAGTTAGCATGTGATTTATTATCTCTATTCTATTACCAGCACTTTCTGGTGGCTCTCCTCACTTCCAAACTTACTCCTCTCTATTTCACCTGTTATGGGCACAAATCACTTTTTGATGTATGACACTGATCTTGCCTTCCTCTGTTAATATGCATTTGATGTCTCCCCATTCTCTCCAGAAAAAAAGTCCAAAGTCCTGTTTCTGAAAAATGTGACCCTTTGTGGTATTTTTTTTTAATCTGTATAACACTTCATTTTTTATCCAAATAAACCTTTTTACCTATGCTTTATTTCAGTCTGAAAGAATTCCAAGTACTTAAAGATACACACTCGTCTCCCAGCTCTGAACTTTATTTAGCCATCCCTTACTCTAAATAAGTGCCTCTTCCCTTCTCTGCCTGTTTTCTTACCTGCTTCTCAGTACTCAAATGCCATGAATTAATCTCTGGTTTCTCAGATGAAAGATAATCCCTCTGTCCTTTATTCTTCCCAGTATTTTGTACTTCCATTATGGTAGCACATCGTAGGAAGGGTTTTCTTGTATTATAGTAATTTGTCTGCCCAATTAATCTCATCTAGCACACTGGAAATTTGAGAGGAAGGCTCTTCTTTGTTTATTTCCAAAATGAACAGTACAAAATCATGAATTTAGCAGAAAATATCATTTGCAATGAACAAATGCATCACCTGAATGTGTAAAACTTCTCATATGCAAAGGCATTCTGCCTGGTCCTTATGCCTCAATATTTGTAGCATTTCTTGCAATATGTACTTCTGTGTTTTTTTCTCCTTTAAATATGATATAGTGTATGAATGGGAAAAGGAAACGAAGTTAAGAAACATGCCTTCAGCAATCCTGAATGAGAGAAGTGTCTAACATCTAATCTAAACTTTTAAATATAGTGCTTCATTCCTCTCTGTAGAAGACAGAATAATGGCCCTCCTCAAAAATGGTCACACGCTAAGCCTCAGAACTTGTGACTACACGAGGTTAAAGGGACTGAGCAGATGCTAGTAAGATTACTAATCAGATGACCTTAAAATAGAAAGATTATCCTGGACTATCTGGACACATCCAGTGCAATCACATGAATCCTTAAATGTGGAAAAATCAGTCAGTGAGAGAGGTGTGGTGGATGCAGAGGCAGAAGAGACTCAAAGAGTGAGAAGGACAACCTGACATTGCTGGCTTTGAAGTTGACAAAAGGGAGCCATGAGCCAAGGAATGTGATGGCCTCTAGAAGCTAGGAACAGCCCTCAGCTGACGTCCAGGTTGTAGAAAGTAACTCAGTCCTGCAATCACAAGGAACTAAATTCAGCCAATAATTTGAATGAACAAGGAGTCTCCAGAAAGGAATGCAGCCTCACCAACAACACCTAGTTTTTAGTCCCATGAGATCCATATTGGACTCCTGATCTACGGAATTCTGGGATAATACTTTTGTAATATTTTAATCCACAAAGTTTGTCGTAATTTGTTATGATAGCAATAGAAAATAACATATTCTCCAAGTGGCTATTCAGATACACTTGACCTATGGTCGTTTGAATTAGCTAGAACTAAGAATAAAGTGTGCAACCTCATTGAATTAAAAGCCTAAAGGCATATTTTTGTTATTTTTCATATGGAATCATTTCAAAATATTATAAGTAATATGATCTCTTCATTTATTCTTTTATTCAATTCTACAAGCATTTCCCAAATGCCCATTGTCTATGCTCACACTATAAATTTTCTTGAAGTTTGTAAATCTTCTTCATTCTATTTCATCAGTGGCTATAACATAACCTGGACATGGCAGGCACGCAATACATATTTAATAAATAAGTTCAAGTGTAACTTTGTCATCTAAGTCTTCTCTACCTGAAGCTGTTTGACTTCAGTAAGATGTGGATGATAATTTATCTAATTTACAGGATGACCTTAAAGACATACATATGCAATTTTTAGAAAATCGGTTGTAATTAGTCCCATATCATTTCTACATTCCAAACTTTAATCCCTTTGTGCCTTGACTTCTGTATCCAAATTTTCACTTTCCTCAAGCGTCTCTCATTTTACACAACAGCATTCTTACAGGATTACTATTATCTGGGTACTTTCCTGTTCAAAATTCTCTAATAGCTTTCCATGCCTTGGGGCTAAAATCCAAATTCCTCAAGATGGCATGGGAAGTCTCACAATATGTTTATCCAGAGAATCTTCTTTGCCACTACTTCGTAGCCTGACCCACACTCACAACCCCAATGCACTCTTCACTCAACTAAGGCTTCTCTTTCTGACCTTACAAATGCCATGTTTAGCTTTGATTTCAAACCATGGATCCTGTGTTACCACATCTGCAGTGACCTTGGTTTCTCCTCTTCAACCAGGCCTTAGAAAAAGTCTTATGGTTTCCTTCTAAAGGCCTTTCCTAAATAAACCAACTCAGAGTAATTTCCCCACTTCCAGGTGTTGTCTCTGCTCTTATATAATACTCACCTGGTTCCAGGTCTTAATCTTTATATTTCATACTTGTTGGTATCCTTCCCCAGCTAGGTCACAGCGAAAACTACTCATAATTCATGCTTTTTAAATATCTGCATCCTCTGCCCACCCACAGCAATATTACTGGGTACAGCATAAATAATAATATAATTACTAACATATATATAGTGCTTAATATGTTAGACACATTATTCTAAGTGCTGTACAAATTTCAAGACAATCCTATGAGGTAGATATTATTTTTATCTTCATTTTACAGATAAGGAAAATGAGGGACAGATATCCAAAGTTTATTGTGGGAATTAAGAAACTATGAAGGAATTCTATATTTGTAAAATTATTAGAATGTAATATAGTTCTTTAAGAGAAATTTTGTAGTTTGGAGGTTTAAGTTTTGTTGTATTTTCACATAATGGAGAGTAATATATGTCTAACAAATAATCATAAATCAGGAAGACTATGTAACATACTTCTTTTAACAAGGTTAAATACATAATTAATGGCACAAATCACAGACATGCAAGTGGATTTGGGATCATATCCATTACATCAGGCTACTTTTCTAAGGCTTATAAAGAGACTTACTTTCAATTATGATGACATAGATGTAAAGTGGTAGTCTCTTATATTTTACTATTATCTGCATTTCACCACAGCTCCTGAATCTTTGACTTCTGAAGCTATGTGGAGGTTTTTTTTGTTTTTGTTTTTGTCAGTTATTGTTGGTTGTGGTGGTAATGTCTGCTGCATTTCAAAAACCGCTCAAGACTGTAAGGAAAGAAGGAAAGCCCCTATAGCCATTGATGTTCAGAAATAAAATTCAGTCTACTTCAAAACTAAGACTTTTCATGCAAAGACTCACAAGAGCTTCACACAAGTTGTGTTAATACTAGTGAGCCTTCCAAATATATGTCTGGAACATGCATTTGGACCACAGCAGTTAAGGAGCTCACTCAAAATATGCAAAATCCAACTTCTGGCTCCTTGAACAATACTTATATTGTTGCCATCAACCAGGTGATAATTCTCAGCTCAGAACTCTTCATAAGTTATCTTGCACTTTTAATGATTTATTCACACTGTGAATAATTTATTAGCTCAGTTTAGCTCATCAGGCGATAAGAAAAATAGTCTGTCTCAAACTCAGTTTAAGCAAAGGTCAAGGAAATCTTAGAAATTTAGCTTTACTGAATCAAAGCAGCTGTACAAGCTTTTCCAATCAAGATGACAAAAGAGTTATCTACAGGCCAGGGCCCCTCCGGACACGTTCTATTCTTATCTCCTGCGCCATTCACCACTGGGAGAAGCACAAGACCCAGTGTAACTTCCCTGGTGGAATGTTGTTTTCAATTAAAGATAAACAAAAACCTATTCCTTCCAGCTGGGGATACTTGACTCTCCCTATTTTTCCATGTGAGAAATGAGGCAGAAAGATCCTGTAGCTCTTCTAAAATGTCATGAGTGTTTTACTGGGATTGGCAGGTCTCCCTTCTGAAATGAGGACCGCCAGAGCTATGATGATTTGCTCCTTGCCTCTTTCCTGGCATCCGCCTACCTCACCGGCAGTCACGCGAAGATATATTGATCTTTCTACGGCTTGCTGGGCAGTGCACTGCAGTGGTCTTACAAAGATAAAAGGGATGATCAACTTGCCAAAATAGAATCTTCTGCCAACCTTAGAAGAGTCATGAGGAAAGGAAGAAAGAATAACAACTTGTGAACTAATGGGAACCCCTTTAATATTTTTAAAGGCCTAGCAAACTCTTTTTTGGCACAGACAGATGGTTTTGCTTTGGGGACAGATCCATAAGGAGTAGACAATTTGGGTGTCTTGGCTTCTTGGGAAACCTAGGGTTAGAAAGTCCTTGAAGTTGAGTGTCACAAATTGGCCAGTCTGAGCTCATCTATAATATAGCTTTAACTGGATTTTCAATAATTTTTGCTGCATTTGGGCATTTTCTTTGTGAGGGAGACCCTGAGTAAAAACAGACAAAATCCACTTTAGATCAAATGTAGTCCTCAATCTTCACATTGCCCCTTCAGTCTACTCCCAAAACAGATGCCAGAACTTGGATTATTATCAGAACATTTCTTTTAGCTATTTGAGAAGTGTGGAGAAGAGGGGCAAACAATCTGAAGACCAGCCTAGGTAAAAACATGCAACAAGGGAGGGGAGAACAAGGCCTGGGAGAGGGTTGCAATATAAAAGCCCACATTGCCAGCTGAACACATTGAGACATATTTTCTGCCTGAAACAATAACAATCATAAATGAACTATTGTTAACACAAAAAATACCAAATACTGGTAAGAGCTGTCATTTTGGTTTTCTTTAGACATGATAAATTACATTTGCAAATTAGTGTCTGATCTGAGATGACATGGAACAAATGGTAATATTTACATTCTGCACATTATCCTTGTCAGATTAAGCTGCAGTTGGCCAGTGTGGATATAAAGAGGCCTCGAGAGGCTTGCCTGCTAAACCAGCACGTAAATTGTCTCTAAACCATCCACACGCTTACATTTATTATCTCCTCAAACCAGCAACAGCCGTCCCATTTACATGTCAATTTTGCCCAGTTAGGATAACTTGACTGAAGGAAAGAACTAGTGAAGAAGAACGCCTCCAGGAAAGTATTCCAAAGTAGGAAGGACCACAAAACACACTTTGTAAGATGTTGTCAAAGGCTTTCTATTTATTTAACACTTTAAGAAGGAGAGGCAGAGGAGGAAAGTATCATTTAAGTGCTTATGACATGGAATGCATCATGGTGGGTCATATGTTATCCCATTTTATCCCCACAAATTTCCCTCTAATATAGGCATTATTATACCCACTTTACAGATATGGACATTGAAGATCAAAATGTTAACTAATTTGCTAGTACAGTTAGTGGGGACAGAGTTAATGTTTGAATTAGGGAAACTGACTCCAAAATCTTTGTACTGTATCCCTCTGGAAGAGTAGCCTTAACTAGAAATGTTGGAATAGGATGGCAGGCCATGGGGTTTTCTGGAGACTATAGCCTAACAGAACACTGGGCTTCTATTGCCCCATCACTATATTGTGCAGAAATGCATTGCAGGAGGAAGGGTGTGGGGTATCACTGCTAAGCTTTGTCACCGGATGCAGAGCTGACAAAAAGCTCTTTCCATTTTCATCGTAAAAGCTGCAATGGAGGTTCAGGGAATCTCTGTGAAGCTGATTTGGTTTGACTTCATATTACTCTTGTGTTTAAGCCTCACAAACATGATATGCAAGATGGCCTGAGAAAAAAGAGGTTGACTTTTTTGCTCCCAAGATTTGTGGGAGGAAAGAAGGAAGATAACAGAAAGAACCAGTGCCATACTGTGTGCTTGTTTCAGAAAAATAAAACTTTATGATTTGATTGGTCACTTTCATAAACCCAATTCCAGAATTATTCACAAAGTGAATGTGTGGATCTTACTATTATCTGATATAAACCAAACAACAATTGGAAAAAGATATTTTGAGACATTTCAGGAAAAGTGCTGTGGACCAGGCACAAGATGACATCAACGAATTATTGTTGATAAAGGTAATATTGACACTGTTAAGTAGGTAGGAAAATCCCCATTTTTCTAGAGAAATGGTCAGCATATTTAAAGATCAAATGACATTGGAGGTAGGATTTCTTTTCAAATACTTCAGGAAAACAAACAAACAATAGAAGTAAAATGGAAAATCTTGATAATTTTTAAATTTTGGTAATGAGTCTAAGAAGGTTTATTATGTAATTCTCATTGTATGTGTGTTTATAATGATTCATAATTTTTTAAAAATGCAGTGTCTTAAAATATAAAACTGATTCATTCAAAAACACACATTTAAAAAGCGATATGTTTTAAAATGTATTTGAATCTTGGGCTTCACCAAGTTTACTAGACCAGAGTAATTAGTGGACAGCCCTGGGAAAGCCTGCAGCAAAATTCTGCAGTCTGTCAATATCTGGGCGTTGTTTCTTAACAAGAATCCTTATAGAAGTAGCTGTTACGACATGAGGAAGGAAGTGCTAAAATTGCCAGTGTTAATAAGACATGTTTAACTCACTGCTCAGGGAAAGAGGTCTGTAAACTACAGAAGAGAGTGGTGTTACTATAAATCACACCTTAGGATCCATCCTTGCTATGGGAAGCTAGTGCTGCACAGTATGCCTTCTGTTGGTCTAATTCTCAATCAAAGCCAGGATGTGAGTTTACTTTGCTTGCAGAGGGATTTTCACATGTTCCATAGGGGTCATGAAAGGTACCTGGGGAAGAGGGGATATGAGCTAAGAAATGGATTCTCTAGACAAAGGTTATACTTGCTATGCTGCCAATAGCATCCACATTACTGAGGGAGTAGCTCACACTTAGGCTACACTGAACCTGGCATCCAGAGCCTGCTCTCCAAGAACAGGGCAAGGTGGGAATGGCAGAGAGGAAGTGCTGAGCAGCAGCCTTGGTCCCCAACACATTATGTTTTCAAAATGCTTGATTTAAAAAAAATAAATAAAAGCATCTGTTTAGTTGAAATTTATAGAATACCAGTTCGCTTCAATGCTGAGAAAAATCTAGTAATATTGTCCTCAGAAAGATCTGGACGAAGTGAGCAGGCAGAAGGGACCACACTGTGACAGAGACTTACGACTATACAAAGTGCTTCTCAAAGTGTGGTCGGAAGGCACTGCCTGAATCAGAATTATACGGGATGCTTCTTAAAAATGCAGCTTCCCTGATATTTCCCCAGACCTATTGTATCACAGTCTTAGGCATGGGACCCAGGAACCTGAATTTTAAACAAGCTTCCCAGATTCTCCCAAGAAATAAAGCTGCAGAACTGCTGTTTATCCTTTTTGCCTTCACTTGCATCTTTGCCACTCAACATGCATCCATTTCTCCCTCCCTCTCTGGGAGTTCTTTTTGACGATGGTTCCTTGGGTTTCATCTTTGTAGTTTGGTAGTGCCTGCTCACTATATTTTCCCATAAGTTGAACTCACAGATTGCTACTTGATTAAATCTTTCCTATGTTAGTTATGAACACCTGAGTCCTGCTCCTTCTCTGAGCTCCTGCAGCACCTGCTTTCCCCAGCACAACTTAGTATATTATATTGTAATTGTTCACTTACTTCTTAATCATTGAATTCCTCACTGGAGGGACTGCTTGGTATAGGGCAGGCATTCAATGTTTGTTTACCAAATGAGGAAATGAATGATTGTTTCTGACTCATACTTCTTAGCACTTAATGCCAGTTCTCTTATTCCAGGCATTTTACAACAGACATTTTTGCAAAATTTCTCTTCTCCTTCATCTTCAACAAAAGTATTGAAACATTCTTTACACATTAGGGACAAGATCAGAAGCTGCCACTTTCTATGCTAGAAACATATGAGGAACTAGGCACATGCCTGGATTTCTCAGAATTTTGGTAAGGTTCTGAGTTAGTTTCCTAAAGAGGTTTGCTACTTTCCTCCATGCCATTAGGAAACAATCAACACTGTTATCTTTGAAAAGTAATGTATAGACTTGGAAATCGCAAGGAAGAACTGCAAACATAAGGTGGTTTTAACTAAATTTAGAAATAGGTGAGCTGAAAAATTTTTTAAAATTAGTTTTTGTTATTTATGCTCCATATGTTTACAAAAAAAAGATTGGGGTGGTTTTTGATAATAGACACATATTCAAATGGATCTTTTGAGAAACTTAAAAGATCAGAAGTCCACTTATTCTTCGCCAATGATATAGATCAGCAGAATCAGGTCTGTGGTTTGCTTAGAGGAAGCTTGGCACAGAGCTTGATGGGTTATCTGGCAAACCTTTGCTTTTGCAATTTGGGAACGATAAAGCACAGTCATTTTAAAATATAAAGTAGACTAACTTTCAGTCTAACCTATATGAGTTGTATATGACCAGCTAATTAAGATGGAATGAATTCAATAATATTTTATTAATATGAGTGAGCTTAGGAAGTTGTTTGCTTCCTTTTCTAGTCTCTCTTGTCTTCCCAATTGTATTGTCATTCTGGCCAAGACACATTGCTCATGCATGGAACAGTCGTGACTCATTTCAAACTTCTAATGGCCTTCTGGTATCCATTACAACAAAAAGCTTAATAGAAAGTAACTAAAGAAATTAGAGAAGGCTTTTATATACGTCCACTATCCTTATCTTGTATCTTGCCATTCCAGTCTTTTGTACCTACCATTAGACTCAACTAATAAGTTTAGCATTCACTTTGAATCCAGTCTAAAGAATCTAAATCAAAAGACATTAATTATTTCATTGATCTCTGGCTAGTGATAAATGAAAAGTTCATCATATGCTTGTAGGAAAAAAATCTTCCCAGTCCAATTTTCCTGTGGTTGGAATCTTATTAGAATTACCGCCAACATTTATATTCAAATCCTAAAATGTTTATAATAGCTATCTGTATAAAATAAAATTGAGAAATATGCTCTGTGGAACTAGAACACCAAGGAATGTGCATACACCTTTGCAAGAGGAACATATACGTTGAGACCTACCAGATGGCTCTTATCAAGAGGCCAAGTTAAGGAAGACTGAGTTTTTGCTACATATGAAAATTAAATACAAAATCATTCTTCTGAATAAAGATCAATCATCTGAGCTCTTCCCCCATCAAAGTTACATTGTTGACATATAGAGTTTGAATTGGGTCAGATTATCCTGGTGTTGTTTACTATTAAGCAACAATTAACAAATTTGGCTAATATATGAAATAAAATTTATTGAAGAGACAGTGGGCAGTTGAGAAAAAAGTTTGAAAGGCCAGAGGATAAGGCTCAGAAACAGGATAGGAACTAGAACAAGCACAGGATGGCACTGGCATTTAGTCAAAAGGAAGTGCTCAACTATCTGACATAGATAAATTTTCTTTACTAACAGTAAAAAGTGAATGCCTTTTAGCCATTTTACCCCTCACTCACCTCCTCCATCATCTTTGCAATTTGGCTAATGATTGATCAGTTAGGGAGAAAAAAATCTGATTGGTCTAGTTTGGACTATATGACTCCCTCTTGGTTAGAGGAAGTCAGGGTATCTTGCTTTACTTCCCCACCAAGACACAAAATGGAATTGGCGTACTATTGGAGGAGCAGTAAATGTTAAGGGACAAAAATACCAACTAATTTTATTAAAGTGCTTGGTGCATTCTTGATTTGGACTTCATCATTGAAATTGTTCAGAAATTTTTGTAAATGTTTACATGGATGCAGTTTTCTTCAGTTCCTTAAGGAGGCCCAAGTCATAAAATGGCTAGATCTACTAGAAAGCATTGATTTTGAGAATGTTTTTTCTACAAAATCGAAGTATCTTCACAATTAAGTAATCTCAGCACTGGAAATCTTTGCACTTAGTTTTTTTAAAATGGCATTTAAAATTGGTCCAACAGTTAGAGAAAAAGGAAGCTTCATTTTGTTGGAATTAATGTTTGGATTTATGTTTGTTAAGATGCTATGAATTAACTCCTCAGAGTTTCAAAGATAAAGTTTATCTAGGAGGTGGATCAGAGCTCCCAACCATCCTTCATCTCTTTGTACCAGCTTGCCTAGCAAAACCCAACCCTGGGTGAATACGATCTCCTCCCTTCTCTGTGCACCTGCAGACAGACATAGAATAGTTCTTAAAGAAGCAGACCAGTTCAAGACTACCGACCTCCTGCGCCATCCTGGCATCACCATTCTTGGTCAGTTCACCCTCTGTTCTCTATAATGACTATATAAAAACTTCTCTGCTTTCTTCAGACTTCCAGTACTCCCTTCTCATTCTCAACCATCAGATAAAAATTCCCTCATATGCAATTTATTGATATGTACTTGATTTTGTGAGCAGGATATAACCCTACAATTATTCATGCACAGAATCAGTGGGTCAGCACACAACGCAATTCTCTTCTATAATTCCCAATTGAGGACGGATATTGAGAGTGAGGGCATTCTGTTTCCAAATGGCCCATAATATATTTTAGATAAAAGCAAATGTTTCTACAGTAAAGAAGTGTAATGATCAATCACGATACAAATCTCTAAAGAATATCCAATTCCATTTATTCATATTTGAAGCTCATTAAAAACCTTTAGATTTATAATTTGATATTGGGTTTATGAGTCAATTCTTCTATGTCTTGAGACAAACAATTCATGACAGCCTGATCCCTACTGTAGAAATGATAAAACCAAGACCTTTAAATTGCAGAGCTGTGGACTAGATCCTAGATCTGAGATGGTCACCAAGTTATATGACACCCTGTGAGTCTTGGCATAATACAGTCAACTGGTCAACTGATCTTACCTGCTTTTGTTGCAGACGTTAAGCAGTTTTTCTGATTATCACTTTTAGGAATGGTCTGACTCAGAACATCAACTCTGACTTTCTAAACGGCAATACATTAACCTCCATTCTGGTTAGTACTGATTACTGCCTGTAAGGAGAGCCCAAATGTTATTTATTTTATTTCCTTTGCTGTTTCCAGTGAAGGTGATGGGTGTCTCCCCTTCTGAGTGTCATTCTAAAGTCAGAAAGAGTAGGTTGGAGTTAGTGAAAGTTTCAGATTCATGCACATTATAGCCTTGCTGACTTGCCTTTCAGGGTCATCTCAAAGTAAAATTTTATTTCTCAGTCAATGCCTGATTTAAGCTTAGAGTCATGTCTCCAAAGCAGCTCTCCCAGAGACCCCTAGAGTACTGGTGCTGTACTTCAGGTAAGCACATCTCAGGAAGTATTATAATGAATGACTTACCTCTTGGGTAAGGATGGGTACTATACTTAGCTTTCAAATGCAGCACAATTGTAGATCAACACATGTTTGTTAAATAAATGAATGGAGTGTGATCTGACTCAGCACAGGAGACAAAGGAGTGATCAAAATGAGTTTTTGAAGTCTCTTATAATTTTATTTTAGGATAGAATTATGAATCTAAGGAACATAACTCTGGCTCTGTGTTGCAGGTAAATCAAGCGACACTTTTTAAAACAAAAATACCATTAACACATGTCTACTAAAATCAGTTATTCTTTCACTATGACTGACATTTAGTGAGAACAGCAAGTTTACATGTTTGTACATGTGTTTAGCTTTGACCTCTTCACCAAAACATATAAATGAGTCACTGCGTCTTCACAAGACATTCTTAATCTATGGTAGACGTTTTGTACGGGGTCAATTTAGCTAAGCTGTAACTAGATGTCCCCAAATTCCTATGCTATATGGGTCCTCATTAAGGCAGGGCCACAAGAGACTTTTGCAGCAGATTTGGAAGATGAAAGTGCAACAGGTGTTACACCCTGAAGGTTAGGGGAGAGCCACATGCTGTTGTAACTTGCCTCTGTTGTCACCCGTGTGCTTGTTCACCTTGTCATGTTGGGGCAGCAGCCAGGCCCACGGTTCCCCCTGCTGAATATCCTCCTACAATTTATCCAAGTTACGGGCCCACCGCATGTACAGCTGCACGGTGAAGAGCACTGGCTTCTTCTGCAAGCCTCCTAGGCATGGAGGTTGAAGGTTGGCAGTGTCTGAATGTTTGTTTCCCCACAAAATTCATATGTTGGAATTCTAACCCATAAAGAATTCTCACCCCTAATACCCCAAGAAGATGATATTAGGAATGGGGCCTTAAGGAAGGAAATAGATCATGAGGGTGGAACGCTTGTGAATGGTATTACTGCCCTTATGAAAGAGACCCCAGAGAGCTGCCTTTTTTTCTTCTACCATGTGCATACACAAAGAGAAGTTGCCACCTATGAACCAGGAATGGGCCCCTCACCAGACACCCAATTGTTGGGACCTTGAACTGGACTTCCCAGCCTTCTGGTCTGTAGGAATATATTGCTGTTTATAAACTACTCAGTCTGTGGTATTTTGTTATAGCAGCCCAAGCAGACTAAGACAGCAGTGGTGAGAGATGGGTACAGATTCCAATTTGCCTGAAAAATATCTAGTTTGTCTTCACTGGTTCCAGAATTTCCTTGCTCTCCTCCACTTCACATCTGGATTTTTGTCCCAACAGATGGCCCTGCTGGCCTGCAGTGATGTTAGGCCCACACCAGATGCCAAGGCAATTGTTTTCCATGCTATTCTTCACCATCTCCCATGATTGCATGAGCTCTATTCTCTATAATGAATTTCTAATTCTCTGTCACTCAGAGTTGTCCTATTTCCCTTATCAAACTCTAACTGATATGCCTGCATGAGCATTACCTTGTCCTACTGAAGTCACTCTATTTAATACATAAAGATTGAAACAGAATTAGGAGATAGACAGCCTGTGAAGAACACTCCACAGTTTATCAAGATATAATTAGTTGCTCATTGTCAGCCTGTTTGATAGCTTACAAACAACAGAAATTTCTTTCTCTCAGTTCTGGAGTCTAAAAAGTACAAGATCAAGCTGCTAGCAGATTCAGTGTCTGGGGAGGGCCTGCTTCCTAGTTCACAGATGGTGTCTTCTCACTGTGTCCTCACATAGTGGAAAACAACAAGGCAGCTGCCTGGGGCCTTTGTTATAAGGACACTAATTCCATTAATGAGGGCTCCACCCTCATGACCTAATCACCTTCCAAAGGCCCTACCACCCACATTTCTGATTAGCTTTCAACATATAAATAACGGAGGAATGCAAACATTCAGACTATAGCATATATCTTTTGTAATCCTCCTTTTGATAAAAGTAATTGCTAATTAGGAGTCAATAGAATCATTTAAATTTTATGCAGGACTTATAGGGCTGCAGCATTCATATAAAGTAGCCATTTTCAATATGTAATGAATAATTGATCCACTCATATGGAACCCCTCTTGACTCAGTCCAGATGGGATTTAGAGTAGACCAATGTAATACAGTATGTCATCGAGAATAAAAATGTAAAAGACAGTGCATCTGAAGAATTTTTAAGTCATTAAAAGCAGAGGAAATTAATTGCATAAGCCAGTTAAACTCAAATATTCTAATAACAGATTCCTGAAAACTAAGTCAGGTTATGTGGACTTTGTTCTATTTTCCTATTCTAACACCACTCAAATGTGAAAACCAAAGGGTTATTCAGTAAATGAATCAATAATCACCTTTCTCTGCCATCATAGTCCACACAGGTAATTTTCCTTAAAATTAAAGGCAGAATAAAACAAAGAATAAAACCATAAGTTTTATGGGCACTTTTTAAACTCACACTTAAACTGCCTTCTCTCTGCTTGAGAGAAACATGGTCTCACATATTAAGAGCTCACCGATTCCTGCCTTGTCCAATTCCATTTTTCCTTCCAGCTTCCACTGTTGTTAGCCATCCTCCTCTAGTCTGTTTCCTTGAGAACTGGGACTGGTTCTCACAACTTTCTGTTACCAAAGTTCCTTGCAAATAGGGGATGTTTAAAAAACAATTCCTATGATGAGGAGGACGTCATGTCTACCTGGGCCACAGTTCTACTCTCCACCCATTATGAGGCAAGTATGGCATATTAAACAAAACATAAGATTTGAGATTTCTTCTAGAACTAGCACTTCCATTTTCATGAACTTCTTTCTCAGGGCCTCTCTTTTTTCTTCCCCCTAAGATAATTCCAATTATTCTTTACAGTTCAGAGAACAGAGTCCTCCTGTGAAATCTACTACAGTACTTTTCAGCATGCAATGCAAAAGAGAGCTGACACTGGGATTTGTTTTGCCTGGGTAGGTGAACACCTGCCAAGGACTAAATGCCTACCATCAGCTGAAACATTCAGAGCAGTGTGGCACCATCATGAAGGCCCTTCCTGGACACCAAGCCTGAGGTCAAGTTCTTATCTGCTTCCTGCCTTCTTTCCCAGCCAATCAGCAAGTTTGGTTTTGCTTTCAGCTAGAGACAAATACCTGCAGCAGTTGGCTCCCAAGAAGCATGTGGCTGTGTCTACCAGACACTTGCTACAGTGATTTATTCACCCTTCTAGTACTTTAGGTAAGGTCGTCAGAAGACACCCTACTATTAGGTCTAAATTCTTGGGAAGAGTTGAAATAGTTTCAGAGATAAGAGGCCTTTTTTGGTAGATGAGACCAACCAAAACATAGACTTCTCCAGGCCAAAGAGCACCCAAGCAATCTTAGCCTAAGTAGCTGCCAAAGAGAAATCCTGAGAAAAATCAGTTCCAGAAAAAGAAGGATAGTGTCTAGGGTGTTTTTGGAATAGCCCCGGGTAATTTCACACCAGTATAAAGCCCTAAAATCTTATTATTAATTAAGCCAAACCCTTCCAGTTTGGAATTTGTTTATTTTCAAGCACAGTGATAACACAGGGGATATTATGGCAATAGGAGATTTTGCATGTGAGTGACAGCTGTCATCTCAGTTGTAAGAATATAAGACCATGAGGCCCAATGGACTTGCTAGTTCACCTCATCTTGGGTGGTGAAAATATTGGCAATTGTGCCCAAAAGAACTTTGAATACCAGAGCTTTATTAAAGAGATTAGTTAATTTTTCCCCTGTTACTGTTTTTTCCACACACAAAAAATACCTTAGTACATAAGTTACAAGGACCTCTGGCTGATAAGTGATTTATACTGAAAACACTGAACATAGTCAGAAGAAAGCAATTCCTGCTATTTCCCCCGCTTGAAATCTGGATCCATTCCAGACATTTTTCTCTGAATCAGTCCCAAGCAACCCCATCTGTGGTACTAGCAAACTGATGAGATCTTCTGCCTCATAAAAATCCTATAGCCTTAACAAAACAAAGTAGACTTGCCTTATCTTATAGGTCTCTGAACAAAATACTTATATTTTTTCTAATTTAGTCAAAAACTTATGGTTTCTTTTTCACTTTCATACATTTTAAAAGTGGTACAGAGTGTATTTTCATATAACCTCTAGCATCACACCTCAACTACTGCTGCCAGAATTTACAAGGTCTAGCTGGACTTTCTGAAATAGACTCGTGCCTTCTGATTAGATTCATGACTCGTTTGAGCCATGCTGGCAAATGCAATTAACAATCTATCCAGTAAAGCTTGCACACAGAATGCTTGCAGGTTATACTATTAGGATCTGTCCATGAGTGGAAATCCAAACCAATCCCAAATACTGACGCACATCTTTGAATAATCAGGAATCAATATATTTAACCTGAAACAAAAGGAAAAACTTTACTTGTTAAATCTCACACTCCTAGTTCATGTTAACAAAACTCTAAGGCTGGAAGGTTCAACAGGTCATTTTGCCCATATCTCTGTCTCTAACAAGTTCTTCATCTAAACAGTACCAGCTGGTTGGTGATCTCATCTAGATTTGAAAGGATACAGAAAAGAGAATTTTTCAACGTACCTTGGCAGTGTTCTTAAACTTTCTCTTTCATTCCCCACAAAATGTCTTTCTTTATGACCTTCCTATTCCCATTAAAACCTACTTCCTCCTTTTCTATTTTCATAGGATCTGGAGAACACTATCAAATAGGAAATATGTTTTCTTTTCACTTTCTCCCTACGGCAGAGTCTCAGAGTCTCAATCATTGCCATGTATAATGGCCTCCCTTAGTCTATTCAGGCTTCTGTAACAAAATACCTTAGACCTGTTCTTATAAACCAGAGAAATTTATTGCTTATGGTTTTGGAGACTGAAAAGTCCAGGATCAAAAAGTCAGCATATTCAGTGTCTAGTGAGAGCTCGTTCCTCATAGATGGCACCTGATATGTGTCTCACATGGAGGAAAGGGCAAAAAGGCTCCCTCAAATCTCCTTTATAAGGGCACTAATCCCATTCACAAGGGCTCTGCAATCATGACCTAATCACCTCCAAGGGCTCTACCTTTTAGCACTATCACCTTGGGGGTCAGGTTTTAACACATGGATTTTGGGGAGACACAAATATTCAGACCATAGCACGGCCAAACCAAAGAGGCAGTTCTTTCTGTTGCCTGCTTTGTGACTGAAATCAACTTGGAATTATCTATTTTATATCTCAAATTAGGCCTCCTCCCACCACAAACACCTCAAGTTCAATACATAATAAAGTACTAAAGATAAACCCAGGCATTAGTCATTTAAAATCGTAAAATATATGCAATATTTTTCGGAACACAGGACATGACTAAATTCAAGTGAAAAAGTAACATGAGTAGTATCTGTTGTGGAGTGTGGGAGTCCTGATTTAAAAATAATACTTAAATGAGAAAATAAAATATATAATCATACAAAAAATAAAAGCATTCATAATCCCACTACAGAGACATAACCACTACCACCTTCTATTTCTTCTAAGATTTTATATTTTTAACAACTTTATTTTTGCTAACTCAACTGCTAAGGGAAAGGCATTTAATTACACAAATATCTCCATTAGTTTTAATGGTTAAAATGATATGTTCCACTCGAATCCAAGATACTAAAGGATTTTTACAGACAGCAAAATATATCAAATGAATGATTAAATTTCTAGAAATAATAATAACTGTAAATTAAATAAATATAATTTGAACATTAAAATGTGATGAAAGGTTATTGTACTCACCAAACAAAGAGAAGCCTTGATCATGGGTGGGTGGTTGGAGATGAAGGGCAAAGGAACCATTTTCTAGAAGGCAGTGAGAGTTAGTGATCAACTTTCTGACAGGTAACCTTATTTGGGCACCTGGTTGTCTTGCACTCAAAATGCATGTTTTGATGTAGACAAACACATCCCAAATTTTAATGGTTTAAAACAACAAACTATTGTATTTTCAGAATTCTGTTGGTTAGATGGGCTAGTTTTTAAAAATCCTTGTCAGCTTGGCTGATGTCTCTTGTTAGCCAGTGACACAGCTGGAAGTGGTTGGTCTAGGACAGTGGTAGGCAAACTTTTTCTATAAAGTACCAGATGGTAAATACTTTAGGCTTTTCAGGCCATGTTTTCTCTGTCAGAACTACTCAACACTGCTGTTGTAGTGTGAAAGCAGCCATTGGCAATATGTAAACACATGGCTGTGACTGTGTGCCTTGCCTACCCCAGGTCTAGAATGGCCCCACTTATGTATTTGGCAATTGGCAGTCTGGTTGGTCTAGAGAAGTGGTTCTCAGAGGGCTCTATGACTTCATGCTCAGACATGAACATGTATTAAGATTACCTAGAGAGCTCCTTAAGACATAGATTATTGGGCATTACATCCAAAGCTTTCCATTCAGTAGGATTGGGGTGAGGCTGGAGAATTTGCATTTGTAGCAAGTTTACAAGGGATACTGCTGCTGTTAATCTGGGGATCACATTTTGAGAACCACTTGTCTAGAGCACCTCTGCTAGGATTGTTTATCGCTGCTCCATGTGTCTCTCTTCCTCCAGGAGGCTGGCCTGGGCTTCCTCACTCTGGTGGTGTCAGGGTTCCAAAGCAGTAAGAAAGGCAAGCCCCAATGCACAGGTGCTTTTCAAGCCTCTGATTACATTAAATTTGCTATTTTCCCATTGGCCAAAGTAAGTCATACAGTCAGGCTCTGCTGAAGTGGAAGGAGACCACCCAAAGGTGTAGATAAAGGAAAGTTTGAAGAAACTGGGCACCATTACTGCAACAATCTACCTATGGCACACGCGTGTGCATACATGCACACACACACAAGTTATAACACAAACACATCTTTAGAACAAGATAGATGCTATACAGCAGGAGGCTTTGAAACACATGGAAATAGCTCACACATACAGTGGTTGAGAGAACCATAGAAAATACTACCTTTTTATCCCACTCATCTTATGTATGTTTGCAAAGAAAAATACTTTGGGTTCATCCACACAGGGCAATTCAAATTTATTCCATATGATACTCTTATTAGAAACTGCTGTTATCAAGTAAGTTGGTGAATGGATCTTTGCCTGAAACATAATGTGAATACGTGACTTATATCATAATGATTAAGTGAGTTTTGGGGAAAAATAGTTATAACGAGGAAAAAAATTGAATGAAAAGGGGAAAATGATACAACCTTTCAAAAGTTGCTTTAGTGAAAGGCTAACCAGCAGTTATTATGCAAGATAAACCTGTGTATGTAAAATACTCTCATAATTTCTAATAAAGAAAAATGGAAAAAAATAAGTTTTATATCAGTCAAACTCACAAAATGCATGTTATAAAGATGACGAATGAAATTAACGGTCCTGAAGGACCTTCCCAGTGGGGCCCAGAATGGGAACATGGAATATAACCCTGAGGTGCCCAGAGAGTGTTATGAAAAGTCAGTATACAACTCACCCCTCCCAGTTGAACTTTGTAGATTTCACAACTCCATAGATTTGTGATATCATGACTCTGATTTATAAAAGCTATCACATAATAGCATTAGTTTTCAGAAATCTGTCTCTAAATGAAAGACTAAAAATAAAATGAATGATGCCAAAACCAAATGGCTTACAAAATGCCTAGCACTGTGTTTTATGAGACATAGAAGTATTTATACATTTCAGCATAAGCTGAAGCACACCGAACTTTTTTGCACTTGAGTTTATTTTATTGGGGATTAGAAAAATTGGTTTTGTTTATGTGACAGTGTGGCTTCAAAATTGATGACAGATTCTATGAGGAGTATTCTCTCCTAAACTAAGCACAGAATTAAAATACAAATTGAAAAGTAAAATATGTTACCTATATAGAAATTCTAAAAGAACTGCCATATAAACTGGCATGCCAGTATTTATGCCTCTGAGCACCTGGTGAAATTCAAAATAGAAAAAATGTGAATCCTAATCTCAAGGGGCTTACATCACAGGTGAGAGCCAGATAGGCAAATATCACATAGGCCAATAAACAAAATATTTCAGAGACCAGAAAAACAACAGGTTGGAAGATGAGAGGGTGACCCAAAAAGCTCCCCAGTTTCCCCCTGGGTACAGAAGTGGAGATAATCCCATTAACTGCGTGTAGTTACTGTGGTGGGTCTTATTAAGGTTATTATTCCTGAAGATGCCTGTTGGTTTCATGGAAAATAAAGAAATAATATGATGTCATTCCTGAACCATAAGCACTGAATTGACCGTTCTCTTTCCCCATAACTGCCATCTGCAAATTCTCTCACTGAAAAGTTTGGCTGCCATCTTTCATCCTTTCTGTTTCATAAGCAGCACAAACTCCTGTTATGTACTGAATGTTAGTACTCTCCTTCCAAAATCTGTATGTTGAAGCACTAACCCACAATGTGATGGTATTCAAAAGTGGGGGCTTTGGGAGGTAATTGAGTTTAGATGAGGTCATGAGGGTGGGGACCCCATAATGAGATTAGTGCTCTTGTAGAAAGACCAGAGTGCTCTTTCTGTCTCTCTCTCTCTCTCTCTCTCTCTCCCTCCCTCTCTCTTCTCTCTCTCTCTCTCTCCCTCCCTCTCTCTTCTCTATGTGAGGACACGGCTAGAAGATGGTTATTTGCAAGCCAGGAAGATAGTTTCACCAGGGAACCAAATTGGCTAACACCTTGATCTTGGTCTTTCCAGGACCCAGAACTGTGATAAATAAATTTCTGTGGTTTATACCGTATTTTGTTATTGCAGCCTGACCCAAGACAATTCCAGACCCTTCGGAGGTTTCCAGAGAGACTATCAAAAAGAGATTCCCAGCCAAGTTGCTTTGAATTAAGCTTCTGAGTCAATGGCCAGAGAACAGCATTGGTTGACTTGTTTTCCCTCACCTTACCAAGTAACATATATTACCTCATCCCAGCATCACTACTGTCACCCTACATCGTCTCCTGGCTACTTCCTCCCCATAATACCTAAGGCCATCATACATGACTCATTGTGGTCCAGCTTGTCAACAAATTATATTTAACAACAGGAGCACTGACCTTCTTCTCTTTTGAAAAAATACTGAAATGCATGTTGGTGAAAAGGGTGTTACTTTGCGAAACTTCCCAGATAAGACATGCTTTCTCTCAAAAATGGATTATGGTATAAGATTTAAAACAAAATGGTATTTCCTAATAGTCATAAATAAAAAGTATTATGTCCTAATCCTTCGTTTTGATGTGCTGTGACCTTTCAGTACCTGCCTTCCATGCGTTATTCTTGCAAAGTATTTATTAACAGAGGGGTATTTGGCATAGAAGGATGAATTAGGAGATGGAGCTCTGCAGTGGGAATTTATGGGAGATTGGATCTTGCAGCTTGTTTTTTCACCAAGTTTAGAGACTTGTTAACTGCTTTCGGTGCCTCCAGGGTGACATCAATTAATTGAACTCTGGCCTTGCAGAAGTTGATTGATATGCAGGTGATTGAAGCAGTGGCTGTGTCTCAATATTAATTACCCCGCTCCTCCAAAGAAATGTAGTGGTGAGAGAAATGGAGAGCCTGCTCTTTCATAGATCATGTGTTACCTACTCATCACTTGGGAGGTGGCATTTGTCAATAACGAAATGGAAAAAGTTGTTGGAAGAAAGACATTTTAATGCTTAAGCACTGTTAGAAGACATCATTAAAACCTTTCCCCACCAAGACATTGTTTTATATAGGACAATGTTTCTCTTGGGGTTTAGCTGGAGCCTGTATGTGTGGAGGTGTTGAGGTTTAAATACAATTTGGCTTGTAACTTCTTTGTGATAAAGGATCATCAGGCATTAAGCACCTTCTATGTGCAGAGTACATGCATATGCAGACTTTCTTTATGTTTTCTTTTTATTATTATTATTATATATTTTTTTGAGATGGGGTCTTGCTCTGTCACCCAGGCTGGAGTGCTGTGGCACAATCTCAGCTCACTGCAATCTCCACTCCCACGCCACCCCGGATTAAAGAGCTCCTACCACCTTAGCCTCTGGAGTAGCTGGGACCACAGGTGCACACCACCACTCCTGGCTATTTTTTTTTTTTTTTGTACTTTTAGTAGAGACAGGTTCTCGCCATGTTGCCCAGGCTGGTATCAAACTCCTGAGCTCAAGCAATCCACCCTCCTGGGCCTCCTAAAGTGCTGGGATTACAGGTATGAGCCACCACACTCGGTCTATTTTCTTAAATATTCCTCCCAACAATCCCATTTAGCAGACAAGAAAACTGATGTTCAGAAAGTTTCTTTTGGTCTCAGAGCTAGGAAGGGCAGAGCTGTGATTCAAACTTACTTCTTCCTCAGTTCAAAGTCACTGGGAAATTCTTGAAAGTTTATGTTATTGCTCTACTACCTTACCTTTAAAATATGTATGGAAAGGGGTAAGTGGAAGGGTAGAAGATGAGATGTGGGCAACATATACTAATTTTCATAACAAGATTTCCCCAAAGGTAAATTTTATAAAATATAGAGAAAGAAGCTCAAATGTGGGTCTGTGAGTGTATATATACAGTTCTCACACTTTTAAAATGCAAAACCACTAAAGATAAGGAAAAAGTTAATCTGGGGGAAATAGTCATTTATTGTTTTTGACCCACTCTATGGGATATACACAGCTATATTATGATCCAAGCATGGAGAGGAGGAGGTGCTGCTAAGAAGAAAAGAGAATACTGCACTTGTTTCTTTATTTATAGGAGAAATTTTGAATTTATGATTTCAAGATTGCAAAAGTGCTGTTTTTTATTTTTAAAAAATTTACATCGTTTGAGATCTTAGCTCACGTTTTTTTCCCATGCCAAATAGCTTCTGCCCTTTAGGGGTGACACAAACACACATTTCTTTTTTTGGGAGTGACCCACACGGGTGAATGATCCTTCGGCAGAGGACAGTAGTAGTGCATTTCTTTTAAGGAAGTTGACTTTCCTCTAAGGAGCATTAAGAAAGTGGTGTGTAGTGGGGAGGGTGGGGCTGCCAGCACACAGTGACTTGCGTGGGAGTCAAATAAGCCATTCAATCTCTCCATGCCGGACTCCTCTTATTTATAAAAGGGAGATAATAATTAAGGATTATTGTGATGATTAAATAAAATATTATCTATAAAGCATTTAAACCAGTGCCTGGCCCTCAATAAAGGCTGGCTATTATTAATATTGATAAAGAATTCAAGGCATACCTATTTTTCCCTTCCAATTTTTCCCTTTTTTTCCCCCAAAGTTGTTTTACCTTTCTACTCTTTAATTATCACCCACCATGTCCGCATTCACCCTCATTTCCTGGATAGATGTATTTGACTATTATGATTTTTTCTATTTAGTCTTGGTCTCAGATTAAGAACAAATATTAATAACCACCACAACATATAATGTAGAGTGTCACAATCTTTTTTTTAAGTCGAAGCCAATATATTTTTTTGACAAGCACATTACATTCCTCCTCTAAAACTGAATCATTTTATGGATTTGAGATATTAAACTAGCATTGTTTAAGATGCATTATCAACTGACACCTTTTACAACACCCTTATCTGCTTGTCCCTTGGTGCTGCTCCATATTCCAGCTTCTGGCAGGACTCTGAAGGAGATGATACTGTGAGGCACACAGCCTTACCCAGGTGATGGATGGGTAGGTGGTGGGTAACTTAAAGTGGGGTTTACTTTTCCAAGTTTGTAGTGTTCAGAGTAGACATGTGTTAAGTCATTTGTCAGAAATGTGGAACACAGTGACAGAAATAACCAGATGCCCTGTAACAAGAAGCCACAGGGCAAACTTAGAAAAATGAAATAACAATACATTTCTCTCCTTGTGTAATAAAATACTGCTTATAACTTGAAGTTTTACCTCCATTTGTATATGATGTATTACTTTCCAAAAACACTTAAAGAATCCTAGGAAAAAAATCCCGTAACATCCTTAATGTTCACAAAAGACCTTAGCACTATTCAAGGCATTTTGTAGGGCATTTATAAAGGAAAGGAGAAATGATTGATTAGGTAAACCTAATAATATATATTTGAAGAAGAATAGTTTCTAGTAGCCCTGATAACAAATAATGTTTCCTTGCCTATAGTATTGTCTGGTGAATTTTTGTTGGAATTATTTTTTCAAGCCATAACTTTAGGTTAACAATTACTGTTGGGCAATGAGAAGAGTAACCTGAGGAATCCAACCTGATGAAATCATAACATACAAGGGAGAATATAAAATTGAACTATAATCAAAGTGAAAAAACAACTCTTCTCTTAAAAATGACTAATTTTTGAGAGGAGGGTGGGAGGAGAGTAAGGATTAAAAAAAAGTACCTATTTGGTATTATGCTGATTGCCTGGATGATGAAATAATCTGCACACCAAATCCCCGATGACATGCAATTTACCTATATAACAAACCTGCCCATGTACTCCTGAAACTAAATAAAAGTTTAAAAAATAATCCACATTTCATTTCATCCTGTGTTGGGAATAAAACTCCTCTCCCTAATCTTCCCACTGTAAACTTTGTGACTTCAAAGCCAGTCTTCCCATAGCCTTGAGTTTTTACTGGAATCCCCACCCCTTGCTTGCCTTCCTATTAGCTATTATTTGATTACTTATTCATTCAGCAAACCATTCCTATCCTCCCGTTTATCAGCACTTACTCCTGAAAGAACATGGAACAGCAGTTCAAATTCTGTCTCTACCCTGATGTTGGGATAGTCGTCAATGACTCAAAGGCTAAAGCTTCTGTTTCCTCAATAGTTAAATGAGGATAAAAATAGTTACTATGGGAATATTAGGAGAATTAAATGCAATCAGGCACTTGATACAATGTCTAGCACAAAATATGTTTTTCAGTAAGCGTTAGCTACCAGTATTATTACTGTGTGCTATATTCTGTCCTTAAGTTGGTTAAGTTCATTCCCAATTCTTTTATGAAGGCTTTCCATCACTGCAGCACTCTAGATCTTCTCCTCAAAATCCCAAGCATAGGAATTGTCACCCAGCTTTAATCACATGATAGCAACAATGATGATGAAACAAAGATCTAATTACATATTGTCTTGTGTTTCAGAATTATCTTCTCAAATAGCAGAGAAGGTTCTTCAGGTCAAAAGCTCATTTTCATTACTTGTTCATCTTTAATTTAAAACACATTGGCCAGGCACGGTGGCTCACGTCTGTAATCCCAGAACTTTGGGAGGCCGAGGCAGGCGAATCATGAGATTAGGAGTTCGAGACCAGTCTGGTCAACATGGTGAAACCCCGTCTCTACTAAAAACACAAAAAATTAGCTGGGCGTAGTGGCGGATGCCTGTAATCCCAGCTACTCAGGAGGGTGAGGCAGGAGAATCACTTGAACCCAGGAGGCGGAGGTTGCAGTGACCCGAGATCGTACCACTGCACTCCAGCCCTGGCGACAGAGGGAGACGCCATCTCAAAAAACAAAACAAAACAAAACAAAACCACATTATCTGCACATTAATATGCTCCTGGAACTATAGAAAGTGATATACCAAGGATACAAAGATGACTGAGCCAACATATCCACCTTGGGAGCACTCAGTTTAGTAATGACAGAGGACAAGTACTCAAAGATCAACAGGATAAAGCAGTGTAGGGAGACACAGGGCAGTTTACGTGATCCAAAGAGAAAGGAGTCAATTCTGGGATGCCTAAGGAAAGCTTGAAGGAGAAGACTTTCCTCTTTCTATTTAAACTGAGTGTGGTAGGACAGGCAAAGAAGGTTGGAAGATCTGACAAGGAGTAGAGGGTAGAGAAAATCTCCAGGCAGCCAGGGACAACAGGACAACACAGTGTGGGCTTGGGGAAGACAGGGCTCTCTCATTTGCCTGGAGCCATCCAGAGCAAAGCAGTGAGAGAGGGGATGGGAAGAAAGACTAGGGTTTGAGTTGGCCAAACACACCTGCAGGCCTCATTTAAAGCCTAAATGAGGCCCAAAAGAGACCTCTGGAAAAAGATCTGTAGAGGTATTTCTGTGTCTGACATTTTTATTCTAAGTAGTACAGCAAAACTGCATTTGACAAAGTTACAAAGTGCTATATTTGTCCCAGTGTTTCCATATATCTTCTCTGTGTCTTTCATCAGGACACTGTAACACGGTTCCACCCCTCCCCATTAAAAGCTACTTCCTCAAATTTGTCATTCACATTACAGTCTAAATTAACTCCACAAAGTCCAAGAATTCTCAATTTGAACCTGGCCTTTTATGTCATCATGAAGATATACTTGTCAAGGTAGAAGGAGAAAATATATTATGTATTTGTTTATTAGCTTTATACATTTTAAATATTTAAGCATATGGTATATGGGCCTCCATTGGTAGTTTTACGAAAACCTTAGAAATATCAGGGGCAATTATCCTTAGCAAATTAATGCATGAACAGAAAACCAAATACCACATGTTCTTACTTATAAGTGGGAGCTAAATGATGAGAACACATGGACACATAGAGGGGAACAACACACACTGGTGCTTAGTGGAGAAGGGAGGGTGGGATGAGGGAAAGAATCAGGAAAAATAACTTATGGGGACTAGGCTTAATACCTGGATGATGAAATAATCTATCCAACAAACCTCCATGGCACACATTTACCTATGTAACAAACCTGCTCATGTACCCTTGAACTTAAAATAAATATTAAAAAAAATGTTAGAGTGGGTTTACCATGCTAGAAAGGTTTGCAAGTACTGATTCTGGGACAAAAGGTGCCTTCCTTTTGCCTCAGTCTGATGTTCTTGGCTTGCTTCTCACAGGCCTGCTGCTGTGTTTCAGTAGCCAGAGCATACTACAGATTCACAGTCCCTTTTGGTTGGAGCAGAAATTAGTGCTCATTCTTAGCTCTATCAACATAATATACACTGAGACCTCAACAACCTCAAACTTGGTTGTAATTGACATAGCCAAGCTGTGATGCCATTGAGCATCACAGCCATGGTGGGTTTCTAGCAAATGTTGGCATTGCTGATGCCTGTCATGGGTGGAAAGAGAAGAAGTTTCTGTGAGCCTTTTATCTACATATTTGCTGTTCTCAATATGTCTTGCACATACCTTTATTTTTATAGGAAAAGAATTATGTTGAAGCCATGAGTTTTATTATACCCAATAAATGAAGTTTCTGGGATATCTCCCGGACAGCTACAAGGTGAAGTATAAGAATGCCAGTTCTTGGAAAATACACGAATGAGTTTGGCAGCTTACTGTCTGAAAGATGGCCTCAAAATAAAGAAATCACTGCCTCTCCCTCCTCACTATAAGACAGCCAAATTCATGAGGGAAATAAAAAACGAAAGCATAGCTCCACTATAGGGCAGGAAATGAAGAATAGCTTTATAACAGAAATGATGTGGGGAATTCTTTATGTTGGCAGCATGCAATTCCCAAAATAGATGCTGGCCAGAACCAGTTTAACTATTTGGAAATAAATATGTGGTTTTTTAACTCACTTAGTATGGCCAGTGAAGACTTTCCAAGGCTTCAGGAAACAAATGCCAAAGAGGTCCTCTTGAGATTGTGGGGTCTGTTCATCTTGTTATTATCTAGAGACAATGGAATTGACACCAATTTGCAGAAGTCTAGTTGAAAAATGTCTTCTTTCAAATTATTGAAATAATAAAAAGCAGGTCTTTACAGGTAAGTGTTTTACTTGAACAATTTGATTATCTCAATTGTGTTGAATTCTTTGGTTTAACATTCCAGATATCTGTATGAACTTGATACATTTAATCTACTCCCTTTTCATACTTTATGACAGTCCTTTTCTTAATATTTACACTATCAACGTTAACCTCGAAGCTTATACATGAAGCAGAGAACCTATGGTAGTGATCAATCTCTTTCTTTACATTTCAATCTTTAAGTGAACCAAGTTGATTTAAAAAGTAACATGCTGTCACTTTCTCTCAAAACAAGGCACACACTGAGTAACACAGAAAGTTCAAGAATTTAATTTAATTTGTAAAGTTTTATACACACACACACACACACACACACACACACCTTTCTGGATTCTCTTGTGTCTTTGAGAGTGCATTTGTGAGACCAGAGATCGTGTCCCAGCAGTTTACGGACAAGCTAGTTGCCCGAGAGGTATCTAATATGTGACCTGATTTCACAGACACCTTGCTAGAACCACAGGCTTCACTCACCGCTTACTATTGAAATCAAGAGGTTTATTCATTTATTACAAAGTGAGTTCTGGTGAAGACTAGAAACTTTAGACCTAATGAATATTTCTAATGTGATTATCAAAGCTCCCTAACCTAGGAGAAAATGAGCTCAGTGATTCAGAGAACAGGAGGGCACTAAATATTAAAAGTTAGAACTGTGTTGAACATTCACCCTGAAAATGGTTTTGTAAGAAGAAAACTTTAAAAAGCAAGATAACATGTCAAATTATACAAGGTCAAAATGGTGGTGTAAGTTGCCCATTATTCTGGGCTTTGCCAAAGATACAACATTCTTATAATTTTTTAAAGAGGCTTAAATTCAATTTTTTTAGAATCTGTAAATAATATTGCTAGCAAATGAAAACAATATAAGGTTTCCATGCATATCTTTTTAATTGCAAGAACCAAAAGTATGAACCTTGAGCTTGACTTTTAAGGATAATATTACTACTGATATGCCAGCATTTGCCAGCTAATTTGGAAGCCTGGGAACAAATCACTGATTGATTTTTGGTGAAATGTTCACTCCCCAACCTGTCAACAAACTTCTCATGAGATAGTGCCCTTTTACTTTCAGCCCAGGTTTGTCACGGCATGGAACATCTTGCATGGCCCAGAGAGTTTCAAGGAATCCCGGGAACTGTGAGTGTCAGGTATGTTTATGTATGATGCTGAGCATAAGAGCTTTCGGTTTAGTCTCTTGTGCAGAGATAATAGTTTGCGTTAGATTGATGATATGCAGACTGAGAAGTGTATCTTGTGCAACAACTCTGAGGAGTGCTGAAAGATAAAAATCCCATTTGCTGCATTTTATATTGGTAGTCTCTGATGTGGACAACACAGGCCTGGATAGTCCTTCTAAATCACAGATATAATGAGGGCCAGATAGCAGCTCACTTAACTGTTGAATGAAGTAAGTGTTTCTTTACTTGAGATTGAAGGATGGCATATTTGTTATCTAAAACCTTATGCTATCAGGTTAAAAGAAGTCTTTCCTTTATATCTCTGAATGTAGAATAGATAGCTGCATAGTTATATGAACATTCCAGGTGTTACATAGCAAGGTTTTAAGGGAAGTTTTATTTATTCACTTTTATTTAATTTTTACAGTGAACTCCCTGGAGGCCCTTTAGTACTAAAGATGAGCTGCTTTCCAATTTCTTCCTCTCTCTGTTTTGCCACCAGTCCTCTGGGCAAAGAACAAAGGCAACCCCTTGGTAGCTAATCAACATAATTCTTTAACTGGAGACTGGGTTCTCAAATGGAAAAGCAATATAATTCCAGGAAGCAAGAACAAATCCAGACCCAGTAATCCTGCCTGAGTGGAACATAAGCCTCATGAGTAAAAACACCTTTGCTTCTAACATTTCATTAATCCCAGTTTTATAGGCAGCAGTTTATTTTATGTCTAATAGAGCTATTTCCCAGTGTTTTATAATAAGATGCATTTCAGTATCTACAAGACGAATGGTAATTCTAGTTTTATAAGTGGAGGAACAGGAGCATGGAGGGATTATGAGGACCTTGGTGTTAGTGTCACCAGCAGAGTTGTTTCCTATTTGTGCCATAAACACACACACACACACACACACACACGCAGTCACACACATAGATAAACATATAGGCACTTTTATGCCCCTGTACACATGTACATTCATACACACACATGCACACTCTCACAGGCACACATCACATATACACATTCTCACACATACACTTATAGGTACAAATGCATACATCCACACTCACACACATATACGCACTTGCACACATATACACACTCACAAGCACGAAGACCGAAAAGTAAAAAGCACTCTGAATTACACTAGTTGGAAGAAAAGCAATCTGACTTATGAAAACTTTATAACATAATACTGTTTAAATGTTTTCTTTTTGGACATATTCAGTAACTGCAACAGGCAAAAAAGAATCACTTACTTAATATATTTATTACTTGGCAGAAATACATAAGGAGCTTGGTTTAATGAAGCCTGAAATATATTTTCAATAATCATTGTAAACACTAAAAATTCAAGGAGCAGCTTCTCAGCCAAGAGCTTGACATATAGTAGGCACTGAATAAATGTTCTGAATTTTAAAAGTGTTTATTGAAAAATGTTACAGACTTCAGGTTAAGCATAATAGTCTGAACACATATGTTTATCTCTAGTCTCCCCTGGAAGCCAATTAAAATGAGGCTAGAGCATGATAAGCAAATAAATAATAATAAAGTATAACACAGAGAAACAAAGAAAACATTACAGAAGATGGAAGCAAATGAAGATATCCACAAAAATTGAAGAAGAAAATTAAAAGGAAGAGTGAACATTGACTTAACAGAGTGAGGAAACCTATGTGCCTGTAGGGGAGAAGAGAGAAAGACACTAAGACATAAGCAATTCATGTCACTGAACTGGGGAAAGGCCCAGGAATTGGAGTTCCAAGTTTCTATAAAAGCAAAATATTACTAAAAAGCCCGGTAGCCCCAAAAGATGGGATGTTTCCAATTACGTATTGCAGAGCAAATACATGAAACCAAAAGTGAGCATCAAGCAAAGCAAGATTTATTCAATAGCCAGGGAATAGAGAAGTGGGAATGTGGCTTGCAAATCAACTTCTCAACTAGTGAAGGATGACGAGGTTAAAATATAGAGTCTCTTTAATGAAGGGTTTGTACAGTAAAAGCAAAGGGAGCAATATTCATGCCTTTTCCAGAATAGGGTGGTAAACTTCTCTGAACCAGTAGTGCTGTCTTCCTTTTTTCCTTTTATGACTTCTTCCAGTTGTTGTCATGGTGATTATCAACTGTCATGGCACTGGTGAGAGTGTCATCTAGATGGAAATGAGATTATAATGAAGCGTAAGGTCTTTTTAAGTCATTTGATAGGCTATCTTGGTTCTAACCAGTCTCAGCTGGTCTGATTACAAAGGGAAATTCTTACAGTAGACATCCTGTTTCTTAAAGATAAGCAAAGTTAGAGAAGGGCAAAAATTTGGCTATGGAATGTAGACATTACATCAGATAACAAAAGGTCAGGGGCAGAAGTAAAAACAGCATGATTGGTTAAAAGTTTATGTGAGAAGCAGTTAGATCTTACAAGTTCTCTTTCTTGTCCAGGATGGCGGAAGTTTACTCTTTGGGGAAGCCTCTAACATGGAAGACAGACATCTAAACAAACAAGTAAACAGGGAATTTGATGTAACAGAGCAATGAAAAGAACTGGGACAATTCTAAAACACTAATATTAGCATATAAGATACAGTAGCCACTAAACTATAACATGTTATTAAAAATAATAAGGGCTACTTTTTAATGGGGTCTTTTTTCTTCTTGTAAATTTAAGTTCCTAAAGGACATGAACAGACACTTCTCAAAAGAAGACATACATGTGTCCAACAATCATATAAAAAAAGCTCAAAGCTCAACATCACTGATCAATCATTAGAGAAAGGCAAATTAAAACCACAATGAAATACCACCTCTCACCAGTCAGAATGTCTATTATTAAAAAGTCGAAAAACAATAGATGCTGGTAAGGTTGTGGAGAAAAAGGAATGCTTACACACTGTTTGTGAGAGTGTAAATCAGTTCAGCCATTATGGAAGACAGTGTGGCAATTTCTCAAAGACCTAAAGACAGAAATATCATTTGACCCAGCAATCCCATTACTGGTTACTTACCCAAAGAAATATAAATCATTCTATTATAAAGACACATGCACATGTATGTTCATTGCAACACTATTCACAATAGCAAAGACATGGAATCAACCTAAACGCCCATTAGCGATAGACTGGATAATGAAAATGTGGTATATATGCACCATAGAATGCTATGCAGTCATGAAAAAGAATGAGATCATATCCTTTGCAGGAACATGGATGGAACGGAAGGCCATTATCCTTAGCAAAGTAATGCAGAAACAGAGAATCAAATACTGCATGTTATCACGTATAAGTGAGAGCTAAACATATGGACACATAGAGGGGAACAACACACACTAGGGCCTATCAGAGGGTGGAGGATAGGAGAAGGGAGAAGATCAGGAGAAATAACTAATGGGTACTAGGCTTAATACCTGGGTGATGAAATAAAATACCTGGGTGATGAAATAATCTGTACAATAAATCCCCATGACATACATTTACCTATGCAACAAACCTGCACATGTACCTCTGAAATGAAAGTAAAAGTATAAAAAAAAATAATAAGGACCATTCAGGGAAGAATAAATTTAATGAAATATGAAACATACTAAAATAAAAGTTTCAATAGAAGAGCTGTGAAGTAAAGTTGAGGAAATACTTCAAAATTAAAATGAAAAGGGAAAGAGATGAAAAAGAGAAGGCAAAAGATGAGAAAACCAGAGGCTTTCTTTAGGAAGGTAGATATGTTACTAATAGGAGTTCCAGAAATATCATGCAGAAAAACTAGAGAGAAATAAATAATAATAATAAAAACATAGAAGAACTCTCCCAACTAAAGGATGTGATCTCCAGATTTGAAAGAGCTCACCAAGTTGCCTGCACAATCATTTAGAAAGACCCATATACAGGCATATCTTTATGAAATAGTGAAATAACTAGGTATCAAGAGGAGATACTAAAAATTTCCAGAGAGAGTAAACAAAACTAAACAGAAAAAAAATAAACAAACACAAATGAAAATAGATTACATACAAAAAAACAGGACGTGGAATGGTAAAAGAACCCTAAGTAGCCAGAAAACAATGGAAACGTTTTCAAAGTCTCAGGTGAATAAAGCGATCTTCAACCTAGATTTATATACACAGCCAAATTATTCATAAAGTGAGAGTATAAAATAAAAATACAAGATTTTTTTAAAAAGTACCTCCCTTATATCCTTTCTTGGGAGATCATAATGATGAAAATTAAAAAAAAAAAAGAACCTTATATAAAATTTACTGTTTCCAGGCCCTGTTCTAAGCATTTTGTATATAGTAATTCATTCTAACCTTATAGAATTCTTGTGGAGCAGCTACTATTATGAAAAAGCTGAGGCACAGAGAAGTTGCAATTCTTGCCCATGGTCACCCCAGTTAGTAATGGAGAAAATGAGATATGAGCCAGCGTTCAGGGTCAGCGCTCTTATTGCCTGTTACACTGCCCCTCAGAAATGCTGAGACAGGAAGGAGAAGTTATACACCATGTGGCTCAGCCGAGAGTAATATTCACATGGGCATAATAATGGAAAACTTGAAAACAGGTTTCACAAAAGTTATGTAACTATTTTGGGAGATGTGGAGAAGTGAGAGCAAGTGGGAGAGGTGTTGAGAGTAACTAGAGTCAAATTCTCACCTTTCTTAGCATCAGGTGAATAGGCACTCTCTCAAGTGGGAAAAATCAAGCTCTGTCTAGCACATAGAATGGACTCAATAAATGTTTGTGAGTGAATAAACAATGTTTGTGAGTGGTATTCCAGGTCTATGTCTCACATCTTCATTTGTATATTTACATGGCAGTGTAATAGAAAGATTGGAAAAATCACTTTTATCTGTCTCTGATGTGCTATGTATGTCATGGAGAAATGTTTATGACAAATTTAACTAAAAAATAGTAAAGCACGATACTATAATTCTTTTTCTTTTTCTTTTTCTTTTTCTTTTTGAGACAGGGTCTTTCTCTGTTGCCCAGGCCAGAGTGTAGTGGTCCAATCACAGCTCATTGAAGCCTCAAACTCCTGGGCTCAAAGGATCCTCCTGCCTCAGCCTCCCAAATAGCTGGGACTACACACATGTGCCACAATGCCTGGTTTATTTTATTTTATTTTATTTTATTGTAGAGACAGGGTCTCGCTATGTTGGCCAGACTGATCTCAAACTCCTGCCTTCAAGTGATCCTCCTACCTCAGCCTTTCAAATTGTTGGGATTACAGGCATGAGCCACTGCGCCTGGCCCTACAATTCCTTTTTTGAAATAATAGAATGTACACATGTTTATGTATTATTTACAAATAGGATTATATCGGTAGAATAAAATTTCTGAAGGGATAAATCCTTAAAATGTCATCAGTGAGGAGTGAGGTTGGGAAGAAGGGTTTGTTTTACTTGACATGTTGTTGTCATTTCTAAAATTTTACAATGTGCATTTATCTTCATAATTAAAAACTAAAGATCTAAAATTTATTTAAATTGTTACCAATCATATTTTAATTAAAAAATGTTTTAAAGATCAACATTTTTATATTTTGTATTCTTAATACCTTGAGTTTATTTTATCATTGCTTCAGTCAACTATAGAAGTTCGTCAATTCTTGACAGAATAGATTAAGGAATGGCAATTTGTTGCCATCAGGAAAACCACTCGCTTACTCTGAATTGTGGATTGAGATGGAACTGATGGGATTCTGGGCACAAAAACTGGGAAACTGGGAAGCTGCTTTGTTGGCAGCCACTGACCCAATAAAATCTTGACATACTTACATTTCCCTGGCTTCCAAGCCAATAGCAGTCAGGTGGGAGCATGCCAAGTAAGAAGGGCAATAAACCCTGAATAATCTCATTGTGTGTCATTTTCTGGTGCCAGTGCCTGATGTGTAAGGCAACTGAAAGGTAGCAAAGAGGCTTATTTGTTCCCATCCAGAAACTTTACCAAAGATTCCTAGACACACACTCCCATTGTATTGTCTAAAGTCCTGGGTGGGCTCCTTTACGAAAGCAGCAATTTATAGGGAGAGGAGAGACTTGCCAAGGCTCTAAACTTTTCACTTCCTATATTTGTTTTTTAATGTATTTATTCTAATTTTGAGGTAGGATTTCACTCAATCCTTCCCTATCACAAAAATTTAATGAAAGAGGGAAGGTAAAGCCAGGAAACTTGCCTCTCATACACACCTCATGTTGATTAGGGTGAGGGGTTGTTTGGGGGTTTTGTTTAGGTGGTGTCTTAAATTAGGCATATGGTTGGTTATGTACACACAGAGCTGGGAAGTGAAAGCATCACTTGTCCTTTAGTGGGAAAAGCTTCAAGTAAACAGAGTTTTTCATCCTTATTATGCCGAGAGCTGGAATAATAAATACAGATAGGAGGCAGACTCATACTCCAAATAATTTGTTGAAACTACGTTCACAGACGCAGCCTGTTTCTATTTGTGCAGTTGTTAGCCATAAGGACAGTCATAAACCTTGCTTGGTCTTGGACAAGTGCCTTGCCAATCACTCCTCACATCAACCCAGGCTTGGTGACTAAAATTAGTTGACACTGCCCAAGTGTTCAAACTATGATCGATTGTTTCAACTTTCAGGGCAGACCCTTGAGTTTGATTGGCAGATCAAAATGGCAACTATCTTGTTGGAAGGGCAAAGGCTGCTCTGTGTCTGTATCTTATGATATAAACAAGGCTGCAAAGAAAAGAACAAAGAAGGCAGAATAAAAATAAACTGGAAAAATACCACAACAACGAAAAAGCTCATTGCTTAATTGTAAGAATGTAAGATATTTAATTAAATTGTCTTTCTGAAGCTTATGTACTAGTAATTCTTCATGTATTGTTCTGAGAAAAATAATTAAAAATGCATCAAAATTATACTTTTGTCATAAGCTTTTCTTGTCAGTTCTTTTGGAAAGAATCTAAGGTGTGTGATCTAATAGGCTGGATCTACCAATATCCGTGTTTTTTAAAAGAAGTGAAATATTGGCCGGGCGCGGTGGCTCACGCCTGTAATCCCAGCACTTTGGGAGGCCGAGGCGGGTGGATCATGAGGTCAGGAGATCGAGACCATCCTGGCTAACAAGGTGAAACCCCGTCTCTACTAAAAATACAAAAAATTAGCCAGGCGCGGTGGCGGGCGCCTGTAGTCCCAGCTACTCGGGAGGCTGAGGCAGGAGAATGGCGTGAACCCGGGAAGCGGAGCTTGCAGTGAGCCGAGATTGCGCCACTGCAGTCCACAGTCCGGCCTGGGCGACAGAGCGAGACTCCGTCTCAAAAAAAAAAAAAGAAAAAAAAAAAAAAAAGAAGTGAAATATTGAGTAAATCATGTTAGAAATAAATAATGACAAAACTCCTATATAGAGATTTGTGTTAATAACCAGATGTTTTGAAACTAAGTGGAATAAAATTTATGAATGTATTTTATCCTTAAATATTTTTCAAAAAATCAAATAGTTTTTTTTTTTCTTAGCGGAGCCCAGTTTCCTCATCTCCTATCTTAACCCATTATATTTGGAGATTTAATCCTAACCTATCACTAAAATTGCTTTTATCAAGGTCACACATGAGCTACATCTTGGGAAGCCAGTATCGGTCTGTCTTCCCTTAGTCTCCAGATAGTATCAGATGTAGTTCACCACTCCATCCTACTACAAACTTTTTGTACTGTAGGCCCATGGCACTGCAATTGCCATATTATCATATTTTATTTTTTTCACATCTGAATGTGACTTTATCTAAATGATTCTTTGTGTATGTGACCTGTCTCTCCCTACCTGAAGGTAAGCTCCATGAGGGCAGGGATTCTGCCTCCTCATTCATCGCTGTCTCACTACTGCCCAAAGCAGTGCTTGACATGTACAGTCTCCATACCTGATTGCTGAGGAAAAATATACCTTAGAACTGGTAAAATCAATCCGCCTTGTATTGTTAATTTAAGGCGAAATTTGGGCTTGGGGGCAGTGTTTTAATCCTGTAATTCTAGAATTTTGGGAGGAGAAGGTGGGTGGATAGCCTGAGCCCAGGAGTTCAAGACCAGAGTGGGCAACATGGTGAAAGCTCATCTCTAAAAAAATAGAAAAATAACCAGGCATGGTGGAATGTGCCTGTAGTCCCTTGGGAGGCTGAGGCAGGAGGATGACTTGAGGCCTTGGGAAGTCATGGCTGCAGTGAGCTGTGATCACACCACTGTACTCCAGCCTGAGTGACAGAGTGAGACCCTGCCTCAAAACTAAAATAAAACAAAATAAAAGGTAAGATTAAACCCATTTTCAAAATGCATAATTTAAATTTGAGAGCTTTCCTCTTGCCCCATTCCTAAACAGCTGCTCCAAATGAACTTTTTTCAGCACCATAAGATTTGCCTTGGGCTCGCCTTGCCCTTCCATGGCACAGGACCAACACTTGCCTTTTACGTTTCTTAGTTGAGAAAAAATTTGAGAAACTAACACGTATCATTTAAAAACCAACTATTTTGGCCTTGTGCAGTGGCTCACTCCTGTAATCCCAGCGCTTTGGGAGGATGAGGCAGGCAGATCATGAGGTCAAGAGATCGAGACAATCCTTGCCAACATGGTGAAACCCTGTCTCTACTAAAAATACAAAAATTAGCTGGGCATGGTGGCACACGACTGTAGTCCCAGCTACTCGGGAGGCTGAGGCAGGAGAATCACTTGAGAGGTGGAGGTTGCAGTGAGCCGAGATCATGTCACTGCACTCCAGCTTGGTGACACAGCAAGTCTCTGTCTCAAAAAAAATAAATAAATAAAAATAAATAAAAAATAAAAAATAAAAAAGCCAAGTATTTTATTGTTTGGGATAATGTTGCAATTTCTGTATTGTGACTTCAATTGCCCACAGATTACATCTTTTACAGGGGAGGGAAAAGGTGGAAGACTGTGGGTCTTATTTCTCAAGACAGTATCTTTCTTCAGAGCCAACAAGCTCCCCAAGTTGAGTTTCATCCAACTTTGTGGCTCCCAGCAGGATGAGATCTTGTACTCACATGCAGCATCTCCTGAGCTAATAATAAACAATGCTACAGAAACCCCAAAGACAATGTAGTGACAGGTGACAGAACTCTCAGATGCTCCTAGACTCTGCCAAGTAGAATGAGTATCTTAGCACAGCTGTGTTGTCTATGCAAAAGAAACCCTTCTCAATATCTTATGATATTTAATATAGTCATGTTCTTCAGGTAATTTTCCATGTAGCATTGATCAAGCACATCAACTTTAAAGACACTCTTCTCTTTTAAGCTATTATTGGGGAAAATCCTATTATTTAAATTTTAGGGAAGTGATTCCTACCTAACTCACCAAATGCACTGAGATATGATTATGTGTAGGCCCATTTGCGATTTTTATTTTTCAATCTTGTTTATAATGGAGAGGAGATGACATGCCCTCTCTCCCTTTTTGTTAGTAATGTTTCATACAAGCAGCAGTTCTTCCAAGTGAGTTTCACACTACTCAGTACTTCTGTTTTCTCTCTCTTATGCACTGAACTCACTTGAACTGATTCAGAAATGGTACATGTCGAGGGGTTACCCAGACCCAGCCTCTTCCTATACTTCAGGGCCTATATTTATATCTGACTCATCTCAGAGGACCGATGTATGGATTACTTAGAACAGGCTCACAAAGGATCTTGAAGTCCTTAGATAAGCATGCTATATAATTTGGGGCATGACTATTAAAAATACTTGACCTTGGTATATAATTATTCCATAGGCAGCCACAGAGAAGCCCTTTCTTGAATAAATGTTTTAATTTCTAGAAAAAGCATTCTACACATGTCATTCCATGTTGAACTCTTAGAGCACAAAAAACAACCTAAAACAGAAAAACCTCAATAACGTTTTTCAGTAAGAAGATATTATAAAATAACTTCAATTTGAGAAGATTCATTGGCTGATTATCATGTGTTAAGCATTGTGCTAGGATCTGTGGATAAAGAGAGGTCACAATTCAACACAGGTAATAAACATGCACACCGTACATCTAGCCATAATCTGGGTGATAGGTACCAAACTAACAGTATGAAAAAACATTAAGAGACTAATTCTGACTAGCATGGTATGTATCTGTCTTAGAGAAGGCTATAGGCTGGTCATTAATTCAAAAATTATTGGTTGAACATATACTATACCCTGAGCTGAGCTTCACAGGAAAATGATATTTGAGTTGAGCTGATGAGCAGAACTTGAGAGGGATGTTCCCATTAGAAAGTGCAGCATGTGTGATACCCAAAAGAAACTGACATGTTCTGAGAATGTTGAATGTTCTTGTGTGGTAGAACCAAGGCTGTGGCTGGGGAAACCACAGAGATAGAGTCCAGGAATTTGGGGTGGGTCCATAGAATTTTGGGCCTGGAACACCTGGCCAGAGAGTCTGGAATTAATCTAAGTACCAGAGTCATCAAAGATGCTTTGTTTTGTTCTTTTTCTTTTTTTTTTTTTAACAGTGGAGTAATCTGATGAACTTTGTATTTTAAAAATCCCAGTCAGGAGTCAGGATAAAGGAGGGCTTAGCAGGAACAAGACTGGAATCAAGGAGAACAGTTAGGAAGACGCTACAATATTTAGACAAAGATGGTACAGACCTAAATTAGAACAACAGCTGTGAGAATGGAGAACAAGAATAGTATTAGAAAAGATGCCATAAACTGACAACACCACAAACCCAACTTTGTCTTAAATGACTTGTTTGAAGTATACAATATGAGTTTGTTTTTACTTGAATTCATTGACAACATCATAAAATCCGAAGACTACATAAAACCTAAATTTCTACCTCCTCTTTAGAAATATAGTAGATTTGCAGTACTGAGCCACATTTCCTCATGACAATACCTTGCCTGGCAGTAAGAAGCATATGATCTTTTTAGACAACATACGCTCCCCACCTGACCACATACCCTTCCACCAATTCCAGCCTGTTTTATTTTATCTGCCAGGCTCCTATAGACGTTTGAGAGTGATTTCTGAGATTATCTGAAAAAAAAAAAAAAATCAACAGGTCGCTGTGGTTAATAAGTATGAGAGAGTGAGAGAAGAGGTGCAGTTTCAGCCCCAGAGGTTGATGGGTAGAAAGGAAGGAGTGAGGAGGGAGAGGCAGGTTCAGTTCCAGAGGTTGATGGGGTGATGGGCAGAAATGAAGGAGTGAGGGAGCAGAGGCAGGTTCAGCCCCAGAGGCTGATGGGTAGAAAGGAAGGAGTGAGGAAGCAGGGGCAGGTTCAGCCCCAGAGGTTAGCGGGTAGAAAGGAAGGAGTGAAGGAGCAGTAGCAGGTTCAGCCCCTGAGGTTGATGGGTAGAAAGGAAGGAGTGAGGGAGTAGGGGCAGGTTCGGCCCCAAAGGTTGATGGGTAGAAAGGAAGGAGTGAGGGAGGAGGGGCAGGTTCAGCCCTAGAAAGTTGATGTGTATAGAGAAAGGAGTGAGGGAACAGGGGCAGGTTCAGCCCCAGAGGTTGATGGGTAGAAAGGAAGGAGTGAGGGAGCAGGGTCAGGTTCAGCCCCTGAGGTTGATAGGCATAAGAGAATGAGGGAGCAGGGGCAGGTGAGTGGCAGTAGGTGATAATTTGAGATGTAACTACTTGAGATAAGGAGCATGGGAAAAGGAACAACTTTGGTGAGTGAGATTATTAGTTCCATTTTGGACATGCTGAGTTAGTCTATTTTAAATGGATCTATCTACTGGTGTGATTAAAGGAAAAACCATTTCTTATAAGCCTTTATAAACAGATAGACTCTCCATTAAACCAACCTGTTAATTTTCTTTTTTTCTGCCAAAAAATCTTTGATCCAAAACATATAAATGTTCTGTGTGCATAAGGAGATGTCATTTTTGTCAAATTTACATTTAAAGTGTCACAAGAAATTTTTATTCCTCCTGTCATTATTTATATGAAGGAAAGTATTGCCAAAATTAAAGGCAAAGGAAATTAGCTTTTCTAGTTAATGTCATAAGACATTAAATATTTTCACTCTGATGGAGTAAAAAATTAGAAAATTTTCAAAAACCTTTACGGAGTTAATTTAATCTTACTAGAAAGGGCTATAAAGATACTAAGAAGGTGATTTTTCCCCTACTGAGGAAAAATAACAAGATAAATGAGTTTTAGCCCTGAAAGTAATTAAAGACATGTTGTTTATGGAGAATTAATAGGTTGTTCCACATTATAAAGTATCCTCTCTCCACCTTCCTCCTATTCACTCAGAGTACTTAAACGTCCACTCTGGAGTTCCAGTACATACCCATCTCTCTCTTCTCTAAACCCTTTACTTTTAGTTTCTGTAATAAGAGTTCAGCACTCATGCCTTCCTATAATGGTTTCATTTGTCTTCTTTTCACTTCTTTTAAAAGGCAGTAAGTTCATGAATAAAGAAAACAAAGTTATGTTTCTTCTGTGGTCCCCAGAATACTGTGCACACATTAAGTACTTATAAATAATTTTGTCTGGTTGAGAGACAATACTAAGAGATAATAAAGCACAAGTTCTAGACCCAGCCTGATCCCAACTTCTTCACTTACTAGCTGTGTAATACCAGTAAGTTATATAACCCTTTTCTGCCTCAATCTCATCATTTGTAAAATGATAGTATCTGTGTCATAGGGTTGTTGAGATGATTTTTAAAAAGTTAACTAATGGAACACTTAGTGCGTGGCATATAGTAAGTTCTCAATAAGTATTAGCTATTGTTATCATAAGTCTAGGCTCTGATACAAGTTGTCCAACCTTGGGTAAATTATTGCATCTTCTTGCGCCTGAGTTGTTTCTTCCAGAAAATAGAGATACTCGTAGTTCTTGCTGCGTAGCATTTTTCAGTAATTAAATGGAATACCGTATGTAAAATATTCTTTGAATAACGACTGGAACATAGCAGGTGCTCAAAAACTATTAGCTATTATTATTATTATCAGTATCATTATTTTATTAGTGCCAAAGTAGCCAGTGAATTGGTTGGTTGAGGAAAGAGAAGTAAGTGTGTTGGGAGAGAAAAAAAAAATCTAGATTTCTAACAGGTAGAAATCTACAATGTTCTCATATATTTTAATACCTTTTTTGCCAAGGAAATACCATCACTTTTTACCATATATGAACAACTAGTCCCACGTGGACACTTCAAGTCAGCAAAGTGGTAAAAGCTCAATGATACACTCTCATCAGTATCATTTGTACAAAGGCAAAGCTGAGAATTGTCACTACAAATACATGGGGAAAGGTTTGCTAAGCAAATTAACAGTACAAACAATAGTTTTCAATAAATTGGTATTTTTTAGAATAAATTGGTATTCAGTACTTTATAAATGCCCATTTATACATAGGAAATTAATATGCTCCAATTTCAAACTACCACTCTCTCAATGTCTGCTATTTAGAAACATATTTACAAACTAGTTTTGGTGACCATGCATCTTTAAAATAATAAAATGTAATTTATTTTAATTTAGCAAACACAAGTGTTAGAGAAATTTTTAAGTAATTATAGTTTAATTCAACATAATGCCATTTTACACCAACTATGTGTCAAGTTCTGTTCGAATATTATTTCATTTAACCTAACAATATCCTTGCCAGTATGTATTATTATCCCATAGCTACTAGAGGTTAAGCAACTAGCCTTGGTCACCCAGCTCATGCAGTTGCGATAGGATCTTAACCCAGGCCTGTCTATTCTAAAATCCATGTCTCTTTCTATATCATGTAGTATTTAGAAAACATTTATATGAATAATGTGCTGCCCTCCAAATATGTATGGGTTGAAAATACTAAATAAGCTGGTCACTCATGTAATTTAGTATCAATCGTGCATCATTTAATGACAGGTATACTTTCTGAGAAATGTGTCATTAGGTGACTTCCTCATTATGCTGACATCACAGAGTGTAGTTAGATAAACCTAGATGATATATGTATTTTTTATTTATTTTTTTATATGGAAAACCAAATGCCCCAGCACTATTACTAAATATTAACCATTTCCTCTACTCAATCTGCAATGCTAGTATCAAATGACATATATCAAATTTCTATATATGCTCCATCATAATCTTACAGGACCACCATCATATATGTGGTCCATCATGGACCAAAATGTTGTTATGTGTTGCATGACTGTATTTGACTTTTATTGATTTCTGCCTAAATACATTTTAAAAATGTATTTTTAAAATTACATTTAATGTAATGTAGTGTAATAAAATGTAATGCAACAATTTTCCTCTATAGACTACATTCAAGGAATGTACTATACATGCTCATAGGATGTATCACAAAAACGTTATGTTGAGCCGATAGAAGCCTGGTGCAAGAGAATGGAATGGATGACCCCATTTATATGAAGTTCTAGAACAGCCTAACCCAATCTTTAGTGACAAAAATCAGTTCAGTTTGCTAGAGTTAGGGTGGGGTAGGGTGAGAAATGGATTGACTACAGAGGGATATGAGAGAACTTTCAGGGGGTGAAACAAAATTTCTAGATCTTAATTGGGATTGTAGTTACACAGGTATATACGTTTGTCAAAACTCATCAAATAGTACATTAGAATATAGAAAATTTTAAAAATGAAACAGAAAAGAGGGATTTATACACAAGATAACACAATTTCTGATTTTCGTTTATTAGATTATAGCAACCTAATAAACGTTAGTGGCCAATATTGGCCAGAAAAAAAAAACAAAAACGGAATTAGTTATTTTAATATCAGAAGAGTAGAGTTAGCCAGGCGCGGTGGTTCACGCCTGTAATTCCAGCACTTTGGAAGGTTGAGGAGGGCAGATCAGCTGAGGTCAGGAGTTCAAGACCAGCCTGGCCAACACGGTGAAACCCCGTCTCTACTAAAAATCCAAAAAAAAAAAAAAAAAAAAATCAGCTGTGCATGGTGGTGTGTGCCTGTAGTCCCAGCTACTCAGGAGGCTGAGGCAGGAGAATTGCTTGAACCCAGAGGGGGTGGGGCGTGGGGCGAGGTTGCAGTGAGCTGAGATTGCACCACTGGACTCTAGCTTGCGTGACAGAGTCGACTCCGTCTCATAACAAACAAACTAAAAAAAGAGTAGCGGTTAAGATAATGTATACATAAAGTATAAAGTATTATATACTCAGGAAAGAAAAATAAGTCAATAATACAAAAATATACTAATAAAAGATAGCATATATATACATATATGTGTGTGTATGTATGTGCTAGAGCTATGGAAAAGAATTAATTAATTAACCTACAGATTAGGAAGTTGAACACATCCCTCTCAGAATCTGACAGATCAGGTAAATAAAGAAAATAAAAATCTGAGTCGCATTATTACTAAGTTAAACAACTAATAAACAGAAAAACATATTCTTACTGAGAATAAAACATTCACAAAATTGTGCAGGAAAACATGTGAAGCCTAAATAAATTATGCAAGATTGAGGTCATAAAGTTCATACAGACTATATTCTTTTACACTAATGCAACAAAATTAAAAATCAATAACAAAGTGGAACCATCCTTACAAGGTTAACAAGAATTACAGATTCTGGACAGACACATAATAAATATTAATCAGGTTGCACTTTGTCTCACTCCCTTATAGCTGTTGACTAACCAGAAGACACAGAGCACTAGATACTGACCATGTGCATCTCCATTGTTCCTATACATAGATCTGACCTTAGAATCATAAAGCTTTTATTTAAGAATTGCTTATGATGTTTTTCAGATCCTGAATTCCAGCAGAATGGCTGCCATCAACCAGTTTGAAGACCCTCACAGAAGAACCCAATCAGCATGAGAATGTAGTTCCTTTATCTCCCATCCCATAACTTCACTTTGCACTCTTCAACCAATCAACAGTCCCCATACTTTGGCCCACTACTCTTTCAAAGTCTTTAAAATCCCTAGCCTCATACTCCGCGGAGTGGCACATTTGGGGTTTCCTCCCTTCTCCTCATACAGCTGCTTACCATTAAACCTCTTTCTGTGTGCCTGTGTCTCGGTGTATTTACTTGCTCTACATCAGGCAACAAACCTGTTATGACAACAAAAGAATAACTAAAATAGCCCCATATGCCCAGTAACTTAGACAAAATACAATATAAATCTTAGGTTAAAAAGGACATCACAAGGAAAATATGAAATATGAAGAACTAAAAGACAAGAAATTACTGCGTATCAAAACTTGCGGGAAAACATATAAAAAAATTTAAACATTCAAGTGCTTTTATCATTGTTAGTAGCAGTGAATCGTACAGGTCTGCAGCAACCTCAATTCTAGCCTCCTCAGAAGGAAGAACTCGATGGAGGGCGTAAGGCAGAGGGAGGGACTGAGACAAAATTTAGAGCAAGAGTGAAACTTTATTAAAAAGTTTTAGAGCAGGAACGAAAGTAAAGTACGCTTGGAAAAGGGCCAAGTGGGTGACCTGAGAGATTCAAGTGTGCAGTTTGACGTTTGACGTTTGACATTTGACTTGGGGTTTTATACATTGGCATGCTTCCGGGGTTGCATTGCTTCTCTCCTAATTCTTTCCTTGGGGTGGGCTGTCCGCATGCACAGCGGCCTGCCAGCACTTGGGAGGCGCTGCACGTGCAGTGTGTTTAGTGTTGACTGAAGTTGTGCGCATGCTCACTTGAGGCGTTTTTCCCTTACCAGTCTAGCATTCCTAGAGAAGGCCAGATACCAATTAAACTCTGACATTTGGCCTCTGAATGCGCATGCTTGAGCCCACTTGCCCAACTCCTGAGATCTTATTGGGAAGCTGCTGATCACTAGTTTCGGGTGTTTCTTTCTATTGGGAGAGACTGCCTTTCCCTGTTGCTGGCTGCGAGCAATTAATATTTTAGAGAGACAGTTTAACAACAGCCTGACCATACCTGATAGTCACCTGACATTCCTGGTGGATGGGGGGCTTCTCCTGCCCTGCTCATGTCTGAAGTACCTACTGTAACATCATCAAATGAGAAAAACTAAAAACCATTAGCTCAAACTTCAACATGGAAGCCAGGAAAAGAGCAATAAAATAAACCATCCCTACAAAAGCCATCCCACCAAAAAAAAAAAAAAAAAAAAAAAAAAAAAAAAAAAAAAAAAGAAAGAAAAAAAATCAAGAAGGAAGAACACAAAAAGAAAAGAATAGTAATTAATGAAATAAGTAACGACAGTAAAAGATTAACAAAACTAAATCTGGTTCTTGAATAGGATATAGGGTAAACTTCAGATAAGACTAATACCTCAAAGAGAAAAAAAAGGCATAAACAAATGCATAATAAAATAGGGAAGTAAACTATAGAGATTTTAAAACCATAAAAGAATGTTATGAACAACTGCATGGCAATAAATAGGAAAGTCCAGGGAAAATATGATACATTTCTGAAAAAACAGTACCATAATTGGCACAAGAAGAAATTTCAAACTTGAATAGACCAATAATGTCTATGAAAGTTAAAATAATAATAATAAAATTTTCTCTCTCCACCACTAATAGAGGTCCATTTAGTTTAAAAGATGAGTTCTACCAAACTTTTAAGAAATACAAAATCCTTATTGTATAAAAATTATTGTAAAATGTTAGGGAGAACAAGGAACTCTGCCTGATTTAGTTCGTGAAAGTAGTACAAAATTTGTTTTAAGATGAAATTTTTATTCCAAAACAAAATAAAAGCAAATTCAGAGACGAAAGTATAGGCCAATTTAACTTGTGAATTTAGATGTAAGAATTCCGTGATGTTTAATATTGTCAACTTGATTGGATTAAAGGAAGCAAAGTATTGTTCCTGGGTGTGTCTGTGAGGGTGTTCCCAAAGGAGATTAACATTTGAGTCAATGGACTGGGAGAAACAGACCCACTCTCAATCTGTGTGGGCACCAATTAATCAGCTGCCTGCGTGGTTAGTATAACAGCAAGCAGAGGAACGTGGAAGGACTAGACTGGCTAAGTCTTCTGAACTCCATCTTTCTCCCATGCTGGATGCTTCCTGCTCTCGAACATCGGACTCCAAGTTCTTAAACTTCTAGACTCTTGGACCTACACCAGTGGTTTGCCAGGGGCTCAGGGACCTTTGGCCACAGACTGATGGCTGCACTGCCAGCTTTCCTACTTGTGAAGTTTTGAGGCTAGGACTAGCTTCCCTCTCAGCTTTCAGATGGCCTATTGTGGGACTTCACCTTGTGATCATGTGAGTCAACATTCCTTAATAAACTCCTCTTTATATATACATCTATCCAATTAGCCCTGTCCTTCTAGAGAAACCTAATACAAATTCTAAAAAAGAGTTATGTAACTAAACCCACCAGGATATTAGAAGGAATTCCAATAACTCAAAGTTTAACATGAGAAAATCAATCAAGATATTTCGTACATTACTGGAAAAAAAGAGAAAATCATAAATTATTTTAATTTAATAGATAAATAAAATATTCAATAAGGTTCACCACATATTTATAGTTTAAAAAAACTTATAAAAATAGGAATAAACGGGCTGGGCGCAGTGGCTCACGCCTGTAATCCCAGCACTTTGGGATTCTGAGAGGGGCGGATCACGAGGGCAGGAGATCCAGACCATCCTGGCTAACATGGTGAAACCCTGTCCCTACTAAAAATACAAAAATATTAGCCAGGCCTGGTGGTGGGCGCCTGTAGTCCCAGCTACTCGGGAGGCTGAAGCAGGAGAATGGCGTGAACCCAAAAGGCGGAGCTTGCAGTGAGCCGAGATTGCACCACGGCACTCCAGCCTGGGCGACAGAGCGAGACTCCGTCTTAAAAAAAAAAAAAAAGAAAAGAAAAGAAAAGGAATAGATGGGAATGTCCTTAACATGACAAAGGCAATCTATCCAAAGCAGTGTATCAAACAACATGAGTAATAGGAGTATTTTAGAAATATTGTCATTAAAGTCAAGAACAATATAAGGATATCTGTTATTTACTGTAAAACACAGAAACAAAAGAAGTCCTAGTAAATACAATAAGAAAAGAAAAAAATATTACTTGTTTTGTACCCCCCCTCCAAAATCACCTAACCCAGAGTTTTGTATACAGTAGGCACTCCAACTATGCTCTGAATATTTTGAAACATAGAGAACAGCAATTGATTTTTACTACATGAACCCAATTTGGACTATAAATCTATCATATCCACTTGATAAATTATAGAATAAAGAGTCAATGAGCATGGACAGTACCCAGCCTGCTTCTAGAAGATGCAGCCTCTGGAAGCAGACTGCTTTGCCAAAACAACAAAGTATGTGCAGCACATGTACATAAATAAGAATGAAATACATGTATGTTTAATTAACCAGTAAAGATTGATAGAATAGCCTACAGAGTCCTAAATGTTCAGAGAATGTGAGAAAGCCTGAATGCAGGTGTTGGAAAACCTAGGCTCAAACCCAGTGGTACCACTTCAACTAGTGTAGCCTGGGGCAGATCATAACACGTCTCTAAGGATCAGTTTCATTTTTAAAATAAGTATATAACACATATACTCACATTTCTTTTCACCATTAGATTCTTTTAAAAATCATTCAAGTTAATATAATATCTAAAATTTAATGTTACAGAGTTTGCAAAGCAATATCATATAAATTATCTCACTTTAATCCTTAAAACTTAACTGTGAGGTTGATGTTATTCCCATTTTTCTATTACTTAATTTCCACTAGATTCAATTTCCATGGGAGCCTGAACTTTGTCTTCCTGTTTATCACTGTATTCCCAGAATTTAATGTTAATGTAGCACCTGAGACATTGTAGGCACTTTAAACAAAAATTTTAAACTAAGGTTCAGAAATATTGCGACTAACTGAAGCTGGGACCCATGGGAAAAGCTTTTTTTACTTGGCTTATTATAGAACAAAATAATATTATGACTAATGCCTGATATAAAAACTAGAAAGTAAAACCTTCTTATTTATTCAGTCCAAAACTGATTTGGATAATCTACAACAAAAGAGCAAGTAGATAGTTCTAGAAGATCTATTAAAGCTCTTTCATGATATCACTTTGGGAATTATGCATTGAAAAAATAATGTTTATTCAGAGATTTTTCCCTTTAAAATATATTAAGAAGACATAGTTCCCAAGCTTAACAAAGGCTATCACTTTTAATAATATATTGAAAGTTTAGAACATTATTAAAAACAAACACATCGTACTTAATTTTGGAGGGAATGAATAGAGATGAGTAGAAAGTCTGAAAGCAGAGGTTGAGTAGGGAAATCAGCATCCATGGGAAACATCCTTAAATAAGTAATTGGGAAGCAACAGATCTTGTAACTCAACAAGGGAAAATTGCTGGAGGAGTTTTAATTTTAAAGCTAAAAGCGACCTGTGAATAATCTAAGAATAATCTGTTTGTAGATAAACTACAGCTAGGGCTTGTTTTGTTAAGTATCTTGAGAGGAAAAGGAGAAAAGCAGAATAAAAGTTAGTGGTTATTACACTAGTTGAGTAAGACTTAACATATTATGTTCAAATATTATTTTTTAAAATCTTAATATAGACCTTTTTGTGCTTATTTCACCTCTTACCTACCAACATATCTAATCTGTAGGAATATATTAATGAGTAGCTGGATTCTTTCAAAAAATAATAACGTGTTACCATTACTTCCCTTCTTAGTTATACTCCTCCAGGGTTAGCCAAACTACAGCAGCTCTTTTGTTCCCCTGGTGGAAATGCCTGGAATTGCAGGAATAGTTTTAAGAGGAGCAAACCTCCAATACGTAACTGAAGAAAACACAGATCTCCATTCATATATTCAACAAACACTTATTAGGCACTAAAAAACATGAGATGATGGAACATAAAGATGAATTTCAGTGACAGCAAAGTTTTAAAATACTTAGGAGTATACTATACACTGATGTGGCAAAGGGCTCAGATGATACTGAAGTATCTAGCACATAACATTTAATTATTGGATTTAAAGTATTACAATCTAATTAATATTTGCTCTGGTTGTACATTTATTAGCACCTTGATGTATTATCAGCACCATATGTACTAATACATGTCAGTACCATATATATTTATAACAGGATTCCGGCTCTTGAGAGAATAATTTACCCATATATATATCTCATGGAGATCATTTGTTTACTCCTGACTGTGCTAAAGTCCTGATTTATTGGGCCAGTTTGAGTACCTGCTACAACTGATAGTTGCCAAAAAAATTTAAAAAGTAAAAGAAAAAATTATGTGTTCTGATGAGCAATTTAATACAGAATGAGTACCATTCACTTTTCTTGGATGCTGCTCGATTACACCACTCCTCAGGAGGAGAAAAACCTAAATCTCATTTTATTTTGCAACAACATAATCTAAAACACTCTAACCTGTGAATTGAAATGCCTCCTTTAAAACCTGTTGAAAACTATTACTTTGCTGACTAGTTAAATCAGTTGCAAATGCATAGTCTGTAATTTAGGGCCTCAGCAAATTAAAACTATGTCCTGGACTGCCCAAGGCCACAGAAGTTGCTGTAATAGGCTCTGGAGGCAGGTTGTAAGGAAACTAGTGGATGCATGAAAGTCTTTTTAAAATACACATTAACTTTTGTTTGTTTCTGTATCACTCAGGGATACCAAATGAACCAAGATCCCATGCACAGAACTTCACCTCTTGATTAGAATATAAACACTTGATTCAGAGGTGCTTTTCTTTCTTTGGACTTACCTTTGGTCTTGAAATAGAAAACACTGATGTCCATCTCTATGTGTAACCCGCTTCCTGACTTAGAAAATGAAATCCACTTTCCAAGCTGTCTATTTAAACAGCTCCAGGAAAAGCCATCTATTAAGAACAGAGCTGGAGATATAAAAAAGATTCAGATCCGTATCAATCCATTCAGGGTTTTTAATCTTTATTCAAACATTTATTGAGCATATTCCAGGTACCAGATACTTGCACAGTTCTTGAAATACAATGAAGATAAAAACTGAACTCAAAGAGCTTACGGTCTAGCGGCCTAAAGCATAAACTTTGTTCTTTCTGAACTTATGAACGCAGCCTTCAGATCTCTCCAGAGCCGCCCTGTGAGGCTCGCTTTCTAAGTGATACTTTGTCTGGCTTCCAGAGGCTATATAAAAATAAAGCCTTTCAAGAAGTGGGAGAAGCTTGCTCTGGGGAAGGATTTTATGCATTCCATCCTATTGTTGCTCTCTCTGTAGAACAAGAAAGAAAGGGGAGGTGTTAGAAGGGAAGCATGTGGACACTCGAACAGGAAACGTCATAGAGAAAACTCAGCAAGGCAGACAGGGGAAGAAGGGCTTTGCTTAATTGTTCTCTCAAAGCAAAGGTATCCCACTTTCAGAGCCAATTTTCTCTTTCAATGTAACACTCAGGAATATGTAATCTTAGATGAATTCATGTTCCTCCTTTCCTCTTTTATTTCCATTAAATAATTAATAAATTTTGGGGTAACAAAAACTTTAACAGCAATTTTTAGGAATCTCCCTCCTATATTTGCACATTTGGCTCTCAACTTCTTCTGGAACTGCCTTCTACGTAACACACTCCATATTTGTTACTTAAATGTTCTTGTTTCTTTAAACAAAACATAAAGGTAAAGAAGTTTGGTGACCAGAGCAAATAAGCTCTTTACAAAAGGGCCAAGCACCACACTATCTTGAAACTGAAAACACCCAAATCTTTTCTTAACTTTTCCTGAAGTTAACCGTCTTTTGAGCCTAACTTTCTGGGGAGTGATTGAGGACTGAAGGAATCGGGATTGGCAAGAAAAATGTCTCTCCCTCCGAAGCATCTGGCTGCATACTCTGAAAAGACAGGGCATTTGAAGAAAGAGCATAATCAACCTGTCAGAAACATTTTGATTTCACTTAAATACTGGGCAATCTGACAACAACTTTTCCCACAACTGAGAAGAATCTCCTAACATGAGAGGCACTTGAAGACGTGTTAAAATTTTTACAGCTATTAACACATTCCTAAGAAAAATACTGCTGGAGACACAAGAAAGCCAAGGATAACAATCTTCTCTTTCCAATGAAAACGTTTAGTCTGTTTGATTAAAGGAAGATAAATGAAAGGGCAAGGGCAAACTCACCTCACATTCTGTGCTACAGTTTGGTTTCCCTTGAGACCAAATTGTCTCGCTCAGGAAAAATGTAGTCTGTCTTCAAGTCCCTGTATTCTGGAGCAAGGAATCAGATGAGGAATCACTTAGCATTCAGCACATCTCAGCTGGCTCTGAAGGGCCTGAATTCTCTGGCAACCTTGACCAGGGATAAGCAGAACGGAGAAGGCAGGGCATAGCCATCAATTTATGTTTCCTTCTTCTCCTTATCTCCCTATTCCAAGAGATTCAAAGAGAGGTGCAGATAGCCCTCCAATAAGAACAAAACCCTCTGGACCAGGGTACCTAGGCTCTGGTCCTAGCTCTGCAATAACTGTGACCTTGAAAAACTATTTGTTGTCGCTAAGCTTCAGTTTTTCTTTCCATTAAATTAGGGGGTTGGTCTAAAACAGTATTTTCACACTGTGATTTGGAGCCATTTGTGGGACATAAAGTCAATTTAGTCAGTTGCAACAGGCAATGCTTGGAAAGGAAAGAGGATAAGATAAGGGATAAAGTAGGGAATGGGATGGGATGGGATGGGATGGGATGGGATGGGATGGAACATAGGATAAGATAGCTTAGGACAGGACAGGATAGAAAATATCACACTGCTTCATTTTTTTTTTATTGGTGTTCACAGAAGCCAGCATTCATTGATGTTTTTACAACTTCCCCAGGTCTACCAGGCTTCTTGATCTCACTTCTTCTAGAAGAAAACCCAGCCAAGGTGGTACAAGCTGTAGACAGTGCCACCCAGACACAGCTCCACAGTCCATTGTATAGGATGCTGTCAGTTGTCCTGCCCTTTAAGTGCATTGTGAGGTCACTGTCCACCTCAATTCATCAGGAGAGACCTAGTGTGGGTGTAGGGGTGCCTGAGGAGAAAGGGGTGCTGGTTCTTCCTTATATCCCCTGCCTGCCTCAGCTGGGCTCTGACCCAGCCAGCAGACTGGAGTCCTCTTCTGCATGGTATATTCTTTCCTGAGACTTTTGTTTCAGTTAGGTGTGTGTGTGTTTCTGTTTTTGTGTGTGCATGTGTGTGTCTTAAAATATAGTTCTATGTATTGTGTCTAGAAGAATGTTTGATAAACACTGGATTGAATGATCTCTCAGATTTCCTCTAGCTCTACTCATGTGGAATTTGGTAAGCTATACAGACACCATTCTGATAAGCCTACACTCTGGGTGGGTCCATTCCAGACCTCATACACTACACTAATGAATATGAATCTATTTTTATGTGACTTGAGGCCATTGAAATTTTGTGTACATTTATGTTCATGTATTAATGTGCAAGTGTATTCGTGTTTTTATCTCACCTGATACAGGACCTAACCACTGCCAGCACTGAAGTACAATGTGACTCACTATAGCAAAACAAAAAAGCAGTAGAGATCAATGGCCTTCAACACTGAAGAAATTAGTTTCTAGAGAAGCCTGGGGCTATGTTTCAGTGCCTAGGGCTATGTTTGCTTGATGTAGAGAAGGAATAAGAGAAGGGACATACATGTATTGCTATACTCTGGTACCCATAAAGAATGATCCTTTGGGAATATGCCACTGTTAAAGTAGTTGTTTATAGAACTGAGCTACATGGTCTTGTGACTTGAAAACACTTGAAACAAGAGTATAACTGCTACACAATCATTTCAAAATTCCTGTTTTACTCACTGTTTTATTCTTTGGGAGTAGCACTGTGCCCAGGACACAGTAGACATCATAAAATGTCTGTTGGAGTCTTATATAACTTTGCTAGCCACGGGGGAATCTTCTATTTCAGTAGGTTGGCCCTTGGTTCCTTCTAATTACTTAAAGTCAGGAAGGACTGTGATATCCACCCCATTAGCCAGAATCTAGTCACACAACACCAACCTAACATAAGGAGGTTCATATCAATGAAATAAACATGGATATTTAGTGAGTACTAATATTCTCCATTAATATGATCACTCCCTCCCTCCTTGAAACACTTTATTAACTTAGCTTTCAGAATACAGCACTCTCTTAGTTTTCCTTTGATCTCGTTGGTATGTCCTTCTAGGTATCCTTTCCGATTCCTTTCCTTTCACTTCTGATCCTTTGCTCAATATGAAGTTCAGTGACTTCATGTAGGTAGCTTGAAATCATTCATGGTGGGACTATTTACACCATGGAAATTGGCAAATGCCACAAATTAGGGCTTTGTCTTCAGAGAGCCAATTGTTCCACATTTACCAGCTCACTACTGGCTCTATTTCTATTTTTTAATGGTTCTGTTTGAAATTGTATTATGCATGTTTAACTTAACAAAGTCTAAAATTTAAAAATGTCTTGAACCCCTTGTGAATGATACAGACCTTAAAATAACTTTTCCTCCACTGAAATTATAAAGTACTTGTCCAATATTTTATTTCTATGTATTTTGTAACACCATAAAATATATGGTGTTATTTTACTTTACACAATGTTTACATTTCTGTTTATCATTTACATTCTCACTGTTTTTGTATCTAGACCATCCTTCTGAGATCAGTCTCCTTTTTCTTGAAATGTAGCCTTCATGACTTCCTGTAGAGTGGATGCTTTGGTAGTAAATTCCCTTCAATTTCTGTAAATTATCTTGTATCTGTAAAAGACTGTATTTTGCCCTCATTCTTCAAAGATGTTTTTGTGTTTTGTTTTTAGTGGGAGGAAGAGAACAGGAGTACAGGTTGACAGTTATCTATCAGCATTTTAAAAACATTATTCCACAGTCTTCTGGCTTCCATTTTTCTCTGTGGAGAACACTGCTGTCATTATAATTGTTGTTCCTGTGTAGGTGATCAACCCTTTCTCTCTGGCTACTTTCTGTATTTTCTCCTTGTCTTAATATTCTGAAAATGTATTGTGATGCTTTTAAGATGGACTTCTTTTTCTTTATCTTGCTGGAGCTATGTTGTTCTCTTTGAAAATGTGTTGTCATAATTTTATTTTATTTTATTTTATTTATTTATTTATTTTTTAATTATACTTTAAGTTTTAGGGTACATGTGCATCAGTTTTGGAAAATTAATACTTGCTACTTTGTTATATTTTGCCTCTCCTCCATTCTCTCAAATCTCTTTTTTCAAACTCTTATTGAACATATGTAAGACCTTCTATTTTTATCTTCTATATCTTTCAACGTTGATATCCCATTTCATTTCATCATCTCTGCAACATTCTAGATAGATTTTTCAGATTATTTTTTCAACTCACGAACTTTCTTTAATTTTGTTTAATCTGTTATTTTTACCCATCAAGTTGTTTTGAATTACAACACTTACAATTGTTTATTTCTAGAAGTTCAGCTTTTTAAAATTACCATATTTGCTTGTCTTTTGTTGTTTGTTCATCTTTTAATTGCATCCTTTATTTTGTTAAATGTTTCAAACTTAGCAGTTCATAGAGGTTCAAATGTATTGTTTATTCTGTCTATTGACTGTCCTTCACATGGCCTACTTTCTAGTGTATTTACTAATTTCTGTATATGAACTCATGGCTTGATATTTTTCTGTGAAAGTCCTACAGCCTTAACTTGGGGAAACATTCCTCCAGAGAAAGTTTTCTTCTGCCCCTGCTGGTGATCGGTGGGCACTTATAACCCAGATCTACTTCAGTCTTCCAGAAGAGTTTAACCAAAGACCCAGGTTCAACTTTCTCTCACTAATATTTCCAGTGCTTACTATCTTCATAACAGTGTTTCTATAGTAACACAGCCTCAAAGTTATCAGAATTCATCCCTCCAGCCTACCTGCAGGATCTGGTACACCCCCTACTGCTCTGACACCCAGCTGCTCCAGCCCTCCTATTGTTCTGGCCCATTCCCTCACATCTGCAGCCTTGATCGCAGCCACCTATGCTCAGCCCAACCCCACTGGAGGCTACTGGCTGCCCTGAACCAAACATAAGGGTGCTCAGCTGTCTTTTAAAATTCAACTTAAACATCATTTCTAAGAGGCCTCTGATGACAATGTCTTACTTATGCCCCTACTTACCCCAATTGGATGTGAGACTGACTCCCTCCTTGCTCCTAGGTAATTTCTTCTTCTTTTTTTTAATTATTTCTAATTCTTGGAAATAGTAAAAAAAAATGCCTAAATACTAATAACAAATTTTTGATATTGCTCTCATGTGCAACAAAACTACCCACATTATATTAAAAAGCAATAATCAGGAATGTTTATTTCTGATCAATTTATTATTTCACTGAATATCCATTCGATTTTTTTATGTTAACAAGACTTTTTTCCAGGTTTATTGAGATATAATTGACAAATAGAAATTGTATATATTTAAGTTGCACAACTTGATGTTTATATGTATATATATGCATTGTGAAATGATAAATGATGCCAAGAATCAAAATAGTTGGATTTATTTTCAACAAAATTGTTTTTAACCTAATTATCACTTATTCCTTTGTGATCCCACTAGATCCTACATGTGTTTTTATATAGCCTCTCCAAACTTTTATTTCTGTACTTGTATCCTAGACTACTAAACTGTCGATTTCTTGGAGGTAGTAACCACTTACCTTTATCCCTAGTAGACAGTAGAATGCCTCATATTTATTATTCACTTAATATGATTAAAGTAATGGATGAAGAGCAACCAGAATAATATTAATACATTTCAGTCTAAGTAAAGTATTCTAGCTTCTGCCTTTGTAAGCAAGTAGGTATATGTTTTGTACATAACTGTTTATGGTTTTTTTAAATTGGGTGCATCTGTTAATATTGGATAATTGCTTATGTATAAAAGCTCTTTGGTCTGTTGCAAAAATGATGATCATGAAATCTAAAACCATGATTGCATAGCTCACAGTTTTTACAAAAGAGAGCGCTCAAGGAAAAAAATGTGGTTTCTACTTCAATTCAGTTTGCCCTCTCTGGAATCACATTCCACCTAATTATATATTACAAAAATATGTTGAATTTTCCACCTACTGGGACTTGGTGAGATGAATCTAAGGATGACTTGTCAAAATCCTAGGTTTCAAATTCAAATGAATTCTGAAACCTAGGATTTATCAGATTTCAGTTGTTTTGCCAGATCTTCCTTAATTCTTTTATCCTCAGTTTTCTTAAACAAATGCTTTTTTTTGAGGGAAGAGAGAGCAGAGGCTGTAATTTTCCCACAATATACTTCAATAAATATTTATTGAATTGAATATCAGTCTTTATTCATGCTGATTCTATTGATCTACTTCATGAAACAATTTACACATTCTATTAAAAGCTATTAAAAGTTGAACATAATAAATAGGGTCCCACAAATATTGTCTATTGCATCCAAAAGTAATAGATTTACATTTCTGATTCTACAAAGTTCCTATATTTGATGTCAACATCTTAACAAGCATGGCTAATGACGATGTCTGGTGTATTTCTTTAAAAGGTTGGTAATCCTTTCTAGATTAAAATGTCCAAATCATTGAGCAAAAGAAACTAAATTTCATTATCATTGATCCTATTACAAAAATAAGTAAGGTGGTACAATCAATTTTGAAAGAAAAACTAGAGCAATCTTAGATTGTGTGCTAATGTTAGCAAAAATGACAGAATATGCAGATTCAAATCCATGTAGGATGCAGTAGCCAAAGTTTTTTTGAATTCATTAGTTTTCCATTTTGATGGTATATAGTAGGGAGCAGACTAGTAAGTAAAGTAGTGAGACAGATCTGCTGAGATCTCATGGGCATGTCATCTTTCCTGGGGATTCCCAAATAGAGTCAGTGGGAAAGGGTGAGGGGTGGTAAAGGAGCTTCCTGTCAGATTGTTCTGTGCATTTTTATTCTATAATATTCCTGCTGGACCCCAAGAAAATATGACCATGGGATGGGACAAGCAAGAAAGATTGCTAACAGTGTGTCTTATCTTCACTTTCCTTGTTTAATAATTACCTTTAGGATATAAACTATCCTAGATAGTATTTTAAGTGCACTCCATATTTTAAAGGCCCAAATAAAAATTGAGTGCAAATGAATAACCCTTTTATAATGAAGAAACAATGATTTTAAATACAATAGTTTCCGTACTATATACTGTATACTTGATATAATGGCAACTTTGCCCCCCAGCTCTACCAAATAGCCTAGAGTACTTCATTGTCATTTTTTATGTCTAATGCCACCCAAACTTTTTAATAGAAATCTCACTGGTCAGTGTGTATACTTAACGTGGTGATGCTGTGCTATATAAGCTATTGTAAGTGCTGATTATGTGCCAGGCACCATTATAAGTGCTTTACATTTATGAGATGATTTGACCTTACAAAATCTCTGTGAAGTAAGTGCTGTTATTATCCTCTTTTTACAGGTAAGGAAACTGAGGCTTAGAGGAGTTATGAAATTGCCCAAGGTTTCACAGCTGAAATGTATAAGGACCTGGACTTGCAAATTTGGCACAAAGTTCTTCTAATAAGAGGCCATAAAATAACCAAATGATTTTTTATGTGCCTATAGAACCAAAAGAACTATTTCAGAATGTCAGCTGAAAAGCACGATATTCCAGATAGGTAAGAAAGTCAAAGCTCAGGAGAATTAAAGTTCTGTGGACTATCAACTTTCCTCAATTTTCCTTCTCTTCTAGGGGCTTCTTTACTCCTAGAATAGAAAAGCTTGGAGAATCCGTAGGAAGTTAAAGACAAAGTCAATATCTCCTGTTGAAAGTCAGGGTGAAATCATATATCTTATGTATTGTTAATTCTTCCCACAGAGGTATTTTAGAATAAGTCCCGTCTAATTGCATGGTAAATAGCACCTTGTTTATCCCAATGGGAAATGAGTTGGAGCATCCAACCCTCACACCCTTAGTTTAAATTATTTCTCTTCGTAAAGTCATAAGACATATGCTATGGTTTGAGTCTGCCCAGCAGCTGTCTATATGTTGGACATGTGCATTTGTTGTTAACCTCCTCTTGTTAACTTTTTTTTTGGCATAAGTAGTAGTTTCGTTGTTCATAGTGCAATAGCAATTAACATAATTGCAGATATGCTTCAAGATTTTCAAGATGAATGGCTCTATTTCCACTCAATTGGACAATAGCTTCCGCATTCTGGATAAAGCTCTGCCTCACAATAGTTTTGTGTGAAAGGAAAGAGAAAGAGTCAGGGTAGAGATAGGAACATTTTCAATGTATTCAAATACCATTGAGGTATGGTGCGTACGTAAATATATATATGTGTGTATATATATATGCATATATACATACATGTACTAAATTTGCATTTGACTAAATACAATCACTGTAACTGCTTTCATTATATTGTCTTGTCCCCTTCTATCCTCAACCAGTATAAAATACTTGATATCCATCAGGTTGATTGGAAAGGGAAGGCTATGGTTGACAATACATATTCATAAGTTGTGGACTTACTTTATTGAATAATCAATTTTGGAAAATAATAGCACAAAAATCAGCACATAGGCAACAAATGTGAAAAATGCCTGGTAACAGCCTGTGTTGCAGAATTTCTGTCTTGGCCAAAATTTATAGTCAAAATGAGGAAGACATAAAAGAAGAAATATTTTTGGATCTCAGACATAGATCATGAGGGAGAGAGGAAGAGCAAGCAGTCTTTAGACAAGACAAAAAGTAATGAAAAAGTATTTCTAGTTCAACAGTATTTGGGGGAGTTAAGCTTGGGAAACATTTCTGATGGACTAGCATTTGGGATGCCAAGCAATCAACAAGGGGTAATCTGGGGAGGCCATTTCATCCTTCATTCCATTGGAGGCAAAATCGTGTTGATGTATAAATGTACCTCCTGGTTTCCAATTGTTCTCACTCAGCAATGAGGCATGAAGCCTGAGAAACCACAGATATTTGGATCTAAGAAGGTATTTTATTTCCCCTCTCCAGAGTGGAAAATACACAAGGGCACTTTATCTTAGTCCTGTGAGTTCTCATAAACCTATAACCCTCTTCCTCTGAGCTTCATGCTCTTTAACTTGATCTGTACATAATTCTATTACCTAAAGTGCCCTTGGTATACACATCCTAGACCAGGTGGAAGATGGGGTCTCTTTCTTCCTCACAGATTTCACATCTTGCCCTTCTAGCCTTTCAGGTGCCAAAAACAGATTATCTTAAAGTGAAGCAGCAGCATAGTTGGACTTTAGCCTCCATATGCTTTAATTTTCTTATCGAAAAGGAGGAAAATTGATTTTTCCTTGCCATACACACACACTTACATACCCCCTTTTTCTCCCCCAAAATCTCCACATCATCTGAATTCTTTAATTCCCAAGACTGAATCAATCCCAATATCGTCTATCAGGGAAAAAGCGAGACAGAGCAATGAATTCAGGGCTTCCCGGAGTGGTTTTTACTTTCCCAAATCCTTAGAGACTTCCCTCTAAAATTTTTTTCCCAGCTGTACTTGGAAGCTATAACAGATCCAGAGGCCATTTTAGAACCTCATTTATATTGTCCTGACACTTAGGAATCCAGTTTCTGTTATAGGGATGTCATCAAAGTTGGTGGGCTCAAAATATGACCTACTTTTTAAAACCCATCTGTTAGGAGCCTATAGATTTTCTTGGTTTGTTTGTTTCTGACTGTCTACAGAAAGGGCAACAGCAACATTCTCACTTTCCAAGCCTACCTCCCAAATAGCAATAAACTAAATACTCACCATGAAGGAGCTGAATGCCTTTCAAATATGCAGCAGGCACAAAGCAAACAAACAAACAAATAAACAACAGTGATACTCCTTAATCTGGAGAAAAAAGGATGAGAGCAGGAAGTACCGTTCAGGTTAATTAATGCACATCTAGACTATTTTAATTTAAAAACTTACTCTGGACCAGATAGAACCAGTTAGCTTGCCACGCCTTTGCCACTGTGTGGTCATGATGTTACGATTCTCTGTAACAATGAGGCTTTTAATACCACACATCTAACAAAGAGGGATTTGGGAACCGCAAGTTGAAGCTGATGAATTCTTTAACATAAATCACTATTACCCATGGATTGGTGAGTTGATCTTCAATGTACCCTTTCATTGATTTTACCCTAGCTAGATGGCTAAAACACACACACACACACACACACACACACACACACACACACACACACAATGAAATCTCTAAATTTCCCCCAAAGTCTATCATTCCTGGATTAGAATAAAGCTACAAATAGGGATGGTGGAAAAAGAGAGAGAAAGAAGTGAGGGAGGAGGAAGGAGGGAGGGGAATGGTGGGGAACAGGGAAAGTGGAAAAGAAGAATAGGACATTCATATATACTGGCTGTTTAGCTAAATTGTTTATCTACCTAAAATACACATTGCACATTTTTTATCATTTAATTTTACATCATGCTGACCTCGACCAAACTTTGGTTACTGAGTTACTGATTCAGAAGTAAATTGTAATATGAGTGAGGATCCTATTTTAGAGTCTTTTAATTAAAGTCCAGCTTCCTCATGTCCATGCCTCCCATCTCCAATTCTGTAAAGAATCTTCTTTCCCTATTACTGACCCTGCACTTCACTCTACTCCTGCCAGTTTTGTGCTCAAAACCTGTCAGTGGCTCTGCCTGGCCCACTGGAAAAGTTCTGAGTTAATAGCCTCATGTACAAGGCCCTCTGCCACCTGACTCAAAGCTTCAATTTTAAACTTATATTTACTATGCTTTGATTTGAATGCTCACAAAATAGCTCTTCCACTTCTGGAATTATATTATAATTTAAGTGAGAAGAATAAAACAGGAGAGGAATAAGAAGTAAAAGGTAGACTCTGTACTAGAAAAGCAAACATTTTTCAACAAATCCCTAAAACACACCAATTGATATCTTATTGGCCTGAAGTGTTCATGTAGTTACAAATAGCTGCAAGGAACTCTGGGAACAAATAATTCCCCAAAGAAAACTGAGGTTCTGATAGTAAGGAAGAAAGGAAGAATGGTTATTGGGTAAACAACCTTCAATGTGTACCCAAAAGCCCAAAGCCAGTAGTGGAAGGAGGTTACAAGATATTTTGGTAACAGAAATTATACAAATACATCTGCTGTGCAGGGCTAAGCTCTACATAGTAGCCTATGAATTTACACAGGCTTTTGTTATAACAAGTCAACTCTAGGCAGATGGGATATAAAATATCCCAAATTATTACATCCATATATAAATACTTTTATAATTATTTTGCTCTAATTTCTGAGTTCTGAGACCAAGTCATGAATTGCTAACAAACAGAATGTGATATAATGAATAAGTTATAATAACACTGACAACTCAACTATTCTTTTGAATTAAAAGATCTTAGTCCCGGGATAATAATAAATACCAAAATTATCCGATATTTTAGCAAACAGCTTGAGCACAGGCACATTAAGGTGGCTGATATTTTTGTGCTGAATCAAGCAAAAATTACATAAATATTTACCCAGTCTCATAGCCTGAAGGGAATGGATCATGATTAAAATAAATCAGTCTCTTGGCCAGACATGGTGGCTCACGCCTGCAATCCCAACACTTTGGGAGGCTGAGGTGGTCAGATCACCTGAACTCAGGAGTTCGAGACCAGCCTGGCCAACATGGGGAAGCCCCATCTCTACCAAAAAAAAAAAAAAATACAAAAATTACCCAGGCATGATGGTGGGCACATGTAATCCCAGCTACTAGGGAGGCTGAGGCAAGAGAATTGCTTGAACCTTGGAGGTGGAGGTTGCAGTGACTTGAGATTGTGTCACCACACTGCAGCCTAGGCAATAATGTGAGACTCTGTCAAAAAAAAAAAAAAAAGGTGGAGCCAAGATGGCCGAATAGGAACAGCTCCAGTCTACAGCTCCAAGCATGAGTGACACAGAAGACAGGTGATTTCTGCATTTCCAACTGAGGTACCAAGTTCATCTCGCTGGGAAGTGTTGGAAAGTGGGTGCAGGACAGTGGGTGCAGTGCATCGAGTGAGAGCTGAAGCAGGATGAGGCATCGCCTCACCTGGGAAGCACAAGGGGTCAGGGAATTCCCTTTCCTAGTCAAAGAAAGGGGTGACAGACAGCACCTGAAAAATCGGGTCACTCCCACCCTAATACTGCGCTTTTCCAACAGTCTTAGCAAACGGCACACCAGAAGATTATATCCCAAGCCTGGCTCAGAAGGTCCTATGCCCATGGAGCCTCAATCATTGCTAGCACAACAGTCTGAGATCAAACTGCAAGGTGGCAGCAAGGCTGGGGGAGGGGCGCCCGCCATTGCCGAGGCTTGAGTAGGTAAACAAAGCAGCCTGGAAGCTTGAACTGGGTGGAGTCCACCACAGCTCAAGGAGGCCTGCCTGCCTTCCTCTGTAGACTCCACCTCTGGTGAGAGGGCATAGCCAAACAAAAGGCAGCAGAATCCTCTGTAGACTTAAATGTCCCCGTCTGACAGCTTTGAAGAGAGTAGTGGTTCTCCCAGCACGCAGCTGGAGATCTGAGAATGGACAGACTGCCTCCTCAAGTGGGTCCCTGACCCCCGAGTAGCCTAACTGGGAGGAACCCCCCAGAAGGGACAGACTGACACCTCACACAGCCGGGTACTCCTCTGAGACAAAACTTCCAGAGGAATGATCAGGCAGCAACATTTGCTGCTCACTCATATCTGCTGTTCTACAGCCACCACTGCTGATACCCAGGCAAACAGGTCTGGAGTGGACCTCCAGCAAACTCCAACAGACCTGCAGCTGAGGGTCCTGACTGTTAGAAGGAAAACTAATAAACAGAAAGGACATCCACACCAAAAACCCATTTGTACGTCACCATCATCAAAGACCAAAGGTAGATAAAACCGCAAAGATGGGGAAAAAACAGAGCAGAAAAACTGGAAACTCTAAAAATCAGAGCACCTCTCCTCCTCCAAAGGAACACAGCTCCTCACCAGCAACGGAACAAAGCTGGATGGAGAATGACTTTGACGAGTTGAGAGAAGAAGGCTTCAGATGATCAAACTACTCTGAGCTAAAGGAGGAAGTTTGAACCCATGGCAAAGAAGATAAAAACCTTGAAAAAAAAATTAGACAAATGGCTAACTAGAATAACCAATGCAGAGAAGTCATTAAAGGACCTGATGGAGTGGAAAACCATGGCAAAAGAACTACATGATGAAAGCACAAGCCTCAGTAGCCAATTCGATCAACTGGAAGAAACAGTATCAGTGATGGAAGATCAAATGAATGAAATGAAGTGAGAAGAGAAGTTTAGAGAAAAAAGAATAAAAAGAAATGAACAAAGCCTCCAAGAAATATGGGACTATGTGAAAAGACCAAATCTACGTCTGATTGGTGTACCTGAAAGTGATGGGGAGAATTGAACCACTCTGCAGGTTCAGTTGGAAAACACTCTGCAGGATATTATCCAGGAGAACTTCCCCAATCTAGCAAGGCAGGCCAACATTCAGATTCAGGAAATACAGAGAATGCCACAGAGATACTCCTTGAGAAGAGCAACTCCAAGACACATAATTGTCAGATTCACCAAAGTTGAAATGAAGGAAAAAATGTTAAGGGCAGCCAGAGAGAAAGGTCAGGTTATCCACAAAGGGAAGCCCATCAGACTAACAGCTGATCTCTCGGCAGAAACTCTACAAGCCAGAATAGAGTGGGGGCCAATATTCAACATTCTTAAAGAAAAGAATTTTCAACCCAGAATTTCATATCCAGCCAAACAAAGCTTCATAAGTGAAGGAGAAATAAAATCCTTTAGAGACAAGCAAATGCTGAGAGATTTTGTCACCACCAGGCCTGCCCTAAAAGAGCTCCTGAAGGAAAGCACTAAACGTGGAAAGGAACAAATGGTACCAGCCACTGCAAAAACATGCCAAATTGTAAAGACTATCAAGGCTAGGAAGAAACTGCATCAACTAACGAGCAAAATAACCAGCTAACATCATCATGACAGGATCAAATTCACACATAACAATATTAACCTTAAATGTAAATAGGCTAAATGCTCCAATTAAAAGACACAGACTGGCAAATTGGATAAAGAGTCAAGACCCATCAGTGTGCTGTGTTCAGAAAACCCATCTCATGTGCAGAGACACACATAGGCTCAAAATAAAGGGATGGAAGAAGATCTACCAAACAAATGGAAAACAAAAAAAGGCAGGGGTTGCAATCCTAGTCTCTGATAAAAGAGACTGTAAACTAACAAAGACCAAAAGAGACAAAGAAGGTCACTATGTAATGGTAAACGGATCAATTCAACAAGAAGAGCTAACTATCCTAAATATATATGCAACCAATACAGGAGCACCCAGATTCATAAAGCAAGTCCTTAGAGACCTAGAAAGAGACTTAGACTCCCACACAATAATAATGGGAGACTTTAACACCCCACTGTCAACATTAGACAGATCAACGCGACAGAAAGTTAAAAAGGATATCCAGGAATTGAACTCAGCACCAAGTGGACCTAATAGACATCTACAGAACTCCCCACCCCAAATCAACAGAATATACATTCTTCTCAGCACCACACCACACCTATTCCAAAATTGACCACATAGTTGGAAGTAAAGCACTTGTCAGCAAATGTAAAAGAACAGAAATTATAACAAACTGTCTCTCAGACCACAGTGCAATCAAAGTAGAACTCAGGATTAAGAAACTCACTCAGAACTGCTCAACTACATGGAAACTGAACAACCTGCTCCTGAATGACTACTGGGTACATAATGAAATGAAGGCAGAAATAAAGATGTTCTTTGAAACCAACGAGAACAAAGACACAACATACTAGAATCTCTGGGACACATTCAAAGCAGTGTGTAGAGGGAAATTTATACCACTAAATGCCCACAAGAGAAAGCAGGAAAGATCCAAAATTGACACCCTAATATCACAATTAAAAGAATAGAGAAACAAGAGCAAACACATTCAAAAGCTAGCAGAAGGCAAGAAATAACTAAGATCACAGCAGAACTGAAGGAGATAGAGACACAAAAAACCCTTCAAAAAATCAATGAATCCAGGAGCTGGTTTTTTGAAAAGATCAACAAAATTGATAGACTGCTAGCAAGACTAATAAAGAAGAAAAGAGAGAAGAATCAAATAGACACAATAAAAAATGATAAAGGGGATATCACCACCAATCCCACAGAAATACAAACTACCATCAGAGAATACTACAAACACCTCTATGCAAATAAACTAGAAAATCTAGAAGAAATGGATAAATTCCTTGGCAAATACACCCTCCCAAAACTAAACCAGAAAGAAGTTGAATCTCTGAATAGACCAATAACAGGCTCTGAAATTGAGGCAATAATTAATAGCTTACCAACCAAAAAAAAGTCCAGGACCAGATGGATTCACAGCCGAATTCTACCAGAAGTACAAGGAGGAGCTGGTACCATTCCTTCTGAAACTATTCCAATCAATAGAAAAAGGGAATCCTCCCTAACTCATTTTATGAGGCCAGCATCATCTTGATACCAAAACCTGGCAGAGACACAATAAAAAAAGAGAATTTTGGACCAATATCCCTGATGAACATCGATGCAAAAATCTTCAATAAAATACCGGCAAACCAAATCCAGCGGCACATCAAAAAGCTTATCTACCATGATCAAGTGGGCTTCATCCCTGGGATGCAAGCCTGGTTCAACATACGAAAATCAATAAATGTAATCCAGCATATAAACAGAACCAAAGACAAAAACCACATGATTATCTCAATCGATGCAGAAAAGGCCTTCGACAAAATTCAACAACCTTTCATGCTAAAAACTCTCAATAAATTAGGTATTGATGGGATGTATCTCAAAATAATAAGAGCTATCTATGACAAACCCACAGCCAATATCATACTGAATGGGAAAAACTGGAAGCATTCCCTTTGAAAACTGGCACAAGACAAGGATGCCCTCTCTCACCACTCCTATTCAACATAGTGTTGGAAGTTCTGGCCAGGGCAATTAGGCAGGAGAAGGAAATAAAGGGTATTCGATTAGGAAAAGAGGAAGTCAAATTGTCCCTGTTTGCAGATGACATGACTGTATATCTAGAAAACCCCATTGTCTCAGCCCAAAATCTCCTTAAGCTGATAGGCAACTTTAGCAAATCTCAGGATACAAAATCAATGTGCAAAAATCACAAGCATTCTTATACACCAACAACAGACAAACACAGAGCCAAATCATGAGTGAACTCCCATTCACAATTGCTTCAAAGAGAATAAAATACCTAGGAATCCAACTTACAAGGGACGTGAAGGACCTCTTCAAGGAGAACTACAAACGACTGCTCAATGAAATAAAAGAGGATACAAACGAATGGAAGAACATTCCATGCTCCTGGGTAGGAAGAATCAATATCGTGAAGATGGCCATACTGCCCAAGGTAATTTATAGATTCAATGCCATCCCCATCAAGCTACCAACGACTTTCTTCACAGAATTGGAAAGAACTACTTTAAAGTTCATATGGAACCAAAAAACAGCCTGCATTGCCAAGTCAATCCTAAGCCAAAAGAACAAAGCTGGAGACATCATGCTAACTGACTTCAAACTATACTACAAGGCTACAGTAACCAAAACAGCATGGCACTGGTACTAAAACAGATATATAGACCAATGGAGCAGAACAGAGCCCTCAGAAATAATGCTGCATATCTACAACTATCTGATCTTTGACAAACCTGACAAAAACAAGCAATGGGGAAAGGATTTCCTATTTAATAAAAGGTTCTGGGAAAACTGGCTAGCCATATGTAGAAAGCTGAAACTGGATCCCTTCCTTACACCTTATACAAAAATTAATTCAAGATGGATTAAAGACTTAAATGTTAGACCTAAAACCATAAAGACCCTAGAAGAAAACCTAGGCAATACCATTCAGGACATAGGCATGGGCAAGTACTTCATGTCTAAAACACCAAAAGCCATGGAAACAAAAGCCAAAATTGGCAAATGGGATCAAATTAAACTAAAGAGCTTCTGCACAGCAAAAGAAACTACCATCAGAGTGAACAGGCAAACTACAGAATGGGAGAAAATTTTTGCAATCTACTCGTCTGACAAAGGACTAATATCCAGAATCTACAATGAACTCAAATTTACAAGGAAAAAATAAACAACCCCATCAAAAAGTGGGCAAAGGATATGAACAGACACTTCTCAAAAGAAGACATTTATGCAGCCAAAAAACACATGAAAAAATGCTCATCATCACTGGCCATCAGAGAAATGCAAATCAAAACCACAATGAGATACCATCTCACACCAGTTAGAATGGCAATCATTAAAAAGTCAGGAAACAACAGGTGCTGGAGAGGATGTGGAGAAATAGGAACACTTTTACGCTCTTGGTGGGACTGTAAACTAGTTCAACCATTGTGGAAGTCAGTGTGGCGATTCCTCAGGGATCTAGAACTGGAAACACCATTTGACCCAGCCATCCCATTACTGGGTATATACCCAAAGGATTATAAATCATGCTGCTATAAAGACACATGCACAGGTATGTTCACTGTGGCACTATTCACAATAACAAAGACTTGGAACCAACCCAAATGTCCAACAATGATAGACTGGATTAAGAAAATGTGGCACATATACACCATGGAATACTATGCAGCCATAAAAAATGATGAGTTCCTGTCCTTTGTAGGGACATGGATGAAGCTGGAAACCATCATTCTCAGCAAACTATCGCAAGGACAAAAAGCCAAATACTGCATGTTCTCACCCATACGTGGGAATTGAACAATGAGAACACATGGACACAGGAAGGGGAACATCACACACCGGGGCCTGTTGTGGGGTGAGGGGAGGTGGGAGGGATAGCATTAGGAGATATACCTAATGTTAAATAATGAGTTAATGGGTGCAGCACACCAGCATGGCACATGTATAGATATGTAACTAACCTGCACGTTGTGCACATGTACCCTAAAACTTAAAGTATGATAAAAAAAGGAAAAAAATATATAATTCGATTTAAAAATGAAAAAAGTCTATATATGAGAAATTGCATTAAATTTGAAAATAAATGCAAGTACGATATGTATACTGGCTATACTTGCACTATCGACTTGCAAGTATGTCAATTTAAGATAGGTCAAGTCTAGAAGTGAGTATGGGCAGGAGTAATTAATTATCTTTGTGATCTAGACTGTAAGCCTGTAGTGAGTCACATTCTTTATGTCTAAGAACTGTGACTGGTACATAATGCTGAACTGTTGGCTGTAAAATAAAATGAAGTTTTATCATAACCATATTGGCCTATGGTGGAAGTATTCCTGAAAGGAACCAAGGAGAAGTCACTTCTGGGTTTTGCACCAACAGAGAAACTTCCTATCCTTCTTCCTCTGTGTTACCAGTGTCTGCTGATTTCAGCCGGTCTTCTCACTTTTTGATACTCTTAGTTTTGGCTTCCACACTATATTTGCTTTTAAAATGTAAACTCCCAGAGGTCTGTGTTCTTGCTTTAATTTTAGCAAGCTCTAAGCCAACAACAAAGTGTTCTATGCCCAAATCTGAAAAAGCCCAGGCACAGTCCAAGCACTCAGCCTTCCAAAGTATACTTTGCAACTGACTTGCTGTGTTGGCATCAGGCAATTCATCTCTCTCCTTCCATTCATTCATTGCTAAATAGTAATAATAGTCATCCTCACTTACAGCAGTGTTTCCTTTGTCATTAAATATTTACTAAGCATCCACTGCATGACACAAACTTGGAGCTATACAGGCTAAACCAGCCAGATGCTGTCCTTGGCTTCAGAGAGCTTTTATGATACAAAAGACAGGTGGAGGCTGGGCACACAAGTACAGGTTAAGAGTATGCAAACTTGTGTATATGTGCACGTGTGTGTGTCCAAGGAACAAAGGATTGAACCACAGCCCATTTGCTATTTTTTTACTACGTGTGTTAGCCTTGATTTTAGGTTATCTTTGGCCATGAATAAATGGAAATATATGAATTTCAAAAGCATTGAACTTCACACTAGAGAGTAACCAGATTCTACTTCTTTTTCTGTTTTCACAAAGGGCATTCACTAGCATATGCCTAAAGGTACTCACATAGCAGGTACACAATATGACCCCACAGAAGAATAATGAGCAACTAAACATTGACAGTAACAATGAGACTGTGGCCAATGAGATCACACCATGCAATGAGATAGGTTGGTGTTACCTAAGTGCATAATACCACTATGACATTATTCTTTATGGTAGAGGTCAACATAAGACTGAATTGCAATGGTTATTTCTGCTAAGAAAATACTTTCTCTGGACAAAAGAGGGCATTTGGAGAAATGGGAACCAAGAGGGTATAGAATGGAAATTATGCTGTGTTAATATGTCTCCAGCTATGAAGCCCCAGCCATTCCTATTAACCTTGTGTCAATTTGTATTATTTAGAGACAGTCAATTATGTGAGGTACATTATAATTTTTTTAAGCCAGCAATAGTTGGAGGTTGTCATCTGGAACCTAGCTGTGTTTCCTTTGTTTGCTTAATCTATGCTTTTGGTCTTTCTGAAAGATGAAAGTCTGTCATTTTAGCCTCAATGCCTCATAATATGTATGTTAAACTCACCACTGCCTCATTATTTATTAATGTCAATTTATCATACTTCAGTAGAGGATGGAGGCCGAAGCCACAACAGTGACAGATGTTCCAGAAGATCAGCTTATATAATGAGAATTTGGGCCAAATCTGTTGAAAGTGGTGTTTTTTAAAAAAACACACTGACTTCAAAGAAATGAGTTGTGGCATCTGTAACATCTACAGGAGCAGTGCCAGTGGAGGCTAGCGGGTCTGCAGAGGAGCAGCTCAAGTCATGCGATTACTGGAGCTTGCAGCAAAATGACTGGAACAACATCTGGGCTGCAGCAAGCTGGCCAGGACATTTTAAAAGAGCTCCTGTGGTGCCTCCAACTTTGATTTTACAGAGCTGCGGGGAAAGAAACAGGCTGTGTTCAAGAGCTCATGTGTTTTGCCTCACATGTTTTGTCCTTGCTCACTGTGAAGGGCCTCACTCAGCTGGGGACCCTGAGGGACACTCTTGGGCAGTCATTCTCTGTCTACTCTGCTAGCTCTGTAGGTTTGTGCTAGGGTCTGGGCAGGCAATCCCCGCAAAGGGTATAAAATAAGAAATACCTTGCACTAATTCTTAAAATTTACACTTATTCTTTCTCAGCAAGAAACTCTCAAAGGATGCATTTGTGCAAGAAGTTGACACTGATCAGTTAGTTGGTTTTGGATAATATGCTAGTTGGAAACAAAATAGGATGTGTATGTGTGTGTACATCTGTGTGTGTGTGTATGTGTGTGTGTGTGTGTGTATGCATGGTGAGGGAGTGAGGAAATTATGTTCTACAACTGAGAATTAAGAATATCCATTCCCAGTACCCCAGTATGATTCTCAGTATCACAACATCACAGTGTTTAAAAGCACTTTTTCCCTGTCCTCTCTAGAATATTCATTTATTGAACAAATATTATTGTGAACCTAACATGTGTGTGACATATAGTAGAGAGGATCCTGGACAGAGACCACCTGGGACTGAATCCCAGCCTTGTAGCCCACCAGTTTCATGAGCTTCTACTACCAAGATGCTTTGGAAAACATTTATAAGATGCTTTGGAAACCCTGAAGTTCCATAACATAACACAGGAGGTGGGACAGCAGAGTGATGAAAAGCATGGTCCCTGGAGCCAGGATCCTTGGGTGCAAATCTTGACTTTGACACTTACAGGCTGAGTGACTTTGGTCACATTATTTAATCTCTCTTTATTACTCAGTGTTCATGTCTATAAGATGGGGTGATAATAATAGCATATATTACAGAGGCTTGTTGTTAGGAGCAAATGTGTTAATATATAAGATATCTTTAGAATTTTACTTGGCACATACAAACCATTATTAAGTATTTGATCCATTAAAACTCTCTCTCTCTCTCCTGCCCCCATCCCTTCCCCCAAAGCCCATAGTGGCACATGTGTCAGAGCCCTTAGTTGAGGCCTTAGTCAACTCACAACCTCAGATCATATGTAGGGAGGGATATGGGAAAAGAAATGACCTAAACCAGTAAGAAGGAGAATGAGAAAGCTCAGTTCTTTCTCTTTCCTCATTTCTAGTCATAGATGCTTAATGGCATTTGCAAATGCCTACCCAAATATGCCAGCAGCAAAAGGAATTTAAAAATAACTTAAATATGATATAATTTTCATGAGATATTGTATTTAATGCAATCTCCAAAAGTGACACTTATCCTGGTAGGACATTTTAGATTCAAGTGCTTCAAGAACTAACAGAATCATCCCAATGCAGAGGCCCCATAAATGATCACTTTGGGAAAAGCATTTTTTTTCTTTTTATAAACTCAGTAACAGCAGAAACAGATCATAGTCTCTAGAAGCCACAGTGATAATCTTTCCTATACAACCATTTTCACTTCACGATGAAAGATGGTGTTGGGGCCCAGCAGATTTTTCTTGAAGTTTATAATGAGTCAACTACACAGACAAGAAGTCCAGCCTCCTCTTTGATATCTCCCTTTTTCCCCTTATCTAAGCCAACTCAGTGTTACTTTTTATTGGATTTCCATTACTTCAATGTTCTTCATGGAGCCTCAGTTCCTGTAATTATTACAGCTGATGGTAGTTTAGTACTTTGAACATAATTAATTAAATCACTGCATCACACAGGCCAGACATATTTCCATCAAAAGTTGCTATCTTGTCTTCCAGCTTAGAAACCTTGGCATAGTGCCTTCCTGGAAATCCTGGATTGCATCTAAAACCATGTGGCAGAGGGAGAAACAACAGACAGGACATCCTGAGAAGACTCAGGCTGGGACGAAAGCTCTGCTCTCCAGGGACAAAGCAGCAGGGGACCAGCCATGCTCAGAAATACTCCACTGGCCAGTGCACATTTTTTTGAGCAATTTCACTTGCTTCCTCACCACCTGTCCCCCTAACACTTCTATTAAAGTGGCAAATAAATCTGATACCCAATTTCAACTGCACTTTCTTTCCAAAATATATATAACACTAATACACCTGGTGTATTTACTGCTTATTATTAACCAATAATCATTTCCATGGAGTATGAAAGAAATTCCTCTTTTCTCCAACAATCCTCTAAAGATTGTCTTTATATGAGAACATATCCTGGGTCACAACCATTAACCATCTATAAAGAAAGACTCGATTTTTTCCTTTGACTGATGAAGTACTATATGGCTACTACAATGAATATAAGGAAAGAAGTAAAGGATAGTAGCACTTACTAAATACCTATTATATATCAGTCCTATTCTGTGACTTCAAAGATCTTACATTCATATTGTTAATCTAAGGCTAACAAGCTCACGGTAGTGGCTACCACTTTTAAAGCGCTTTCCAATGATCCTGCGTTCCATCTCTGTGTGCTTCTCTTTTCAGTCCTTACGTTTTAAACAAAAGATACTGTTTCGCTACCAGGTACAAAGTACACACAGGTACCAGATATCCTGATGCTCCTACTTCTCATTTTTCCAGTAATTCCTAGGTAAGACTACTTTTGCTAAAGTATTCAACAGAATAACATTACCTTCCCCAGTCATAGAGCTATTTCTCTGACTGATGCTTCATAACTCTGTCCAGTATGGTAGTCACCAGACACATGGCTACTGAGCACTTGAAGTGTGGCTAATGTAGCTGCAGAACTAGAGTTTTAAAATTTTGCTCAATCTTAATTAACATAAGTTTAAATTTTAAACCGAAAGCAGTGTAAAAAGTGAAAATTCACTTACTGTTAGTGTAAAATAGAAACTGGAGCTCAAAGACTAAGTACAAAAACAGTAAAATCCTACAGAATTAAGTTTTATATTAGTTACATGTTTAAATAATAATATTTAAGATACATTGGGTTAAATCAATTATTAAAATTAATTTTACTGTTTTTTCTTTTAATGTGGCCAGTAGAAAATTTTAAATGGCATATGTGGCTCATCTTCTATTTCTATTGGGCAATGATGCTCCAGAAAGAGAATTATAAAAAGAATAGAAAGAGTATTCTCTACACCCGGAATGTATAGGGTGAAGAATAGAGGGGGAAAAAGGAAAAAATACTAATTTAACCCAGCTAACTACATGAAAGAAAAATAATTTTATCTGAGACTAAATCATGGACTCATTATTCCCCATAGGATTAATTTTCCATTCCATGTTCCTCATTAAATCTGACCTTGAGAAATCCTTCACTGGCCACTTCTGGGTGGTAAGATTGCCTTGTGTGATTCTGACTACTCAATGTCTGATCACAACTCACCCCTCTATCCTTTAGTAATCCAGTAGAAGGTTATAGAAGATAAAATTTTATTCATTCATTCATTCATTCATTCATTCATTCATTTATGTCTACATGATCTGAGGTCCATGTTTTTGGATAGCACAATTTGGCATGCAAATATAATAAATAAATTGAGTTTCAAACATTTTTAAAAGTACTTAAATGGTATACTAAACACACAGCTTACAGCAATGGCATTAAATGTCCCGTATGTGGATTTTTTGGGGGGGTGCTTAATGAGATGAAAGGATCACACAAAATGTTTTTGTGAAAATGATTCTGTAAAGTGGGACTGTAGATCAAAGTTCACCACTGTCAAATATACAACTTGAGAACAAACTAAAGTGCTGCTATTAATCATGGTTTCTGGGGATTTGATGACACAGATTAAACTGCTGTAAAGAATACTGCTGTGCATCGTGTTCTTGCAACTGTCATCAGCACTTCTGCCAAGTGTCCACAGATCATGAAGAAAAGCTGCCTAACCTCTACTGGAGGTATCTCTCTCACTGAGCTTAGTCAAGAATATGAATAGCAGGTTTAAGTTCATGACAATACCTCAAAGATACTGTATCTGCAAAGCCACTGCTTTCTTAGGGAAGAAAAGGCTTCATGAGTTTGAGAGGCAAAATGGAGGTGGAACATGAAGCAAGTAAACTGAGATCAGATACCACATGACTTTCATTTCTATCTAACTTTCAATCAGATAGACTTTCCATACATATTCTGTAAAATATTTTAAATAATTTATAATGTGCCATATTTCAGAGGTCTGAGGCTATGTAATTTTTTTTTTTTTTTTTTGAGACAGAGTCTTGCTCTGTTGCCCAGGCTGGAGTGCAGTGGTGCTGTTACTGGGTGGGTCTTTGTTCTTAGAGCTCCTAAGATGGTGGCGGGCCACTCCCAAGATGGGGCAGCAAGCCTTTTATTCTCTGACCTGGGGTTCCTGGCCTCACAGATTCCAAGGAATGGAACCTTGGGCCACGTGGTGAATGTTATAGCTGTATTAGAAGCCATGGGTCACAGAAGAGAACCATGGAACCCAGCAACTAGCGTTTAGCTCGATTAGGATGAACGTAGGCACTTAGCCATGCAGGAACAATGGTGAGACTCTAGCCCGAACGGGAGCGTCAGTGGGTGCCTCGCTGGATCAGAAATGCAGCAGACACCCTGCCAGATCCAGAGGGGTGGAAGTCAATGGCGGGTCTGCAACGGCGGTGAACAGCAGTGGCGGACGGTGAGCGAAAGCTCAGCAGGAGCCAGAACAAACGTGGACCAGAAGAGTGTGCAGTTGCAAGATTTAACAGTGAAAACAGAGCTCCACACAATCGGAGGGGACCCAAAGGGGGTTGCCACTCCCTGCTCGAATACCTGGGTTTGTATCCCGATCATTGACCCTCCCCATGTGCTCTCAGGTGATATATGATTTGACTATTTCTTTACCTCCTGCTTTTAGCCTAATTTGTATTTTAGTGAGCCATCTTTACTACCTGATTGGTCATGTGTGAGCTGAGTTACAAGCCCCGTGTTTAAAGGTGGGAGCAGTCACCTTCCCAAGCTAGGCTTAGGAAGTCTTAGTTGGCCTAGGAAATCCAGCTAGTCCTGTCTCTCAGTACCCCCTCTCAACAGGGAAACCCAAGTGTTGTTGGGGAGGTTGGCCAACAACAGCTTTAACTGCTTCCTGCTGAATTGGGGTGTAGTAGGGGTTGTGCAGTTGAGATTTCCTCAGGAGGGATGCCTTCGATGTCATCAACATTGGAGCATGGGCTAGCAGGCCCGTCCAGGGGTCCACAGTAGATCTTAGTCATGGACTGCATCTGGGGCTCCAATTGAAGAACCATTTGTAGTTTTACAGCTTTGATTCTGGAAGACACAAACTTAACAAGGAGGTTAAAGATACAGGGATTGAAATGTATGGCCTGAAGTGCAGGGGCATATGGGTGTGGGCGGTGAAAGTGGAGTTTGCTTTAGAAAAACTCCTATACTATGGGGCATCAATGTTTCTGGGAAGCCGAATTCTCCATAGAAGCTCTTGGTAAGGGGAGCTACTGGTAGTGCAGTGGCATGGAGAAGGTGCAGTGAGTATGAAAGGGGATAAGAGAACAGTAAAAAGAAAAATATGGCAAGGGAGGGCCATGGGGATCTACGATTCTAGTTACTTTCCTCACAGTTGTCACTTGAAGAGCAGGCACAGATCCTCCAGAGGTTCACAGGAATAGTTAGCGTTGTTTTCTGGATTTTTGGGTTCCTTTGGCAGTATCCAGGGTTTGACTCGAGTGTGATGTATGCAAAACTCCACTCCAGCCACTTTAACTGTGGTTGGGGTAGATAAAAATGACTGGGTAGGGTCCTTCCCAGGATGTATCTAGGGATGGGGAATTAGAGAGAACGGACTTGACTAATACCATGTCACTAGGGTGGAATAGTTCCTTTCCCTCCTCTCGGGGACAGGTTCCCTGTGATGTTTTAAGAACTTGTTGATATTTGGCTAAGGAGGTGATGTCTGCAACTAAGTTGGCCATTTCTCAGTCAAGCACAAGGTCATTGGTTAGGAAGGGCCATCCATATAGCATCTCGTATGGGCTAAGTCCTGCTTTTTGGGGGAGAGTTATGGATTCTTAGTAAGGTTATAGGCAACAGAGCAGGTCATGCAATGTGGGTTTCTTGGGTTAGCTTTTTTAGATCTTTGAGTGTTTCATTCATTTTCTTGACTTTTCTGGAGGATTGTGGCCTCCAGGCACAGTGTAAGTGATATTGTATGCCTAACACCTGGGATACTCCCTGGGTTACTGCAGCCTTGAAAGCGGGGCCATTGTCACCCTGTAATCCTGGGGGAAGTCCAAATCTGGGAATTATTTCATTAGTGCCTTTATTACCTCTTGGGCCTTTTCTGTCCTACAAGGAGAAGACTCCACCCAACCAGTGAAAGTATCTGCCCAGACTAGTAGATGCTGAAATCCCTGACATTTGGGCATGTGGGTAAAATCTAGTTGCCAGTCTTCCCCTGGGTAATGGCCTGTTCTTTGTTCTCCTGAAGGAGCATGGCGATAAGGCAGGGGATTATTTCTTTGGCATGCTTCACGGGCCCTATCTGCTTGATAGTTTTGAAAAGGCCTGGTCCAGTAAATAATGATTTGGCCATCTGATGGGCGCTACCAATGCCTAAGTGAAAGGTCTGGTGAAGGGTTTTAAGAAATTTCCACTGGTTAGCTGCAGGCAAAAATATTTTTCCTTCTTTGGTGGCTAGCCATCCTGAGGGGAGGAAACTATGTCCTCGTGAGGGTCCCCATTCTATTTCTTCTGCTGAGTACTGGGGCTTGGTTTCCTGGAGGAGATTACCTCATACTAGGGGTCCTTCTATAAGCATTTTGAATGGAGGGTCCCAACTTGCAGCTCTTTTGGCTTCAATATCTGCTTGGCGGTTCCCTTCTATTTTCCTTTCTGATGACCCCAGTAGTGTAAGACTGCCACCTCTTTAGGTTCCTGTACAGCCAATAATAATCTCCTAATGGCTTCCTGATGTCTGATAGGTGTTTCCTCAGAAGTTAGGAATTCCCTATCTCTCCATATTGCTGTGTGGGCATGGAGGACTAGGTAAGCATACTTAAGAGTCTGTATATATATTTACCCTTTTCCCTTCTCCTAATTCTAGTGCCCGAGTGAGGGCTATTAATTCTGCCAGCTGAGCGCTAGTTCGTGGAGTGTGGGGATTACTTTCAAGTATTCCATTATCACTGACCACTGCATATCCCACCTTTCAAAGTCCTTTTTCTACAAAGGAGCTTCCATCAGTATACAAGCTGAGTTTGGGATCAGTCAAGGGAACCTCTAGAAAGTCCCCTTGAGCAGCATAGGTTTGCACATTTACTTCTTGACAGTTATGTTCTATCTTTTCTTCATTATCTGGAAGAAATGCAGCTGGATTAAGAGTTGCACAAGTGTACAGTCACAGCACTGACCCTTCAAGTAATACAGCCTGATATTTAAGCAAATGGTTGTCTGACAGCCACAAGTCTCCTTTAGCAGTGAGTATGCCGTTCACATCATGAGATGTCCACACGATAAGATCTCTTCCCTGTATTATCTTAACTGCTTCAGATACTAAGACTGCTACTGCTGCCACTACCCATAAACAATGAGGCCAACCCTTTGCCACTACATCAATTTCCTTACTAAGGTATGCCACAGCTTGCAAGCTGGTTCCTTGGACCTGTATAAGGACTCCTAGAGTTATTCCTGTTTTTTTCTGTGACATATAAAGAAAAGTCTTGCCCTGTTGGCAAGCTTAACACTGGGGCTTGGGTTCGGGCCTTCTTTAGGGCCTGAAAGCCACTTCTGTTTCAGGTGTCCATTCTACTAAATGGGTATCGGCTTTCTGAGTTTCCTTAATTAGTGTTTATAATGGCCTGGCTATTTCACCGTACCTGGAAATCCATATTTGGCAGAAGCCTGTTATGCCAAGGAACCCCCTTAATTGCTTCAGGGTTTTGGGATGAGGATAAGCCAGGATAGACTGGATACATTCCTCACTGAGGGTCCTGGTGCCTTTGGATAGTTGTAGCCCTAAGTATTTATGTAAGCAGGGCTGAGCCTTTAGTTTGGAAAATTTGTAGCCACAAGTGGTGAGGAAGTTTAAAAGCGCTTGGGTGGCTTGATGGCACAAGGTTTCTGAATGGGCAGCTAGAAGTAAGTCATCCACATACTGAAGGACATGAGTGTCCAAGTATGAGAACTGGCTCAAGTCTTGGGCTAATGCCTGGCCAAATAGATGGGGGCTATCCCTGAGCCCTTGGGGTAAAACAGTCCAGGTGAGTTGAGACGTTGGGTTCGAAGGATCTTCAAAGGTAAACAAGAATTGAGAGTCAGGATGTACAGGGGTGCAAAAAAAGGCATCCTTAAGGTCCAGGACTGTAAACCAGTCTGCTTCCTCTGGTATTTGGGAAAGCAGAGCATAAGGGTTAGGTACAGCTAGGTATAGAGAGACAACGGCCTCATTGATAATCCTGAGATCTTGCACTAACCTCCACTGTCCGTTGGGTTTCTGTACTCCTAAAATTGGAGTATTGCAGGGGCTATTGCATGGTTTTACTAGGCCTTGGGCTTTTAGGTCCTTAACAATCTTTTGCAGTCCTTGTTGGGCCTCGGGTCTGAGGGGGTACTGCCTTTGGTAGGGAAAGGAGGCAGAATCCTTTAGTTTAACTTGAACAGGACGGGCATTCTTTGCTCATCCTTATTGTCCTTCTGTTGCCCAGACTTCAGGATTAATTCCTTCCTCAAGTAGTGGACAACAAACAGATGTTCCTTCTCCTATGTTCAGGTGTATAATGGACCCTGCTTTTGCTAGAATGTCTCTCCCTAACAAAGGAGTGGGGCTTTCAGGCATAATTAGAAAGGCATGTGAAAAGAGTAAAGGTCCCCAGTCACAACTCAGTGGTTGGGAGAAGTATCTAGTGACTGCCTGTCCTAGGACCCCTTGGATAGTGACAGATCTGGAGGACAGTTGTCTGGGACGGGAGAGTAAGACTGAGAAGGCTGCGCCAGTGTCCAGAAGACAGTTAACCTCCTGGTCCTCAATGGTCAAGCATACCTGGGGCTCTGTGAGGGTGATGGCATGGGCTGGCGCTTGCCCTGGGCACCCTCAGTCTTGCTGCTGGATCATCTGGTTAGTGGCTTCTGACTCAGAGGACCTTCATCCCCTGGGGCAGTGGGCCTTCCAGTGATTCCCTTGACATAAGGGGCATGGACGAGGGGGCAGCTTATTCCTATTTGGATAATCTTTTTTAAAGTGTCCTTGTAGACTGCACCGGAAATAAGCCCTATTAGGCATTTGATTTGCCCAGCCTTTCCATGTTCCAGAGCCTCCAAAGTCTACTTGCCTGAGAGCCATGACTAAAGCAGTGGCCTTTTTCTTATACCGTTTGTCCCATTCTGCCTGCTCCTCCTGATCTCTCTGATAAAAAACTGAGGTTGCCAAGTTCAATAGGGTTTCTAAGTTTTGCTCCGGGCCTAAGGTGGACTTTTGTTTTTTTTCTAATATCTGCAGCTGACTGAGTGATAAACTTATCCTTTAAGATTAGTTGGCCTTCCATAGAGTCAGGTAACAGAGAGGTATGCTTCCTCAATGCTCCCTTAGTCTCTCCAGAAAGGCAGTAGGATTTTCTTCCTTTCCCTCTATAACAGTGGACATCATTGAATAATTTATAGGCTTCTTCCTAGTTTTCCTTAGTCCTTCTAGCATGCAAGTTAGCAAATGTCTGCAGCACCAATCTCCATGTTCTGATTCTGTGTCCCAGTGAGGGTCTACACTGGGAACTACCTGCTGGCCTGTGGGGAATTGTTCTCCTTCCTCTGTTGCAATCCTATCATTGACCTGACTGAGATACCAGAGATCGCCAAACTCTCAGGCTGCAGTTATGGCGGCACTTCTCTTATTTGGGGCTAGTGTCTAATTTAGCAGTAACATATCTCTCCATGTCAGATCAAAGGATTGTCCTAACCCTTGTAAAACATCAGTATAGCCATCAGGGTTATCTGAGAATTTACCTAGGTCTATTTTAATTTGTTTCAAGTCTGAGAGGGAAAAAGTTGCATGCACTCTGACTGGGCCGAATTCTCCTCCCACCACTTGGATGGGACATAATCAGGGAATATTGGCACTCTTGGGTTCATTGTTTACCCCTTTGTCTATCTCTTTTTGGACCATTTGGGTTGAAGGGGGGGTCCTTATTAGTTGGAGAAGGAGCCGGGGGAACACCGGGGCAGGGGGGTAGACTCTGAGGGCTTCCTGTAGGGCATAAATTTATACTTTTTACATAATTGCGAGTTGTCTCTTAATGAAAAAAAGGTTGTACATATGGCACTTCACTCCATTTGCCCTCCTTTCTACAAAAGAAGTCTAGCTGTAAGATGGTGTTATAATGTATACTTCCCTCAGGGGGCCAGCTTTCTCCCCCTTGAAGAGGATATTGTAGCCAGGCAGTAATGCAGAAGAATATAAGTCATTTCTTTCTTAGCGTCTGAGGGTCAAATTGGTCCCAATTCTCCAGAATACATCTTAGGGGCATTTTTGCCTTGGGGGGAATGTTTCCCATCTGAAAAAAGAACATAGGGATGCCAGAACCCCTAGTTATTTTCTGATGAGCATTAGTCCTAGAGCGTCCTGTATGGTCCTAATGCTTACTCCTTTCCAGGGTGTGTAACCAACCATGGACCTCTGCTTATTGGATTAGTTATGCTCACCGATGTAGCAGTTCTGCACCTGTTTTCCCACCTCTATTGACCACAGAGAAAGGGTTCTGGGCTGCTGGATTCTTGTGGTCCTTTACCAGCATGCCCAAAATATTGGCAATAGCCTTTGCTCTCAGGGTGAGTTCTAGAGCTGGGCTGGGTTCCTGAGTATTTCGTAACAACCCAGTTGCCCCATCAAGATGCATTCCCATAAACAACAGTTCTTATGCAAATTCATTTCAGAGAGGGTGTAGGTAATCTTCTGAGTCAGGATTGAGATAGAGTTTTTTTTGAAGATGATAACCATTTTTTCCAAAGCAAACTTCCTTTATGTGTGTGGACTAAACTGTCTAAGGCCACAAGATTAGAAATTAGGATAATACAGGTTACACTGTGAACTTTTAGCAAAATTTACTTTTGTTGAAAACCTTGTTAAGTCTGGAATTTCAATTATCCTTTGCTATTAATAAGACCTTGTTTAGTCTAAATTAACTTAGAATTGGTATAGATGGTTCCTTTCTGGTTCTGTATTTTAAGGCTTGGCTTAGTGCCAACAGCTCCCACGTTTGAGCAGACCAATTATTAGGCAATTTTCCTAACTCTGCTTCTACAAGAGTTTCCCTATCAATATCTGAATACACATTGTGGTTTTTTTCCCCTCAATCACGTGAGAGGAACCACCTATTGTCCTGTCCTGAAGGGGGTTCCTCCTAGGTTTGTTTGGACCTTTGTATGGTAATTAAGATTTAGATCCCCTGTTACGAAATCTGCTGGGTTAAAGGAATTATCAGTGGTTAGTGTTAAATCATCTTTTTCTAACAGAATAGCCCCATACTTTAAGATTTTTGAGTTAGTAAGCTACCTTTTTGCTTTTTTTGACTTAGGATAGTTCTGAACTGGTGAGGTGTGCTCACAATGAGGTTTCCTCTAAAAGTTATTTTTCTACTTTCTTCTGTTAGCAAAGCAGTTACTGCTACAGATTGAATGCATTTGGGCCATCCGTGGGTTACTGGGTTAAGGATTTTTGATATGAAGGCTACTGGTTGTCAGTGGTCTCAGTGATTCAGGCTATGACCTTGTTTGGTATTGGAGTGTTATAGGGTCCCAGAGAAGATCTTCAATTACCAATTATAGGTTTTAAATTTACCCTGGCTTTTAAAGGAATAGGGCACACTGTTTTTTTCTTTACTACTTCTCTCTCTTTCTCTCTCTGCCTTTCTCTTTCCCCTCTCTCTCTCTTTCCTCTCTCTCTTGTTCCTCTCTCTCTTGTTCCTCTCTCTCTCTCTCCTTCCTCTCTCTCTCTCTCCCCTCCCTTTCCTCTCTCTCTCTCTTTTTGTAGATGGATTTTGGGAAAACAGCAGAAGGATGTTTGCTCATTGCCCCCATTTGCCACTATAGGAATATGCGCCTCCCTTAAATTTACTCAATTCGTTTTCATCCTAATCTATTATGTTGTTGTAGACCCAGTTCCAGTTATTAAAGTACTGGGTCATCAGTTCTAAGGCCCTGGCCAAGGAGCCAAGGCTTGGAGATTATATTGCCAGGGTGGGGGAGGAGAGGGGATGTTAAGCTGGGTAGAAATGGGGGAGGAGAGCATCTTACACAATGAGAGAGCAATCCTCCTAGCCATTTACAAACTTGGGGCTCTGAAAAGGATGATGGGGAATGGGTCTCACATAACTGCCCATTCAAGAGCTGCATACCTAAATTGGGAGGGACACCAGGGGCAAGACTCCCTGGGTTCATGGCCTAGTTGCCCAAGGACACAGTGTTGAGCTTCCTTAGATCCCTTTGGAGATACAACTTGCTCTAATACTTGGGAGAGGAATTGAAAGTCTGAAGCATTAGTACCTAGGAGGCAGGGATTGGAGGAAGTAGATTCAAAGGTAAGGAGAATTTTGGGGCTACACTTTCAAGAAAGTCATGGTCGGGACCCAGGAGGTAAGGGTCAGAAGGAGAGGTAGGGGCGCATGCATGGGCGACTGAGTAGAGACTTCTGGCTGCACCATGATGTCGGCCAATGCCGGGAGTTCGGGACTACAGCTTTCTGCCTCTAGTAGGCCCTCAGCTTCCCCAGGAAAATTGTGAAAGCGGAAGCTGCTTCCAGGCAGACCAATGCTCCCAACCCAGAAGGGTTGGGGGTTGTTAGAAAGCATTTTCCCAGGAAGCCTCAGCCTGAGTCTTAAGTCCAGCAGCCATGCCAATTGTTTTTAACTGGCCGAGAGGTGCCTGGTATTTTCTTCAATTCTAAGGAAGGATAGGAAAGAACAGCAAGGGAAAATGGTCCAATATTACTCACCACTTTGGAGAATCCCCATACGAGGCCACCAAATGTTACCCGGTGGGTCTTTGTTCTTAGAGTTCCCAAGATGGGGCGGCAAGCCTTTTGTTCTCTGACCTGGGGTTCTTGGCCTCATGGATTCCAAGGAATGGAATCTTTAGCCATGCGGTGAGTGTTATAGCTCTATTAGAAGCCATGGGTCATGGAAGAGAACCGTGGAACCCAGAGACTAGTGTTCAGCTCAATTAGGATGAACCTGGGCACTTAGCCATGCAGGAACAATGGCAAGCCTCTAGCCAAATGGGAGCATCAGTGGGTGCCTCGCTGAATCAGAAATGCAGCAGACACTCTGCCAGATCCAGAGGGGTGGAAGTCAACGGTGGGTCTGTGATGGCAGCGAACAGCAGTGGTGGATGGTGAGTGAAAGCTCAGCTCGAGCCAGAACAAACATGGACCAGAAGAGTGTGTAGTTGCAAGATTTAGCAGAGTGAAAACAGAGCTCCACACAATCGGAGGGGACCCAAAGGGGGTTGCCGCTCCCTGCTTGAATGCCTGGGTTTATATCCCAATCATTGTCCCTCCCCCTGTGCTCTCAGGCAATATGATTTGACTATTTCTTTACCTCCTGCTTTTAGCCTAATTTGTACTTTAGTGAGCCCTCTTTACCACCTGATTGGTTGGGTGTGAGCTGAGTCACAAGCCCCATGTTTAAAGGTAGGGCTATTGCCTTCCCCAGCTAGGCTTAGGAATTCTTAGTTGGCCTAGGAAATCCAGCTAGTCCTGTCTCTCAGTGTGATCTTGGCTCACTGCACCCTCTGCCTTCCAGATTCAACCAATTTTCCTGCCTCAGCCTCCCAGGTAGCTAGGATTACAGGCACACTTGACCACACCCAGATAATTTTTTGTATTTTAGTAGAGACAGAGTTTCACCATGTTGCCTAGGCTGGTCTCGAACTCCTAAGCTCAGGCAATCCACCTGCCTTGGCCTCCCAAAGTGCTAGGATTAGAGGCATGAGCCACTGCGCCCAGCCTCAGGCTATGTAATTTTTAAATAATTTCAAAAATCTTCCAAATAGGAATGCTTTTCAGAGTTGATGGCATCTTACAATCACTGTAGGGCAGGCAGCATGCTTGTTCAATTTTAATCACTTTCACTGAGTTCTTTGCACTGCTGGTACAGCAAGGATTGAATTTACCAAATAAAATGTCTTCAACAAGGTTACATAGCAGCATTGAAACAAAAGACTACTGTGCACATAAGGCTTAGAAAGAAAAAGGTGGGGCATAAACTTGACATTAATGAAGGTCACAGAAGGAATGGTGTCAATTCCACATTTTCTTACAGCAACAATAAAGCACTTTATGGAACCAAACTAGTAGAAATCAACTTAGAGTTTGTTTGAGACATATGCAAAAGGATAGACTATTGCATGCCAAACAATGCAATGGAAAGCAGAAGACTTCAAAGTAATGAGGGACTGATGTGACTGATGACATGCTGCACAGGACTATGGATAAGGCATTGTATCAAGTTTAATTGGCATCATGTTTTCTTCCTGGTTCAATAACTAATGACACATCTTAGATTTTAAAAAGTTAAATATATAAGTAAACAGGTAAATGGAGACTTGTGAAAGAGTTTGTGCTCTCAGTTTTTTGGGGGGCTACAGTGATCCATTTATAAGGGACTTAATTTTCTTTTGGTAAATAATAAGTTGTCTCCTGCTCTCCTTTCTAACATAGGGAATGTTTGGATAAAGTTTACATATCTTCTTATATACTTTTTCAAATGATTGTTTTAAGATATGTACCGCCTGTATCTAAAATAAAAGCTGAAAATGAAAAAAAATATATATATGAATCATTTGGTCTCTTACAGGTGAGCAACACTTAAGTACAGAAATAATGGAATTTTCCTGTGTCTTGTTACCTACAAATAAAATGAAATGATTTCCCCTTCTTACTTACTTATGATCTAATAGAAATGACTATTGAGATTTACTACAGAATGTTGATAGCCTGTTTTGATTGCCAGGAGAATTAAATGCTAGTTAGGTGAGGATCAAATACACTTGCATTTGTGTATCAGGCTTCTGTTTTTAATGCCATACTTTGGCAGTCACACAAGAAACATTTCCCATGCTTTCTTAGTAAAGCAATATCACAAATACACTTGGCTTGCAAAAATGAGGGACTCAAGAAAATACTGTTACTCATATTATATTAGAGGCAGCAATACAATGTGTCCAGGATGGAAGTGTACATTTTTATGTCTTCTGTTTAGAATCAAGACCTAGAAAGTGTTTCTTCCATCAATCACGTTCTCCCTAGCATTTGTTCTCATAGCACCATCAATGCCCTTTTCACGAACACTTACACTGTGGTAAGTTTACATTTATTTGAGTTATTATTTGATTACTGTTTCTTCCACTAGATTTTATACTGTATGTGTGCAGAGAAGTTCTACATCGTGTTCACTACAATACTCCTGATATCTAGAATGATACCTGATTCACAGTTGATGTTCAATAAATATTTGTTAAGGATTGAAAATATTAATAGGCAGATAATTGTGCAACTGACTTTCAGAAAGCCATGAGGATTATTTTAAGTCTGTCTTACTAAAATTAGCACAGTGCTTTGATTGTACCAGCATCTTAACCATTTTAAGTGTACAGTGCTATTGAATTAAGTGCTTTCATATTGATGTGCAGCTATCACCACCATCCATCTCCAGAACTTTCTCATCTTCCCAAACTCAAACTCTGTACTCATTATACACTTACTCCCAGTTCCCCTCTCCTTCCAACCCCTGACCACCACCATTCTACTTTGTGTCTCTGTGAATTTGACTACTGTAGGTATATGTAAGTGGAATTATACAATACTTGTCATTTTGTGTCTGATTTATTTCATTTAGCATAATGTTTTCAAAGTTCATTTATGTTGTAATGTGTCAGAATTTCATTCCTTTTAAAGCTGAATAATATTCCAAGGTATGTACAGCCATCACTCAGTATCCCTGGGGGATTGGTTCCAGTACTCTCCTTGAATACCAAAATCCACAGGTACTCAAGTCCCTTATAAAAAATGGTGTGGTATTTGCATAGAACCTGTGCACATTCTCCCATATACTTTAAATCATCTGTAGTTTACATATAATGCTTAATCAGTGTATGTAAATGCTACGTAAATAGTTGTTACACTGTATTGTTTAGGGAATAATAAGGGAAAAGGCCTACATGTTCCGTACAGATGCAAGCATCCATTTTTTTTTCAAATATTTTTGATCCATTGTTAGTTGAATCCATGGATGAGGAATTCGTAGACATGAATACCGCATTTTGTTTACTCACACATGCATTGATGGACACTTCAGTCTCTTCAAATTTTGGCTATTGAGAATAATGTTACTATAAATGTGAATATATAAATATTGATTCAAGTCCTTGCTTTGAATGATTTTGGGTGTATACCCAGAAGTAAAATTGCTGGATCATATGGTAATTTTATTTTCCATTTTTTAAAATACCCTCATATCATTTTCCGTAGTGGCTGCATCATTTAACATTCCCAGCAGCAAAGCACAATGGTTCTAATTTCTCCACATCCTCACCAAAAGTTATTTTTTAGTTTTTTTATTTGCTTTTATGTTAATCATCCAAGTGGGTATAAAGTGGTATCTCAATGTGATTTTGATCTGCATTTCCCCAGTGATTAGTGATGGTGAGCATCTTTTTATGTGCTTACCAGCCATTTGTATATCTTCTTCAGAGAAATGTCTATTTAAGTCCTTTCCCTATTTTTTAATAGGGTTGTTCATTTTTTGATGTTGTTGAGTTGTAGTTCTTTATATATTCTAGATATTAATTTCATATCATATAGATAATTTGCAAGTATTTTCTCCCATTCTGTGGGTTACCTTTTCACTTTGTTAATAGTGTCATTTGATGCACTGAAGATATTAAATTTGAAGTCCAATTTATCTGTTTTTTTCTCTTGTTACCTAGCATTATGTTTTACAACACAGTGAAAACAAGTCTGGGATCAGATGGACTTGAGTTCAAATCCTGATTTTGCTCCTTTCCAGTTGGGTAGCCCTGGTAGGTCAGTCCCTTATTTTTGTTTTAATCACATATTTATAAAATCATACTAAATAGTACCTTCCTTATTTAGGTTTTGGGGACTAAAATATGTTAAGTAGCTTTGGGGTCACAATTCATGTTATATGAATATTAGTTAATGTCAACAATCATAAGATTTCCCTCCCAGAAATAAGTTTATAATATATTATTATCTTTATCTTTACTATCGCAACATATTTTAAAAATATGTTCAAACAGCATCTCTACCAAACCTACAAAAATTAGCCAGTCATAGTGGCTTGCACTGGTACTCCCAGCTATTTGGGAGGGTAAGGTAGGAGTACTGCTTGAGTCCAGGAGGTGGAGGCTGCAGTGAGCCATGACTGTGCCACTATACTCCAGCATCGGTGACAGAGTAAGACTCTGTCTCAAAAAAATAAAATAAAAATGTTTACAGAGGTCTGGAAAAAAGAGTTTTCTCTGGAAACCTCACCATTAGAAATAACTTATCATAGCATTTGGAAGTTTTGTACATATATATATCTCTAGAGGAACTAATATCGTAAGAGCAAAAGCTGACAGGTTCATTTCCCCCTTTCTAATCTTTAATAGTAAACTCTTAAAAAATCACCAAGACTTTCCCACTGGCTGTGCCCCAGCTCTGAATTCCTCAGCTCCCCACTCATGGTAGGGTGTTGTTTACTGGATGGAAATAAGTAGCTAGATGAAGGGAAGTTTTGTTGAAGGATATTTGCTTTGGTGATTGCTTCTACCAATCAATGCTTTCACTGACAGGAACTTCACCCCTAAGATGGCACCCACTAGCTGCTGGGTCAACAGCCATCCACATGGTTTTTTTCAGAGCAAAGCAGAGTTTCCCCAAAGTGTCTTGGATCTCCAACAAGACAGGAAAAGTCAGCAAGGAGAAAGAACCTTCATTCTCTTTCCTCTTCCCTTCCCTTCTCTTCTCCCTCCTTCTCTCTCAGTAAGAATTATTTCCCTAATAATTATTATTGCCCAATCTCCTTCCTTCCATGTTTACAGATGCCATTTAGGCATCAGAAGACCTATGCTGAGTCCTAACTTTTCCCTTGATGGCCAAGTGATTGTGGGTAAGTCTTTAACTTCTGTGAGCCTCAGTTTTCTTACATACAAAGTTAGGATAAAAACATCTCACAGGATTGTTGGAAAGACAAAATGAAATAATGCATGGGAATCTGTGGTGTGTAATATAAAATGCTGTGTAAATTCTAGTGGGGTTTTTTTGTACCTCATATGAGGGAAATTCTGCATTAATTTTTTTCTGTCTTCCCCTGGGAGGCATTGTCTTCTTAATGCATTTAATTTAATAGAGGTAAGGCAAGAGAAAGAATCACATTCACCAGCAAACGATTAGCTGGGTTTTGGTCTGGTTTGAGAAGGGAAGAGGCTGAAGCAACAGCAGAGAAGCTTTTCTCCAGTGGCTCAACAGTGGGCATTATATGGAGATAATGAGCATAGGACCAGGAGAAAAAAGCAGGGCATCAGCATCTCCTCATCTAGGAGGTCAGTCAGACACTGTACATGTTCTGTGTCAGTCTCCCCTCTTCAGAATTAACAGCTGCTCTTCCCAAAACCAACCTTGTCAAAGGAGATTACAATGTATAACTCCCCCAAGGAAACTTTTTGGCCACTACCTTATAGAAAGGAAATGACATGTGTCCTGGGTCATTTCTGGACAATTGTGTGATAAGACTAACTATGGAGGACAGAACTGGTTAGGCATTCAATACACTGATTTGTCATGAAGCAGTTGCCTGGCAGAGTCACCTAGCATTATCAGTCAGTTTTCATATAGTCACAGAGTCATGACTACTCATAGTAACCCTCCAGAAGCATCATCCACACAGAGGGTGAGCTGTGCATTCAGGGAACTGTTCTCCCATTGTCATTGTTCACATTTCTTTTAGGGTGCATATTACTTTCTGCTTTGCAGAGTTTCTAAAGCTTCACTGCCCAACATGGTAGCCACTAGCCACATGGGGCTAAACTTACATTTAAATTTGAATTAATTAGTATTTAATAAAATTTGAAATTTAGACCCTCAGGCAGACTAGTCTCATTTCAAGTGCCCAGTAGTTACATGGTCTAGTGGCTACTGTCCTGGCCAGTGTAGAATATTTACATCTTTGCAGTAAGTTCTATTGAATAGTACTGTTCTAGAATACTCACTTACCATTTCCATCACTCTTCCCTAGCTATTAGCAAATGGTCCCCCATCTTCACAGCTCTCCTTGATTCTTGATCCCTCACATCTCCCCCATATAACCTAAGTCACAGTCTCCAATTTTCCTACTGTTCTTTGTAAATACCTCTTACTATGGTTTGAATGTCCCCTCCAAAACTCATGTTGAAATTTAATCATCAGTGTGGCATTATTGAGAGGTGGGGCCTTTAAGAAGCGAGGGAAGACGTCAATGATAGACTGGATAAAAAAATGTGGCACATATACACCATGGAACACTATGCAGACATAAAAAGGAATAAGTTCATGGTCCTTTGCAGGGACATGGACAAAGCTGGAAACCATCATCCTCAGCAAACTAACACAGGAACAAAAAACCAAACACGACATGTTCTCACTCATAAGTGGGAGTTGAACAGTGAGAACACATGGACGCAGGGAGGGGAACATCACACACTGGGGCCTGTTGCGGGGTGGGGGAAAAGGGGAGGCAGAGCATTAGGACAAATACCTAATGTATGTGCGGCTTAAAACCTAGATGATGGGTTGATAGGTGTAGCAAGCCACCATGGCACATATATACATATGTAACAAACCTGCATGTTCAGCACATGTATCCCAGAACTTAAAGTAAAATTTAAAAAAATTATGGCAAAAAACCCAAGACTGTCAAATTTATGAATATAAAATTTCTGCTAAGTTCACGACAAAATTAAAATGTGTTATTATCTCAAAAAAAAAAAAAAGAAGTGAGGGCAAAGCCCTCATGAATGGATTAATCCATGCATGGATAAATAGATTAATGGGTTATCATGAGAAGGAAATGGGTGGCTTTATAAGAAGAGGAAGAGACACTTGGGCTAGCATGTCAACACACTCAACCTCCTCACCAAGTGATGTCCTACAAAGCCTCAGAAATCTTCAGAGAGCTCTCACCAGCAAGGAGGCTCTTATTAAATGTGGTCCCTTGACCTTGAACTTCTCAGCCTCCATAACTGTAAGAAATAAATTTATTTTCTTTATAAATTACCCACTTTCAGGTATTCTGTATACGGAACAGAAAAGGAACTAATACACCTCTCTTTGTACATTTATCACATTGTATTATGATTATGTGTTTGCACATGTGACCTTCTGATGAGTCTGAAATTTTCCAAAAGAACAACTTTCCTTGCTCATCACCACATCTCCAGCAACAGATTATGGCACTTAGCAAGTACTCAACAAATGCTAAATGCAGGGATAAATGAATGATTGAACTTCGAGTAAACAAGTAAACATGTGTTAGGAACTTAAGGTGTCATTCATATCCCTCCCCCTGAAATTCTGACAGATGCATCACACACATGAAGAATAGGGAAAAAATGTAGAAACCAAATACAGTTTTATTAATCTGGGCAGATATCTGGTACCCACAAAACAGAGCTATAGTAAAAGCTGCGGTAGGGAACTCTGGAAGGCCTCCTGCCTACTCTATATCTCCTCTTCTCAGTCTATGCCTATTTTATCCCCAATCTCTTAGGTGCTCTTACCATAAGAACCTGAGCAAATACTAAGCCAAAGTAGTCCCATACGTTCCAGAGAAAAGGGAATGAGGCAGAAAGCAAGAATGAGCATGCATGCCCCAATATGGAGTGCCTCACTCATCTAAAGGATGTATCCTCACACAGCATCAGTTTCTGGGTCCACAACCACCAATGTGGCTTTTTCTCAGAAGAGAGGTTTTCTCCAAAATGTCTTGGATCCCTCCCTAGAGAGAAAAAAATGTTTTGTCTGACAGAGCACCTCTAATCTATGGGGTATTAGAGAGTGGTCTAGATACTCTTATTATTCTATATAAGAAAACAAGTACTTTTTTCTAGATGAAATAATATTTATTGCAATATCAACTCACTTGCAGAGATAACCTAGAAGTAACCATGTTAGTAACCTAACACATCAATCCCTTCAGAGACCCTGGGCCCATACCTACCAGGATATAATATGTCCATCTCTTGTGAAGCTTGGGCTTCTCTGTCACATAAACTGTCTCACTGCTATCAATGATACATCTGTGGCAAGCTGGATGCCCTAGGACATAAAAAGCCTCTCTTTCCTGATGTTATTCCTAAACTAGACTCTAGGGGGTACCTGCAACAGAAATTGTCAATTCCTGAAACTACAGCTGAAGTTCTCCCTAGATGGAATGATGTCCAAGTTGCATACAGAGAACTACCTTCTTCCCTTAGGAGTAGTTCTCTGTTAGATTCATATAACATCCTAATGGCTTTGGAAGATATTGATGATAAAATACTACAATTTTAGGAGGAGTATCTTATTTAGCTGTCAGGCCCAACCCTCTGTTCATAAGAATCTGCTCAAGCAGGGGGAAAAAACAAATTAAAAAAAAAAAAAGTAAAGAAAAGAAAAAGAAGCATTTCCTTTCCTGTCTTTTTGTGAGGAATCTATAGTCCTCTTTGTCTCTTCTGATATGGCAAATGGGCAGCTGACCAAGCAAAACCTCCAGACCTCCCAATTTGAGGTTTTATTCCAAAGCCTACAAAATTCATTGCTTTACTCACTTAATCACATATTTATTTATGTACTCCCTCTTTTATTAATCATTTTATCTTTGCTAGGTCCTGTGGCAAATACGTAAATGAGATATAGCTCCTGCCCCAGAGGACTCCCATTATAGCTGGACTGGTTGATCTAAATGAAAAGGGGATGTTTAGGTATGTTCTTCAAGAGGGCACAGAGCACTGTGACAATATTTTAGATGGAGAGCTGATTTCTCCTGGGGAAAGGTAGATGAGAGAAATAGAAATTGGGAAAGTCTTCACTGAGGACAAAAGTCCTTGAGTAAGTCCTTGAAAATAAGAAGGTGGGTGAGAAAGGACATCCAGGACTAAGAAAAAAAAATATGAAGAAAGACAAGGCAGCTTGAAAATGCTTTATGAAGCCTGCCAAGGGGACTGTCACTGAAGTTGCTGAAGCTTGTAGATGGGTCACAATGGTGACCTCTGAAGGTCACATGGGTCTCCACACAACTATCTCCTATTTGATCTCTAAGGACCTTCCAGTTCTATATTTTTATGTTTTTGTGTCTGTCTTCTTGGTATCCTCAAGGTTAAACCGAGTAGACCGCAAATATTTAAACATACACAATTTCTAGTTCCTTTCTTCCCCATATACCAAGGTTATCAAACTTAGAAAGACAAAATGAACAAAAGCTACAACGGGTCCACCATAATGTTCATTCATTCTTGGCCAAACTTCCCCAAGGCAATGGACTACCCCAAGGCAATGGACTACTAGGGCTTTGTACACTACTTGATAGAAGTGCCATTTTTTTTTTTTTTTTTTTTGAGATGGAGTTTTGCTCTTGTAGCCCAGGCTGGAGTGCAATAGCACGATCTCGGCTCACTGCAACCTCCGCCTCCTGGGTTGAAGCGATTCTCCTGCCTCAGCCTCCTGAGTAGCTGGGATTACAGGCTTGTGCCACAATGCCCGGCTAATTTTTGTATTTTTAGTAGAGATGGGGTTTCACCATGTTGGCCAGGCTAGCCTCTAACTCCTGACCTCAGGTGATCCACCCACCTCGGCCTCCCAAAGTGATGGGATTACAGGCGTGAGCCACCGTGCCTGGAGATAGAAGTGCTTTTTAAGATTCTCTTTATTATTGTTGAGTGAGAGCTTCAATTGTTTGAAAAACATATGGTTCAACAAATTTTCCCTTGAAATTCATTTAGGCAAATTAAGAAAAAGGAATCTGCAAATCTCTGCAATCCATTTCACCAAATACCTTTAAGAAAAATGTACAGGAATTTTCCCAAGCCCTAAACAAGCACGGTTTTCACTTCCTGCTATTAATAGAGAAATATCTTATTACAGTGCTGTAAACAGCCAAATTCAAAAAAATGAATTTTAAACGATGTTAGGGTTTCCAAAGAAAACCACAAAACAAACTCAGAGTTAAGGTGGTAATGCATCCCTGTTGTACCCTGGCACAGAAGCAAACATTTTGCAGTGACCATCTGGGATATGTAACATAGTAATAAGGGCGAGGGCACCAACTCATAGAAAAGCCAAGAGGCAATAATTTTTTTTTCCTGCCAACTGTGATATATTGCAGTATGAATATATATATATATATATATATATATATATATATATGTATATATATACATTTCTTTGCCAGCAAATCAGCTTTTACAAGATGTTTGGTTATACCAACAGTGTTCTTCACTATTGTATCCCAAATGACTAAAATGATGCCAAGGAAATGGTCAATACTTAATATTTATTAATTTAATAAATATTGAAATTGCCTACCATTTCTTATGGTAATAAAATGTTTCTGATGGCTTTGGAATCCTTCTGTCTTCCTTTAAGATACTGAAGGAATCATTTATTTCTCCAAGACTATCCAGGTGTGTTGGGAAGAGGGGTAATTTATCAAGTACTATTAAATTTATACACCTGAAAAGCACCTTCAAAATACATTTATATTACTACTACTACTACTACTACTACTACTACTAGGAATGTCAAAAGGCTGATTGAAAGAGCTCATCAAAATGCTTTGGTCCTCACACCAAAGACATAAACAACAAAATTTAAAAAAAAAAATAGATAAATTGGACCTCTTCAAAATTAAAAGCTTCTGTGCTGCAAAAGACATAATCAATACAACTAAAAGACAGCTCAAAGAATGGGAGAAAATATTTGCAAATCATATATCTGATAAGAAGCTTATATCTAGAATATATAAAGAATTATTACACCTCAATAATAAAAAGACAACCCGATTAAAGAATGGTCAAAGGATCTATATAGATATTTCTCCAAAGAAGATACACAAATGGCCAATAAAGCACAGAAAAATAAGTTCAATGTCATGAGTCATCAGGGAAATGCAAATAAAAACAACGAGACATCACACCCACTAGGCTGGCTGTAATAAAAGACTGATAATAACAACCGTCAGTGCAGATGTGGGGAAACTAGAACCCTCACACATTGCTGGTAAGCATGCAAAATGGTGCAAGTGCTTTGAAAAACAGTCTGGTGGTTCCTCAAAAGGTGACCTCAGAACCTTCCAATTCCACTGCTATATAGCCAAGAGAAATCAAAGTGTATGTATGTCTATACAATAACTTGTACATAAATTTTTATAGCAGCATTATTCATAACAGCTAAAAAGTGGAAACAACCCAAGTGTCCATCAACTAATGAAGATATAAACAAATTGTGGTAAATTGACACAACAAAATATTATTCAGCACTAAAAAGGAATGAAATATTAATACATGCCACAACATGAATGAACCTTGAAAACATTATGCTAAGTGAAAGAAGTCAGTGCCAAAGACCACATATTGTATAGTTCCCTTGACATAGATGTCCAGAACAGGCAAATCTATAAAGACAGAAAGCAGATCAGTGGTTGTCTAGGACTTGGTGATAAGGAAGGAATGGAGGGAAAAGGAAGATGACTAATAATGGGCATGGAGTTTTTTTGCAGTGATAAAAATGTTCTAAAATTGATTGTGGTGATAGTTACACAACTCTGTGAACATATTTAAAACCACTGAATTGTTCAATTTAAATAGATGAATTATATGGCATGTTAATTGTATCTCAATATAGGTGTTATTTAGAAAAATCTCGTCTTTTTATTAAGTAATTCTAGTGATGTAATTAATATGATTTAAAAATATGGATATAGGATGTGTGTGTTGATTCAGCCTTGTATAAACTCAGTGAACTGCAGAGTAATAAACTGCCTCATATTATTGTATCTGAGTCTCAGTAGGAATAAAATTATTCAAAAAGACACAATTGTTTTCTCGAGGATTTAAATGTATTTTGAATGGACTTGGAATGATCTCCATATATTATAATAGACTGCTATACTTATTTCAAAACAAAATAATTTAATGCCATGCAATTAAGAGCATCATGAAAAAGAAATTTTATTAATGTCTTTTACTATTCACTATAAAGTAGCAAATACGTTACTAAGTATAGCTTCCTTCTGATATTAAAATACTAAAATTTATCCTGTAAAACTAAAGCACAGTTCCATTTAAAGGATAAATTTCACATAATTCAACAAGTTGAAAATAATACTGATAGTGTTATATTCTTTGTAAAGCCACAGATACAGTATATATATATATATATCCAAAAATAAACAGAATATATTCCAAAAGATATAATAGTTTTATAAAACTAGTTTCCCAATATTAAGCTAAATATTTATATAATAGGACCATATGAATTGGAAACTAAAAGGAATACTAACAATTATCATCCCAGCCATTCCTTTCACACATAGCAAAACTGAGACATAAAGCAGCTAATTTTTTTACCCAAAATCATGATTGAGAAATCCATAGTCTCAAACTAAGTTCTCTAATTCCCGAGGACATGTTATTCTCATCATACCACAGTTCAATGAAAAGAAAGCACATTATTTGAAAATATATCAGCATGTAGAGGGATACTAAGTTTATATATCTGTTGAATGTTTGTATACTTGAATATATTTGTCGATTTCTAGCACTGATAATTTTTAAGGTTTGAACTCTTAGAATGCTGTAATCATGTATGAGTACTTAACTGCTCATATATTTAACCTTACTCTCAACTTATCTGAGCATTTCTTTTTAGAAAGGATGAACAATGAGATTAAAACACAACATGGTAATAATTTAATACAATTAGTTCTTAAGGGAAAGCTTAGAAAAAACTTCATGTAGATGAGCCAATAAATTTCTCATGAGGAAATAACACTGTGTTACACTTTGCAACAAAGGAATCTTTACAAACCTCTCTAATTAGAGACAGCATCAGGGTAGGTAGCATCCACCACCTCTACCAAGGTTCCTGAAAGAAGTTTATGAAATGATTATTTTTAATGCTCTGCACCAGGACTTCATGGGACACTGCAGAGTTTAGTTAGGGATCTCTCTTCTTGCACCTTCTCCTTCCCATACAAATCTTCCCAGAATTGTCCTGCTACAAAAATTACTTTTTCCTCTAAGTCAAACCTCCAGCTATCTCCAAAGCTGCTGTTTATTAATTTCACACTAAGGTGTGAGTTACTGGTAGGATTAAGTCTGGAGGGGTAATGAAGAGCTATTTACATTTTAAAAGTGAGATTCTTTTTCCTCAAAATTTTGCTAATTGATGTAAAGAGTGAGTATGATCCTTCCTTATATAGGTTACACTGTGCCCCAACCTTCTCTGGGGGCCACCAAGGATTCCTGACCCCTTACATTCCAGAAATCAAGGGTCAGCAACTGGGTGCCTCACTTGTGAAAAGCTGTTGACCTCTGGAAGGCAGCTTGTAAGGAAGCAAGTGTTAATTTTCAAAATGTGACTGGTCTTGATAGCAGCAACCTCACCCCATCGCGATGTCCCTTGGAATGTTTACTAGTCAAGGGGCATAGAAGTAATCTGTCATCACTAGTCAGTGGTGCAAGCCACTCATTCTTGTAACCTTGCCTTTCTCCCCTGGACCCAAAACAAAACATACCACCCCATCCCTTTCCTCTCACATTCAAATTTTCATGTGTTCAACATTTGTCAGGGCCTTCACCTTCAATGACATGGTCAACACACCAAGAAATTACATTTAACACATGAAACATGAACAGCAGGCCCATTTCTTTCTGCCATGTATTTGAGAGGTACAGAATTTGCGTTTGGGGTGTGCATGTGTGTGCTTATTCTTGGATCAATATTTTTAGACATTAAAATGATTACCCTCCAAAATCATAAAAGGGTTTAATAACATATTTTAATATAATTTTAAGTACTTTTTAATAAAATACAGATATATAATTATCAATGTATGCATGTCATTTAATTCAGCAATAAAAGGCTAGTCTCTGAAGTGACGTGGTGATTAATATTTACAGTAAAACCTAAAAAAAGCATTTGTACAATATTGCTAAAATTTTACCAGAAAAAAGATTAATAAAAAATTATACTCATATTGTGGTATCATCTGAAATGATCAACGGCAAGAAGGAAAATGCTCTTATTAATACATATGGGTATAGAGCATTACTTTCCATGTTTTTTCAAGATGGAAAACTCTCTGTTCTTGAATTATACACCAAGCACTATTGGCTGAGATGGACTCATTCTTAACACCTTTCCCCAAATCTTTGTCAAGCTATTAATGCCATACCCAAACATCTTACATAGATCCACCTACTGCAAATATTTCATGTCCCTTCATGCTAGTTTTAAATTTAAAAATTTAATACTAATTTGATGAACTGCTAAGGAATCCAAAAGGAAATTTGTTAATATGTATAAACAGAGTCACATCCTGTGCAAATTCAACAGTATATCTCCCTAAGTATCTAACAAATTGTGTTGTTTCAAAGTGAAACAGCAAATCAGGAGTTGTACCCTTTCCCCACCAAATCCAGGGATGAGTTAAAGCAACTCTTTTTAGCAATGAGAGAAAATCATGCTCTTTTGCTTAAGATACATGAAATGTAATGAATGGGTCAATGCACAGACATGTTATTTCGCTTTCTCCTCAGAAGGGGAATGTGCCTCATCATGTATTCTTAGCCTTTTTTATTTATCTCATACTGTGCTCTCAAAGTTACTTGTTTTTAACTCTTCAACCATGCATATATTATTTTAGGAATTAAAAAATTTAATACTGATTTTAATTTCTCCAGTTCTGACATTACAAATTCTGTTGAGGTTAAAAGTTTTATAGTTCCTTTATCATAATTAGTATCTTCCTTCTTAGTCCTCCAAGAGGGTCTTTATAGTAATGGGCTTTGGCCTTTGCACTATAGCTCCCAAAAGACAGATTGCTGGAGATAACCTACTGAAATTCCTCACCGTGTTATTTAACACCATACAGGCCTAGGAACTATCTGTTTTGGGAAAGACTCAGGCAGACGGACAAGGTTAAGAAGGGGAAAAGGGTTCAATGTGTAGGAATTACAAGATATAAATAAGTAGCATAAATGCATTTTTTTTACTTATATACTATCGGTCAGGAAGCTCAGAGCAAGATGGAAAAAATATTCTAAATTTAAAAACAAACTATACAAAAACATAAGGTATAGTTAACAATAGTATTACTCTTGATTTAAAAGATAGACATTTCTCATTGGAATCAATGAATTTGAGGTGGATTTATTTTCCTTTTGCCATTCCACTCATATCACATATTCCTCCCCTGGTGAAAATTGGAATTTAAAAATGTTTATAGAACATTCTTTAATGGTCTATTTGATATATAAAATAAGCAAAAAATCGAAAATACTGGAAATTTGTTCTCTACAGATGAATAAGAACCTCTTATGTGCCCAATGGAAAGTGTAAAAAAAAAAATCACAAGCCTCTCCTTTACCTTCCTTAAGAAAATAACAATTATTATGGGTTATGATTTTTTTATAGACCCAAGGTCATATAGTATGTGTGGTAAATAATAAGCAGGAATGAAAAAGCTGATCCTTCATGATTACAAATACCTCAGGACTAACACTAAGACTTCAACTGGCTTTTGTATTTTAGATTCTCACACTGTGTCCAAGAATAACAGAAATCACAAGACTCTACATGCTGGTTACTGCTGGTTATCAATACATCAAGTATGAAACCGTTTAGAGCATTTTTCTGATAAATTAAGTTATAAGTGTTCTTCTGGATAGTATAATTGCCAAGTTTTAAGTTTACCATCTTGTTTTTAAAAGAGTCTGAGAACTTTGCTTAAACATACTACACGCATGCCAATACTCCGTGCAACTGGATGAAACAGGGGAACAATAGGGGCCGTGATACTCCATGTGCTATGTATATACAGCATACATATATACCATAGATAATTACAATCTCACCATGATAAAGTCAAAAAACCCAGTGAGCCTTCATTTTCTATTATATGTACATTTTATAAACCACAGAGAGTTTCTTTCCACATAGCTTTTAAAAAAGAAAAAGAAAATATGTTAGACAGATCCAAATGTCATTTAACTTAAAGGCTTCATCAGACCATATGTGCAGATACTTGAGATGATGACAGAGTTAAGCTTCCTAGGGTCCTAGAGTCAAAGAAACTCTGCTGACCCCCACTGCTAAGCAGGTGCACTCCTTCCACAGGGGGCAACATCTGCCGATCCGTCATGGTCCCACTCGGTGAGGACCCCAAGAAACTTCCTTGGGAAGAAACAATTTTCTCAGGACTGGCAGCCAGTTTGGGGGATGTGGAGAAGTTATATCCATATAGTGCACAGGGGCTGTGTAATCTAAAAGTATTATAGGAACCCTGATGGGTCTGGTTAGTGGCGAAGGCATTGCTGGAGGGTGATGGCATGATATACTGGAGCTGGGGGGACATTCCCGAAATCTGCATGGATAAGCTGGTCTGTGGGCAGCTGAAGGTGTCCCCATCAGTGCCACCCATGGACATGTTCACGGAGGTGCTGCTGCTCACGCCCACATAGGAGGGAGTCCTGGGCGGGGCAAAGGTCTCACCAGCCTGGTTGGTGAGCCTGTTGTAGGTCTCTGCCAAAGATGTGCTGTATCGGTTGAGGGTGAGGCCTGAGCGGGCACAGGCAGAATAGTCAGCAGGGGCCAGACTACACAGCTGGCTGGTGTTGGGCCCCAGATGGAAGGCAGGAGAGGAGCAAGAGGAGCCAGACAAAAGGTGAGGGTGAGTGGCAGGAACGCCATTCCCAGTACCTTGGAGCAAGGTGGAGGAACTTGCATTGCCTACAAAAGAAGTTGAAATGTAAAGAATGACTCCACAGTCATCCTTTCCTTTCAATTTTGTAAATATGAGCTAGACACAGCTTGTTACAAGGCAAGGGTTGGAGGAATGCTACAGAGATGAAAAGGAGATGGTCTCAGCTTTCAAGGAATTATCTGGTTGAAAAATCTCATTTCCAATTAGAAAACAAGTTGTTGAATCACATGCTAATACAAGAGCAGAGGTCCAACAAATCAACAGTCCTGTGAAACTTAGAGAGGGTAGTTAACCCTGTGTCCAACCAATGGCAGTGATGGTGCCCCCTCTGGATCTGCTGGCAGACTGATGTTTGCAAACTTGACAGAACTTAAGGGGAGAGGAGAATTCCAAAGGGCTGGACAGGTTGTAAAACCTTCATTGCTGTATTGATGGTGTTTTATATAGTGTCTCAAAATAATCCAAAAGCCCAATCCAACCAATAATAATTATCTGAAACCCAGCATAGCAAATTCTCACTGGAATCTGGGCAGGATGATGGTAAAAAGCCTGAATGTAGAAGTGAGCTGAGAGTGTTACCTATGGAGCAGACCAGAGAGGAAGCAACATCGCTTTCCATGCAGTTCCCTCTGAGAAGAAATCAGCCCTGGGCTGCTGAGAAATATTCAGAGATGAGCCCAGGAGGGTCTGCCTGAATGTGCCTGACCTTCCTCATCGTTAACCCAACAGGAGAACCCTACCCAGAGGCAATTCTGCTGAAGAAAGAAAACAAACAAGATCTGAAGAAAGGGTGGACTGGGGGCACCATCAACAATTTCTTGTGAACAGGACCTGGCATCAGAGCACCTCTAATTTTAATACGAGATTTAAGGATGAGGTAAAGGTCATGAAATATACAAACAGCCTAAGACATCTAAGATTTAATCTGTGACCATGAGAGCCGTTTTTTCCTGATCCATCCCCATACCATGCAGAAGACAGATGGAATCTGTAGGACAATGCTGGTGATGAGGTCATTATTGTAAGTATAAATAATGACTTGTACACTTTTAGTGCCTGAGTTTCTAGGCAGGAACGGGCTGTATATATGACCCAGGAGACTTTGTGAGTTACCTTGCTTGGGAATTCCAGGGATATCTTCAAAGGTCAGAGTCCGTAGTGATGGTCGCCAGAATGCATATGATTCCACCAAGGCTTCCAAACCCATTCTAAATGGAAAGGGTCAGGATAGGGGTGGACAAAAGAAGTCTAGTTAGGAGCATTTGGATCTTTCACCAGCAGCAAGCATCTCAAAACAACACTGATATTGACAGTACCCCCACACTGTCCAGTTAGGATCTTGCCACTGGCAAGAAGAAATGCTTCAGCAATGGGCTAACATCCTGTTACCAGCAGCAGGAGAGAACTGAAATCACCCACCCAAGATGCCTGTTAATGTTCTCAGGAAAACTCAGCTGACCTGAAGGGTGAAAAGCTGTTCCCTTGGGCTAAGGAGCTGAGATGAAGAGAGTCCCTCCTGGCTGCTGTGAGTCCAAGGCTCTGCTGTGATCTGGAACACACCCACTCTCCTTGTCCTGTTACTTCTCCCTCTAAGTGAGGAAGGCATTGCCACAAAAGCACATTCCTAGAAAACCAGCTCTTTTCTAAGGGTCATTACTGCCCATCATTTGGTGCCTCAGCAGCCAGCTCAGGGAAGCACTCCTCCAAAGAAGACTGACTTCTCTCTCAGGAGCACAATCTCTACTACACCCAGTGTAGCCAGGCTGGGCTCCCACCAGCAACAGGAGGGCCATGAAGAAACAGCACTGGCCTCTCCCTGCAGTGTGTGGGAGGAGAGCAGGAAGGTGACCTCACAGGGCTATCTAGTATATAGAGTTACTATTAAATCACAAATTATTTTAAAACCCTGAAATACACTTAATGAATGGATACTTAAAGAGACAGGGTAAGTTTCATATGGACTACTTACATGACATACGTATATTTTAAAACAAGGGCAACTACTCTAAATACATATATCAACCATCTCCTACCATGAATGATTCAGAGACTTCCCCTCTGTATATCAAGTGACTAAGTCCTCTGGGTTCTGGGAATGAGGCCATTCACTCAACTAGATCATTCTCAAGACAGCCACACCTGAGACCTCATCACTCTTCCTTCAACCACCTCAGCCCTAAGTAATTTGTTGATCTAGGTAACATTACACTTTTAATGAAACCTGTAGCTCCACTGTAGAAAATACTTGCTTCCTGGGATATCCAATAATAGACATCTCCTTTAATAGTTTGACTCAAGGTGCTACCACCTCTGGAGTCCCTGCGCCCCAAGTCATAACCTGCAAACTAAGACTAGAGGAATCCACCCCAGAGAGTCATACCACATACACAATATGGTGAAAGCTCTCTAAACACCAGAGGTAAGTGATTTGTGCCAATAAAACTATCTTACACTACTTGTCCATCTGTTCCAAGGCTTCACACACAGAATTTACTTCCTTAGAGTGTTCAGGGTATAGTCTCTGTTAATTGATTTCTGTACTCATTCTGGAGGAATACGCCTACCCCATCTTAGTGACAGAATGATGTAGCTATGCATGTGTGGAGGGGTGGTGTGTATACATGCACAGGCTTGCATGCACAAACACACCTCATGAGGCTGCACATAAGCCTGACTCATCTCTTAAGTCACAGGCTCTGGGGGTGCAGCTCTGAGGGCACTTCAAAGAGATGTCTGCAGCCCCAGAGGGGATAGTGCAGGATTGCCAAAGAAAAGAGCAGAGCACAGAGGGGACCTGCACCTGCTCCACCTGGCCTACCCTGAGAGAGAACAGAATCTGGCTTCAGATGTAATCAATGTGCCACAGAGAGAGAATTATTTAGTGGTAAGGATACTAGATTGGGGTCAGAAAGACTGCACTGGCACTGCAACTCACTAAAACTCATTGTCTGACCTTAAGCAAATTTGCTAATCTCCCTGGACTTCAGTTTCTCACAAAGAAAGGATGAGATTACAAAAGGTCTGAAACCCTTATTAATCCTAACATTGTTTCATTCTAAGAGATTTTTTTTCCAAACCAGTCATCATATCTGTGGCCAAACTACAAGCCAAATCCAAGTTCATGCCACTTGATAGTATTTTCTGTACTAGTGTATTGATTTCTGGGCAGTTTGGCAGACCTGGTCAGTTCCAAACCACATGTTGCCTGTGGGTATGTTTAACACTGGACTAATGAACTCTGGGTCCTGTTTAGCTGATCACCCTCTATTCAATTTATACCAATACTAAATTTTGTGACTTTCCAGAAATACAACGATTTTAAATGCAAAAGAATGTTAAGACACAGCTTAATATAAAACAGCTTCTTATTACCACATAGATGAGTTTAATTGTAGTTTTAAATATTAAAAATACTAAAGTGATTATAGAGCAGTCTTGAGGGAAGTTTACTAAGATAATTAACAAGCAACCACTGGACTTAGAAACTGACTACAGAGATGTATCTTACTGCATTATTTGCTTTAGCAGTGTAAACTTTATTATGATTCAAACACAAATCCATAAACTAAATTCTTAGGGAGAAGTTATTGATCATCACAAATATATAACCCTAAGCTTTAAAGAGATGCTCTGAAGCTGACATATCTACAAGTGATCTGATTTGGAGCAATCGATATTTTTCCTGAGGCTGCTGTTTCACACTACAAGTTCCAGAAAGGATTTTAGATATTTTGCAGGAAACAGTTATAAAATGTTTATTAGCTGAATCTGGACATTTTTTAAAAAGCCTTCATTTTCTCCAGTAATGGAGACCTTTCCTGGCTAGTTAAAGAAAAGATAAAAGGCACCTCCTGCAGGAGTGCAGCCAAGGCGATAATTTATACAAGATGCCTTTGAACAATTTCCACATTTTATCACTGCCCTAATTTATGCTATCAAATGGCCAAGTTTATTTAGTAAAATGGTTATGTTTTTCCTGAAGTATTTAAAGAGAAGAAATTTTTGTACCTTCCTGAGTAAAAAATTTTATAGGGTCAAACCTAAGGCCTAACTGAAGAATGAAACTATTCTCAGCACATAAATTCTCTCTCACATAGCAAATGTCTTGCAGGAGAGCTTTTAAGGGCCGAAGCTACTGATTCCTGTAAAATAGGCTGTGCAGCCATAAATAGCCAGAAAAGGATAATTTTTAATTAAGGCAAATTGTTTCATAAAGTTTAAACAATCACAAGTCTATGTTTATTTCTTGTCCTGGTCAATTTGTATATTTCATGTACAGGGTCGGGGAAATAAAAATAGAATTTGTTTTAAAAACCACTAACAACAGCACAATAGAACCAGGGGTAATAAAGAAATATGTTAAACTTTTTCTCATAGCTTCACTTCTCTACTAATATAATTAAAAAATCATGCCCCTTCATGCCCATGCTCTCCAAACAACCGTGCCCTCCACCAAGTCTTACATATAACTTGGTCTTTTTTAAAGGAAACTAATACACAAGTTAGAAATGCTCACTTATGTAATTCAGGTGACTGAATTATCTCTTCTCCAAATGTGTCTTTTGCATTTGTCAACGGAAAATGTTACAATCAGATTTTTAAATAGAGGAATAATGATTTATAGATATTTAGCATTCCAAAGTGAGAAGTATTAGTAAATAGCTTGTCTATAATAAGCAAGAGAGTTTCAGCAAGGAAAAAAGTTGAAACTGTATTTCACTAGCAAGAAAGCCATATATAGGCTCAATGTGCTTTTCATGTACTATAATATTGTTTAAACACTTGGAACAAAATAAAAATTTTAAATTTTAACAAAATCTTAAAAGCATTAAAACATAATTCACTGTCTTCTGTATGTTCCTCCAAAATTTTTAAAGTTTTAGAGTCAGGGAAGAAATAGTAACAAGCACCATGGATGTCAGGCTTACATACTCCTGAAATAGCCAAAGGGATAGAAAAATCCATATCAAAGCTAGCATTTTGAACTCGCCATATCAAACAATATAGTCCTAGTATTTTATATTCAACAACACCACTGTCATTTTCACTGACCAAATTTAAGTATCCAAATGTATTTTCATTATGCTGAGTATCTAGAATTCTTCCTGAAAACTTGTCATATGTATCTGTCATCTCACTTCTTGTAGAGGTTTCTTCACTATTATCTGTTCAAAATACAAAGTATTTTTCAAATATTTTAAATTTATCCCTTCAAAAATGGACTATATACAAGCATGTGACCCCTGAGTCAGTAGCAGTGAAGACTTTGCTAGAGTAATTGATAGCTTGGATATAGTTGCTAGTTGTATATTCTTCAAGCCTGAGTATTTCTCTCCCGGAATTTCAGTGTTTTAATAAATTCCTTTTCTGGTTAAGAAAAAAAAACTGAAAGTAATACAAGACTCTTAAATGGACAAATACTATTCTGCTATAACAAAAATCACAAAATAATTCCATCAAAGCATTCGCCAAGGTAGAATAGGAGTCATCCCAAAGGTTCTCTTCAGTCACCTCACTAAGTGGCCATCTCCAGTTATTAAATGATGGTTCAATTTGCATTTTAATTTTCAGAAACACCTCTGAAAAACAAGGTTAACCAGGAGCTAATGTAACAAAACAAAAGACAAGCAATTTTTTTCTCTACATTGAAACACACATTTAAAAAACAAAATAATTTCAATACAGCAGACAACTTTCATGTGTTAGGAATATCTGCAAACTTTCCTACAGAGTGAAAAATTTCAGAGGGAAGCCCTGCTATTAGTCTTCCTGATCTACCTGCACTAAGTTGAAGGCTACTCTACTCTCAGTGCATTTTAGCTGCATTTCAGTCCTCATGTTGCGTGGTGTTTCAATGATGCCACTGCATATAACAATGACATCACATCTCTGCAAGAACTTGAGTGTATTCTGAGAAAAGGTCTCTGTCACCCATCTTGTTCAATTAATCAACTGAAAGAACTAAGAATCTGGATTGTTTTCCCTCTAAAATTTCAAATGAAACTGCCTCTAAAATAATTGGGGATTTTCAAGGAGTATTAGAATAATTTCATGAGTAAAGTCATAAAGATTGTTCAAATACTTCTTTTTAAAAACAAGCTGCTTTTAAAAACATTTAAGCAGAAGCCTTACTCTGAAAAGGCATTTGCAGAACTGTAGTCTATTATTACTCTCTATTACTACTTACTAACAGTTACTTTAGAAAATGTTGTACTGAACTATATTGGAGTAGAGTCATATCAATAAATTCAAAAACCCTTTGCCACATAGACTAGGTGATCTGCTTTTTGATAAAAGTAAGAGTGGAATTCATTATTGTGGCTCTACCACTTAGTACAAACACCACAAAACGTGAAACAGAAAAAATAAACAAGTATGTGGCTGTCAGCAGAGCCAAGACAAATTTGGAAACTAAAGAACATCAGCTCTCTTGGCAATGGAGAGTAGTTTCATATTCCAGCTGGAAATATGACTTAACGAAAGACCCTATCGTACTCCACAGACAATATCAATAGATAGTCGCATCATCACTAAAGAAATTCTAAACCAATAGTAGAGGCAGAGAGGATATTTAATTAGGATACTGAAGCCTCTGTGCCTGTAAGGGCAGGTTTCTTCAAGGCCCCTTCAGAAACAGCATGCAGTGTACATCCTGAGAGCTTCGATTTTCAGCTCAGCAGCGCACATGAACATTCACCTTAGGGTAGGTGACACCATTACACTACAAAAATAAGTTATCTCCGAGGCACAACAGTCCTCATCAGAAATGATTTCAATATCGTATTAGTAAATTTAGCCATTTACTTTGTAATAGAAAATTCATAATAAAATATCAAATATATTTATCATAACCGGAATGGTCTTCACTAAGGCCCACCTGTTGCGCCCGGAGTCTCGGAAGCCTTTAGCAAATGGATTCCTATCTATCTTCAGGCGAGTAATCTGCAGAGTAGGAAAAAAAAATATCAAATCTTATATAAATGTCAAGCAAGTTTTTACTTGGTTGCAAAACTACAATGAGTCAAAAGTTAACTGTTAGAGGACTCTATTGTATAAGCCTCTTTTATTCCCCAAGTATTTTAATATCCTAGCAGTAAAGCTAAGGAAAATTTCAGAAATCATCTAGAACATTCATCTGCTCTAAAAAAGATACTTCACTCCTTTTCAATCTGCATTAATAGATATAAGTTAGTTTTGTTTTTTAATATTTCTGGAAAAAAAGATTCTGAATCATCTGTTGGTAACGTGCCCTATAATTGACAATTCCCTCTGAACTGAAGTTCTTCCCTTTAACTCTGAGATGTGGTTTAATCCTGTTTCTATCTCAATAAAGCTAATGAGGAATAACTCGTATCCAACTTCTATTTAACAGCCATTTAAATGTTGTTAAGCTCCTACAGAGCTTTCTCTTCTTTAAAATTAGGTAATAATGTACACATTCCTTTAATTTTCTGTCTCTGTATTTTTCTTTGTCTCTCCTTTAATATTCTTTGTGGCTTTTATCTGAAAGTTTTATTCTTTTATCTGTGGAGTCCTAACCTGGTCAGAGCACTACAGTGAATGTCTAACCAGAGGTAACCACTACTTGAAGGTTCTAATGAATCAAATCTCATACTAAATGGAGTAAAAATAAATGATGCTTTCACTTTAACTTTCTTTCAAAATAAATTGTATTGTGTTATATGGAGGTACACAACATACTATGAAATATGTATAGGTAGTAAAATGGTTCCTATATATGATGTTTTAGTTTTAACAAGAATTCTAATTTGTTGACTCATAACCAACTTTTTGCTCACTAAGACACCAAGATTAAGGGGGAAATTTTTTACAAATGGTTTAATTATCTCCATTAATAGTTTTTTTAGTTATGCCATCCTGAACTTGACACTAATAAATACCATCCCATCTGCTTATTACCAGATCTCCACTTTGCCCAGAGGAATTTACAGCCTATTTTCTAAGAGACACATCATGTTTTGGCTTCTAAATTCCTGGGCTTAATGAACTCTACAAAGTTAATGAACATACTTCTAATTACACCATCTTGGCTAAGGACAAAAACTGTTAAATAAAAGTCATCTGCAGTCCCCCTACATTGCTTGTGCACGCCCTCCAGTCAGCCACGCAACACTTAAGACATATGTGTTCCATATGATGTTATCTTAGTATGTGGATAAAACTATATTATAAATGATATAATGAAAGGGTTTGCTAATTAAGTCATCATGTCTGCCACTCTGTCATTGAAGGAATTCTTCTTTACAGATCAATATAGCTCAATTTTCTGTCTATTTTAATAATGTTTAAAAACATTAAGCAATGTAAATGTTCATTTAAAATGTTGTTTTTTAAAAAGTACAGATTTATATAATGGTGCCTTGTTAAAACAGAGACATAACACAATTGCTACTATCATCATTTTTATTACTAACATATGTATTGAGTGCATAAAATGTACACTGTGCTAAGTTTTCGGCATACTACTCATTTAATTACTAGAGCAACTTATGTATAGCTATTATCTCAGTTTTGTGTTTTATTTTAAACTGAAGCTTAAGTAAGCCAGGACCACAGGCTGCAGAGCTCATGCTATTAACCACTAATCTGCTAACAATGTTCCGTTAAGTTCTTAAAAATAGTAGCCAGGAAACTAAAAAGTAAATGTGACTGCATGTTATCATTATCAATTTCTCCTCTAATCTGTCCATCATCTTAATCAACTTCTCAATGTTCACTAATTTGTGTTAGTCACAACATGTACCAAAAGCTGACTGCATTGCACTTACTGTACCACAGAGGGTGGAAGAAAATATGCAAAGTGCACAGTTAATTTGTGTGTGAGAGAGAGACAAAAAGAGAGGAAGAGAGACAGAAAGAGGTGACGAATTGAGATTGTTAAAAGAATACTAAATGCCTCTGCTATTTTCTCATGTATTACTTTTTCTCCCAAAAAATCGTTTTCTGTCCCTAATATATTTTAATACATTAAATATATAATTATATCTCATAATATACTAAATATAATTATATTAAGTATATTATAATTATATATTATATAATATTTCGTATATTATATATTATTGTACAGTATATTATACTATTTATATATTTATATTGATATTTATAATTTTAATATATTTGATATATTAAAATCATAAATACATTTATTTATAATTATATACATTATAAATATATTTTATATAATGTATATATCTTATATATTTATTATATTAAATATATTAAAATTATAAATACATTATAATTATGTACTATATTACACATATTACATATGTTATATATAATACGTTAAATATGCTATATTAAATATGTTTGCTTCAGCAGCACATATACTAAAATTGAAACAATACAGAGAAGATTAGCATGGTCCTATTATTATTAGCATGGTCCTATATTATATCTATTAGCATAGATAATAAATAAATTATATTATTAGCATGGTCCTATATTATATCTATTAGCATAGATAATAAATATATTATCTATGGATCTTTTAAAAATTACATTTCATGTTCCTTCCTAAAAGCTTATAAAAGAGTGGCAACATGAGTGTGAGAGGACAGGACAGCTTCGGTTGTGATACTGATGTCTCCATACGGATAAGAGCTATTGAGCCTCTCAGCCCAAAGAACACATGGGATAGGATCCAAATCTTCTAAGAAGCTTTATAACAACAGAAACCACAACAGAGAGATTTAAAAGCCTTAAATTTGTAATTGAAATGTATATAAATGTAAAGAGAAATGGAGACCCAGAACAATTCTGCTGACCACTGAAATTGAAAAAAAAAAAAATCTACCACAGGCCACATCGGCTTATATTACATGGATATTTCTTATGAAAACCAGCTGGAATTCCAGCATGGATTACATATTGCCTCTGATTCAATTCTCTACCTAACTGACACATATAAACATAGCCTTAGAGAAATATATACATTTACCCATATAGAAAGGAAATATTTCACTTCTCACACTATTTCTAACTTTATGAAATAAGTATTCTACCATTGCTGATCTCTCAGACTATAAGCAAGTTTATCATCCTCTATCACAATTAAAGCATATCTTGAAAGAAATAGCCCTTTTGTATATGTACCAAAATGACTATACAGGATAAATGTTTCTGAACTATTTTTAGAATGTAGTTTAAAAATAAAGTAAGCTATCAAGTCCCATGCTCTATGATACAATTCATTTTTAATATTCTACATGTCTATTTTTTAGGCAATAAAAATACATTCTAATTTTAATTAAGATATAATTCAAAAGCTCAAAATGGAAAGTAAACCTACACTGTCAGTCACAAGACATGGTTTGTCTAAAGAAATCAACATTAGAGCAGACTTACTTGGAAAATCATGGATAAAGAACTGTTATTCATATATATACACTTTGAATGTCATATATGGCAAATGCTTTATAATTCATAATATTTAGAGTGAGAAGGATAGCTAACTTTCTCTCTTCACCTGAAATGAAAAATCTACAAAGATTCCAATTCTGAGAACAATACCTGCTGATTCTGATAGGCAGTGACGGTTGTGAAGACAGTTTCTGGAAAGGAGAATGCCTTTACTCCCTCCCCGGATGGAACAGGCTTGATGGGAGAAAGATCGTCTCCACAGTCTTTACGGATGACGTGCACTCGCGGTTGGTATTTGTGCATAGAATGAAGAATAATCTATATCAAAGAAGGAAAAGCTGAATTTATCAGAAGCCTCTGCCCAACCTCAACAACCTGACTAAATATTTAATGTGTACAATCAATTCTGATTGGAAATCATTTCCAAGGATGCAGAGGTGTCAATTTAATAAGAAATATCAGAACTGGAGAAGGAAGGCTAAGAAGTTGTTTGTAAAATGTACATAAAAATACAAAATAAAAAGCACTATTTTAGTGAAACCCTGTGTACAACCATGTGAACTTAATATCAAATTTTCTGTTGCTAAAAACACAGGAATAAATTAATAAGCATTTTATTTATAATGAGCCCAATGGAACACAGAGTCCAAACCAATAAAATTACAAATGAGACTGAAATCATCATTTAAATTGCACCACACCCATCCCCTAAAAAATAAGTATTCACAGACAAGGTTTTTTTCAGAGGAAATGTTTCCCCAGTTCGTGACTACATATGTCTATTCAAGGGCAAAGGGAATTTTAAGGACACTCCAGCATCTGTTTTTTGTGTGGCTCACAAAGTCTCTGGTTTGCTGGGAGCGCCCAGTGTCTGTGCCTCTATCACAATGAGGCTTCCATTACTCAGACTGCAGAGAACAGAAAAGCTGGCCCTCTCAGATGCTGCTGGGGAAATCTGATAATATGGTTCAACTACCTTCTACCCAATGATTCCACATCTGAGAATTTATCCTAAGGAAATATTACAAATTCAGAAAAGCTTTTCATGTACAAAGACGGGCATCAGATTATTTGTAACAGTAGAAAAACTATAAACCACTTACATATCCAACATGAGTAAATTAGTTAGGTGAATGAAATCCACACAATGAAATACAGCATTATTTTTTACCATATAATGAAATAATACTTTTAAAATCTTAAATTTAAAAAATGACCTAAATTGTTTATAAGCTTGTTAAAACTACATAAAAATAGAGTAAAAATGACCCATAGAAAGATATAAACAGTGATTGCCTCTAGATGATGGAATTGTGAGTGAATTTTGTCTTCTTCTTTGTATGTTCTATGCTTTCAAGGCTGATGGGGTAGGGTGAAGAAACAGCTTCATCCAATGGGATTTTCTGTTTGCTGCTGGGATTCCATATTCAGGTACTCATTAAGGAGTTTCCTTAAGAAACCTGTATCTTTCCTGAGCTATAAGATTTGAATTCAATTTCTGAGCCATTATGAATTTATAGAACAAATGTTTACAGAAAAGTCTTAGGGAAATGTAGTGGTTGGCCTGCCTTGTGTTTATGATGTGGGCAGTTTAATAAGACACATTCAGAATATTTGGTCAGCCCAAACACAGATTGTCCTACATCTGGAAAGTGTGTTTGCTGCCACAAGAAGATTCTTTACTTTCTGGCAGTGCTGTGGCTAAGATTTTTTTTTTCTTTTTTTTTTTTTAACCCTGCAGTTTTCCTTGTATCAGTGAAAGAAATGCCTAGGTAGCACATGATCATGCCAACCAGACACTCTAGGAGAGGAAGCATGAGTGTGAGGAAAGGACAACAGGGGAAAACAGCCCTCATCATCACCTGAGGACACAAGCAAATCTGCAATCTCAGGAAAATTCTCTTTCCAGAATTCTAGAAATTCTGGAAATTTCTCTTTGTTCTATGTAAAGGGAAGAATTTTAATGACCCATTAGTGACTTATGAAATCAACATGAAGGGTTGCAACCAGAAATTTTTTAAATAAATAAAAGTACAAAATAAAGTAGAAAATAAAATATATAACTTGCTGTTAGGTAGAAAGTTTGAAAAACACAGAAGCAACATTTAATTCTAATGGTTCTAATGATCAGCACACTCTAAACAGATTTTTGGTGAATATAGATATTTTTCTCATTTCTTTTGTATATTACCTGAGTAATATGTTCACTAATCCTCATTTAAAAAGGTATAATCAGCCGAGCATGGTGGCTCACGCCTGTAATCCCAGCACTTTGGGAGGCCGAGGTGGGTGGATCACAAGGTCAAGAGATCTAGACCATCCTGGCCAACATGGTGAAACTCTGTCTCTACTAAAAATACAAAAAATTAGCTGGGCGTGGTGGCACATGCCTGTAGTCCCAGCTACTTGGGAAGCTGAGGCAGGAGGATAGCTTGAATCCGGGAGGCGGAGGTTGCAGTGAGCCGAGATCGTGCCACTGCACTCCAGCCTGGTGACAGAGCGAGATTCTATCTCAAAAAAAAAAAAAAAAAAGGCATAATCTAAATCTAAGTTTATGTTCTTGGAAGCACAATATCTCAGCAGGGTTGAAAGATATCTTGCAGACATGTGGACCCAGTAGATATTCTTTTTCAGAACTATATTAGGAAAAAGGAGTAGGCAAGATGGATTCTGAGGTCTATTTACCGCCCTCCAATTAGAGGTGCTTCCCTTCCCTGTTTGATATGCAGGGTTCTGTGTGACATTACATTACATATATTTAAGTCTGAAAAAACTGACATTAATACTCCAATTTATAGATAGAAAACTAAGGTCTACACAAGCAAGAGACTTCTGAATCCTTAAGGCTGAACCTGGAAGCTGGGTCCCTTGGCCCATGCTCGTCCTCCCACCACCACGTTCATGTGCATTCATTATAAATTCGTATTTTTTGGGCAGGCATCATCACAGGGCCAGGTCCAACAAAGGAAACACAAAAAAGGGTCTCAGCCTACAGAAGCAGTTAATTGAGCCCCACCTGGTGTCTCATTAGTTAACATACTCTTTAACACACTCTTTTAATATAAATATAAAGCAGCAAATGACCAATCATATCATAGCAACCATTAATGTTAACTCTGTTTTTCCCCCTCCCTCTTTATTTCTTAATTAATTTATCTCATTAGAAAGTGATATTCACTTGATATTTTGGGGAGCAGGGGAGTTTAAGGGAGAACCCTTCCTCTTCTCCAAGGTAAGAAACAAAATGCCACTGGTAAGCAAACAACAAGGGACAAAACAATGACACTTATAAACTCCCAGGGAGAATTAGCATATCTTTTAGAAACAAATTTCTAAGCAGAAGAAAAATTGGAGAAAAGTTACTTTACATTAAACAAACAAAAATAAATGCATAGCTAATTTCAGAAGATTGGACTGAGTTGTAATTAAAGAAACAAAGATTCATTTGGGTTTCTTTTTACTAGTCAATGAAAAGCAGGTTCTTGTTTTATGAAGACTGTTCTCTCAAGGAGATTTCTCCATATAGTTGTATATATTTTAAGGTTACTTTTCAAAATATCCTTACCATATTTCAAAAAAGACTTCAAGTGGGGTATATTGGAGTAGGATACAGAAATGGCTGATGTATGTCTTTGTTTGCATGTTAAGAAGCAACTATCAATAGTAATCTGAAGATTGCTCAAGAAAAATAATATGTATTCAGTATTATCTATAAGAACTTTATGTATCCCTGGAATGTTTTAGGGATGGAGAAACAAGCCTCAGTTCCTCTTTTTATGATAGCATTATGTGCTTTTTAATGTCTCATGTGGTCATGGGTCCAGTCAAAGCACTGCAAGGATTTCATTCCTGCAATCATTTTGTGTGAAATGAATAAAAGTCTCAGATCTATATGGAGTTCTCAAGTCACCATGCTGCACACTTGCACAGATTTGGCAGAGTAAAAGTAGGAATTGAGGAGAGAAACAAAAGCAATTTAGACAGCAAGCTAGAAAATCATCTCTCATTTGAGTCTACAGCTTTACTAATTAGAGATCAGTGTTAACTTCTTTTGGAATTGGGGGCTCTGAGGTGGGCAGGGGCACAGGGGATGAACCATTTGATTATTAACTACCAAACTTACAATCATGAATGCTCAATAAAAGTTTGCTTATTTAATAGAGCAAATAGAACCAGGAGAACCACTGGTCGTATAAACAAGAAGACCACAATGATATGATGCCCATCTCCAAAACACAAATAATTCCAAATAATTCTATGTGATGTGTAATGTTCAGTGCTCTCTGATCTGTTTAGAATGATTATTTTCTTTTGGGTTTAGCTAGTATTACAGTCACAGAAGTCCATAAATACAGACTGCATTTGCAGTACAGGCTAATACACATTTTTCTACTTTAAGGACACCTAGATTTGAGTCAAAAAAAAAAAGCATAATATTGTTTATTTCTCATCTGATGAGTCGAAAGAGCCTGAGATCTGACAGAAAGGCAACTGTGTCTAGTCTTACAGGATAGCTCAATAAGAAAACACTCCCTGCTGACTGGAAATTTTCCAGATGACCTAAATTCCCATGATGTAATAAGTCAATCAAAGGACCAACAAGAAACAGATAACAAAAACCTTGCTCCCTACATTTTTTGGTAACACCACGTACTGACTCCCTTTAAATGGTAGGAATCAAGGCTGTAACAATGAATCACAAACTCCATAGCAAGGTAGCCTTCTTTTTGTTTTACGCATGATGCTGTATATAATGGACTCTTTACAAATACGTCCTTTCGAGTTCATCAGCTCATTTAGTTCACCCTAAGTTCTCTGATTCCAATATAACCCATGAGAAAAATCAACCCTCAGAGAATGAAAGTGACTTGCCAACAAACACAAATGTGTCATACCTCTAAGTAATTGCAAGGTCCTTCCACCAGGGAGACCTCAGCAACCTCCCCTATAACTTGCTGCTTCCACACCTGATTCTCAAGGAGAAACAGAAAGAGTGAAGGCATCAGTATCACTGAGTCCTCAGCAGCTGGGAGTACAGGTCTTCCCACAGGTCCCACTGTGGCTGTCTGGCCATGCTTCCTTCCAAAGCGCCACAGCACCGTGGGTACAAATCCTTCTGAGGCTTAAGGTACACCACTACCTGCTAAATGTCCTCTAATTTTTAATAAAAATGGTCAACTACATGTTTTCCCTCAGATGGAAAATTCCAGAGGAATTGGGAAACATGTACATGATGGGAAGGAATTACCCTACTCAAGCATACTAACTCTTCTGCATATGGGTAGCTCAAGGACCAGTCTTCATTTGTATAAAAGCCAGCATAAAGCTCGCTATGGATTCACCAAGGATCAGGAAGAGATTAAGGTCTTCAAAACATCCAAAAATTAGCTGTGGAGTGCTGGAACATTTCCACTCTGGAATTTCACCACTATTCCTCTCCAAATAATTCATGATATTTGAACAACTGAAAAGTCACTTTTGGCAAAACCTCAATGTCACATCATCTCATGTCTCATGTGCTCCTACGTCCAGTCAAAGCACTGCAAAGATTTGATTCCTGCAATCATTTTGTGTTAAATTAATAAAGTCCCAGGTCTCTAAGGAGTTCTCAAGTCACTATGCTGCACACTTGCACAGACTTGGCAGAGTAAAACTAGGAACTGAGAAGAGAAAAAAAAAAAGCAATTTAGAAAGCAAGCTAGAAAATCACCTCTCATTTGAGTCAATAGCTTTACTAATTAGAGATCAGTGTTACTTCTTTTGGAATTGAGGGCTGAGGGTGGGCAGGGGCAGATGGGATGAACCTCAACTATGTAAGGGTAGAGGGGTAAGTTCCCAAGAGGTCTCTGCATCAGCAAAGGGACTTGAATTAGAAAGTCCTACTATAACAATACTACTGTCTTCTTATACCCTGAACACAATCAACAATAAAATCAGAAACAAATTCCTAATATTTAATCTAGCCTCATTTAGGGTCATCAAGCTGAGTAAATAAACAGATTCTTTCTTCATAAAGCCTTTCCCATCTTTCCTGGCTGGAATACGGTGACACTGGCATCTGTACTTCTCTGAGCTGGCAGGATGATAATCTGTGTTCATGGTTTCTTCTCTCCCCACATAGGCTAGAAACTCACAGAAAGCAGAGATCATGGCTTTTATCTTATTTTTTATTTTTTGAAGCAGAGTCTCACTCTGTCACCTGGGTTGGAGTGCAGTGGCATGATCTCAGCTCACTACAACCTCTGCCTCCTGGGTTCAAGTGATTCTCCTGCCTTAGCCTCCCAAGTAGCTGGAAGTACAGGCAAACACCACCACGCCTGGCTAATTTTTGTATTTTCAGTTGAGATGGGGTTTCATCATGTTGGCCAGGCTGGTCTCAAACTCCTGACCTCAGGTGATCCACCTGCCTCGGCCTCCCAAAGTGCTGGGATTACAGGCATGAGCCACCATGCCCAGGCCAAGCCACCGTGCCCAGCTTTGCATCTTTTACCATACTGGATAACATCTTCCGAAGTATCTTTTCTAAATGAATAATGGAAAAGAGCACTTTCCCTCCTACATCCTCCTCTAGTATCAAGTAATACGTACGTACATTTTTACCATTACCAAAGGCAATTCACTTGCTTCCAAATTGTACAAGTACATCTCTCTCCCTGCTCCCCACATGTTAATGTACCTGTATTTATTCAACTAGTACATCCTGCTACAACCTTAAAAGAAAAATTTCAGCAGTTAGACAATATACATCTCTATATTTTGCCTATTTTCTGCTATGTTATTTATTTCCCTAATAGTAAAATATTATAATTATTTAGGTTTAAGTAACTGAATTTCATTTGTAATCTATTATTTTGTGTTTTAAACAAATGCTATGTGACAGTTAATCTTATGTGTCAAATTGGCTATGCCACAGTACCCAGATACTTGGTCAAACACCAGTCTGGATGTTGCTGCCAGGTATTTATTAGATGAGATCAACATTTATATCAGCAGACTTTGAGAAAAGTGGACTACCCTTCATAATGTGGGTAGGCTTCATCCAATCAGTTGAAGACTGTAGGAGAAAACAGACTGAGATCCCTGGAGAAGGGGGAATTCTATTACAAAACTACCTTCACACTCAAGCTGCAACATCACTTCTTCCCTAGGTCTCCAGGTGGCTGTGCAGATTTCGGACTTGTCAGGACCCAAATTTTCCTGGGTAAGCTCCTTAAAATAAATTGTTCTCTCTGTGTCTGTTTTTCTCTCTTTCTTTCTCTCTCCCTCTCTACACACGCACACACACAAACACGCACACACCCTATTTTCTGAAGAATGCTGCTTTAAATAAAGTCTATTGAAATCATAAAGTTAATATATAGATTGATAAATTACTAGATCTATATCTAATATTTAGTACATTAGATATTAGATAGAAAACCAGTAATTTGAACGGAAAGAACTAGAACTGTAAAATGATTATATTGATTTAAATTATTAAGAAGTTTATAACTTATACATGAAGGTATATAGTTTTTATCCCCACTTATCTCTTTAGAGCATACATTCTTTAAACTGTAGAACTCACAAAAAATGGTAGTGTACTTAAGGTTTTGATAACAAGTAACACTAAAAACATTGTCTAAAATGTTCTATTCCAAAAAAAAGTCCTTCAATGAATGTGCTGAGTATATTTCACAGACAGCTGCCTCAGCGACACAGAAGAAATCGGTGTTATTTCACTGAATTCCTGTGAAAAATAATTGTTACAACTTGACTGTGTTAAATTGTAAAAATAAGGAATAAAAATAAGGAAAGCCAAGGAGTAATGCACTAAAATACAGGACATGAAGTTGGGTACAGAAAAGAAATCTACTATGTTACTTTTTTATTTCCATTTTAAGTCATAAAAGGCAACAATCAAGAAACAAAAACACTGGCGGTGTGAGATCTTACTAGTTGCATCTTAAAAATCCACCTACTGCATTTGTATCACAGTGAAATTAGTACTGGAATGTTCTCATTAAGGTCAATTTCTTAAGACATTGTTTAGCAACTTCCAAACCATATCCTGTCATCACTATATTATTAGTTTATGACAACTTACATTTTGTTTTAAAAGATATTCTCATAAATATGCTATCTTTATATCACTCCTTTGAGAAATAAACAAGTTGGTATTTCTTTTATGTATGATATATTCTTCGAAAGGCATTTTAATCCTGCCTCAATCAAAACTATCTTAAATAACAGAAACCTAATTTTAAAAATGCTGGCTTTGAACAGAAATCAGCATGTATCCAGTTACTTATTTATTAAAATAATAGTGTAGAAATCTTGCCTGGGAACAATACTGCATAAAAATTACTAAGGTGTTAAAAATGACTGCATTATTGGAACGGCTGAACTTTGACTTATGTATCATGTTTCAGCAGTTTTAAGAATAAAAGGAATGATTGTTGTAACATTTTGACACATTAGATGTCATTACAAAACAACTGGGAACTTGCAGATGGAACACACAAACAGCATAAGCCTAGACAATTACTGAGAAGCAATGAACCTCAGCTGACAAAGCTGGATGCAGGCAGGACACAATAAATCATTATCCTTATTAACCCAACTCCAAAGTATTCATATTCACAGTATAATAATTAGCACCTCAAGAGATTTCACACAAATGTTTTGCCTAACAACATCTCTGCTTCCAGTACTTTCAGTCCAATAAAAATGCAGTATCTAGTTTTAACCTATTAAATGCCTCATCGGATAATTCTGGCAACAGGCACAGTCTATGCAAATATAAACTTGATTCTGCAAAGACAGTGTACATACTAATCAATCAGGCAATGAACATTATGATCTTAGAAGCATTCATTTCCTTTAGTCAGGCACAGTGTAGATGTGGCTGTGCCATCTACAGATGCATTAGAGAGGCCATCTACTCACATGGCCTTGGTCATCCAGTTCATTGTTGGTGAGCTTCAGCTTGTCGAAGCTGATAACTTGTCTCATCCAAGTCTCCCCCGAGGCAGGCGAGTCTGGATGAATGTACACACGGGGTGGCACAGGCGAGTCAGCATTACCTGCCACCATCCATTTCGAACTGTGGTAAACATACCTAGAAGGCAATGACCAGGCGTTCAGTATACTGTTTTTATCTTGGCATGTCCAACTCAGTAGAATCAGACAAAATGTGTGCCTATTTTGTTTCAGTTTTAAAATAAATCAATTTCCTCTTTACACTAAAAATAAAATTTCAAGCGCTTTTCCAAACCACTCTGAGGCAGCAGTGGCCTACTGACAATTCAGACTAAGGGGCGTGTTAACGGCTTAGTGAAAAATATGCATACTATCACCACCATAAATGCAAGCATATTCATTCTTATGAATGACACTTATTCACCCTAGACATTCCATCTCTGATATTTTCCACTTTTCTTCTGAATATTCCATCGACACGAAAAAACAAATAGCTTGTCAAGTTCACCTTTAAGTAAATCTCAAAAATACTTGAGAGTTACATTTTAAAATGCCCCGCTTCCTTCAAGATCATTTCTGATGTTAGACTATGTAAAGGCTTATGGAACAGACAGTAGAAAGGCAAGAGGAAATAGTCAGAAGTTCTAGAAACTTTTATTTTAATAGGAAAAAATGTTTTATCTGTTATCATTTGGTATTTTTTCTAATACTATGATACTATATATTGAGGACAAAGTATTCAGTTTAATTGGAAAATTTTGTATTATCATAAAATGTAGCCCCTTATTCATCTCCTATATTTCTTTCTTGATCCTTATAAAAAATTCTTTCAAATCATTTTTCAAATATTGCTAACCAAAAAATAAACTTTGAAAATAATGGTATATCTAATTAATATTACTTTTCTAATTAGGAAACAAAACATCCTTTCTATTTCTTTACATGACAAATATATTGACTCAGTAAGAATAATACATTTGAATAACAATGCCTCAAGTAAGAAATATTAATATTTAACTATATTAAGATTACCATTTATTAATAATTTAAAATAAGCTAATTAAAAAACTAGAAACTAGTATAACAATGAAGAAAAAATTATAAAATAAAATTATATACTTAGATATTTTCCTTCCATTTGTGTGTTAAGATTAGCATACAATTTAAAGCTATAATTTGCAAATAGTCTCAGAAAAGTCTACCTGTGTTATATACACATTTCTTTTTATAAGAGCATAAAATATTTTCAGAACGTCTCTGATGAGGCCCTTTGTTTCAATTCTTTGTCACATATTTCATTTTGGGCTCAATATGCCTTCTAGTCTTTCATTTCTTTTCTTGGGAAAACATATACAATCATAAAATTAGGGATAGTCTTTCAGAAATCTTCCTTTAGGCCAGAGGCGGTGGCTCATGTCTATAATCCCAACACTTTGGGAGGCTGAGGTAGGCGGATCACGAGGTCAGGAGTTCGAGATCAGGCTGGTCAACATAGTGAAACCCCAGTCTCTACTAAAAATACAAAAAGTTAGCTGGGTGTGGTGGGGAGTGCCTGTAATCCCAGCTATTCGGGAGGCTGAGGCAGGAGAATGGTTTGAACCTGGGAGGCGGAGGTTCCAGTGAGCCGAGATCACGCCATTGTACTCCAGCCTGGGCAACAGAGCAAGACTCCATCTCAAAAAAAAAAAAAAAGAAAGAAAGAAAAAGAAACCTTTTTCTTTTAAGTGGTATGATGTAATTTCAATAAGTTCCTAATTGTGGGCTTTTGTGAATATTAATTTTACATTCTAATAAGTGACAATAATTTTTAACTTGATTAAATACCACTCAAACATTAGAAAATAAGCCAAATTTTTTCCTAATATTGCTGAAAACATTGACAAATGAAATGAAAATCTTAGAGATTCAAGAAAAATTACACTGTGGAAATGAATTGAGTTACTGCCAAAACAAATAGAGTAATAGGCTCTAACAAAACCTTGAAAAAGTATGCATTTTGAATAGTCAAAACTCCACACCCACTGACAGAATAAAAGCTACAAGTTACACATTCTTTGTAAAACATTCTAAATACAAATAGTACAAACAAATTTCTTCTTGGGAAGCAATATAAGTGAAAACAAATTATGTTTTACAATTTGATCTTTTAAAACCTGACATCTTAATACTAATTTCTGAAATGTCTTTATTTCTATGAGAGTAAATTTGAATCAATTAAGTAAAATAAACCAACCAAAATGTAGGGAAGACATTGGGAAAATAAATAGGAGACAAACTTAGAAGAAAAAGGAATAATTATTAAGCTTATTAAGAATTATATTATCTTCCTCAGCACAAAACCCCATTTGGAATATGGGTTTTAAATCAAGTATATTTAAAAAATGAACTTTAATGTTTTCTAGCTTCTGTCATGTGGTAGATCATTTTAGCAAAACTCCCTAATGACTTATTTAATTAAAATAACTTATACACAAAACAAATAATAAGACTGTCTTTTTTATTACCCCTTTCTGTAGTATTCTATATGTCCATGTACTAACTAAAATCTGTGTACTTTTGATACCAGTAGGCTATTTCAAAAAAGCGACTCCTTAAATTGTTGAAGTGATAAAAAACAAATCTGATTTTGTTTAAACTTACTAAAAGCTCTGTCCCATGCAACAACAAAAAGCGAGAAAGAAACGAAGACAAGCAAAATTTAAAACAGTATCTTCGAATCTTCCAAACACATAAAACTTCCTTATTTAAATGTTAATGTTTTTAGCTCTTCAGAAAAATATAAAGCATTGTCACTGAAAATTGCTGATTTGTTTTCTTGCAAAAAAAAAAAGAGTAAAGATTGGTTTGAAACTGAAGAACGTGTATATTTTCAAAATTTACTTGATCTTTACATAAATATGTCCTCTTTCAAAATCCAAATATTAGAAGTTTTTAAAAGTTATAACACATACCAAAAAAACAACAGAAAGGTAAAAATTTATTACCAGTTTAGTGATGTCTTAATATCACATAAATTAGAAGATTTTTATTTTTCTTACTTGTAGAAAACCTTAAATAATATTCTGAAATTAAAAAAAAAGCCTACAAACATTGATGGTTTTGTATGTAACAAGATAAAGGAAATTTACATGACCAAAAGATCACAAAGAAATTATGACTTTCCATTTAATATAATTTATATCTATAAACATTACATAACATTTCCTCTCAAAATTCGAATTGAAGTGTAAGTCAATATAAAAGACACATTTAGTTTGGCAACACCAAATTATCCCCTTTAAAAAGTTCTCAGTATTTGAAAACATTTCTCTATCTATTAAAAACAAAACAAAAATTAAGTTTCCACATTTGCCGCAAGAAAAGGCACCATCTGGGCCGCTGGCACCCATGGGCGTTAAAGTATGGATCTGGAAATTCTACAGACTTCTGGAAGCAAAGATCACAGTCCTCACAGATCAAACAGGCACTAGCCTGCAAAATCCTAGTGTTTTTTTTTTTAATTGTTCAGTATCTAATCACTGTACCTGTATCTTTTGTTGTCCACTGGTACAATATCCATGGCAATGTAATATTGCTGGTGAGGATCTAATCCAGAGATCTTCACTCTCATTGCTGGAAACATGCGCCTATTTAAAAAGGCGAAGAGAAAGAGGGTTTGGGGTTTTTGTTTGTGACTAAGGATGGAGCGTGAATAAGCAAAGAAACCTCTTGGATCTCTATTTTTAATATGGATAAATTTATAGTATTCACTTTGCCAATGTAATTCAAGGAGTCAGGACATAGAACATATCAGAACTGAGATTTTTAAATGTAATTTGTTGCACCCTGTGTACATGTGTTCTGTGTTTACTGAAATGTCAGTATAGCTAAAAGTAAAATAATTTTACACTGAGGGAGTAATGGCACAAAAGAAAGCATCTTATTTTTTAAACAAAATCGATAAGCATATTTACTTTAGTAATACAACTAATAAAATGTAACAAATGGTAGAAATACAAAATTTGGATCTCTGAAAGTGATAAAATACATTATAATGTGAAATTTTTAAAGGGTTATAAAAAACCACAAGGAGCCAATGTGCCATGCTATAACCAAACAATATGTTCTTTATTGAGACAGGACTTCCTGTCTGCAGCATGGTAAAGGTGAAGTGCAAAAGTTGCTCTAAATTTGAAAGGTATAGTAAAACTTCTTTATTGAAAGCAGAAACTAAACACAACGTATATTTACCAAATCATTTCTTCCCCCGCCATACCATGAAAATGTTTTCTTACTTAACCACACTTAAAACTTTGCTAATTAAAACAGATGAAAATTTGCATTTATCCTGGCTTCCCAAAGATGCATATCAAAGGAGATGCTAGAGTAAATGCACCCATCCTTTTAAAAAGGCACAGCAGCAAAGAATACAACAGTAAATTATTGTATATAAAAAACAAATACAGCAGTTTGATTTTTAAATATCATTTAATGACTTACGTTTAAGTCCCTTCCAAGGAAATCTAATTTTTGTTAATTTAACCTTATAACAGAAATTTTAGTAGTTATTTACCAAATTTTTTTCTATAACAAAAATACCATGAAAGACTACTCCTAGAAAAAAATAAAGTCTATTACTCCTAACTAGGTATGGGAACAGTTTAATACGCTGGCTGTTTTAGTATTATTTCAGTGCACCTGTAAGATAAAGAGTAAAGGTCTTTAACTACATCCTTTATAAGACAACTATTGCTTTGTGTTGGTGAAGACTGAATTTGGATCATTAATAAAAGCTCTGTGAAAATGTAGAAGGTAGCATATGGATTCAATAAAATATGTTTTTTTGTAATTTCTAATAAGTTTGGATACTTTTTATGCTATCCAGGTTTTTACCATGTGTACTCCCTGAAAGAGTTGTGTGTGCTTTCTAAAGTTCCGTTTAAGGAAGCTTATTATTCATAGATTTCACTGCACTAAATAAACTGAAAACTTTAAAATGCAAATATTCATGTGCCTACCTCAAATTAATATGATCTGCCCAACAAATCCATTTATTTTACTAACCAATGGATGGGAAAATTTCACACTTTTTAAAAAACCGATGTACCTTTTTATAAAAAATTTTTAAGTATTCCTCAGCAAATTCAGGCTGTGTTGGATTCCATTTAGGACAAAAATAAATAAATAAATAACCAGGTACTCTAAATCTATAAACAGGATGCTTTTTAAAAATCAGGGTAATTATTCTTGCACCTATACATGATTAAACATGTATTGTGGGTGAGTCCAGTGACTTTTCCTCCTAGTCTAATATGAAATAGCAGGACAGATCATCTTATCAAATTGCCAGGATATCTTCTGATAAAGAACCAATCTGCCTGGGAGTTTCAAATCTGAAAAAGCAAATCATAGTTTACTGGAGTAAACTGCTGTTTAAAAATAAAAGAGAAAGGAAAAAAAAAAGAATGTTTCCTAGTTCCAGAACTGACAACTAGAGCCTAAATAAATACCTGGACAAGGGTAAATATGACCTCAAATTTATAACCGCCCTGAACGCAGAACATCAACCGCGACAGCTGTGGCATCAGCGGCGACAGTAATTTTCTCCCTGGCATTCAACCAGAGGGCAGTTGGACTGTGCACCGACTGCACTAGTGGTGGGTAGCCAAAGCTAGCCTCCAAAGTGAACCACGGTCTGGGGCCTGGTCCCGTTTGACCGAAAATGCTATCCAGAACCCCCACCGAGCTGCAGGCCCTTCTTCCTGATTGAGCTAGAGGTGAGTGAAGACAGGGTCTGGGGTAGGGAGGGGCGTCCACGCCAGCTTGCCCATTACCTGCCGGCCTTGGTGATGATCATCTCAGTGCCTATCTCATGAAAGCGCTTCCAGAGCTCGGCTCCCTGCAGATCCACCCGCGGGGCCTGCGGCGAGGGCAGAGGGGTCCCGGGCCGGGCCAGGGAGCGCGCCGGAGACCCCTTGGGGGAGCCTCCCGGTGACGCCAGAGGGGAAGCTCCCTGCTGGAAGCCGTCCTCACAGCCGCCTGGACAGCAAAGGACAGAGAAAGGGAACTGGTGAGGGAAACAGAGGGGAAGCCAGCCGCGGAGACGGGCCCACCTGGTGGCTGAGAAGAGGAAAATGACCGGGAGAAAAGGGGAAGCTTTGGTGCCATCAGGTCCTCCTAAAGAACAAGCCAGTCGATAGACACCCACATTCTGCCTGTCGAAGGGGCGCATTCAGAGCTCCAGTGTGGCCTGCTTGGTCCCCAAGTCCCAAGCCCGGGAGAGGCGCGCGGGCAGCGTCCACCCCACCCGCTGGGCCTCCGCAGGGCCAAGGCCCCAGCAGAAAAGGCTTCACGCCGCCGCCGGGGTCTGGGACGCTTGCCCGACGGAGTCAGAGGAGCTCCCGGGTCCAGAGTCCCCAGTGCAAACTCCGACGCAACCTGCGCCTCGAAGCGCAAGCAGCAAAAGCGCCCGGACTCTGGTCCCAAGAGCCTGGGCCTCCTTAAGCCATAAGCGTCTGCGGCGCCTCGCTTTGGGCCTTCTTTTGGGCCGGGCCGGAGGCATCTTCTAGAAGGCTCTTCAGACCCCGCTTTCGCCAAACTCCCGGCGCCCTGCGCTTCCAGCCCAGCAGAGAAAAGTGTGAAAAGCAAGCCCGCGGTCGCCGTCGGCCTTGGCAGAGAAATCAAGAGGAGAAGGGAAGGGAACCGCTCAACTACCCTTCGGGAAACCAAGTTTCCAAATATGCCGCCCTCTTCCTGGTTTGCACAAACGGTTTAGGGCATTCGTTCCGGTTTCAGGGTGGGGTATGCCGTCGCTCCCCTCCTCCCCGCCCTGTGCTTTTAAAAGTTAGGAAACAAAAAAGAGCACCCATTGGCTGGAACCCCAAGGGAGGCAGATGCAGGAAGCACAGAGCTGCACCGCTAGGCGCAGCAAACAGCCGCGGCCGAAGGCGCGGGTCGCCGAGTGGGCGGCGGCCGCCCGCGAGGCGAGCCTGGAAGCAGTATCTGAACCGTCTGGAGGGTGACCAGGTTGCGCGGCGAGCTTTGCGACTGACACGGCCAATGCGCTAGTGGCTGAGTGGCCTTGGCCATGTAGGGACGCGGCGCGCACGCACACCCACAGACTCGCAGAAGTTCAGGTTCGCGCCGGAGAGAAGTTATAGGCAGGAAGGGGCCCACTCACCCGCGGCTCCGCGCTCCAGGTCTGCGCCACTCCGAGCCGGCCCAGACGTCGCCCCAGCCGGCGGCGGGAGCGCAGCGCCTTCGTCTCCCTCAGAAGAACCCTTTTCGCCCGCGCCGCCGCCGCGGCTGCAGCCTCCGTCGTCCACGGCCCCCGCCGCCTCTTCGGCGCCCAGTTTTCGCCGCTTCTTCTGAAGCTGTTGCTGCTTCTCGGCGCCGATCAGCGCCTCCACCGAGAAAGCGTGCGCCTTGAGGCTTAGCATGCTGCACGGCGAGCCCCTTCGCTTCTCGGCCATCCCCCCCGCCCCGCGCCCGCCCGCCCCTCTCTCATATACACTCACGCGGGCACACGCGCGCTCTCGCTCTTCCCCCACCAAAAACTAAAAGGCTCTCGGGGCCTCCCGAGATCTGCCCCCTTCCCCACCGCGGGCAAAAAACAGATTTGGCGTTTCCGCTTTCTCGCTTGTGTTGGGATCCAGGAACCGGCGACGCGCCGGCCAAGTCTCCTTTCCTGGGTCTCTCTCGCGCGCTCTCTCACTGATGCACTCCTTTGCTCCCACCCCTTCCACCTCCTCCTGCTGCTCCGAGGTCTGCCTCAACTGATGCGCCAGAGAGGACTAACATGGGTAAAAAACACTCTGTGGACACAAATTAGGGATTGTAATTGAAATTTGTTGCCTTGATCTGTCAGCACTTCCAGGCAGGAGAGCGGTGGGAAGAACTTGCTCATTAGTGTCAATAAAGCGGCGGGGGCGGAGCCCGGGTCCCTGTCCATCACCCAGACGGCCGGCCAATCAGGAGGCGCCGACTCCGCGCAGCCCGCGCCCACTTCCTTACAAGGTAGCGAAAAACCAGGAGTGAAAAGCGCCGCTGTCTGGCTTGGATGTGCCAGCCACACGGACGCTGAACTCTGTCTCTCTGACGTCCGTAGCTGAGTCCAGCCCCGTAGTCTCCAGCTTTCCTCACCAGGACCTGGAAAGGCGGAAGTTCCCGGCTTTAAACTAGACGTTCAACAAGTTAGAAAATCAGGAATCTTTCAAGGTTCCGTAAATTGCCGTCCCACTTCCGTATCGCTTAATGTTGCTACAACTCAGAATATTGGGAAGCTGGGAAGAATTCGCAGGCCCCTCCTTTCTCATTTAAATGTTCCTGCACTCAGTCTGCGCCAGATATGGCTTAGGCTTATTTAAACTTTACTCCGTGATTTTTTTCTTAGGGGATACCAGGTTAAGAAATATGTAAATCCTTTAGGAGTGCAAAATGTTACGTTAACGCTCAGTCCGTCATATAAATGTCAGAAAAAGCACGCCCTTTCCGCAGCCCACCTTTTCTTTCAAAGAGTGGTAGTTATTTTAAAACGTAGGTCATGGGATTTTCATTCTGTACGTCTTTAACGATATGGACAACTTTAAAACCCCTTAAAACTTCGCAAAATGAAATAAGTATGAAGACGCAATAAAATTCCCCATTTGAAAAACTTCTCTGTGATTTAAGTAAGTTTATATTTGTCCTACTGTTGACAATTTACAATCGTTACTTCAGGCTTTTAAGGAGTCCATTGATGTATTTAAAACAAATTTAATAAAATCAGTGCTTTTTAATTAAATGACACCAAACATATATATTTGTACAATTTGTTTTGTAGTTTCAACTCGACTTTTTGTTAGGATTAACAAATATATATATATATGTTTGGTATAAATAGAGCAAATCTCTTGTGGAATAAAATTAATCGTGCATATTACTCCATCTTTTGTATAAAATACACGGCAGGCCGGGCGCGGTGGCTCACGCCTGTATTCCCAGCACTTTGAGAGGCCTACGCGGGCGGATCACGAGGTCAAGAGATCGAGACCATCCTGGCCAACATGGTGAAACCCCCGTCTCTACTAAATAAATAAATAAATACAAATAGTAGCTGGGCGTGGTGGTGCACGCCTGTAGTCCCAGCTACTCGGGAGGCTGAGGCAGGAGAATCGCTTGAACTCGGGAGGCGGAGGTTGCAGTGAGCCCAGATCGCGCTACTGTACTCCAGCCTGGCGACGCAGCAAGACTCCGTCTCTGTCTCTCTCTCTGTCTCCATATGTGTGTGTGTGTATATATATATATATATATATGACAAAGGAATTTTTTCCTCTCCCTCGTCCCTCGTTTAATTCAATCTCCGCAACCGTTGGCTGCCCTTTTATCTCTGACTTCTCTGTAAACTTTCAGTAGAGTAGCATTTGGGGGTAGATCCGCCACTGAGACTGATCCTTTTATTGTAGAAGAGAACGCGCGGTTCCTGGAGGCCGGACACCACAGCGGGAGTAGGAACCTGGCAGGCGATGAGCAGAGGCACGAGCAAGCCGCCCAGCCAAACCTGGCAGCCTTGAGGTCAAAAATGATTTTGTAATATCCTTGCGGAGGAAGCCTCTTTTAGACGCCTGAGAAACAAACTCAGTTGGGAGGAGGTGTTTTGCATTTTACAAAATGAAGGCTTTGCGACCGGTTTAGAGCTGTGTGGTCCCTAGTGGGTCTCCAAGCTCCGGGGTACCCTAGGCCGGTATTACATCATTAAAAAGAAGCGCAAATCCCATTTCTGAAGCTTAGCCGAAGGCAGGCGCCGGCAGGGAGAGCTAAGAGGCCGCCTAGAGAGTTTGGGCCGGGAGTGGGAGTGGGACAAGGCGGGAGCTAACTTAGCTGGAGTAGACGCCAGAAGAAGTTCCGTTCAGCTGAGGTGCCCCGCCCCAATCCCAGGCTCTCGGGGACCCCAAGAAGGGAGCTACCCGGTGCTTCTCCGAGCGGTCCTTACAGCTTTGGAGACTCTGCTGCTGCCCAGGGGTGTAGTCGTCGGAGCCCTCGGGCCTGCTGGGGCTCAGCAGGGGTAGTGGGAGCCCCTACCCTGGGAGAAACTGCCAGGGACAAACACTGTTTGCTGACGCAAAGCCTGTTCCGCAAAGGAGTTCTCCCTGTATATGTCCTGCAGCTCAAACTGATTTAGAAAGGGATACACAGGCCTGCAAGGCGCTCTCGGGATCATACAGCCTCACGCCCTCTTCTTTTCCTCTGCCATTTCTTTATGTCTTTCGCCTTCACCCTGGGCAGCAGACCCCAGCAGGCGGGGAAACCCGGGGACTGGTGTCCGCATTGCCGAAAGGCTGGAAAGCAGAGCCTCGTCTACATCCACGATGTTTCTAGAACGTGGCCCTTAGAAATAATTCAAGTGTGAGTAGGGCGCCGAGGACAGGACAAGGCGTTTGCCCCCTAGTCCTGCTACTGGCTAAGGAGAATCATAGCAGTAGAGCCGCACCACTGCTGCCGCCGCCTCCAACTTGCGTTAAGTTCGGCTCAGGCTACTGGATTGGGCAGGACCAGCTAACCCAGGTCCCGAGGGGCAGTGTGTCACAGACTGCAGCCCACTCCAACCTCGGCTCCTGGAGAAGGGGCGTCGAATCTCTCTTGGGCATGGGAGGGAAAGACATTCCGAGTTGGCTGGGCGGAGTGGCAGCCTTGAGAGTGACGAGTGACAGCAAAGCCTCGTCCTAGCAAGGCCTTTTACCAACAGCGCGGCATGCCCTTTCGAGGAGAGCGCCAGGCCCTCGCACTTTGCAAGTCAAGAGAGCAAAGAAAGCGGGGACAGGGCGCGTAATCGCAATGTCCGGTCGCGCGTGTGCACGTGTCTGTGTTTGCATGTGTGCGTGAGCATGTGCACCTGCTCAAGTGTAAATGTGTCTGTTGGCAGTTGGGGTCTAAGTACCTGAGAATGTGTGTCTTCTGTTGCTTTAGGAGATTAAAATGTCTTTTCCCAGTATTGAGCTACATTGAGGAAACAAAACTGAAATAAACTGTCAGGCCTCTCTCAAGACCAGCCGGATTCTATGTTAAATAAAAGTCAGCCAGAGGAGAATATTGTCAGAATGAATTAGTCTCAAGGACTTGGGGAGAGAGAGAAGGGCAAAAGATCCTTGAGCTCCCAGATCTGGGACAACGATATACAGTGGAATCCATGTCCTGCCGGACAGCAACACTAACTGGTGGGAGGGGGCGTGCAGGGGCGGGAGATGGACTTTTAAAAAGCATATCCGGTCTCTTCTTTATTTTTCTTGGTGCAGTTTAAAATTGGACAGTTCCGAAATAGTGCTTTTTTGTTGTTGTTGTTTTAAACTCATTCTCTGTCGGCTTCCACTCTGCTTTTTAGCCTGGAGCCTGTTTACATAGCATTGATACATGGCCAGTTGTGTATAGTTTGCTATTTCATCTTACCTGATTTATAAGATACTTACATTTTATTTATAAACAATTGTTTCTTTTTTAAGTTATAATTGTTAAAGCTCTATGCGTCCGGTCTTCATTCCTTCGAAAGATTGATTTTTTTTCTTTTACACTTGACACTCGCTGTATTTAACCCCTATATTTAATTTCTCAGACTCGATAAGGTAAGCCCTGAGTCTGTTCAGACAAGAATCTGTTCTTTGCCCCTGATCTCAGGGCACATCAAATGGTCCCCGAGTCTCCAAATAATCCGGACCCAGACTTCTTTGCCACACATAGAGAAGTTTATTATTAGTAAAAGATGAAGTGAGCTAGAAGCAGAAATGGGACGGAGAGTATGGGTGGGCAACGGCCAAATCCAAACACCAAGAGGGGTACTTATTTGGCTGCGTTCCTCTATAGTTTAATCTGGGAAGGAGCCATAGCCTAATTGGAGACCGTGAACATCAGCCTACGCTGAGTCACCAGGCAGCGCCGCACAAATGGGCTAGGGCTTCCCCTTTCCGCGATTCCTGTCCCTACTCTTTCCCACTCTCTTTCTTCTCTTTGCACATACTTTTCTTCTCGCCTCTCCTTCGGATCTGCGTTAATGAAAATATTTTATCTTGTACAAGTTTATAAAGCCTACGGTAGTAAATTCAGGCGTCCCAGGGCTCAAGGACTGCACTCTTGCGGATTTCTCTGCCGGGTCTGGTGCTGCAGATGCAAACCCAGGCCCCGTGAACAAAGCGATCCGGAGCTGCAATTCCTCCCTGCTCACTCCTGTGGCTGACTTGCACGCACAGACATCGCCTCCCCACTTGTTGGCGACTGTTTTCCATTCTTCCCCCAACAATTCGTCCTTCTCAATTCCGATTAGCTGAGACTGAAGCCCTCTACAAAGGACCTGTGCAGCCCACGGAACAACTCCGCAGTTCTCAGGTAGAAGAATCAGAATCAGGTCTGAGCCCGCGGAGTATCTCTTTAAGCGCTGATTTTTTAAAATCAATGATCGTTTCTCATTGGGGCTCCAGGGAGGTGCTCGGTTTCTGGAGTGTCAAATGAGAGTATACTCCCAGGGTAAGCTTGTCTTCATTCCTCTCTCTCTCCACCCCCCCGCCCCCCCGTTTTCCAGCTTGGAGAAAGGAAGGGGAGAAGGGGTCTTCTGGCCCACCAAGTCGAGGGACATTGAGGAAGTAATGAATCTGTGATGCGTCCAGAAGAAAATTCACCCTCTGGGAAAATGAGCTTCCGTATTCATGCTTGGTGTATCTCCAGCAGTATCTGCTCTACCTCCAAACAACACTGCAATTATTTTTTTTCACCCCGTGGGTGAAAAACCGCTGCCCTATCTCCCTCATTTATTGACTCACACTCCTCCCACAAAACTACAGTGTTGAGGGATCAGTAACAGAAATGTTCAAGAAGGCCACACTTGTCTTTATCACTAATATGTGACATGTAAGATGGCTTGAAGGAAGTACTGAAATTAACACCCAGATGTAAAAGAATACCCGAAGATGCCTAGCTGGACATTGCTAATACCAACATTGCAACAGATCAATTTGGACATAAAGCAAACTATTCAATAGGGAAGCTAACTAATATTCTCTAATTAGTTATAATGAGCATTTTAATAGTCTATGCTGTATAAAAACATGTTTAAATTGATATTTAAAATACACAGCTTCCTATTCTTTGAATTAAATATTTAATGTTATTTTTCCTTATAGACAAAAAGTTACCTTGAGTCTGCTGGTTTTACAAAATGAATTGAAAATGGAAATAAATGTTCCCGTTTAGGCCCCATTTAAGAGTCACTAGATTTAGTGTTTAGCTTTTAATAAAAATTATTGCACCCTCTAATTGGCTGTAAATTAGGTCCTGTTCTCATATTTTACATCTGTAGATACCGACAGTTCTTAAACAGTGGAAATTTTGTGCACATTCATATAATCTGCTGAAAGTATAAACAATGAAAAACGTGGCTGGAATTTATTCATATTTTTGTACTGACAGATGAGGCATTTCAGTTTCAGCTGAATGAAAGGATTTTTAATGGATTAATTTAAAGCCAGCACTGGAATTATGCAAAAAGAAATATGCTATTGAAAAATTAAAAAAAGTATTAGCATTAGGAATGAACCCTGCATTTAAACACATGAGCAAAAGTTTGACAAGAAGTTATGACTTTTCAGCATGACTTTTGGTTTGGTTTTGTCTTCACTTTAAATTGCGTAAACTATTGTGTCCTTTAAAAAGTGTATCATAAACAATTAAGAAAAAATAAAAAAAATGAAACAGCTTAGGGTTTTTCCCACTTCAATATAGAATTCTTAAAATTTATTTCAAATACAATAATCATACTGGAATATATTTCCAAGCTGAATTTTCAGAAATAGTCAAACGAGAATCCTCAAGTAAAAGGCTAAAGAGTAGTCATCATGAGAGGAACTCTACCAAAACACTTAACATGTTTTGGAATTTCCAAATTCAGTCACATGAAGAAAAGGGAATGGAAAAAAAAAAAACCTATCGCAGGCCATGCATAACAGGTGATGTAAATTTAGAATAACTAGCATTTCTAGAAAGTCTTGTGCTTTTTAATGTTCACCTCTAGTCTTCAGTGCGGGTTCCTTCTCAAATTACATAAAATGTACTTTAAGAAGCACTCACTACCTGCTACAGATGTCCAGGAAAACTGAATTATGGAAGTCGGAAACATATGGCAGTTGCCTATTGCACAAGGAAGGTACATATGAAAGTTATAAATTTCTTTCTTTAAGTCAGAATTGTAAACGCATTTTATAGGGTTCACAGTATGTATTACATCTGTAGATTTAATTTTTGAAATATATGTTTTTTGAGATATTTGTGGTTTGAGATTCTAAGATAAATAACTTATCTTGTTGTATTTTTAAAAATCAAGAAAAAAACCCTAACAAATAAAAATAAATATGTGGAGTGGCAAACATTTTTCTTTTATTTCTCAGCTTGTTATACTGAAAAGGACATCAGGCCATCTATTGGCAAATAATTACTCACAACACGGGAGGTACCTGTCAGCAGGGCGTGCTGTATATTGAATTCCCTATACGAAGAAGCAGAGATATCAATTGAGGAAAGCCAGCTTGGGGATGATATAAAAACCATCAGATTAAGATCTGGACCATGCAAATGTCAAAAACACACCAATTAAACTTGCTTTTGAGAAAAAATTCCAAGTGCTTGCTGATTTATTTTCCATCAAAATATTCAATTTATTTCATTTAACACGTTTGAAACCACATTTTGATTGCAATAATAATGTAATACTACATACTCAGTATTATCAATGGATATCAAGTACTATCAACTACCAAAACATCTTCCCTTCACCTTCAAAGTGATTAAAAAAAAATCACTCTAATTTTCTACCTGTAGCACCCTGTTATCTTTAAATTTACATTTAATTTTGTAGATTTTAAGAGTCAGAGCTCTCTTGTTTCAGTTTATTTGGAGAAATTTGTGAAGCAAGTTATCTAAATGGTCTTGGTCAAAAATGGGTTCAAACAAATAAATACCCTGAAAGTAGGCAGGTGCCTACAGGTAAGTTCGCTGTGAGTTCGCTTCAAGAAAACCATCTTTAGATTTCCATCGTGGAGGCATAGGGAAACACTCAAGATTGGTCTCCACTTTGTTGTAGAAGAATGAAACGGATTTGAGGGGAGAATAATGTAAAATTACAGCAAATGTTCCCTACCCAGGCAGAAGTTTTATTTGGTTGTGTTTTGAATTTCCCCTTTGCGATCAATCGAGTGGTCGCCAGTATTGGTTTTCTCTTCTTTCCCAGTTCCTGCTTTGCCCAGGGCTCCCCCTGGCCAGGCTTTGGATCACTTGGTCTCTGTGAGACAGTGAGGAATCGAGCGTTTCATATTATGGGTTTCCAGAAAGACGTGGGAGACGAATGAGGCGCAGAAAAACTTATCAGCTTCTTTTCCATCTGCCTCGGAAAGGTGGAAACAAGGAGAGCGCTGCAGAAATTTCTAATTTTTTTATTTTCCAAGTTTTTGTTGCTTCTTGAGCTCCTGTCCTGCCCTGTCCAGGCCATTCCACGTCCCCGTCCCCTTGTTTCCACTTATAATTAGAACTTTGTAAGGGGGCCCCAACCTGACTCCATCCGAGAGTAAGCTTAGTTCGGGATTATTAATTTTTTATGTAGCATTTATTACTTGATATTATTTAATAACAAAACTCTCAATAAAGTAAAAAGAAAGAAGTCAGTCCAGTTTCCGGGGACACCCTAAAATCCCTGGGGGCGGTTCCCACTGGTAAAATACTAAGGAATTCGTATTTCCGATGAAGTTCCAAAGCTGAAATTAAAATCCAGTCTGGGTTTCTGAAGCTCATATTGTTTTGGACAATATCTGCGTTTTCTTTCATTTAGTTTTCGTTCTTTCTGGTTTTGGTGCTTTTTCTTTTCTTTTCTTCTTTTTTTTTTTTTTTTACATTGCCGAAGACAATCTGATTTACAGTTTGACTGAGAGTTGCATTTCTGTTTAGAAGGTGAAACGTCTAAATCGCTTAGCCAAATTATTCCCCGACGGCTCCAATATTGTGCCAGAGTCCCAGAGTCAGTTATTTTTATGTCTGACTGTATTTCACATGTGCAGGGTGATAAATAAAATCCGTCTCAAGCTACAAACTATCTGAGTGTGATGAGGAACAATCGACAAAAATTAACCCAGCCAAAGCGTTGGGGTTCAAGCGAGCGACTGGACCATAAATCAGCGTCGCGGTGGCGTCGGGAAGCTGAGCGCTCGGAGGTGCACTCAGCTGCCTCTGGGTTCGCCCAGTCCGAGAGCGGGGCTCCGCCGCGGGAGCCCGGGCAGGAATCGGACTCCGCCAGGGGTTCGGAGTCTTCTGGGGAAAGGGCGTGTTGGGAGAGAAAGGCAAGCCCACGCAGGAGCGACCTCCTAATTAATTCATCATCGAGAATTCTCCAGTGGGGTGTGTGTGTGTGTGTGTGTGTGTGTGTGTGTGTGTAAAATCAAAAAAGACTTGGGAGGCAAACTTGGGTGGGAAGCACTGAGGAAGGCGAAACAATTCCCAACTTATCTGGATCCCAGACGAGTCCCTCTGATTGCTTAAGTCACTAGAAAAGGAGATTCGTCTCAGCGATTAACAATGATACCCTTTTTAAGAGAGATCAAAGAAGGCGCCTAGGGAAGCTCTACAACGCGGCTTCTTGGAGTTCTGAGGCCGCCTGCGCATTCACTTTCCAGTGTAAGCCCCCGCTCCGGAATCCCGGCTCCAGCCCAGCCCGCGCCCCCTTCCCTGGAAAGACCTGGCCGGCCGCGCCCCCGAACCCCCGAGGCGTGGGTGTCAGGCTAAGCGGGGCTGGTCCGACCGGTCGCTTCCAGCTCTCTCCACCTGTTGGAAAGCCCAGGCCCAAGAACCGCGCCAGCGGCGGCAGCACGTCACTCGGCGGCCACGGGGAGTCAGGGAGCGCGGAACGCGGGTTTCTGTTGATAAGTGCAAAGTACGGCCCTCTCGGTGCTAAGTGCACAGTAAGTGCGAAGAATAAATACATCATCTCCCGGGGCGGCTGTCTCGAAAACGCCTCTCAGCTGCCTGCGTTTCAGAGCCCGTCAAGGGTTATAGCTTAGTGTGGGCGTCCGCGCCGCGCCTGCGCCTCCGAGCGCCGGCCGAGAAGGGCGCGCAGCCACAGCCACCACATGCCACTAGCCCCGCAAGGCGCCTGACTCCTCTAAGGGGAACTCGTAATGCTCACCAAAAGCCTCAGAAACCCTGGAACCTATAAGACCGCACCACCGCGCAAACGGTGTCCCGGGCTGCGCTCCCGCACTGCACCGGCAGCCTATGAGGCGAGGCCAACCCGGAGACTGCGCGCGACGGGCGTGCGTGCGTGCGCCCGCAGATTCGCTTCAGGCGGTAGGTGTGGAGTACCTGGGCAGCTCCGGCGGGAATGGTGTTGGGGAGAAGGAGCTGTCATTCATAGTCTTCTACATATCTGAATAAAGAATTGCTTTTTAAAAATAGGTTCAGAGCCTAGTGAGTGAAAACTTAAAAGTCCCCGCGAGGAGCTCTAGTTCCCGGGCGGCGCGGCCCCGACTTTCTCGTCGGTAGCGCTCTGGCCTTGGGCGCCCGCCGCTTTGGCTATGGAGGTACAGTGGCCGCGTCCCGGGGAGCCTGGGCCTCCTTGCGGCTCCGAGCCTCCGCGGCGCCCGCGCCCCGACTCTCCGGTCCCGGCTCTCTCCAGGCCCGGCTGTCTCCGGTCCCTCACTGACTTCGCCAGCCGCACCACCCACCTCTTTCTCCCGCAGACGTAAACCCGAATACGCCCCGGCCTTGGGCCTAGGGCCTCGGCCTCGCCTGGCTCTACAGGATTCGGGGGCGGGGTAGGCCGGCAGAGCTCAGCTCGCGCCGTGGGTCCACATGTTTTTATTTCGTGACCCTGACCGCGTCCCGGCCATAACTTCCTCTGCGTTACAACGGGGATAATAATCCCCGGCCGGCCTGCCGGATGGTGGCGGGATAATATATCCCGGTGAGGGAAGGACCGAGCTTGGCAGAGACACTTAACTGTCCCACTGTGTGGCTGTTCACAGTCCGCCCAGATTTAGGGGTGGGATGGGGGGTTTTCGGGCCCCGGCCTGCTCCCCCTCTCCAGACCCCGCAGAAAGGGGTTCATGGGCAATTAGGTTCCGCTGGACTCGCCGGGCTGCGGGCGGGTGAGCGCCGCCGGGCACCGGGCGGGGGCACGTGGCGCCCTCTGGGGACCGTCCGCCGCACTGCCTGGCGTCCTGCCTGGGGAGGCGCAGCCTAGCCCAGCACCTCCCGCCGTCTCAGGCTCGGAGGAGCTCTGTACCTGGCTCCGCGCTGACCCCTCCACCTGGCTGAAGGCAGCAGCCCTGGGAGACTCTGGCACTCTGGGCCGGAGCAGGAGCTGTGCCCCATGGCAACCCAGACTGAAAGGGAAGCCCTGTCTGTTGCTCTTTGCTGCGGATTCGAGGGAGGCCGTCTCGAGTCGCTCAGAAGCGACCTAAAGAAGGCACTGGCCTCTGTGCGCCGAACCTCCACGAGATAGACTAAGTCTCCCAACCGTTTACAAAAATATGAAGCCATCTGGAAAAGCGAGCAACCACATGGATGGAGGGAAACAATTAAAAATAAAAGGTAATTAGGAGGAGGGACCTGAAAGGAATATTAACGTAAATGTTCTTTGCGCTTGAGTGTGAGATAACCCCAGATTTTATTTTATGAATTTCTGTCTAAACCTCAGAATTTTAATGGAACAAACGAACCAACCGACAAACAAAAATGCCAAGTATCCTCAAGCCCTGGCCAGCTAAGGGATATTTCCCAGTCAAGTTCCCAAGACCCATTACCGTTATCATCGCTCCATGTAGTGGTGGATGAATGAGCAACTCCTCCATTGCATTTCCATTTAAAATCCCAGGACACTCCACCTGTAACTTTCTTTGACTTCTCTCATTAGTGAAGTTATTTTTGCCCCCCCCACTTTTTTTTTTGTTTAGAAGGGCACATTTCACAAGTTTATCAGTAAATCAACTGTTTCAAACTGCCCCCATCTTGAATGATAGCTGACCAAAAAAAAAACAAAAGCAAAGTAAAGGCATATAGGGTGGTGATCTAAAGTGCTTACGGACTCTCAGTTGCATAGTTATTTCTAAGGCTTCATTTTTTACAAAATGAAACATTTTGGGGCAGTTACAGTTACATTAGTACATGTTGTGGAAATAAGCTTGCATTTAGGGAAAAATTATTAGAAACAGCTGTGATGTTAATGATTCAAAACCCAAAGTACTCAGTATGCTTAGTATCTACTTTTCATCATATTTTTTGTGTGCATCCACATAATGCATACTCTCTGTGTGTAATACAAGACACTTGTTTAATAAAGCAAACGATTGTCTGTGTCAGGGAGATTTGGTCCTCTCTGCCTCTCCCAGTCCATGTGCAGAACAGATCAAAGACCCGAAGTACCTCTGTCTTTCCAAAGGCAGCCAGATGGTGTCTTGATTTTTCTTCAGAATTTTTTTTAGCAATAGAATTCAAAGGATTAAAGAATCTGTGTGATGCTACAGATGAAAGCCCTACCCAGGTAAATTACCTTTCTTTTTAATGTCATGCATACCTTACCTTATTCCACTAAGGTTTTGAGAAGTCTCTGGAGAATACATATAATAAATATGTAAATGGTGAGTAAATGATTAAAACCGGGTAAAACTGAAATCACAATCCAGAGTCAAGATTAGAAGAAAATAAGAACTCTGATATGCATGGAAAATACTAGATAGTTGTTAAAGAGGAACTTTAAATTTGTCTCAGAGCTTCCTAGCAGCAAAAGTAAAAAGCAAAACATTACCCAATCAAAAGACAAGAAGAAATCATATCAGTTACTTACAGAAAGCAATATATTCCCTAAGGTGGTGATGATGATGATGATGATGATGATGATGACGACGATATGATATTTGCTGCAGTAGCAATAGTATGTTTAACATGCTGCTCTGTTCGGGAAACCAACTGTCCCTGCCTCACCTCAACACACACAGCTGTTCTTCCTGGGCTATTTTTACTTTGTTACATATAGATTAAAGCTGCTTCTCTATAATAGAGAGGCAGTTTGCTGTCTGAATTTTGGAATCAGACCTGGATTGAGTGCCGACTTCCTGCTCTGCTGTAACCCTTGGCAAGGCACTTCATCTCTCTCTCTCTCTCACTCTCTCTCTGAGACCCCATATTTTTATTAAAATGGAGAAAATCTATCCTATTAGCTGAAAGAGAGACTATTCTATAGCCTGACATGTCAGAAACTTTTTATAAGTGTTAGGCTATTATTGTTGTTTTAATTGTCATCAATGTACCACAAATGTTAGTTTCCTTTCTCCTTTTTCACAATTTCATAGCATTCAAGGGTACTTCTTCTTTTGGACCTCAGAGCAAAGGAGAATGCTAAAATTTGAGCTCCAAGATCTGTCAGTACAGATGAGCAAGATCTCTGAGCTCCCTCACGCTCCCTGCTTGTCTATAGTGGTTAAAGAGTGGAGCCAGTTTCTGGGAGAGAGCAGTGAGTGCTGGTAAGATGTGTCTTAGATCAGCAAGTACAGGAGTGGGCCAGTCCCTGACTGCTCTCTGTAGCAGCCCCACTCCTAGTCACCAGTGGGGATGGCAGCTAGCTGAATCACCTTAATATTGGGATAAGTCATGGCATGAATTAGTTCCAAAAGGAGGTAAGTATATCCAAAAGAAGGTAAAGAATATTATTTTGGAGTGGGAGGTTTTGCATGTCACTACAGAAAGTCAATATTCTTTTAAAGTATTCAGTACTGGGGATTTGGGGGAGCCTAAAAAAGGTCACACTCTCTTCCCACCATCCTTCCTCATCCTGCCACTTCCTGTGTAGTGCTTTTAAACTGAGTACTTGCTAAGACCCAGCAGTGGTGCCAGGTTTTATGGAGATGAGCTCTCTGTTCTGGATCTATCACCTAAGACTATCCAGGCAATTGGCCTCCAGAGAGGTCTTCTGTTTTTGTTCCTCTTCTGTCTTCCCTTCTTTCACCTGCTAAGCATCCACTAAACTCTTACCCTTCTCTTCCTGCAAAAACTTGTGGGTTGATAATAGATTAACTATCAATCCAGTGTATCTAAGACCCTATATTATATTTCCCAAGGTTAGCTGTATCTTAGAAAAGTATGGAGAAGTATATGTGCATGTTTGATGTATTCTAGTAGATTGTAAGCTTCCTAAGGTCAGAAACCTCATGATGTTTATGTACTGATTGGCCAAATCTAGAACAGCAGATAATTTGTTTCAGCTTGATGCAGCCCCATGACTAAACTTCCAAGAAGCCACATGACATAGCAGGGAGGACAAGGACTTGGAGTCAGAAGAGGGTGCCCGAGGCTTGTTGGCTCTGTCACTGGCTCTATGAATTTGAGTAACTACTCAACATGCTGAGCTTCTGCCTGAAGTATTTAGACAGGATGATCCCAGTGGTGACACATAGCACCAACATTTTATGGTCCTGAATCCACTTTATAGCTGAGAGTGACTTCATCTTTCTCTGAATTAACTGCCATGGCATTTTCTGTCTTCCTCTTTTAAGGGATATAGCACTCCTACCTTGTATTATAGTGATTGCAAACTATTTCTTATCTTCTCTGTTAGGCATAAGCCCCATGAGTTCAGGACAGGTGTCTACATCAGTGTTTCCAAAAGAGCCAGCTCCATGTTTTGCACAACTGTGCTCAATAAGTAGTTTTGAGTGAATAAAATCTGACCCTTTATAACATACACTAATTTGATTTAAAAAGAGGGCAATGGCTGGGCACAGTGGCTCTCACCTGTAATCCCAGCACTTTGAGAGCCTGAGGCAGAAAGATTGCTTGAGCCCAGGAGTTGGAGATCAGCCTGGGCTACATAGTGAGACCCTGTCTCTGTTTTTTCAAAAAATAGCTGGTTGTGGTGGCATGCATTTGTAGTTTCAACTACTCGGAAGGCTGAGGTGGGAGGATCGCTTGAGCCGAGGAAGTTGAGGCTGCAGTGAACCATGATTGCACCAATGCACTTCATCCTGTGTGACAGAGCAAGACCCTGCTTCAAAAAAATAAAAATAATTAGAGAGCAAGCTAACACTCTCCCATTGTTTGGCAGAGACAGCTAGACTTTGGGGGCACTGGTACACATAGGCTCCTTCTCTGTCAGGTATTACTGTCTTGTCTCCATGTCAGCCAGGATATATACAGTCATGCTTGTGGTTGTTATTTTTGTTTGAAGGGTACAGGCTGAATGGTCTAGAACAATTATTCACCTCTTTCCCTTAGCTAATGTATAGAATGTGGCAGAAAAGAAGGAGGCTTTATGATGGCAGAAAGGAGAAAGACACATGGGGGGAAATTTTTTCTCATCTGATGAAGATAGGTAGTGGGTATTGAGTTGTGTCTTCCTAGTCCCCAGTATGGGCAGACGGAGAGGCCTGCCTGTTCCTGTGGCATGGTTTCTTTGTCCATATTTGTCAGCTCTGTAAAACTCTCCCAGGGAAATGGAGATTTTTTTTAAAAAAAGGAGTGAGAAGACAGCTCTACTCTTGTTTGAAATGTATGTCTCTAGATTCCTCTTCTGTAATGGATTCCAGAATAACCAGTAGACTGCTCTTTAGATCTTTAGAGTAATACTGCTAAGAGAAGATACAATAAATCCCTATGAAGAGTCTTTTTTTTATTTTAACTCCTTCTACCAGTGAGGTCTTTGGGACTGCAGCCCTGCCTCCATCAGGCCGTTATACTCACCTTAAACTGAAGTTCCCCCAAGCAGCCTTTTATGCTGTAGCCAACCCAGAGCCTCAGCCTAAGCCAGCTGGCCCAGAACTCACACACTTTTTCCCTAGAAGATTGGTGCTTCTGGAGCTTCTGCTGCTACTGCTGAATGCCACCAAGTGGCTGAACTTTGCTGTTGCCTCTGTTACTGATGCCATCTCCATGGTCAAACCAATTTCCCATTGCTGAGCCTGGGTACAAGCTTGGATCTTGCATGTTGGAGGCATTGCTAAAGTGGTCCAGTTTTGTTGCCTTTCCCTCCTGCTCTGGGTTCTCCTGCTTCTCTTTTCCTAGCCCCATCCCCACACAGCAGTGAAAGTCCTTTTCAGTGAGCTAACGCACTCTGGCTATTCTTGCTGAAGATCTTTTCCTTGACTGCCAGGTCCAAGGGTGTGGTGGGGTATGATGTGAAATAGTACTTCCTTTGTACCTCCCCTTGTAGCTGTAGGAATCTCCATGTATTGACACATGGAAGCTGATCTCTGTTCCCCTTCAGGCCAGTTAGGTTTCCTTGAGCTCAATTGGATGTATGTTTATTCCCATCCATGTATCATCTAAATCTTTATATGGTAGATTTTCAGTACATTTATCTTGTAAATCTTAGGATTATTTATTTTAGAAACTATCAACATTCTAGCAGTTATTCATTAGTCATCAAAATTAATGCTAACCGCAATATAACACAATCCCTGAATAACTGTGGAATAACTCAATAGTTTTCTTCTCACTTAAGAGCCGAGTGAATCAGGTGGCTCTTCTGTGCATCCTTCTTTCAATTGGTGATTCAGGGACCCAGAAGTTAACTCCTTTTTGTGGAGCTGACTTCCATGGAACTCCTTTTTGTGGAGTTGACTTCCATGGAACTTGACTTCCATGTTTGCAGTGGAAAGGGAGGAAAGAGTATAGAGAAAGTGCACCTGTTCTTAATTACCTCAGCCTGGAAGTGACATTGTAATTTCTGTTCACATTCTACTGGCAAGAAATCATCCCCAAAGCCCCATGTACCTGCAGAAGAATCTGGAGAAATGTAGCATTTCTTTGTTCCCAGGAAAAAGGAAATAAAACAATTTGATGACTACCTAGCTTTCTGTCTGTCATAAGTTTTAAAGGGAAATTTTTATCTTTTCTGTGCTGGAGAAACACCAAGGCCAGTATGCCCCTGGACTCAAATGACAGAGAAAGTAGAATCTACTGTTGAATCAGGTGTAAAAACTAGGTGGAGTGCTATAGGCCATTATTTGGCTTTGCACTTATGGAACTGGTTCAAGGACAAAGTTCTCTTTGAGGTCGGGGAGAAATACATGTCATGGAATTGAAACAAGGTGCCCGCAGGAAGATGAGGATGTGAAGAACTAAGGGATACCCACTTATTGTGGTAACAGCCATATCAGTGTTAAAAGCCCCCAAAGCCATTCTATTACAGATTTCCATAGTCTTTTTATTACCAAAGTAGTTGCCAGTGACTTGAAACTTGGGAAAGTTTTGCCAACAAGCTGTAGTGATATTCCAAAATCCATGATTTGATCACCTCTTTTCTGGTCTTTTACTTTTAGTACTAATACATGCTATCAGCACTCGCCCTTCAGACTGTCTTGGTTAACACTTTATTTGTATCTTTAATGATTTAACAGATGTCAAATCTTGTTATTGGTTTGACAAGGGTTGACATTGCTCTATGTCTTTGCTCAGGTCTGGTTAATTTATGAGAGGATAACAGAGCACTGATGTTATTTTCTTGTGCTTTGATGGAAGTTTTAGTGTCCCAACTACCCTGTGGAAGGAGCTTTATACTTCTAAAGTGGTTGCAGTGTTCTTGTTAAGTTTTTTTTTTCCATTACAGTCTGCATTTTACCTTCTCACCGAACAGTATATTGTAATACCATTTAGGATAGTTGGTTCAACACCAGTACCATCAAATTTTCCAGATGATAACTACAGCAGAGAAGAAAACTAGAAATCTTTCTATTCTAGGAGAGAAAATGGACATTGCAAGCTAATCTGTATTGGGTCAAAGAGACTAGGAAAACATATGTGTTGTCTATTTTTAGAACAATTGCATTTATTGTTTAAAATAGCTTAACATTATTCTTATTTCTGAACTTGTATGGTAGTCTTACAAGTCCTCCAGAATCTTATAAATTGCTTTATTGGCTAATGTTCACTGGCCATATCAAAAGCACCTAAGGAAGCCTCTAGCCAAATAAAATAATTTAATGGAGATCCACCGAGTGACAGGAGATACATGTTACAAACTGTACTGACCACAGAGAAGATGTGGCCTTGGCCTTCAGGAGTTTATAGCCAAGTAAACTGTATGGTAAATAAAAAATCAATTAACTCTACTAATAAAGCAAGGAAAGCATAGTCAGAGGCAAACCCATGATAGTACCTAAAGGAAATGTAGGTAAAAGTATTTGGGTAATATTCTTTTAGGGAAAAATGTCAAAAAGTGTCCAAGTAGGAGTCAGGACAAAGCAAACCATAAGAATTGAGAGGTTGTTTCTGGTACAGATTCTTTCACTTACTACCTGTATGACTTTGGGTAAGTTCTTTAACTTTTATGAGCCTCCATTTCCTCAAATGAAAAATGAAGAGCGTAATGTGGGCCCTGGCAAATGCATTAACTGACTCTGCAGGTTGGATGAGACTATATATTTGAAAGTGCTTTAGGATGGTAAAGTGCCACATAAAGTAAAGGCAAGGAGAGGCCTTACTCTTGTACTTCCTCATGTCATTCTCTCCTCTCTGCTTTCTCCTTTCCCCCCTCCACACCCCCACATCCACACACAAACAGCTGTGACCCTTCATTTCAGCACATGGAAGAAGCCAACAGGAAGCAACATATTTTAGGGAGGTGGGATGGGGGGGAGAATTTTTTGATATCCTATTTGGCATCCTGAATATATGTAAAAACAGTAATTTTGGTGAATAATTTTTCCACCAAACATTTGCTTCCAGGCTGCTGAAAACATTTGCTTTGTGAATAAAGACATAATTTAACTATGAGAGGAGGTAGCCCTTGGTGGTGGCTCTAGATCAGTTGTCTGAAAATCAATTTGCCAGATTACCAATTGCAGGGTAACCATCCAGGAAGTACATTTTACCAGAAAGAAGAGCGCTTTAAAAGGCTTCTCACTAGCAGAAGTAGAGGCAAGGATGGGGCATATGCCACTGGGAAAAGAGAAGGCTGTAAACTGTACTTAAAGGAAAGCTTGTCTGCTCATGTTTTAAATGTTAAATCCTGGAAAAATGCTTCAGCATCTGAAATGTGAATCACATGGGAAACTGACATTGAAATGAACAGACCTATGAAATCATCTGTGAAAACTGCTGATGTAGTTTCGCTAAATCTACTACTGATTAGTTTCACTAAAACTAACATTTTGAAAAAAATCAATAACAATTCAGTGAATTAGTTATTTAACAACTTGGTCAGACCAGTAAAGGGTGACTATTGATTCAAATGAGAGTGGATTGTGTCCAAACTGCTTTTTTCACATGTGTGTTTGTGTTTGTGTGTGTGTGTGTGTGTGTGTGTGTGTGTGTGTTACGGAAGGGGGAATACTGCAGGGGTGTCATTTAGGCAGTGGGAATTTTTAAAGCTGGGTAGGAGAGTCATAATTTTTCTACAGTTTGTGCAATTTGGGGAAGGATCTAGAATGGTGTTGAAGGTAAGAGATAGGAGTGGAGGCAAATGCTGGGGAATGTATCCCATAGAACTCAGGTGTGCAAGACCCATCCCAGGAGCACTGAAGTCTGGATAGAAAGAAGCCAATCAGATTTCAGCAGTAGCCACAGTAGGTTTAGAGCTCTGATGAGGAATGGCTATGGAACCCCCAGGTGGTCAGAGATGTGGATTGGTGGCATCAATGCCAGCATCTGAAGAGTTAAGAACCTGACAGCTAATGCTGGTCCAGAAGTCAGAAACCCCATGTTCTGGCCCCAGATCTTCCCTTAAATTGGCTTAGATCCATGCTTCTCAAACTCTGTCAAGGACTAATTTAAAAAATTTCCAATTCTTTTTGGACTGATACATGGTCCTAGTATACATGACTTACACACAGCTTGTGCCATGTATGATTTACCGAGAGAATTAGATTACACTCAAACTGGTATGTACTCTATTCAACGAGGTAAGTATACTGATCATGAGCTTAGATGTTACAGAAATGTAAAATTTCTGTGAATTCTTAAGTGTTTATTCTCAACTTTTGATCTTACCTCTTTATGCATTAGTAACAAACCGTTTGTAGACTATCACTGGAGATGATCTCTAAGGTATTTTCTACTCTGACAGTAAAATGCTGATGTGGGAGGGGCACTTATCTTTCAAATACAGAAATGCTTCCTTTATGTATTGTTGGAGAGTGAGACTGAGACTGTGTATTAGGGAATTTCTCCGAGAATGGAAGCTTGAAACACTGGGTAAGAGGATGCTGATGGTCTTGCACCTTTTATTCCTCCTTCTTCCTTAGTATCGGAACCCGTAATCTTTAGCTGAACTCATAACTCCTGGAATAGAAATTACATTTCCCAGATTCCTTGCAGTTGCTGCAGTCATGCGCTAAATTCTGGACGATAGGATGTAAGCAGAAGTGCTTTTTTCAGTGGGCTGGTTCAGGTTCTTGACTTCAACACACAAAATTTGAGAGCAAGTCCAAAGTGAAGGTAGGTAAAGAAGTTTATTGCAAAGTGAACATACACTCTGATAGTTTGGTCAGAGCAGACTGTTCTAGAATGAGACAATACCATATGGCACTGAGGAAACTTCCTTTATGGGAATCTTGCATGATTATTTATAAAGGGATGGGAATGGGCATTGTTGTTAAGCATATTGTGAGTGGTCTCCTGGATGTGCATGTGATATTGCTGTACATACTAGTACATATATGACATGTCTCATTAACATTTTAATTCTCCACCCAGGGGTGTGTTTTTTATTATTATAGTGAGCATAGGTCAGCCCAAGGAGACTACTCATGGGTTTCTGTACTTGTGTGAATATGAGGATTTCCCTTCTGCTCTTTTACTCCCTTGTTGCAGGATGTTCTAGCCACAAGATCAGGGTGCAATTTGTGCACTGTTGAGCAGTTTGCTCTCTCCATCATTATGGCAAGTTTGTGCCCCTTTAAGGGAGGCTATGATCACCCTCTCTAAGCTACCTCAGTGTGACAACTTATGGGAAGCCTCCTGAAAGGAAAATAACTGGAAAGTGGACATAATTCCTTTATATGTTTAGCTGTCTTGGGAATGGAGGCCATGTAAGGCACAGCCACAAGCTAGATGGAGCCTTGATGCCTTCCACCACAGCCCAGCGTATAAGTGGGAAAGGTGAATTTAAAGCTACATTTAGAATTTTAAGTGTTTCATTTATGAATTTTGTCTTTGTGGGCACTTTGGAGTATTAAAGTGTTTCATTTGTTTATTTGGGTGTTTTTAAGCAGAGTAATGTTGTGACTTTAAATACTAAAACTTAAATATTAGGGAAATAAGTCAGACAACACTGTGAAAGATACATTAGATGGAGAAAAGAATGGAAAAGCAGGTAGTAATATACTGCAGTCTATTATATACTACAATCTACTACAGCATAGATGAGAACATGACACAAGGCATCGGCCGTGAGGAAGGGAGATGCATGTGAGACATGTTTTTACAGAAACAAAGAGATTTGGGTATTGGCCAGGTATGGGCGATAAAGGAAAGTGAGGGGTCAGATAGTTTCAGTGTAGATGATGGTACTTTTAACTGATATTGGACTCAAAAAGCAAATAAAGTTTAGGGAGAAAGGTGATTTTAGTAACTTGGGGAATGCTGAGATAATGCCCACAAAACATGAAGGTTTAATGGTCATACAAATGTTTTGTAAATTTCTATAATCTGCTCCTGAGGGCATGTTTTTCTTTTTTCCTGTAGTGTCCCAACAAATGGTGTTAATGACAAAATAATTTACGAATTGAAAGTTCTCAGGAGGAGATGGGACTTGAAAGTCAGTGATATATGTATAATGCTGTGAGAGCTGGTGAAATGAACAATCCTGAGCAGAGGTAAAAAGAGAATTTAGGAACCTTAGGAAATCTCCTCCTTTAGGAATAAAGAGGAAAACCAGTGAGAGGATGTTTCAGAAGGGGTGAAAAGACAAAAATGTGTTCAAGAAAACAGTTTCTTGAAAGAGATGAGATGTTGAAGAATGAGATGTTGGTGAGTTATATTAAATGCCACCAAAGAGGCAAATTTCATAGAAACTAAGGTCAATGACTTTGGAATTAAGAGTTTGACAGTGATCATTGAGAGAGCAATTTCTATAGAGTGGTGATTCTTACACTTTAGAATCATCTGGAGGGCTTGTTTAACACAGAATACTGGACCACACCCACCCTCTATCCTCCTATTCTGATTCAGTAAGCCTGGGAAATTTGCATTCTTAACAAGTTACCAGGCAATCCTGCTGTCGCTGATCCAGGACTATACTTGAAGAATCACTGCTATAGAGCACCAAGGATAGAAGAGTTGTTGGACAAAAAAGAAGAAGAAGAAGGAAAGAAAAGCCCACTCTACTCACTAATTAAGACTTCATCACCTACTCCTGATGCAAGCAACAGAATAGATTTTTCTTAAATATTCGGAGCTGAAGAACTTTTGCCAAGACATACAACTTCTTTTAACTTCTGTTTTCTGTTCTGTATAAATAGGGGTAATAATAAAACTTGCCTCTACTCATTGCTCTTAGGAGTAAAAGAAATAATATTCCAGGGATATGACAGCATTCACTTCAGTGTTTGGTTCTCAAATAATTGTGGAATCTGAGCATATACATTATTTATCCAAAGACGAAATAGCCTTTACACAGATTAATGTATTTAGTTTTAATAACTGCCTATAGAAACTTTCTGCAGCCCTCCAAAAGGTGTCTTTGTAATTAGTACTCTAATGCCATCTGTAAATTAAAAATTCAGCAAATACAAAAGGCATGATGACTGTTTTCAGAGACAATGGAATTTTATAGTACATGCCACAAAACGTTTTCCTTCTTTCTTTTTTAACATGTGCTGTTTAAAAAATTCTGTCTACTGAAATATTATCCTCTGGTATTTTAAATAAACATTTTAATTAATTGCTTATCATTTAGTTTATTAATGTGATGAGTGAATATAAATCACTAAAACATGTTCGAGGAAAGACTATGAAAATCTATTTAATAAAAAAGTGAATGTTTGCTAAAGAATTTAACTGGATGCCAAAATAAACACTGTCAATATTTTTCATTAAATAAAACAGTATATATTTAAAAACAAAACAGTATATATTTAAGTCATACTAGGTTTAAATAATTAAACTCCACAAGGATAGGTAAATAAACCAGGATTTTGAAAAATTAAATTTAAATAATTTTAACGAATATCCTAATCCAGTAATTATCTTTAGCCAGGCAGTGGTTATTGAATGCGTCTTTTTTTGTTTGTTTGTTTGTTTGTTTTTGAGACGGAGTCTCACTCTGTCGCCCAGGCTGGAGTGCAGTGGCACGATCTCGGCTCACTGCAAGCTCCGCCTCCCAGGTTCACGCCATTCTCCTGCCTCAGCCTCCTGAGTAGCTGGGACTACAGGAACCCGCCACCACGCCTGGCTAATTTTTTTTGTTGTTTTTTCAGTAGAGAGGCGGTTTCACTGTGTTAGCCAGGATGGTCTCGATCTCCTTACCTCGTGATCCACCTGCCTCTGCCTCCCAAAGTGCTGGGATTACAGACGTGAGCCACCGCGCCCGGCCTGAATGCTTTTTTTATGGTTATAGAACAATAATATTTTAAAGTGTTCCTGAATTTTGAGAGAAGGAAAATATTATCTATGATAATATTGGTTTTATATAATTTTCTGAGGGTTTAAATTAGATAATATAAACATACTTGGAACAGAGTACACATCGTAATAATAACAACAATAATAAACATAGTAGCTATTGCTATTTTTGTCTGAAATTGCAGCCAAATCATTACTCTATTAGCCCAGTTTAATCACTAGTACATCACCATATAGTAGATATTATCTCTAGACTCATTTTACAGGTGAGGTAATTAAGCCTTAGAAAAGTGAAGTAGCATCCTAAGCAACACAGCTAATATGTATCCAACACATCTAATTTTAATTCTAAGGGTTTAATTACAAAACATGCTGAAGTTAACTTGAATACAGAAAATATGTCTAAATGGAGATTGTGATCATTTAGAGAGTTACCAAAACATGCCAAATAAAATTCTACACATATTTTTCCACATTTTTGCAATTGTGAATTGTGCTGCTATAAATATGCATGTTCAAGTATCTTTTTCATATAAAGACTTCTTTTCCTCTGGGTAGATACCCAATAGTGGGATTGCTGGATCAAATGACAGTTCTGCTTTTAGACCTTTAAGGAATCTCCACACCATTTTCCATAGTGGGCATACTAGTTTACATTCCCCCCAGCAGTGTAGAGGTGTTCCCTGTTCACATCCATGCCCACATCTATTATTTTTTGATTATGGCCATTCTTGCAGGAGTAAGGTGGTATCACATTGTGGTTTTGATTCGCATTTCCCTTATCATTAGTAATGATGAGTATCTTTCATATGTTTGTTGGCCATTTGTGTATCTTCTTTTGAAGATATCTATTTATGTCCTTAGCCCACTTTGTGATATGATTGTTTGGTTTTTTTCTTGCTAATTTGTTTGAGTTCATTGTAGACTCTGGGTATTAGTCCCTTGTCACAACTGCAAAAATGTGGAATCAACCCAAATGTCCATCAATCAACAAGTGGATAAAGAAACTGTGTACATGTATATATGATGGAATACTACTCAGCCATAAAAAGGAATGAATTAATGGTATTCACAGCAACCTGGATGGGATTGGATACTATTATTCTAAATGAAGTAACTCAGGAATGGAAAACCAAGCATCATATGTTCTCACTCATAAGTGGGACCTAAACTATGTGCATACAAAGACTTAAGAATGATACAATAGACTTGGGGACTCATGGGGAAAGGGTGGGAAGGGGGTGAGGGATAAAAGACTACAAATAGGGTTCAGTGTACACTGCTTGGGTGATGGGTGCACCAAAATCTCACAAATCACCACTAAAGAACTTACTCATGTAGCCAAATACCACCTGTTCCCCAAAAAAACCTACGGAAGTAAAAACAAAATTCTACACATATTTTTCAAATAATATTTCCGATAAAGGTCTTGCATCTAAAATGCATAAAAATCTCTTACAACTGAATAATAAAAAGACAACCCAATTTAAAACTGGGCAAAAGATCTGAATAGACATTTCTCCAAAGAGGATATACAAATAGCCCATAATCACATGAAAAGATGTTTGACGTCATTAGCCACTAGGGAAATGTAAATCAGAACTGCAATGACATTGCACTTCACACCACTAGGATGGCTATGATAAAAAAAAAAGTCAGATAATAACAAGTACTAGTGAGGATGTGGTGAAATTGGAACTCTCATGCAATGCTAGTGGGAGTATAAAAGAGGGTGCAACCGTGTTAGAAAACAGTCTGGCAGTTCCTTAAATGATTAAACATAGAGTTGTCATATGAGTCCACAAGTCCACTGCTAAATATATACCCAAAAGAGATGAAAATATGTGTTCACCCAGAAACAAATGTAAAATTTACAGCAGCATTATTCATAATAGGCAAAGGGTAGAAACAACCCAAATACCAACTGATGAATGGATGGATAAATGTGGTATATCCACACAATGGAATATTGTTTGGCCATAAAAATGAATAAGGTACTGATACATGCTACAACATTGATGAGACTTGAAAAACATTATGCTAAGAGAAAGGAGCCAGTCACAAAATACCACATATTACATGCTTCTATTCTTATGCAATGTCCAGAACAGGCATATCTATAGAAACAGAAAGCAGATTAGTATTTACCTAGGGTTGGAGGAGGTTGAGGGAGGGTGGGGAGAGATGGTAGCTAAGACATACAGGGTTTCTTTTTGGGGTGGTTAAAATGTTCTAAAATTGACTGTAATGATACTCACATGTATCTGTGAATATGTTAAAAACATTAAATTCACTTTAGATGAGTAAATTGTACGATATGTGAACTATATCTCAGTAAAACTGTTTTAAAAATAAAATGTGTGTGCATGCACGTATGTGTGTGCACGCAACACGTTGGGGCAGAGGGGTGTTTGTGTGCATACTTAAAAATATGATTAATGAAGAGGAATGGGTCCAGATGGTACCAAACACTTCATAGCAACATAATTAAAACATGAAATTGTGTTAGCAAAATAGTTTTTTCACATATAAACCATGTTTTTAAGATTCTTAATTTTTCATTTTAAGGCATTATCTACTAACTTTCAACACTGGGTGGGGGGGAAATTAGTTCTCTCTCACACCTCTTCTTTCTCTCCCTCATCACTCACTTGCAGACTTCTCATCTCCTCTCCTCAGAATATAGTTATATCACAATTTTACTTAGATCTATATTAGTATTTACATTATTATGACTATGTAAATGGTATTGCAGGTGAGCTTGTTTGATACCTAAATGTCAAACCCTCTCTTCAATATATTCAGACACATTACACTTTCTACTAGGTTTGCATCCCAGAGTTTTTTGACCTGTTCTAATCTGTCCCAGTTACTCTCTGAGCACAGTTCTGGTTCTGGGATCTAAGGGAGTCCTGGGGAATTTCTTTTTCTCTCTCTGTTCTTGGATTTCTGTTATCTGGACTCAGTGTTTTCTATTTCTTGGTGTACTATTTGATTTGGTGGAATACCTCTTTCCATAGCTTCTTGATAAAGCACACACACTGAGTAAAAATGTTCAGAGCTTGAATGTTTTAAAATGTATTCGTTTTACTCCTGCATTTGACTAAGTTTTGCTGATATTGAATTTCAGGTGAAAATCAATTTTCCTCCAAATGTATTATATCAATTTTTAAAGTCATTAAATCCATTATTTGTATCAATTTTCCTCTAGCTTCCATGTTGCTGTAGATAAATCTGATTTTCTGATTCTTGATTCTTTGGATGTAACTTGTTGTTTCCTACTGGAAGTCCTATAATTTCTTTCTTCCCACTGTTTTAAAATTTCATGGTGACGTATCTTGATGTAGATCTTTTTAAATTTTATTATGCTGAACATTAGGCCACTTTCAACCTAGAGTCTCAAGTCCTTCAGCTACAAAAAATTTTCTGAAATTACCTTGTAGATTTTCCCATTAGCGTTGTATCTTTTTTTTTTTCTAAAACTTCTTTTGTTGGACCTCCTGAACTGAACTTCTATGTATTTTGTTTTTTTTACATATACTTTTTCTTTCATATTTTACCTAGTCCTTATGCTCTACATTCTTGGAAATTTCTTCAAATTTACTTCCATTCCTTCCATATAGTTTTCATTTCTGCTATCATATTTTACTTGTGAAGGGTTCTTCCGTTTTTCCCTGAATGTTTCTTTAAAAAATCCTTCTGTTTTGCCTTACAAATGCACCATCTTTTATCTCTTATTTTACTGTAGACCAATAGCTTTCATATTTCAAGATTAGAACATGTAACATTGCAGAAAAGAGACTGATATAAATTACTCTAGAAGATATATGACAAAATTGAAGTTTCAACTGAAACTTTCTATAAATAATAAGCAATACATTTTCACTTACCTTGTCTTCTCTGCAGCTATTAATAGATTTTGTAAAGTCTTCACCTCACTATACTGTTTATTCTAAGATGCTCTTCCTCTAGATTTACTTTGGTTAACATATTTTATAACAGAGACTTTCCCTGGATGTCTGGGTACGATCCAGCAACTAGGTATGGTCTCACAGGACCTGAAGAAACTCTGGCTTCTGGGGTGGCTGTGTAAAGGGGCTAGGTAGTACACCCAGAAGTGCTGGGAAACTAAAGCCTCTTGTGGAAGTCTTTGACCAATAGATAGGAAACCAAAGATGAGTCAGCACATAAATTGCTCACTTCCCCCATTTCCTCCCAACAACAGAGTCTTCCAAATTACTATGATTATATGTGGTCTCCCTGAAGAAATACCATGTGACCAATTATTGAGCCTGTGATTTCCTGAGGAGTTACGGTGAATTGACAATGCATTTGCTTTCCTTTTTTTTTCCACCTCAGTTTTCCCTTTCTGTTGTTTCACTGGGGTTGTATTATCCAAAAAAGTGGCAGCATATAAGCTTTGCTTCAGGATCTGTTTTCTAGAGTAAACCTCCTCATATGTTAATGTTCATAAAAATTACCTGAGTAATTCAATGAAGTACAGATTCTGATTCAATACTCGGGCTGGGGACTGAGAGTCTGTGTTTCCAACAGGCTCCCAAGTGATGCCAATGCAGCTGGTCTGTGGATCACATTTTGAGTTACAAAGCTGTAGGAAACACAGTGTAAGGCAATTGGTATAGAAGTGTCATGGTACTAACCCCTGGTGTGCTTTACTATATTAATATGCTTTAATATGTTGTTAAAGCTGTTACATATGGTTAATTTGGCTGAGGTACAGGTGAGTGACATAGCATTAGAATATATCTCCTGTACTTGAACATTATCTGAGAAAACAATAATTATAAGGATTGCAGTGTTGATGGCTACTTCTGACATCAACAGAAGCCTTGCAAAAAAAAAATATGGGCTTAAGACAGCTGACTGATAACCTATGTCATGCTGTGACAGTCAGAGGACCTTATGGCAATTTTAACAAAACTTTCATCTCCTGCAACTGCATGACTGACTGGACTGAAATTCAGTCCCTCGATCTGTTTATAAGATGGCAAGTCTGTAAAAAAAACTAAATGTGCAGGCTCAATAGTTCCTCTGTGTCTAAATGAGAGTTCTGATAAGAAAAAGAGTTCTGAGAACTGGGGTACAAACACTTGGGTGAATATGCCTGAGAGCCATTAACCCCAAGGAGGTCAAGGAGAGTATGTGTAACCCTTTGCCAGGCCTTGGAGAGTATGTGATTACTTCGAGTAAGTCAATGCCCCAGACGATGATGTTCATTGTCATTAAGATCTGTCCCCACCATATTTCATTGCTTCCAGACAATAACCAGGGTTAGCTCCCAGCACAGCCTAAGCAGGGAAGTACAAGACTGATGCAGAAGAAACAATTACATACCAACAGAATTGTAGAAACAGGATGTATGTATATATACATATATATGAATATGAATATATATATATTAATGAATACACACACACACCAGCAGGAACATGGGATTACATGCAGGATGGGATCTTGAGGGGGTTAACTGGGGTGAGGTGAAGCATATGGGTTGGGTAAGAGAGAATTCATAGGGATTTCACCCAGTTCAGTGTTCTAACGAGTATGTCTATAGCTAGTCTTAATAATTTGTTGAGATAACTCCTTGAAACTTGGATATGCAGTGGCCTACAGTAAGTAAGGTAGTAATGCCAGAACTTTTTTTGGCAGAGTATTGAAGAAGGTCAGAAGGCTTAGTGTGGTGGAAATCTTAGAACTGAATTAGCACCTGAGACCCCTGACTATGTCCCTGAGAGGCAAGAGGGAAAAATCCATTCTCTAAAGCAGTAAGCACTGGTGAAGGGAACCTCCAATATCTTTGAGACCTTTGGCTGTGGTTGTCCTCTGAAGGTCATAGAACTTGGATCCCAATATCAATGGGGATGGCGTTATTATATAACAACTGAGGCTGGTAGCAGCATTAGTTATCAGAGGTAAAAGGAACATGATTACTATAATGGGCAGTAAGACAAGAGTGGCAATCAGTGAGCCTTGACCACAGACCTATGGTGATGGCTAATAGATTATAAATTTCTTAGGACCAAGATGGAGGGGAAGTTGACTTGAGTGTTGCTTGATTTGCATAACAAAAATAATTGATATCTAAAAAGCAGACAGCTGACATCAGTTGTAGCCATGGAAAAATCATTACCTTACCTGGTTTCCAGACCGGGTATAGTTCACAGCAGCAGAGTCTAGTGAAAAAGAGGCTATTCCTCTTGGAAAAACAACCTGAAGTGCCAACTCAGATACATATGATAAATGTATTCAGGTCTTTTCCTCAAAGACCCTGTGACCAGGGTAATTTTACTCTGGGAAAAATGGAACATCTAGACTTTTTGAAGACTGCAAGATATGGCGGCTGAGCTGACACTTATAATAGGAGATCTGAACCATGCTGGTTCTCTGGGTAGAGTGGAGATTTATGACGTTCAGATACTATATGGACTTTTAGTCCAAGGTTTTCTTATTGTGGGTCCACGCAGTTCGCAGATCTACCCCATGGTTATACTTCAAATATATACTTAGAAGATGATAGACTCCTCACAATGAAGGGCCAATTACAAGCTCCTAGGGCTAACCTCCACTCTCTTGACCAGGATAAGTGTACCAAAAGCATACAGCATCCTGAGGGGTATTGAAATGAGCACTGCTATCAAACACTTAGAAGATGTAAAGTGGTTTCCATCATGTCTCCATTAAATTTACCAACCAGACCTCTGCAAAAACCAGATGGATCATGGTTGATGAAAGAGGACTACTGGAAATGTAGTGTGTGTGTGTGTGTGTGTGTGTGTGTGTGTGTGTGTGTGTGTGTTAGTGGTGGTGGGTATTGGTAGCTTCATTTTTGGCTACTACAGCATCGAGACACTTGGTATGCAACTATTAATTTGGGGAACGCTTTCCTTTGATCTCCAGCAGTAGGAAGAAATAAAAGCAATTTCATTTACATAGCAAAGATAGCATTTCACCTTCCCTACTTCCTTTCTTTTTTTTTTTTTTTTTTTTTTTTGAGACGGAGTCTCGCTCTGTCGCCCAGGCTGGAGTGCAGTGGCGGGATCTCGGCTCACTGCAAGCTCCGCCTCCCGGGTTCACGCCATTCTCCTGCCTCAGCCTCCCAAGTAGCTGGGACCACAGGCGCCCGCCACTACGCCCGGCTAATTTTTTGTATTTTTAGTAGAGACGGGGTTTCACCGTTTTAGCCGGGATGGTCTCGATCTCCTGACCTCGTGATCCGCCCGCCTCGGCCTCCCAAAGTGCTGGGATTACAGGCGTGAGCCACCGCGCCCGGCCTCCCTACTTCCTTTCACAGATATCAGACCTGAATTGCACTCTCTGACTGTTTATTCCTTTTCCTCTTCCTTTTATCTACCACAAGCATTTTCCTTAATAAATAAATTGAACAAATAATACCATCTTGGAGTGGTAGAAAGTATTTCTTGAATGATGATACAAATTAATATAAGGTAGAAGTAGGATTTATCCATTCCCAGTAGTCCATTTATGGAATTTCTGTTTCCCTGACCTGCCTCTTTAGGGTCTGCTGAGTTAGAGTTCCTTGGTCACAGATGGTAGTGACTTCTTCTAGGAGACAAAGTCAGATCCACTGACCTGAAAGCTGTAATTATTACCTGGCCATTCTGTATTAAGCATAACTAGACCAACAAAGCCAGGCATAGTGAATTTGATTATCATTAGGACCTTGGGTTGTGACTACAAATTTGGGGGCATGGAATAATTATGTCTGATAGCCAAAGGACTCACTGGTTTGTCTACTGGTGTGCTTCTGTGGCCAGTGATAAGGGGTAGTGGGCAATTCCATCCACCATAGCAGTATAATTGAAGGCTTTGACTTCTCAGGAATGATTGTCTAATTCCACTAAGTCAGCACAATGCCAGCCAAGGATGAGGGAAGTCTAGAATGAGGTAGAGTAGGGACCTAACTACTAATTATGCCTACAGGAGTAACTGCAGCATTAAGGATCAAAGTTTAGCTCAGCATTAAGGATTAAGCATCCACTGTAATGGCCAGTGAAATCTTCTAAAGAGACCAATTCTACTGCTCTCTTTACCACTGGCCATTATACCTGATGTGCTACTTAGAACATTTTAGGTATTCAATAAATGCTTGTTGAAGAACAAAAAACATAACATCAGCAAATTGCTTCTACTCATGATGGGAGCCCCTAAATAGGCTTTCCTAACAGCTTTCCTGTTCTTAGTGTAAATGATATGCTGTACTTCTAATAGTAAATCATTAATTTGGGGTTTTGCTATAAATCACTCTCATGACCTTCACTTGTGTAAGTTTTCCAAAATTCTGATCACTAGAGAAATTGTTTGATCACTAATGTTCCAACTTGAAGCTTTGACAAATCAAATATATTAGAATATAAAGGCTGTCTGAACATCTTTTGTCTCCTCCAGGTCTTCTGTAAGTTTGAGAGAGCCTGGGCTGTTTTTGATGCTTGCAGGGTATTAGATAATAAACATTACATGGAGTTAAAATAACTGTAGTATATTTTAAATGTTTACAAGCAATAAAATAATGTTTTTACCTCTCAAAGTAAAACTTATTATAATTATTATAATTCCCTTATTACCATAGGCTGTCAACAGTCTGAATATGAGGCCCATCATGAATGTGGGACTGGGACAAATAGATCTCAATGTTCCACTCCACTGAGCTTGACCCTGCTCAACTCAACAGACTTTTAACTTGTTGGCACTTTAAAGCATTTTTCAATGACTCTTTTATGCTTCTGAGAAATAGTTCTGCACTTCCATAAAGTGCACCTGGAAATATTGGTACATTTTGAATAATAGCTTTCATATTTCAAAATTAGATCTGATAACTTGCTCTATGGAAGAATGAGAAAAACAGAAGCTCAGCTAGAAGAAATTATATAACATGCAGTTTAGGTTGATATACATAAAACTATGCATAGGTAATAAGTGATATCATACCACTTGAGGGGATATTTTTGGAAATAAATACTATTCCTTTTATTAAGTTTAAATAAATGTTACATACATAGCAGCAAAAGTATTTATCAGTGGGAGCTTTTTAAGTGTGGGTTGGTGATATGGTTTGGCTGTGTCCCCGCCCAAATCTCATCTTGAATTCCCATATGTTGTGGTAGGGACCCAGTGGGAGGTAATTGAATTATGGGGGGAAGTCTTTCCTGTGCTGTTCTCATGATAGTGAATAAATCTCAAGAGATCTGATGGTTTTAAAAATGAGAGCTTCCCTGCACAAGCTCTTTCTCACTCTCTTTGCCTGCTGCCATCCATGTAAGATGTGACTTGCTCCTCCTTGCCTTCTGCCATGATTGTGAGGCCCTCTCAGTCACGTGGAACTGTATGTCCATTAAACCTCTTTCTTTTGTAAATTGCCCAGCCTTGGGCAGTTGGTATAAATCATCCTTGAAATCTTCTGGAACTAAATTGTTTTGCAATAATCTTTGAGTGTGCCCATGATCACAAAATTGAGTAATATAGATATGGGGACCACAGGCACAGAACCTTGTTGTAGACATGTGATCAGGATATGGCAAGGGTATGTATCTTTCTTGTGACTATAAACAGTTGAATGTCCTTCTGGCTGTCAGATTTTGAATCCTACAAACTACTATTTGTAGAGCAGAATATTGTGGCAGGCACTGTGCTATGAATGTTGATTTAAGACTCCTCATGAGTGGTTATTCTTTCTCATTTATCACTCTATCCATAATGCTGAAGACACAATTAGGAGCTTGACAATTATTGATGGCATGTTTTAAAATGAATATGCTACCACATTTGATCCTCACACTGACCCCATGAGATATGTATTATAAACAATTCTACAGATGAGAAGCTGAGGTCAAGTAGCTAGTAAGTAGTAGATTTACTAGCTACTGAATCTTAACTTGTAGGCAGATTCAATTTGGGATCAATTATGCTGAGACGTCCGGAGGGCAGAGTATTATGGCACAGACATTTGGAATTTGCTTGATGGGCTTTATTTGCACATTAAAAAGCACATTACATAGCCAAGTGATATAAACACTCATTTGGGGTCAGAATGATGACTAAGTGGGTAGCTCTGATCCTAAGTGTTCATGATATTGTTATTCCATAGTATATATTCTATATGAGCCTCTGGGAGAGGCATGTATATATTGTTTTTAACTTGAATGCCTGTTCTGTTTTCCTAGAAACCTGAGCCAATACTTTCCTGAGTAACTGGAAAGTGTTTAAATTGTATTTTACTTGTTTTTCTGTCTTTTTTCCCATTTAGAACCATATATTCAAGACCAAAGATCATATCTCATAATGAGGAGCAGCATAAGATGGAAGCAGCTGAATGAATAAAACTGAGATGAAATAATTTGTCCAAAGTTGTATATTTGGTAAGTGGTGGAGCCTAGATAAGAATCTAGGTTAGTGTATTTCAAAAGCTGATAATCCCACTTCCTTCCCTGATGTCCCTGAACGATGATAAAAGATCTAACTATGTGAAGTTGTTTGATCCTAACATATAGTTGGATCCTTTCTGCTCTGGTAGAGACATATATCTGAATTCATTGATGTTTCATATTTTTATACTTTGAACCTGGGAAAAACAAATCAGGCAGGGGAAACAGGTATAAAAGAGTAACCAACATATTATTAGCTGCTGTGCACAGATGTTTAAACAGTTAAATATTTATGTTAATTGTGCTGTAATTCTTTCCTGTATGTGGTGCATGCAGATCTTGGTTGTAGCTTTGATTGCAGCAGGTTCTTCTATGTGGTGAAATCAGGCTTGTATGGCTTGAGAATTAATATAAGATCTAACCTAAGATATGCAACTGACCTAACTGCCATGACAGAACTTTCTCACTGGGCACATGACAGACATAGTTTTGTGGAGCCTGGTAAAATGATGCTTTAAGCTGGAAGTAAAAAGTGGCATCACCTAAAGGGACCCTTAACAGATGAAGCAGGTGTGAGGCTCTAGCAGTATCCCAGGCCCTCAGGAAACACACTATGTCCCACAATTTAATCAATAATTCTGCTGTTGATAACTCTTCTGACCTTCTGTGGACACATCTGTGGAGATGGTGTGTGCCAAGAAGTCCACCTGGAATCAACTGAAGGCCAATGTTTCAGTCTGGGTGTGGAGTGGTAAGCAAAGAGACTGGTCCTCGCTGGGTGGTCTGGAGTAGGATGTTGTTCCAGTTCAAAAGAATGAGCTGGAAAATTGCCTACATACACATTCATGAAACAGTCTAATGTGTTCTGGAGGAAATTGCTCATAAAGTGCTGCATTCTAAGGATCTGGTATACAATCCAAGCATCACACTAGAACATTTAAATTTATTTTATTATTTATTCCTTTACTTAGCAAGTATTTATGGACTACCAGGCATGTGTCAGGCACTATCCTAAACCACTGAGGCTCGAAGATGAATGCAACACAGTTTTTGCCCTCAAGGAGCTCTCAGTTGAAGAAGGAGACAGATATATTAAAATGTGGTTATAAAATAAGTGCAATATTATTGGCAGTTTTTAAATTGCAGAGGATATTGCTGGAGCACCAAGAAAGGACAACTAAACTCGTGTGGTGTGTAGATGAAGTTTCAGGGAAGTGTCCTGGTCAAGGTAGCCCTTGTGTTGGGTCTGAAAATAGAAGCTGCAGTGTATCTGGCAAAATATAGGGAAAAAAACAATCCACGTAGAGGAACTTGGAGAAGCAAAGCACCAAACAGCAATGTGCCACTTTTGAGAATGTCATGAATTTTCTTGTTGATGGAGTGCAGTCAAGATGAATATAATGTGTCCAGAATGTAATCTTCCCTGTCCAAAAGCATACCCAGGTTGTTCTCTTTCTCGAGCTCTTTAAAAAAAAGAAAAGAAAAGAAAAACAAAACAAAACCAAAAAACTCTACAAAAAATGAAAGAGTCCTAATTTGGTGTGATTTGCAAGTATTCATAATTTGAGTAATAAATCAGAGTTCAAGTGATGAAATTTCCATGTGTAATAATCATGACAACAGAATCACTCTCTGGTCTGTTTCTGGATAAAGAAGCTTAAGGCTGGAAAGAGGCACCTGCTTTCTGCAGGGAGAAGACTGCCAAATTAAGCAGAAATGTAATCAGGAGCACTACCCTGGCATCTTTTTAATGGAGACACTAATCTCTGCCTTCCCTTCCGGTTTGCGCAATTGTTTTTGATTGACTGTCTTGGTCTGTGGGACAAGAACAGTTTCAGAGGTTTCCATTCAGTTTTCTCCACTATGATAGCTCTTACTCCATAGGCTGAGGACTCAATGTAGGGTAACGCCATCTGCCTAGTATGTCAATTCCAGTTATAAAATGGGGAACTGAGGAAATGACCACTTGGTCCATGTGCCTTATAAGCTAGATTTTAAGCAGAACTCCATTTATTATCAGGCATCTGAAAGTTCCCTCTTTAAAAGGGTCTATGATGATGCTTTGGGTCTCTGGGAACCAGTGTCAACTCAGACCTTGTGTCTTGATATGTCTGGGTATTCCTCTTTTCCCAGTGTATCCAGTCACCCAAGTATATGGACATATATCTCTTTGGGGAAGGACTGCGGAAATCATTACGGTATATGTTTATTGCAGTGTTGCAGTGTTCTTCTTCTAGGGACCCCTTGAAGTCAAGGCATTTTGGATCTACAAATTGGCCCAACTCCAGAAACTGAGCAAGAGATTGTAACTTTTAATTAGGGTGACTGTCCTCAGCTTCTTGTTCTTCCATTCTTCCCTTTTTACTTGTTGTAGAGGTTATACAGCACACTTTCTGGCTACTCGTCTGTTGTATAACTTGAAGATGCCATGTCCTAATAACCATCTTCACAATTCCCTGTGGGACAAGACTCTTAGCTACCTCAACAACCTTGCAAGGGATTATGGCAATTGCACCTTCCTGGTTTCTGTTGGTTAAATACACCCACCTAGCCTCTATTACTTTCAGGTCCCATCATCATCATGAATATTAATGATGACTGCCTTCCCTAAAGTCAGCCCTAGCCTTCTGAGGAGAGGTAGCACGTACTTCTCAGTGATGCTCATACTACTCCCACCCATGCATTTTTAATGGCCTTAGTGAATGGTATGCTCTCCAGGCTTTATGTAGAACATAATCATCTAGTCTTAACAATATATCCATTCCAGCACACACTCTTCCCTCAGCCTCTACTATAAGCCAAGGCAACTCAGGAATTTCCACTTTTCTCAGCATTTGCCGTAACTTTCTTCGAGCATCAAAGAGCTACTCTAGCAGTGAGTTTGTTGTATTACCTGGAGTCTTTGCCAGAGTACTAAATATAATTCACCAAGAAAGTGTCCTTAAGCCAGTAAATTTTTGATTATTTAATCTTACATTCTGGATCCCTTGATATAGTACCTTTTACCAATCTGGGTCTAATTACAAACCAGAAACTACAATGTAATACGAACAAAGGGTTTTAAAAGTAAAGAATTATTAAACTATGGTACAGGAATAACTATAAAGATATAAAAATGACCCTAAAGTGATTCCTAGGACTGAGGAAACATATCCAAGGAAGGAACATCTTGGAAAGAAGGTGTCCTCCCAAGGCCAGGGTTCAGACCTCAGTGGAGTAGGTATGGTTGCAACTGGATGGCTGAGATGTTTGCTGTTTTTTTTGGGCCAAAGTTGTTCTGCTTTTGTCAGGTGGCAGAAAACAACCTTTTGGGGTATAGGTGAACTGGGGCTGGTAGGTGAGCATGGAGAAGGGTTTAGGGCGCCATTGCCAGTGCAAGTTCTGGGGTGCGCCAGTGTTGACAACAGGAAGACTGCAGTGAGGTGGTCACTGGAAGGGCTGCAAAGTCATCAAGGGAAACTGTTCAGCTTCCATGTGCACTCTTGTATACTTCTTTCTAACAAGAGAGACCTATCCTTTTTGTAGGTGAAGAAGTTCTCTCGTACTGTTACCCAAAATGAGATGACACACAATTCCAATAGTCTCAGGAAACACTGCAGAACCGTTTTCAGAGTAATCCATCCAGGTGTCCCATCCAGTAGTTTAGGGTGTCCCAACCAGGGTTCTTAGCATAACAGACTTGCCTTGGGTGAAAGTTGAAGTGTCTCTGGAGCTCTGAGACTCAACTGTCGAAGCTCTAGGGTGTTGCTCAGCTGTGTCTACTCTTCCACTTCAGAGATAAGGGCATCTTTTTAAGCTACCAAAGTGTTGTCCTGATTCTCACGGTTAGGTTTTAACTGTCTGTTAATGACTCACAGTTACTCATCATCCACCTATAGGGCATCAAAACAACTTAGCCACCTCTATTTTTTTTTTGTATATTTTCTTTGTATTTATATTTTCCAAAATATTTTTCATGTAGTTTTATCATTTTATGGCTGAATTTGGAGGTAATTAGAACCTTTCTATGTTGAGTTTTCAATATATAATCATGGCATATCTCTCTATTTATGAAGGAATTTAAAAAATATATTTCAATATAACTTTATAGAACAATGAGAGACATATTATAGAACAATATATTTCGTAATATTGAAGTTCTAGTCCATGAACATAACTCTCCATTAACTTATTTATGTATTTATTTTATTTTATTTTTTGAGACAAGGTCTTGCTCTGTCACCCAGGCTGGAGTGCAGTGGCACAATCGTGGCTCACGGCAGTCTCCACCTCCTGGGCTCAAAGGATCCTCCCACCTCAGTCCTCTGAATGGCTGGGACTACAGGTATGCGCCACCACACCTGGCTAATTTTTGCATTTTTTGCAGAGGTGAGGTTTCTCCATGTTGTCCAGGCTGGTTGAGAACTCCTGGGTCCAAGCAATCCACCTGCCTTGGCCTCCCAAAGTGCTGGGATTGCAGGTATGAACCTTCATGACCGGCTCAGTTGTTGCTTTTTAACAGTGATATTAAGAATCAGAATCAGATGGCAGTATGAGGTAAGTAGTTTATTTAACATTTGGAGTCAGATATACCTGGGTCTGAATCTTAGTGTACTTAACAATAAGATTGAGTTAATAATAGTGTTTACCTCAGAAAGATCTGTGGTAAGGACCAAGTAAGATAATGTACATAAAGCTCTTAGCACAAAACATAACACATCACACTCAATAGATTTTCCCTGTAAAAATATTCAACAGTTAATTAAAGACTAGAACCATTTCACAACTATAAGGATCAAAGAAATGAGGGACTGGAAACAAGAAAGATAAGCAGGGAGTCAGAATATTTCATTTGTTAAATTCTGTTTCTTGGTGGTTTCATTTTGAAGATGGATAGCTCATTATCTTTTGGTCTAAAAGACAGTTCTTTTATCTCAGCAACTGAATTCTAAGGGAGGTAGCAGTGAACAAGCTTATTAAAATCTCCATAATAAGGGAGCTTACATTCTAGTGGGGTATGGCTGTGTGTTCCCTCATTTCTGCAGAAACCCTCTTTGTCTGCATCAGAGGAGCTCTCTGCAAAGATTAGTTCAGCTGGAGCAGGAAGGCTGTGGTGGATTTCTACAAGGGTAGGAGAGAGAAACATCATTCTTTGCAATACCTCTTGGGTTCTTTATCAGAATTTTCTTCCTTCTCATAAACAGTGTAGTGGTTAAAAATGTAAGCCCTGCCCAGATTTGCATTTGCTTTCACCCACCAAAATGCTTTTGTATGTCCTGGGTAAATTACTGTACTAGGCTTCATCTGTTTCTCCAAATCTATTCTCCAGTCTTCTCCACCCTGCTCTGCAGCCTGGAGGCTGGCCTCTAGGGACTGCATTGCCAAGTTCTCTTTACCTCTGGTTTACAGTTGGGTTCAACTAATGGGAGATGATTCAGAAGATCCAAGAGAGGAAAAAGAGCGGGAGGGGAGGGTAGTTATTCTCCCAGATGCCTGCCTTCCAGGCCACAGTTTGTCAATCACTGTGCACTTGTCTCAAAGGCTTCAGCTGCTGTTGACTGGTCTTGCAATGTTCCAGATTGGGACAATAAGGACTTTCTAATGGTGCTATCCCTTCACCATTGCTTGCTGGTTTCCCTTAACCATTCCCACAATTTTGTAAATAGCCCTTCATTTAATTATCTTTGTTTACCTCTTTTGAAGTTTCCTTCTGTTCCCTGCTGGGATGGATCCCATCAGGTACAATTATCTTTCATCTCTAAATCTATTTCCTAGTATAGCACTTACATCATAGAAGTTTTGTGATGGTTAAGTGAGTTAATATAGGTAAAATTCTTAGCACAGTTCCTAAGACATAGCAAGTGTTCAATGAATGTTAGCTGTCATTCTCATTACTGTTATCATGATGATCATTTGTATTTAGGACCCAGACATAGGGACTGAGATAAAAATGCTGAGAGCTGGGCTTTTGACCAAAACCTCAGCTCAAGTCAGGATACTTGGCAACATCTAAGTGCAACCAAAAGTTGGGTACCCGTTGGCCCATTGTATGATAAATCTACCCTTGCCAATATTCCTGTGATTGATAAAACTCACAGCAGGATAGTTCTGATCATCATTATTTCTGAATACATTTATAAGATAATGGTTAGTGCCATTCATTTTTATGTATCCCTTGATGCAAATTAAGCTAATTTAGAGAAGAAATTCTTAATCAGTACCATGAGGTAGAGGAAAAAATTCTTTAAGCACATAAAAAGGCATTACTGCAACTTAGAGAAGCAAGGCTATTTTATCCAAGTTCTTGAATACAAAATATATTATAGTGAAAGAAAAGTAATACTGAAGATAAATAATGCAATTTGTCTATGTAATCTTTGTAATCATTTTCATGACCTCACTGTGGCTTGGATCAGTTAATTCGGTCATTCAGGAGATAATAGTCCTAATGAGACTGGATTGTAGATCTTATCTTCATGTAAGCCTGATAGCATAGAGAAACATTCTGCTCCATAATTAAAAATTGTACTCATATCCTTATAGTCTGTGTTGCAAATGCATGATGATGATTACAAGAGAAATGAAGAGAAAGTGGAGGGATAATATGGTACCAATAAATTCCCACTAATGGGAAAAAAACTCCAAGGGCATGCTTTTCTGGGAGTGGATAAATAGTATTACTTTCCGATGGAAAGGGCTAATTGTGTTTGTGTGTGTGTGTGTGTGTGTGTGTGTGTACATGCGTGAATGGAATAAATTGTCATGTAAAGAAAAAGCAATGTAATAAACATACAAGTTCTAGTAATGCACCATTAGTGTCTATGTTAGTGTCCTAGGGCCATAATGAATTACCACAAGCTGGGTAGTTTAAAACAACAGAAATTTATTCTCTCACAGTTTTTAAGGCTAGCAGTCCAAAATCAAGGTATCAGCAAGGCCATGCTCTCCCTGAAAACCCCAGGGGGAGATCGATTTCTGCATCCCTCTAGGTAGTGGTAGTTGCCAGAAGTCTTTGGCTTTCCTTGGCTTATGTCAGCATAATTCAATTTCTGCCTCCATCTTCACATTTCCATCTTACCTCTATGTCTGTGTTCAAATTTCCTTATTCTTGTAAGGATACCAGTCATACTGAATATAGGGCTCACTCTAATCCTGTATGACTGCGTCATAACTTGATTACCTCTGCAAAGACAGTATTTCCAAATATTATCACATGCACAGGTTCTGGGTGGACATGAATTCTTCAGGGGAAACTATTCGATTTATCACAGTACCAATCACCCTAACTACTGAGGTCTGACTCATTTCTTTGTGGTTTCTTTTAGGCTCTTGCTTTCCCTTTCTTCTTTGGTATTTGATTCCCATCTTTTTAGCCTTTCTTATTTTCTTTCTTTAGAAAAAAGTTATTTCGCTCATTCAGAGGAGGAAGATGTAAGTTACATCATTTTAATGATTACACAGTAGACAGGTTCTGTTTGTGGAACAGATGGTCCACCTGCTCCTTCATGTGGGGTGGACTCATATTCTCATTATCCCTATGCTACATGGTATATATGGGTTGGTGGGGGAAAGGGATTTCAGTGAATTATGAGCCATCAGCAAGCTTATCCCTGTAGCATTTTATAGTCCATAGACTGCCATGAAATGCCACTCCAGGTAATTCCCAGATCTCTATTGCCTCCCCCACAACTTCCACCTTCCTAATGTTTTCTTTCCTAAAGTTACTCATTGTGAGATCACCGTTAGCAAGCAGACTTTCTTTTGACCCCAACTAATATGTCATTAAAAAAAATCTGACAATTATTTTCCATTTCCCAGCCTATCTCATTAAACATATAGAACTGATAGATTGTTGGTCAAAGAGAAAACTGAAGCAGAGAGAGAATCCTCCTACCTTTTCAATCCCTCTCTGCTCAGCCTCTTCCACGCTCGTCCCCAATCAAGGAAGGGCTGCTAAGCTGATTGTTCATAGTCTGGGATGACTGATTGGTGGTCAGGGTCACTTTGTTCATGACCATGCATTTATGAACTCTTTACCGTGACCCTGCATCTTGCTGCTAGTGCAGCAAGAACGCCAAATGCTGTCTTGTTCTCTCCCAAAGCATACCTGCATTTGTTAATCATTGCTTTGATTTCTGTACCATATGTCTGGCCAGAAGATGATAACAGCCTAATGTCAGTAAGGGCTTGGGGATAAAGAAAAGGCTCCATTTATTTATTTAGATTATGTTGAATAAAGAGTCAAACTTGTTTTACCTTCACTTGGTACTGGAGGTGATTGGCCATGGCTAAGCCAGTAAAAAACAAACACCCCCCGATTCCCAGCCCTCCAACACTTTGTGCTTTGCTTCCCTTGTGCCTATTGTGTGTGTGTGTGCGTGCAAGTGTGTGTGTGTGTGTGTGTGTGTGTGTGTCTGTGTTTGTGGTGGCCCACCAAGTACCTCTTCAGAGGGATGATTGTTGGAGTAGAATATATCTATTTTGGGTCTTATAACCAAATATCATCAACACCCCAGCAACGCTTCTAACAAGTATGTTGTAAACAATGTCTAAAATAAGAGATCTGGGTTTATTTGTTGACTTAACTTATCCAGGATATTCATTAGTTCAAATAATTAGGAACTGGTCACATTGTGGCAGCCCATGTATGTTCCTAGGCAGATCATTTCAAAGGTGAAACTATGTTACACTGTTACTAGAAGTATTAGACGTGCCTCCTTTGAAAGCAGCTTTGTACATACTTATTGCATTGGTATACAACAAAAGAATATACATAACTTCTTAGTGGCTCTGACTGATGCATTATTAGCTGGTTGTTAGACCCTAGTGCTTCTATCTCTGTATAATACTTCATTTTTCATGAGCTATAACACTCTCTTAATGGTAGTGTTAGTGGAATATTCTTATTCAACTTATTCAGTGACTAATTTAGAGATTATGACAATATTTTACATCCTAAGTCATTAGTTGAATATGTATTAGAATCTAATTGTTTGTCTTAATTATTACAGTTTTTGTCTTTGTCTATCATTACATGTGTAGAAGGTTATAATAATAAGGAATCTCATTTATTAAATACCCATTACAGGATCATTATTTAAAACTAAATTTGGAAATGTGGCTTATTTCAAATTAGACTAACATGTGCCTTATACTTCAGATGCCATTCAAAGCAACAGGACTCTTTTTATTAATTGTTTTATTTTACTTTAGGTACTGGGATAGGTGTATATGACATGAAGTTTTGTTACATGGGTATACATGTGCCATGGTAGTTTGCTGCACCTATCAACCTGTCATCTAGGTTTTAGGCCCCACATTCATTAGGGGCTTTGACCCCTAATTCATTTGACTAACAGGACTCATAACAATCTTTCATGGGTTGTCTAAACAAAGCTAAATTTTGAAATACTGAGATATAAAATTTTGGCATAATCAAACAATTGTTCTATTTCGTAAGAGTATAGATGTAAAAGCACAACATTTTTAAGGAATTAAAATTGTACTTAGCTCCAATTTTAGTCATTTGGTTACTCATTTAACATCTTTATTGTTCCAATGGAACCCAAGCTAATGTAAATAAAGATGATTATAAATACATAAATACACAAAACTATGAGAAATATTTTATCACAGGTAGTGTACAGTTATTACCTATAAATGAGTATAACCATAGCTGATGAATATAATGTAGGTAAAAATGTTCAATATATTGAGAAGGGAGCTACATATTCTTGTGGGGCCTTTGCTCCAGAATTTGAGGGGACTCTTTGATGGGACAAATTCCTACTTGTTTTCTCCCACAAGAACATGCAGAATTTCTTGCTCTGATGCTATTAGTAAGGGTACATTAGTAATTGCTTATTTATAAGGCTATAAACTGAAGGTAAAGTTCTTATCTGACTTTCACCTACAAATATACACATATTATCCCATGATTTGTCAAGGGCAGCATTTCCCAGTTATATTTTCCCTCTTTATGGCATTGTCAGTGAACTTTTAGGAAATGACACAGAGTAGCTTCATTTTGGGTCTGAGGAAGCAATGCCAGTAACCAGAATCCAGGGGAGCCAGCCTGAGGGAAACTAAAGCCCACAAAAATTAAGTATTTATCCATGGTGACCCAGAAAATCATTAGACCCAAATCCTCTGACTCCTGAGACCAGCCTTTTTTTGCTTTCATTTATGATGTTATGTGCCTCCCCATGGCACCTTCTTAACATACCTTCTCAGTATGTGCTTTGGCATGGCTAAATTTATTGAGGCTGTTAACTGGACCTTGAAATGTACGTTCCACTTTGTGGTGTTAGGCAGATTCAGATGTAAAATCTGAACTGCGTCCTTATGACCACATACTGACTTCAATCCTTTTGGACAACTTTAACTTAATATCACTAGAAATTCCTTGCATGGATCATGAGCAACATGTGACCCTCAAATTCTTCTCAGTTCATTATAACCTTTCATCTCTTCTATGGCATCTGAATTCCAGATATATATATTCTATTTATTATGTTTAATCTGTTAATAATTTAAAGAAATATTTAACTCTATGAACATGAAGATTGCAACTGAAGCAGAAAGAATATTCAAGGAGTGTTTGCACTCCTTTTTCTTGGTTTAATTGCTCAAGGTGAGTTAACTGCAAAATTATCAGCTCAATGCTAAAGAGATTGGCCTGCCAGCCCACCCCATTCTTGTTTCAGTGTCCTGTGCTAGCCCACCCCATTCTTGTTTCAGTGTCCTGTGCTACTGAAGTTCTTCTCATGGCATAGGGCATTAACATTATTCGTCCCTGTATTTGTGCCTGTGTCTGTTAAGACCTTTTATACAATAGCCTCAGAACTCTGGTTGCAATTAGAGTTTTGATTAGCTGTCAGTGATGTCATAGCCATGCTTATTTTAAATCCACTGTGCTAAGTGTTTTCCTTTTCTTAATGTACTGTAGAAATTCCATTTCTTGACAGCAATAAGACACTTCAGGCAATGTGTTTCAGGGCCAATATTGTACTTCTCATGAAGTTAAGACACTTGGCCTTCAGCCTCATGACTTATAACACAATCTGAGTTATGCTATAATCACCCAGATATATACATGGCCTGTTGTGTTTTATTGCTTAAATGGAAACTGCCCCAAGAGCCTCATCAACTGACAAGGTGGGAATATAGCCCCGAATGATTGTTCAGAATCCCAATGGGACTTGCATTTGGTCAGCTCTCCTTCAGCCTTTCACGGGTTGCACTGAAACTCTGGCGGCCTTTCATACATTTACCGCGCAAGAGAAACCAAACTCTCCAGCATCTCGGGTCTCACTGCCAGACTGCCTAACTTAGTTTGCCAAATATCTCCCCCTCAACACATTTATTGAACTTTAAAACAGCAGAGCAGCATTGAATGAAGTCCAGTAATTTTTATAGGATATATTTTAGTCACTAGACTTTGAAGGCTATTCCAACATTAATTATGAAGTTTCTGTGTCTGGATAACATATTGTTAACAGTTATTTTGCAAGTGCTAATGGCAAGATGGAAGATTTCCAATAATTTTATTGAGGAAGTGGCAATTAAAATGTTGAGCACTACAGCATACATACAAAATAAAAATAACCTTGCAAACAGTGTACTACTTCATGGCAAAAATGGGGAAATAAGTTTTTTAAAACAGATATGATGATTTGATTTTGCATTTCCACCTCTTTTTTGCTCAAGGAGGATGAAGAGGTCTCTTTTTTGTTTGTTTGCTAATGTTTAAAAGCAGTGTAAAATGCCAGAGCCCTGGGCTGATTTGATATTGTTTACTACGACATCATGAAATGATTTTAAGACAAGTTGTTACCCATATTTCTTTCAATAACAAATATCACTAAAATGAGATCATTGGCTTAGTGTGACAATTTATGACTCTAGAAATGCATGAGCTGTCTTTTCTAAAGACTTTTAAAGACCTCATCTAGCATGCTTTTTCCTCTAGAGCTCTCTGTGTGACCACCCATCTTCCAAACTCACCCTACCGCAGTCAGCCAGCAGCTCTGGGTCGTTAGCCTGTCAGAACCCTGAGAGCAGAATGATGGACAGCAAGAGGCAGCAGGCAGGATGGAGAACACTCCAGCATACACGACGTTGGGGTACAGCACACAGGGATAAGAGACACAGCAGGGAAGTGGTGGATGATGCCTGTGGACTCCAGGTCCAGAAGTCTGTCATCTTCAACACACTGCTTCTGATCATTTTAAATTTAGAGTGCAAATTATTAATTGCAGAATCAAGACCACTGGAATCAAGACAAACTGACTTTGTGTCAATAATTTAATGCCATTGTATTTTGAAAGAGTTCAGAAAAAGAGTACATCTGCTTCACAACTACTTGATCTCCATTTTCTTTTTTATGCATATCCTGACTGCTGTATAACTTAAGCCTAGGTTTTTTCTCTCATCCATTTGGTGGAATATTTTTTCCTAAATGAAGAGTAATCTATATTTTCTATTTTGATTTAAATCTATAATTGGAGTGCTTATCAACATTGGCTAATGAAATCAACCTATCAACACTATAATATTACAGCATGAAGTTTCTGGCTAAAATATTTTCCTTATGGTTCTGCTTTTCTAGGATCCATATTATATTCTTCCCTTGGTCTTTCTTTGGGAGTCATTTCTTAAAAACACCCCCCCTTTTTTTTCTGAAGACTCACATGAGAGCAGTGGAATCAAGAGTTAGGTCTTTCTTTTCTCACTTAAGAACAATAAGCATACAGAAACTGAAATTATACAACAAAATTTTACCCATTTCTGCTAAATTAAAGAGATTTTTAAAAACAATTTTAAATGTCAATACACAGAAAAAGAATAATTCCCATTAATGGGGTTTCCTCTTTCTTAACGTGTATTTATGGAATTAATTCTTATATTTCCTGTTTATTTACTGATTCTTATGAATCCTAAATATTAAAGCAGGTTATTGTTCTTTATTTTGTTTAATAGCACATTAAGGGAATTTGAATTTCAGTTAAATTATTTATTTCCAGAGATTCATAATCTAACCCAAGAGCAATACTTTAAGGTGGCATCCTATGAAAGAGTTTATCATTTGTTGACTTATTGCTTCTTATAAGAGGATTTATCATTTGTTATTTACTCCTTAGTAAATATTTCTAGATCATATTGTGTGTATGTATAACTTCTCCACCTTTGCCTCTGTGAGGAAGCAAAACATGTCCTTTTTTTCTTTTTATGCTCAATGTGTTAAGATGTCTTCATTTAATTCATGCTCAACAAAATGCTCACAAACTAATGGAAAGCTGAAGATCTGTATTTAATTCATCACATAATTATTTTTCTTCAAGAAAATTAATCCTAATTCTTGAGTCACAAAAACCATGTATGTTGAAAAAAATATTGATTATTGCTTCATGTAAGTGACATTTTCTGATTTTCCAACTGATTTTTAAGATGGACAAACCAATGCAACAGAGCATGGAAGAGTGAGAGAAGCTTCTGGATGAGAACCAATATAAGGGAGATAGATGGTAAACTTTGAGTGGATTTCAGCCTAAAGACGTCAGTCTTATTTTGCTAACATACTTCAAAGAATATGTACAAGATTGATTTTAAAATACAAAGTTTTAAAGCTAGATATAAAACTTGTATAATTTAGTTTAGAAAATAAAATAGTTTCCTGTTGGTGGATGGGCCCCCTGAGAGCCAATTAGTGAATTCTTCATCTAAATTACACCTTAGGTCTGGAAAGTATTAACCTCCAAAGGGTGTACAATTTATCCCCAGGATGGGTGTAAGTAGTCTGCTATTGGATGAGTGTCCTTAAAAAACCTGGAATAACTGTTACCTTTCTAGGAGTCACTGGAAAGAACAGTAGTTACCTGTTACCAATATAGAAAGCTTTTATGACTAATACTCCAGAAATTTCAGTTCCTTCCTCTTGGTTCCCTTCTGTGTCTCTGTGACTCTGTAGCTGTTCTACCAGGTACTAAGTACCAAGGTTTGAACTAGACTCAGTGTAGCCAATTGAGAGGTAGATCTCCTAGAGTATGATGGTTTGGACTTTGAAGGCTGACAGATTTAGGTTTGATTGCTGTCTCTGCTTTCTTATGCCAATGAGAGGCAGATCTCCTAGAGTGTGATGGTTTCAGCTTTGAAGGCTGATGGATTTGGGTTTGATTGTGTCTCTGCTTTCTTATCTATGTGAAACTGGAATATTACTTAGATTCCCTGAAGTTCAATTTCCTTAAACATAAAATGGGGGTTATATATCAGCCTCAGAGTTATTGTAAGGTTTAAATGAAAAGGTATTTGACAAGCCCTTGGCATAAGTTTACATGCATGATAGGATCACAGGATATTTGCTTTGATTTATTTGCTTGGTAACATTGTTAGGTTTGTACTAATCCATATGTCCTGAGTTCTGTCCCCTTACAGAAATGAAAGAGAATGTCCAAGGCCAGGGTGTAGGGGGAGAGGGGAAAGCAGACTTGAATCCATGCACAGTCTCAGTTTTATTAGGACCACCTCACCCTAAAAATAGAGCTCCCCAGTGATTGGTAGAAAAGCTATAAGATTCAAAATCTTGTGGTAGAGTTGGAAATTGGAAGCCTAATGAAGGAATATATTATACTTCAGATGCCAGCAATGAGAGAAATTCTAATGAGCAATGTCCTAAAGTTTAAGGATGATAGTTAATAATTATTGAGTCTTTACAATAGACAAAATACTATGTTGGATATGGGGTCTTTTACCAGTGTTAAAAGAAAAACTTCAAACAAATTGAATTTAACAGGGTTTAATTGAGCAAAGAACAATTAGCAAATTGTTACTTGCCTGTTTGTTGCAAGTGTAGGTTACAGTCTGTTTACACATCCAGTTAGGTTACAGTTTATACATCCCGTTAGGTTAAGGTAGGGAGAAACCTTTAGGCTGAACTTAAAATATGTGAGGAGGCAGCTTTAGGCTGTATTTAATTTAGCATCAGAAACCATTGCATTTGAACATAATAACAGTGGAGGATCCAGACACCACTCTTATGTCATTGTATAGATGAGGAAAGTAAAGATCAGTTGTTTGAGGAATTTATCCAAGGTCTTTCCAGGTGTATATGGCTCCCTTCTACTGTATTGCTTCCAAACAGAATGGTAAGAAAATTACAAGAACTGAAAGGACAGACTATATCCTCAGGACCTATTAAAAATCAGAGCTGTCTTTTGGTTTGGTTTTGCTCTGTTTTGTTTTTATGGGAAGGACTCTTTATACCAATAACTCACCTATTTTATAATCTTGTCAAATTATCTCTGAATAAAATTTCTGAAAATGCTCTTGTGGAAAGTATGCTAGCTGGGGCAAAGCCTTTTCGATGATCAGCAAGAGCTTTTCTTCTTGCTGTAAAAAGCCAGACGTTCCCCAGACTGTCTTGCACTTGGGTGTAGCCAGGTGACTGAGTTCTATCCAATGGAATGTGAGTAGAAGTGATATGTAGCATTTCTGGGCCAGGTGCATAAAAACTTCACCTTATTGTTTCTCTGTGCTCCTTTTCTTCACATGATTTAATGCAGAGGGGCATGGTAACCTTGAAAGCTATTAAAGTTCATGGAGCCTCAAGATAGAAGGAACCCACACCTCTGAATCAGTGTTCACAGGAGAGCCCCAGTTAATCAGGAATACTCATTTCATCTGCACATGCGTGAGAAAGGAGTGTTTGAGCCATTATAAGCTTTGAATTTGTTTTTTTTTTACAGCAGCAAGAATACATTAACTAATTTTCTGTCTAATTAGAATTTTTTATAGAATTTATTTTCTCTCACAACTTGTTACTTATGAATACTTGAAGTCCTATATGTCAGCTTTTGGTGATGTCTTTGAAAGTGAGCAAAAAGTTCACATTGAGCGAATGTTTATCCATCTGACCATATTGTCATGATGCTTATTTTTACTGTTCTCTGCCAGCCCTGAATTTATTAAAATACACAGACAGGCTAGTCCTATTTCAATTTGTCTTTTACTGATGTCCACATATCCTGCACCTCCCTCCCCACCACCCGCCAATCCCTACTCTGCCACTGGAATTCTGCCTAAAATGAAACAGCAACAGAACAGAGGTCAAGAACTTGGAAGGATTCATATGGGAGAAACCAGGTACAGCTTGATTTAATATCAATATTTCATATGTTCAGAGAGTGAAGTTTCAGGCTACAAGATAACAGCCCATCATTTTTATGCCCTTCCATCTGTGAAAAGCTGTTCCTCAAAGAACAGTGTATGAACAGCCTCGCAGCTTTTCATCTTAGGCATTATACTCTGAAAAAAAAAAGAGATCTTTTGATGCATAACCAGACTTTGAGGATAATTCAAATCTATGGAGTTATAGGGCCAGACTGATAAAGAATGCAGATTTTCTATCTGAAATATATTACTGGGGAAAGGTACAGAACACAAATCTTTAACATAATGAAACCTTTGCCTCCTGCATATATAAAACAAAGGTTACACTATCTACTATCTGCCAGTGAAGAAACAAGTATGCACATTTAATAGATGGTGAAATAAGAGTCACAGGGATAGAATAAAGGGTTAAAAAGAAGTAAAATTATAGTTCATTTAAATTTACAGAGTCAGGTTTTATTTTTAAAAATACACTTCTTCCTGCCACCATGTGAAGACGGATGTGTTTGCCTCCCCTTCTGCCATGCCTGTAAGTTTTCTGAGGCCTCCCCAGCCTTGCAGAACTGTGAGTCAATTAAACCTCTTTTCTTTATTACCCAGTCTTGGGTATGTCTTTATTAGCAGCATGAGAACAGACTAATACAAATATAAATCATGAATTAGGGTTATCAGGCACCATCCTGGGCCAGAGACATATTACACCAGGTATTCAGCTCCCCATTAAAGCAACCAATAATGCACACAACCTTTAAAACACTGAGGGACACTGTGACAGTAAAAAGCCCAATTAATCTAAGGATGTCTCTTGTAGCTCTAACCACTACAGATGGGATCATTGCCCCCCTCCTTTTTTTTACACTTTTGCAGTCACATTTTCCCACGGGAAGACCTTTTTATGTGAAGTCAATGTGAATAATTCATTCACTTCACAATTCCCAGAGGAGTAACTTTTCAGAAAAGTAGCATTTTTTGAGTTATAGCTACTCAAAACATACATATTCCAATGAGAATACATTTAAAATGGATCATCTTTCTTCCAAACTTCATCATATCTCTCCTTACATGAACTATATGAACTATAAGCTGCTATAATGTATTATTTGAGTGAATCACAAATATATATATATATTTTAAAAACTTCTTAAGCATAAATAAATAGATCTCTGAAATGTTTCTTGAATTGCCAATTTACTCAATATTAACCAAACCTACTATGTTCTAGGCCCTAGGTACTGTAAAGCATCAAGGAATAAACAGACAAATAAAACAAAGTAGCTAGCAGTTATTGGAATGCGTCACAAAATGTTGTGAAGTGCTGAGTGCCCATTGTTTTGTTTAATATTCACAGTAATCCTATGAAGCAGGTACTATTATGATTGTTGTTTTCTAGATGAGGTTTAGAGCGGTTGGTTAAGTCATCCATCTGAGCTAGTAAAAGGCAGAGCTCCAGAATATATGCTTTTATTCTCCATACAATATTAGCCATGGTATCTACTCTAAGACACTACTGTTTACTCTAGTGGAGGGGACAAGTATGCAAGCAAGTATTTTTAATGCCTCAGCATGTTCCTGGAGCACAGTGGAGGGAGAGAATAATGGTGAACTGCAGAGTGGGAAAAAGAGGTACTATTACAGAGCACTTGCTGGAGGGAGAATCAGGGACAGACATTGCAAGTAATGAGGAATTGAGTTCAAAACCAACAAGGCATGAGATAGCACACTAACAATGAGATTCTCAGTATGGAAGTTAGGCTAGGAAGTTAGGCCAAGGCCAGATGGTTAAGAATTCCAAATGTATAACATGTTGAAGAAGTCTTTAAGCAGAGAAATTAGGCAGACAAACCCCAGCCCCCAACCTCTGCAAAGCTAGTTGTAGTGTAGAGAATGGACAGAATGGGGCGAGGTTGAGGGATGGGCAGAATAACATTTTTACTTTCATTTTTTGCTTCTGAGTATATTTCAGAGAGTGAAGATTCATGTTTTGTGGAAGGAGCCATATGTACATAAAACATAATTACATCTTCCATGTATGAAGGTCCTACTATAAGCTAGTTTCTATGTTTGAAACTTTCCATATGCTGTTTTACTTAATCCTCAAAAATATTTTTGCAATTATGCTGCATGTATATTCCAAGATAGATTTCTATGGGAAAAAATCTCCATTTCATTGATGAGAAAATGGAGGCACTGAGAGTTTAAACAACTTACACAAGATATCAAAATTCTACAGACTCAAGGAATGAGTTCCAATTATATTCCAAACAAGGAAAGCAGAGTCAGATATTTGGAGCATTACAGATGACATCATTGAGCTGCACAAGTTCTTGTATGTCTGTTTTTTAGAAAGTCTTAGTACTTTTGTAGTCGCACAATATTTGGTAAATATTGGTCAGTATGGATTTTCAGTCTTTCCTTTTTCAAACATAATTTTGCAATTGGCATCTGTTCATATTGCCCTAAGGAAACTCTAAGGAAAATATCAGTGACAAGCAGAAAAACTCTTAGATTAGCAGTAACCTCCCCAACAAATCTAAAGATACTGTCTAGTACTATCACACAAATGCATCTTTGGTATTGATTGCTGGAACTGCACACTGACCACTGTCCTTCTCTGCTGCAGGAGTTCAGCCAGCAGCCAGCCAAACTAGCATAGATTTTGGAAAATCAAACTGATTTTCTTTTTATATTTGCCCTCCATGTAGCACCATTTCTCATATATTCGAGGCTGACCTAAGTTTGGGAAATTTGCCAATGAATTGTTCAGACTTCTTTTTTTATTTTATAACCCTGAAGATACTACTGACCAACACAGGAACACAACTGTTATAAAGAAAGCCAAAAGCTACTAAGAACTTAATAATACATGGTCACGCTTTTCCTTCTATAGGCACTCCAGAATTGAGTATTAACCAGAATTGAGTATTAAATTCAATCAACACAATTAGCTTTAATGAACTACACTCTTATAGGGGTTGATGCTTCACTTTGTCCAGTTTTTTTTTTTACAAGGTAAATAGGATAATTCACCTAACATTTCTAAAATTTGGAGTGGAACTAGGGAAGGTGAAGGGGTTGGCAGTTAGCAAGTACAGCACCATTGTTTTCACTCCTTAACGGAGGTTTGAAGTTCAGCCAGAGGTCTTGGATAATAGGAGTTTTTAGAGGATATTTAGTGAGGTCCCTATTGGAACGTTATCTGTATTGCAAACAACTGTACATCATTTAGTAATCACGGGCAAGTTTTGGCTTGGGAAAGACCTCATGCTAATTAGCTTTATGTAAAGTGGAAATGTCACAATTTTGAGGATGCCAACATAATTCTATCCCATTAAATCCCACATGTCAGGCAGGATTATCTAGTAGAGGAGTGGAGGTAGGGGAAAGGGAGAGAAGCTCTGAAGCCATCTTTGGACACTAGGAGGTTTTCACACCCTCTTGTTGGCTAGGATATAAAATGTGGGGGTGGGTTGTGTGGTCTCCAAGGTCTCTTAAATCTTTCACATGCTTTGTTCCTATCCTCTGTCCTTTGCTCTCTCATTGTGAATGTAGGGTTTGGGCGATTCAACCTGTAGTGGTGAGAAGGAGTTTCCCAACAGAGCCACATGCTGCTGTTGTCATGAAGACTGGGCCAAATTCTCCATGCTCCTTGCATGTGGGGGCAGCTGGTACCGCTCCTGTGTAGCTGATGGGAACTCACTTTGCAGCTTGCATGTTTTGACAGCCACAGCATTTTCAGAAATGGCGTGGTCACTCAATCTGAGCTACAGTTCTCCATTTTTAGTATTTTAGTTAAAAAAATTTATTATACTTTAAGTTCTGGGTTACATGTGCAGAACGTGCAGTTTTGTTACATAGGTATACACGTGCCATGGTGGTTTGCTGCACCCATCAAACCGTCATCTACGTTAGGTATTTCTCCTAATGTTATCCCTCCCCTAGGCCCCCACCCCCCAACAGGCCCCAGTGTGTGATGTTCCCCTCCCTATCTCCATGTGTTCTCATTGTTCAACTCCTACTTATGAGTGAGAACATGCGGTATTTGGTTTTCTGTTCTTGTGACAGTTTACTAAGAATGATGGTTTCCAGCTTCATCCATGTCCCTACAAAGGACATGAACTCATCCCTTTTTATGGCTGCATAGTATTCCATGGTGTATATGTGCCACATTTTCTTTATCCAGTCTAATACTGATGGACATTTGGGTTGGTTCCAAGTCTTTGCTACTGTGAATAGTGCCACAGTAAACATACATGTGCATGTGTCTTTATAGTGGAATGATTTATAATCCTTTGGGTATATACCCAGTAATGGTATTTCTGGTTTAGGTCCTTGAGGAATTGCCACACTGTCTTCTACAATGGTTGAACTAATATACACTCCCACCAACAGTGTAAAAGCGTTCCTATTTCTTCACATCCTCTCCAGTATCTGCTGTTTCCTTACTTTTTAGTGATCGCCATTCTAACTGGCATGAGATGGTATCTCACTGCAGTTTTGGTTTGCATTTCTCTAATGACCAGTGATGATGAGCTTCTTTTCATATGTTTGTTGGCTGCATAAATGTCTTCTTTTGAAAAGTGTCTGTTCATGTCCTTTGCCCACTTTTTGATAGGATTGTTTGTTTTTTCTTGTAAATTTATTTAAGTTCTTTGTAGATTCTGGATATTAGGCCTTCGTCAGATGGATAGATTGCAAAAATTTTCTTCCATTCTGTAGGTTGGCTGTTCACTCTGCTGATAGTTTCCTTTGCTGTGCAGAAGCTCTTTAGTTTAATTAGATCCCATTTGTCAATTTTGAATTTTATTGCCATTGCTTTTGGTGTTTTAGACATGAAGTCTTTGCCCATGCCTACATCCTGAATGGTATTGCCTAGGTTTTCTTCTAGGATTTTTATGGTCCTAGGCTTATGTTTAAGTCTTTGATCCATCTTGAGTTGATTTTTGTATAAGGTGTAAGAAAGGGGTCCAGTTTCAGTTTTCTGCACATGGCTAGCCAGGTTTTGCAACATTTATTAAATAGGGAATCTTTTCCCCATTGCTTGTTTGTGTCAGATTTGTCAAAGATCATATGGTTGTAGATGTGTGGTGTTATTTCTGAGGCCTCTGTAATGTTCCCTTGGTCTATATATCTGTTTTGGTACCAGTACCATGCTGTTTTTGGGTATTGTAGCCTTGTAGTATAGTTTGAAATGAGGTAGTGTGACGCCTCCAGCTTTGTTCTTCTTGCCCAGGATTGTCTTGGCTTGTGTGTTCTTTTTTGGTTCCATACAAACTTTAAAGCAGTTTGTTCCAATTCTGTGAAGAAAGTCAGTGGTATCTTGATGGGGATAACATTGAATCTATAAATTAGTTTGGGCAGTGTGGCCATTTCCACAATATTGATTCTTCCTATCCATGAGCATGGAATGTTTTTCTGTTTGTTTGTGTCCTCTCTTATTTCCTTGAGCAGTGGTTTGTAGTTCTCCTTGAAGAGGTACTTCGCATCCCTTGTAAGTTGTATTCCTAGGTATTTTATTCTCTTAGTAGCAATGGTGAATGGGAATTCACTCATGATTTGGCTCTCTGTTTGTCTATTATTGTTGTATAGGAATGCTTCTGATTTTTGCACATTGATTTTTTATCCTGAGACTCTGCTGAAGTTGCTTATCAGCTTAAGGAGATTTTGGGCTGAGATGATGGTGTTATCTAAATATACAATCATGTCATCTGCAAACAGAGATAATTTGACTTCCTCTCTTCCTATCTGAATACCCTTTATTTCTTTCTCTTGCCTGATTGCTCTGGCCAGAACTTCCAGTACTATGTTGAATAGGAGTGGTGAGAGAGAGCATCCTTGTCTTGTGCCAGTTTTCAAAGGGAATTCTTCCAGTTTTTGCTTGTTCAGTATGATATTGGCTGTGGGTTTGTCATAAATAGCTCTTATTATTTTGAGATACATTCCACTGATACACAGTTTATTGGGAGTTTTTAGCATGAAGGGGTGTTGAATTTTGTCAAAAGCCTTTTCTGCATCTATTGAGATAATCATGTGATTTTTGTGATTGGTTCTGTTTATGCAATGGATTACATTTACTGATTTGCATATGTTGAACCAGCCTTGCATCTCAGGGATGAAGCTGACTTGATCATGGTGGATAAGCTTTTTGATGTGCTGCTGGATTTGGTTTGCCAGTATTTTTTTGAGGATTTTCATATTGATGTTCATCAGGGATATTGGCCTGAAATTTTCCTTTTTTGTTGTGTCTCTGCCAGGTTTTGGTATCAGGATGATGCTGGTCTCATAAAATGAGTTAGGGAGGAGTCCCTCTTTTTCTATTGTTTGGAATAGTTTGAGAAGGAATGATACCAGCTCCTCTTTGTACCTCTGGTAGAATTCGGCTGTGAATCCATCTGGTCCTGGACTTTTTTTGGTTGGTAAGCTATTAATTACTGCCTCAATTTCAGAACTTGTTATTGGTTTATTCAGGGATTCAACATCTTCCTAGTTTAGACTTGGAAGGGTGTATGTGTCCAAGAATTTATCCATTTCTTCTAGATTTTCTAGTTTATTTGTGTAGAGGTGTTTATAGTATTTTCTGTTGTCAGTTTTATTTCTCTGGGATCAGTGGTGATATCCCCTATATCATTTTTTATTGCATCTATTTGATTCATTTATCTTTTCTTCTTTATTTTATTTATTAGTATGGCTAGTGGTCTATTTTGTTGATCTTCTCAAAAAACCAGCTCCTGGATTCATTGATTTTTTGAAGGGTTTTTCATGTCTCTGTCTCCTTCAGTTCTGCTCTGATCTTAGTTATTTGTTGTCTTCTGCTATATTTTGAATTTGTTTGCTGTTGCTTCTCTAGTTCTTTTAACTTTGATGTTAGGGTGTCAATTTTAGATCTTTCCTGCTGTCTCTTGTGGGCATTTAGTGCTATAAATTTCCCTCTACACAGTGCTTTAAATGTGTCCCAGAGATTCTGGTACATTGTGTCTTCATTCTTATTGGTTTCAAAGAACATCTTTGTTTCTGCCTTCATTTCGTTACGTACCCAGTAGTCATTCAGGAGCAGGTTCAGTTCCCATGTAGTTGTGTGGTTTTGAGTGAGTTTCTTAATCCTGAGTTCTAGTTTGATTGCACTGTGGTCTGAGAGACTGTTATGATTTCCATTCTTTTGCATTTGCTGAGGAGTGTTTTACTTCCAATAATATGGTTAATTTTAGAATAAATGCAATGAGGTGCTGAGAAGAATGTATATTCTTTTGATTTGGGGTGGAGAGTTCTGTAGATGTCTATTAAGTCTGCTTGATCCAAAACTGAGTTCAAGTCCTGAATAACCTTGTTAATTTTCTGTCTCGTTGATCTGTCTCATATTGACAGTGGAAGGCTAAAGTCTCCCACTATTATTGTGTGGGAGTCTAAGTCTCTTTGTAGGTCTCTAAGAACTTGCTTTATGAATCTGGGTGCTACTGTATTGGGTGCATATATATTTAGGATAGTTAGCTCTTCTTACTGCATTGATCCCTTTACCATTATGCAATGGCCTTCTTTGTCTCTTTTGATCTTTGTTGGTTTAAAGTCTTTTTATCAGAGACTAGGATTGCAACTCCTGCTTAATTTTGCTTTCCATTTGCTTGGTAGATCTTCCTTTATCCCTTTATTTTGAGCTTGTGTGTGTCTTTGCATGTAAGATGGGTCTCCTGAATACAGCACACTGATGGGTCTTGACTCTTTATCCAATTTTCCAGTCTGTGTCTTTTAATTGGGGCATTTAGCCCATTTACATTTAAGGTTAATATTGTTATGCGTGAATTTGATCCTGTCATTATGATGGTAGCTGGTTTTTTGCCCATTAGTTGATTCAGTTTCTTCATAGTGTCAATGTTATTTACAATTTGGTATGTTTTTGCAGTGGCTGGTACTGGTTTTTCCTTTTCATATTTAATGCTTCCTTCAGGAGCTCTTGTAAGGCAGGTCTGATGATGACACAATCTCTCAGCATTTGCTGATCTGTAAAGGTTTTTATTTGTTTCACTTATGAAGCTTAGTTTGGCTGGATATGAAATTCTGGGTTGAAAATTCTTTTCTTTAAGAATGTTGAATATTGGCCCCCACTCTCTTATGGTTTGTAGGGTTTCTGCAGAGAGACCCACTGTTAGTCTGATGTGCTTCCCTTTGTGGGTAACCTGAACTTTCCCTCTGGCTGCCCTTAACATTTTTTCCTTCCTTTCAACCTTGGTGCATCTGATGATTATGTGTCTTGTGGTTGCTCTTCTCGAGGAATATCTCTGTGGCGTTCTCTGTATTTCCTGAATTTGAATGTTGGCCTGCCTTGCTAGACTGGGGAAGTTCTCCTGGATAATATCCTGAAGAGTGTTTTCCAACTTGATTCCATTCTCCTCGTCACTTTCAGGTACACCAATCAAACACAGATTTGGTCTTTTCACATAGCCCCATATTTCTTGGAGGCTTTGTTCATTCCTTTTTATTCTTTTTTCTCTAATCTTGTTTTCTCCATTTATTTTATTAAGTTGATCTTCAATCACTGATATCTTTTCTTCTGCTTGATTGATTCAGCTATTGAAACTTGTGTATGCTTCACGAACTTCTCATGCTGTGTTTTTCAGCTCCATCAGGTCATTTATGTTGTTCTCTACACTGGTTATTCTAGTTAGCAATTCATCTAACCTTTTTTCAAGGTTGCTAGCTTCTTTGCATTGGGTTAGAACATGTTCCTTTAGCTTGGAGGAGTTCATTATTACCCACCTTCTGAAGCCTACTTCTGTCAACTCGTCAAACTCATTCTCCATCCAGTTTTGTTCCCTTGCTGGCGAGGAGTTATGATCCTTTGGAGAGGAAGAGGTGTTCTGGTTTTTGGAATTTTCAGCACTTTCGTGCTGATTTCTTCCCATCTTTGTGGATTTATCTACCTTTGGTCTTTGATGTTGGTGACCTTTGGATGAGGTCTTAGAGTCTATGTGCTATTCCTTTCCGTTTGTTAGTTTTCCTTCTGACAGTCAGGCCCCTCTGCTGCTGGTCTGCTGGCGTTTGCTGGAGGTACGCTCCCGACCCTGTTTGGCTGGGTATCACCAGCGGAGGCTGCGGAACAGCCAAGATTGCTGCCTGATCTTTCCGCTGGAAGCTTCGTCCCAGAGGGGCACCTGCCAGATGTTAGCCAGAGCTCTTCTGTATGAGGTGTCTGTAAGCCCCTACTGGGAGGTGACTCTATTTTAGTTCTTAAAACAAATCTGCCCTGGACTCCTAATTCAGGGACCTTCAAAGTTTTTTGGACACAACCCACATTCAAAAAACAAAACATACAGTTGATACAGATCTATATAAAAACACACAATTTATACAACATTGTCACAAAATAACACTTAGTGTTATTCCATGTAATGCATTTTTTTCATTATTCTATTTTATTTCACTTTAAAAGAAGTGCTTGTTGTGTCCCATTCAGTTGATGTTATAATCCACTATATTATGATCTACTGTTTTACAAGCATTGTTCACATGATTTTAATTAGATTAGCATGATGGTTAATACTGAGTATCAACTCGATTGGATTGAGGGATAGAAAGTATTAATCTTGGGTGTGTCTGTGTGGGTGTTGCCAAAAGAGATTAACATTGGAGTCAGTGGGCTGGGGAAGGCCGACCCACCCTTAATCTGGTGGGCACCATCTAATCAGCTTCCAGTAAATACAAAGCAGGCAGAAAAACGTGAAAACGTGAGACTGGCCTAGCCTCCCAGCCTACATCTTTGTCCCATGCTGGATGCTTCTTGCCCTCAAACATTGGACTCCAAGTTCTTCAGTTTTGGGACTCAGACTGACTCTCCTTGCTCCTCAAGCTTGCAGATAGCCTATTGTGGGATCTTGTGATCATGTAAGTTAATACTTAATACACTCCCCTTTATATGTGTTTATCTATCATATTAGTTATGTCCCTCTAGGGAACCCTGACCAAAACAATTAGGGACTTGTTCTTTACGTCATTTTCTCTTCTAGAAGAGAATATAAATACTAAGGGCAAGAGCATTGCATGAGAGGCTGCAATATTATCATAGAACTACTAAATAACTAGCCCATACCATCCAGAGGATCTTTGCACATCATCTAGTTCCTGGTCCTGGAATTATACCTGAGACTCATAGAGTGCTTTCACCCAGAACCCAAATTTTATTTCTAGGAAATAGACACTGTTTGTCATCATTCCTGGTGTCCCATCCCATTCATGCTAGATTAGTTATGTTTATCAAACTTTAGGTTACAGCAAAGAACTTTACTATGGCTAGGCATATATTATCATATAAATATTTTATTTTTAAACAAAACTTGTTTTCTATACATACTTCATTAACTGATTAGCATCATATCTTTTTCTTCATGTTCTTCATACCTAAATATATGTTTTATAAAGAAATCTAAAGATATTTGCTGATTTTTAATGATGGTTATGGTTGCTGGTGAACATTTTCAAGATTTTCTTATACAAATTTAGCAGTTACAAAGCAATCTCAGAAAAAGTTCTCAATTTTTTTTTTTTTGTAGATCTTAACTATGAGTTAAGAGTTTTATAGAAGGATGATGTGGGTACCGCATATTTAAATTCCTTGCACAATGTCATACTAAACATAGGAGAAAAATACCCAGGATTTCAGGCTTCTAATAAAATTCTTATTATAAGTAAGCTTATCCTACTTTAAGGTACTTGATAACAATTTGTGTGAAATTCTATCTGGATATTTAAGCTTTTCAGCGTTCTGAGGGTGTGACTGGTTATAACATGGTGCTAAGGGGAGAAAATGCCTGGGGTCCCTCCATAGAGAATTCCAGAGTCCCAGACTGTATTTTTATTTCTTTAATTAACCATTCATTCATCATTTTTTTTCATTCTTTCATTAGGTCCCATCCACACACATATATTGAGTGTCCATCATATGGCAGTCACTGCACTTGCCATTAAAGATGAATTGAAGGCATCCGAAGGTTCACAAGAAATGCTCTTGGTCCTTAAGGAACTTTGTCTCCAGAGTCATAAATTATAATAATAATTGCTAGTTGGTGATGCAGCCGTACCTGTACTGTGTGTGTTCAGAATCTGAATAACCAGTTTAATAAAGTCAAATTGTTGTGGAAAACACTGGGGAGATTCTGGAACCACTTTGAAAAAAACCAAAGAAACTTGGAAGGAAAAAAATATAAGCTTCCAAATAGAAATATTAATACATAAGAATTTAATTCCTCTACTAAAAATAATGGCTACCCAAGACATTTACTAAATATTAATAGGAACAAAATGAGAGGCTTGCCAGGAGAATAGGGAGCAAAGGTGAATATCGTACTAGGAGTCTTCTATAAAAGAATGGAAATCCTTGGTCTTGAAGGAGTTATTAAACATCCATGAATTTTTATTTTAATAAAAATCAGGTAGAAAATACAGAAAATAGGCTTGACACAAATAATTTTACTATAAATCGGTGTGTTGTTAGTACACACAAGTGAATGAACATTAAATCTACATTGACAGCTTTGCCCAATAAGAATGTATAGATATTGAAAAGAAAGGGATTCAAATAATGAAACACTGGGGAACACAACAGAAAACCAGATTCCAGTTCCATTCCCACACTAGAATTACCACTGCAGAAAAGCAAATGCTGAGAAACATTACGTTTGCAGGAGCAGGCTCACAGGGTTCAACCATTCAAACAAACTCCATTTTGCATAGAAAACAGAGAACAGACAATGACCTTCTGGAATCTTCTCATGCAAAGTTACCATCTGACCTCTCTGGTGCTATCTCTGTGTAAAAATAAGAAGTGAGAAACAGGAAACATTCACACAGATATTGTGGGAAGGATGCTGACTCAGCTAGAAGATTGTGACTCACTGGGAACTCAATTGGCTGACCCAGGATGGTATGCCAAAAGAAGTCTCACATGAGGGAGTGGAACCTGGCCTGGCTACCTGATGCATCTATGATGTACAATTCACTTTTTTTGTTGTTGTTGGAAGAAACTCATAAAACTCATTACAAGGCTTAGGAATGGAGACCTAATTTTTAAAAAAATTGTTTTAAACTTTTATTTTAAGTTCAGGGGTATGTGTACAGGTTTGTTATGTAGGTAAAATTATGTCTTGGGGGCTTATTGTACAGATTATTTCATCACCCAGGTATTAAGCCTAGTGTTCATTCATTATTTTTTTTAAATTCTCTCCCTCCTCCCACCCTCCACCTTCCGATAGGCCCCAGTGTGTATTGTTCTCCTCTATGTTTCCATATATTCTTATCATTTAGCTATCACTTATAAGTGAGAACAGGCAGTATTTGGTTTTCTGTTCCTGTGTTAGTTTGCAAGGGATAATGGCCTCCAGCTCCATCCATGTCCCTGCAAAAGACATGATCTTGTTATTTTTATGGCTGCATAGTATTCCATGGTGCATATGTACCACATTTTTTTAATGAGTCTATTATTGTGTAGCTTAAATATTAAACATCATAGAATCAAGAGTTACTAAAAAACAACCACCTTTCAAAAAAGAGATGGATAAATCAAAATTAAATGCAGGTGCCTAAACAATATGAAAATATTCTAATCTTGTAGTAATAAAATGGTAATTTTTTTAGTGCTTTTCTCTTTTTTATTATTATTATACTTTAAGTTTTAGGGTACATGTGCACAATGTGCAGGTTTATTACATATGTATACATGTGCCATGTTGGTGTGCTGCACCCAATAACTCATCATTTAACATTAGGTATATCTCCTAATGCTATCTCTCCCCCCTCCCCCCACCCCACAACAGTCCCCGGTGTGTGATGTTCCCCTTTCTGTGTCCATGTGTTCTCATTGTTCAATTCCCACGTATGAGTGAGAACATGCGGTGTTTGGTTTTTTGTCCTTGCGATAGTTTGCTGAGAATGATGGTTTCCAGCTTCATCCATGTCCCTACAAAGGACATGAACTCATCATTTTTTATGGCTGCATAGTATTCCATGGTGTATATGTGCCACATTTTCTTAATCCAGTCTATCATTGATGGACATTGGGGTTGGTTCCAAGTCTTTGCTATTGTGAATAGTGCCGCAATAAACATACATGTGCATGTGTCTTTATAGCAGCATGATTTATAATCCTTTGGATATATACTCAGTAATGGTATGGCTGGATCAAATGATATTTCTGGTTCTAGATCCCTGAGGAATCGCCACACCGACTTCCACAGTGGTTGAACTAGTTTACAGTCCCACCAACAGTGTACAAGTGTTCCTATTTCTCCACATCCTCTCCAGCACCTGTTGTTTCCTGACTTTTTAATGATTGGCATTCTAACTGGTGTGAGATGGTATCTCATTGTGGTTTTGATTTGCATTTCTTTGATGGCCAGTGATGATGAGTATTTTCTCATGTGTTTTTTGGCTGCATAAATGTCTTCTTTTGAGAAGTGTCTGTTCATATCTTTCGCCCACTTTATGATGGGGTTGTTTTTTTCCTGTAAATTTGTTTGAGTTCATTGTAGATTCTGGATATTAGCCCTTTGTCAGATGAGTAGGTTGCAAAAATTTTCTCCCATTCTGTAGGTTGCCTGTTCACTCTGATGGTAGTTTCTTTTGCTGTGCAGAAGTTCTTTAGTTTAATTAGATCTCATTTGTCAATTTTGGCTTTTGTTGCCATTGCTTTTGGTGTTTTACACATGAAGTCCTTGCCCATGCCTATGTCCTGAATGGTATTGCCTAGCTTTTCTTCTAGGGTTTTTATGGTTTTAGGTCTCACATGTAAGTCTTTAATCCATCTTGAATTAATTTTTGTATAAGGTGTAAGGAAGGGATCCAGTTTCAGCTTTCTACATATGGCTAGCCAGTTTTCCCAACACCATTTATTAAATAGGGAATCCTTTCCCCATTTCTTGTTTTTGTCAGGTTTGTCAAAGATCAGATAGTTGTAGATATGTGGCATTATTTCTGAGGGCTCTGTTCTGTTCCCTTGGTCTATATCTCTGTTTTGGTACCAGTACCATGCTGTTTTGATTACTGTAGCCTTGTAGTATAGTTCGAAGTCAGGTAGCGTGATGCCTCCAGCTTTGTTCTTTTGGCTTAGGATTGACTTGGAGATGCGGGCTCTTTTTTGGCTCCATATGAACTTTAAAGTAGTTTTTTCCAATTCTGTGAAGAAAGTCATTGGTAGCTTGATGGGGATGGCAGTGAATCTATAAATTACCTTGGGCAGTATGGCCATTTTCACAATATTGATTCTTCCTACCCATGAGCATGGAATGTTCTTCCATTTCTTTGTATCCTCTTTTATTTCATTGAGCAGTGGTTTGTAGTTCTCCTTGAAGAGGTCCTTACATCCCTTGCAAGTTGGATTCCTAGGTATTGTATTCTCTTTGAAGCAATTGTGAATGGGAGTTCACTCATGATTTGGCTCTCTGTTTGTCTGTTATTGGTGTATAAGAATGCTTGTGATTTTTGCACATTGATTTTGTATCCTGAGACTTTGCTGAAATTGCCTATCAGCTTAAGGAGATTTTGGGCTGAGACAATGGGGTTTTCTAGATATACAATCATGTCATCTGCAAACAGGGACAATTTGACTTCCTCCTTTCCTAATTGAATACCCTTTATTTCCTTCTCCTGCCTGATTGCCCTGGCCAGAACTTCCAAACACTATGTTGAATAGGAGTGGTGAGAGAGGGCATCCCTGTCTTGTGCCAGTTTTCAAAGGGAATGCTTCCAGTTTTTGTCCATTCAGTAGGATATTGGCTGTGGGTTTGTCATAGATAGCTCTTATTATTTTGAGATATGTCCCATCAATACCTAATTTTTTGAGAGTTTTTAGCATGAAGGGTTGTTGAATTTTGTCAAAGGCTTTTTCTGCATCTATTGAGATAATCATGTGGTTTTTGTCTTTGGTTCTGTTTATATGCTGGATTATGTTTCCTGATTTTCGTATGTTGAACCAGGCTTGCATCCCAGGGATGAAGCCCACTTGATCATGGTGGATAAGCTTTTTGATGTATTGCTGGATTCGGTTTGCCAGTATTTTATTGAGGATTTTTGCATCAATGTTCATCAAGGATATTGGTCTAAAATTCTCTTTTTTTTGTTGTGTCTCTGCCAGGCTTTGGTATCAGGATGATGCTGGCCTCATAAAATGAGTTAGGGAGGATTCCCTCTTTTTCTATTGATTGGAATAGTTTCAGAAGGAATGGTACCAGCTCCTCCTTATACCTCTGGTAGAATTCGGCTGTGAATCCATCTGGTCCTCGACTTTTTTTGGTTGGTAAGCTATTAATTATTGCCTCAATTTCAGAGCCTGTTATTGGTCTATTTAGAGATTCAACTTCTTCCTGGTTGAGCCTTGGGAGAGTGTATGTATTGAGGAATTTATCCATTGCTTCTAGATTTTCTAGTTTATTTGCACAGAGGTGTTTACAGTATTCTCTGATGGTAGTTTGTATTTCTGTCGGATCGGTGGTGATATATCCTTTGTCATTTTTTATTGCGTCTATTTGATTCTTCTCTCTTTTCTTCTTTATTAGTGTTGCTAGCGGTCTATCGATTTTGTTGATCTTTTCAAAAAACCAGCTCATGGATTCACTGATTTTTTGAAGGGTTTTTTGTGTCTCTATTTCCTTCAGTTCTGCTCTGATTTTAGTTATTTCTTGCCTTCTGCTAGCTTTTGAATGTGTTTGCTCTTGCTTCTCTAGTTCTTTTAATTGTGATGTTAGGGTGTCAATTTTGGATCTTTCCTGCCTTCTTTTGTGGGCATTTAGTGCTATAAATTTCCCTCTACACACTGCTTTGAATGTGTTCCAAAGATTCTGGTATGTTTTGTCTTTGTTCTCACTGGTTTCAAAGAACATCTTTATTTCTGCCTTCATTTCATTATGTAGCCAGTAGTCGTTCAGGAGCAAGTTGTTGAGTTTCCATGTAGTTGAGCGGTTTTGAGTGAGTTTCTTAATCCTGAGTTCTAGTTTGATTGCACTGTGGTCTGAGAGACAGTTTGTTATAATTTCTGTTCTTTTACATTTGCTGAAGAGTGCTTTACTTCCAAGTATGTGGTCAATTTTGGAATAGGTGTGGTGTGGTGCTGAAAAGAATGTATATTCTGTTGATTTGGGTTGGAGAGTTCTGTAGATGTCTATTAGGTCCACTTGGTGCGGAGCTGAGTTCAATTCCTGGATATCCTTGTTAAATTTGTCTCATTGATCTGTCTAATGTTGACAGTGGGGTGTTGAAGTCTCCCATTATTATTGTGTGGGAGTCTAAATCTCTTTTTAGGTCACTAGGGACTTGCCTTATGACTCTGGATGCTCCTGTATTGGGTGCATATATATTTAGGATAGTTAGTTCTTCTTGTTGAATTGATCCCTTTACCATTATGTAATGGCCTTCTTTGTCTCTTTTGATCGTTGTTGGTTTAAAGTCTGTTTTATCTGAGACTAGGATTGCAACCCCTGCCTTTTTTGTTTTGCATTTGCTTGGTAGATCTTCCTCCTTCCCTTTATTTTGAACCTATGTGTGTCTCTGCACATGAGATGGGTTTCCTGAATACAGCACACTGATGGGTCTTGACTCTTTATCCAATTTGCCAGTCTGTGCCTTTTAATTGGAGCATTTAGCCCATTTACCTTTAAGGTTAGTATTGTTATGTGTGAATTTGATCCTGTCATTATGATGTTAGCTGGTTATTTTGCTCATTAGTTGATGCAGTTTCTTCCTAGCCTTGATGGTCTTTACAATTTGGCATGTTTTTGCAGTGGCTGGTACTGATTTTTCCTTTCAATGTTTAGTGCTTCCTTCAGGAGCTCTTTTAGGGCAGGCCTGGTGGTGACAAAATCTCTCAGCATTTGCTTGTCTCTAAAGGATTTTATTTCTCCTTCACTTATGAAGCTTAGTTCGGCTGGATATGAAATTCTGGGTTGAAAATTATTTTCTCTAAGAATGTTGAATATTGGCCCCCACTTTCTTCTGGCTTGTAGAGTTTCTGCTGAGAGATCAGCTGTTACTCTGATGGGCTTCCCTTTGTGGGTAACCCGACTTTTCTCTCTGGCTGCCCTTAACATTTTTTCTTTCATTTCAACTTTGGTGAACCTGACAATTATGTGTCTTGGAGTTGCTCTTCTTGAGGAGTATCTTTGTGGCATTCTCTGTATTTCCTGAATCTGAATGTTGGCCTGCCTTGCTAGATTGGTGAAGTTCTCCTGGATAATATCCTGCAGAGTGTTTTCCAACTTGGTTCCATTCTCCCTGTCACTTTCAGGTACACCAATTAGATGTAGATTTGGTCTTTTCACATAGTCCCATATTTCTTGGAGGCTTTGTTCGTTTCTTTTTATTCTTTTTTCTCTAAGCTTCTCTTCATGCTTCATTTCATTCATTTCATCTTCCATCGCTGATACCCTTTCTTCCAGTTGATCGCATAGGTTACTGAGGCTTGTGCATTTGTCACATAGTTCTTGTGCCACGTTTTTCAGCTCCATCAGGTCCTTTAAGGACTTCTCTGCATTGGTTATTCTAGTTATCCGTTCATGTAATTTTTTTCCAAAGTTTTTAATTTCTTTGCCATTGGTTCGAACTTCCTCCTTTAGCTCGGAGTAGTTTGATCTTCTGAAGCCTTCCTCTCTCAACTCATCAAAGTCATTCTCCATCCAGCTTTGTTCTGTTGCTAGTGAGGAGCTGCATTCCTTTGGAGGAGGAGAGGCACTCGATTTTTAGAGTTTCCAGTTTCTCTGCTCTGTTTTTTCCCCATCTTTGTGGTTTTATCTACCTTTGGTCTTTGATGATGGTGACGTACAGATGGGTTTTTGGTGTGGATGTCCTTTCTGTTTGTTAGTTTTCCTTCTAACAGTCAGGACCCTCAGCTGCAGGTCTGTTGGCGTTTACTGGAGGTCCACTCCAGACCCTGTTTGTCTGGGTATCAGCAGCGGTGGCTGCAGAACAGCGGATATTGGTGAACCACAAATGTTGCTGCCTGATCGTTCCTCTGGAAGTTTTGTCTCAGAGGAGTACCAGGCCATGTGAGGTGTCAGTCTGCCCCTACTGGGGGGTGCCTCCCAGTTAGGCTACTCGGGGGTCAGGGACCCACTTGAAGAGGCAGTCTGCCCGTTCTCAGATCTCCAGCTGCATGCTGGGAGAACCACTACTCTCATCAAAGCTGTCAGACAGGGACATTTAAGTCTGCAGAGGTTACTGCTGTCTTTTGTTTGTCTGTGCCCTGCCCCCAGAGGTGGAGCCTACAGAGGCTTGCAGGCCTCCTTGAGCTGTGGTGGGCTTCACCCAGTTTGAGCTTCCCTGCCACTTTGTTTACCTACTCAAGCCTGAGCAATGGTGGGCTCCCCTCCCCAAGCCTCGCTGCTGCCTTGCAGTTTGATCTCAGACCACTGTGCTAGCAATGAGCGAGGCTCCGTGGGCGTAGGCCCTTCGAGCCAGGTGCAGGATATAATCTCTTGGTGTGCTGTTTGTTAAGCACGATGGAAAAGCCCAGTATTATGGTGGGAGTAACCTGATTTTCCAGGTGCCATCTGTCACCGCTTTCTTTGACTAGGAAAGGGAATTCCCTGACCCCTTGTGCTTCCCGGGTGAGGCGATGCCTCGCCCTGCTTCGGCTCACGCACGGTGCACTGCACACACTGTCCTGCACCCACTATCTGGCACTCCCCAGTGAGATGAACCCGGTACCTCAGTTGGAAATGCAGAAATCACCAGTCTTCTTCATGGCTTACACTGGGAGCTGTACACTGGAGCTGTTCCTATTTGACTATCTTCAAAATGGTAATTTTTAATAACACCAAGAGGCTATTCTTCAGCTCAACAAACAAATTAGTGTAAGCATCATATTATTATTTAGAATGGCCTGTTTCTGTGGAGATTTAGAAACATGGGCACTCATGGTTATTTTGCTGATTTTTGGATAATTCAATAACATGTATCTAAATAAAAATGTTTCTTTGCTTTATTTTAGTAGATCTGCTTCTAAGAATTTATTTAATCCAAGAATATAACCATTAGATATGCTCAAATATTGATCTATTAAGATGTTCTTTGTACCACGGTTTATAACAGAAATAGTACAAAAAGGAAACAGAACAACTGTCACTTAGTAAGAGGCTGACTTTGGATATATGCTTGATCTAGCCCACTGCCTCCACTTTAGTCCTGAGGGTCACCATCACTTCTTACCTGAACTACTACAGTAGGTCCTAACTGGTTTTGGGGCTTCCACATTCCTCATCCTCCAATATGTTCTCCACACAGCAGCAATAGGAATCTTAAACTATAAATCGAGTCATATCATTCCACTCCTTAAAACCTTCTGGAGCCTTCCATTGCCCTGAAAATAAAAGCTACACTCAGTCCATGAGCTCAAAGTCCCTTCAAGAAATGGCCCCAGCCACAATGTGTGTGTGTGTGGTTGTGCGTGTTTGTGCTTATGCATCCTTTGTTTTTAAAAAATTTGTATTAGAGTATAATTTACACACAGTGAAATGCACAGATATTGAGTGTATAATTTGATGAGCCTTGACAAATTTATTCACCCATGTAACAAACACTCCTATCATCATATAAGACAGTTCCAATACCCCCCGAAATACCCTCATGTCCCTCCTTAGTTAACCCCTGCTCTACTCCCTAATTATGGGACAACTATTATTATAATTTCTATCACCATAGATAAGTTTTGTTTGTTCTAGAATTTCATATAAATGAAAGCGTACCATGTCTTCTGTTTTGTGCCTGGCTATTTTTACTCTGCATAATGATTTCAAGATTTCATCCATGTTACTGTCTGTATCAAGTTATTCCTTTTATTGCTAAGTAGTGTTTCATTGCATATCCTAGGTATTTATACTCTACAGACCTTTGACCTTCTTCTCAGTAGTCACCAAACTTAAGCCTCACTGATCTTTGATTTGTTCCTTGAATAAGCTTCCTTTGAATCTTCAGGGTCTTTGCATCTGATGTTACCTCTGCATGGAATGCTCTTTCCCCATCCTTTGCATAACTCACTCCTTCTCATCATTTTCGATCTCAACTAACATGCCTTCTCCACAGACAGACGTTTTCTGACCAGGCTATATAAAACACCTTTGCATAATTTTTCTCTATTAGTTCTTTCTGTTATGACATTGATCACAGTTTGCAATGGTTTTATTTATTTTTCTGTTATTCTATGTTTTCCCTTCTAGAATAAAGGCTCTCTGAAGGTAGATACAATCTCTCTCTTGTTCACTGTTTCATCCCTAGCACTTAGGAGAGTGCCTGGCACATGGAAGGTGTTCAATAAATTTTGGGTAGGACTAGCTTTATTTAAATAAATAATAATTATTTTAATTGAATTACTTCAATCACCATTAAAATAACCCTGAAGGAAAATATATTGTGAAACATTTAGGTGAAATGACAGTTCAATAGATAGATTACAATAGTAGTATGCATAGTATAAACTCATTGTTGTGAAAAGTAAAAATTATATGTGTTTATGTATAATGAAAATATTGTTGGGCAGCATAATTTTAATCTTCTATCTCACCATTTTAATATATTCCAAAATTTGTATAATAAAAATTATTTTCAGAATTGAAATTAATTATTTATTTCTAATCAGCTGCCTTAATCTGTAGTTTGGTGCCATGCCTGTGCCTTCCTTTGCCTGAAATGCATCAGGCAGGCGTGTGCTGTGTCTGAAATGGAGGGGGTTCATTCTGAATATTTTGTAGGATGACAGTAAGAAGTGTAGAAGTCAGGGAAAGCCTCCAAGTAAAATCTTTACTTCTTTCTAGTGAAGGAGTCACCAAACCTTTTCTGTAAAAGGCCAGATAGTAGATATTTTAGGTTTTGTGGGACATTTCTTTATTGTGGCAGCTACTGAATTCTGCCTCACTGTGAAAGCAGCTAGAGACAAAATGTAATCCAAATGGGCATGGCTATGTTCCAATAACACTTGATTTACCAAAACAGGTGGCAAGTTGGATTTAGCCCCAAGGATTATGTTTTGCTGACACCTTGTTCTAGCATAACATCTTGATATGGTTTGGCTCTGTGTCCCCACTCAAATCTCATCTCGAATTGTAGTCCCCATGAGGGAGGTAGGTGAATGGATCATGGGGTCATTTCCCCCGTGCTGTTTTCATGATAGTGAGTGAGTTCTCATGAGATTTGATGGTTTTATAAGGGGCTTTCCCCTCTTTGCTTTCTCTTATCTCTCCTGCCACCTTGTGAAGAAGGTGCCTTGCTTTCCCTTCACCTTCCACTATGATTGTAAGTTTCCAGAGGCCTCCCCAGCTATGTGGAACTGTGAGTCAATTAAACCTCTATCCTTTATAAATTACACAGTCTCAGGGAAGTTCTTTATAGCAGTGTGAAAATAGACTAATACACATCTCGAACTTTATTTGCTTATCCTTTTTAACTACCTAGTGAAATCAAATTATCAGAGTTCACAATTCCTGGCTTCACTACTTGCAGGCAGATGGGTCAATGAGCATATTGCTTAACATCTGTAAGTTTGGTTTTCACACCTGGAAAACAAAGCTAATACTAGTACTTACCACACAGAGTCTTTTTGATGATTAGATAAAATAATCCATGCAAAACACTCAGCCCAGGGTGTAGCATGTAGTAAAGGCTTGTCCTAATTACTCTGTTTGTCCTAGGTCCATTCTCTGCCCTGCTCTGCCCTGCTCTGCCCTGTGCTGAGGAAACTGACCCCTACACTTACATAACCTGGGCCCCCTGCCTGGTTGCCCTCCACTTGAGTTCACTCACTAGGAGGCACTGGCTATAGACTGCAGGTGGGAGAAAACAGAGAGCTTTACTGAGGTATTTCTTCCTCCCCCTTCATTATTTCAGCACTGCTTTTCTGACCACAGCTGGGTCTCTCCCTAGCTAAGGCTCTCAACAAGTAGCCCGTATTCCATGTCTTCAGCCCTCCCTCAGTGAGCTCTGGGAGTGCTATTTTCTTCCCTTGGACTTTTAGACATCCTGCTTTTACTACTCTGTGGATATCTTCATATCCTTTGCTTATTCTCTAACCCTACCTACACCTAGATAAAAAGTGTCTTCATTTGAACCTTCTGGTGAATTCTATTCTCAGCTGGCATCCTAACTAAAACATTACTCTTTCATGTTAAAAACAACAAGGATAATGGTAACGATGAAAACTACTGTTATTGTTGTAATCATCAATTATTTCAAAAATTTTTCAGGTGTAGGTCTCTAAACTAATTCTTGGTTTACTATCCATTGCTCTTCTAGATCTTTCCAATATAATTGTTATCAGCTAATACTATGACACTTGATATTGATGACTGGTGCTGAGAGAGACCCTGAGAGGTCAACTAACATATTTTCTTGCTTTAAGGTATTTTGAAACATGTTTCAAAGTCAGACAGGAATCTACAGTGCTGTACCCTTTTATCTCTTTCATGTAGCGAGAATTAAAATACAGTAACATAACCCCAAGTATAGATTTTCCAACAGTATGAAAATCACCCAGCACATAGAGTGATATTTCCATTCTTACACCACCCTTTTTGCAAGTGGTAGACAGGAATAGGGTGATAATGGACAAGGAAAGGGTAACAAAAGCACCATTACTCAAGGTTTTCTGGAGCCAGACATGTCTGGTCATGTATTAGGGCAGCAGTCATAGGTCTGTGGCAGAGAGATGAGGGCAACCTACCTGTGGACTGGGCCCTGAAACAGAGGCTCTGAGTCAGGATTGCCCAAAGGCTCCTTCCTGTTACCTGCCTGAAGCTGAAACCTGCCAACTGCCATCCTTGGGAGCTATTAATATTTGACTTCTCATAATTAGCTCCAAATAGTTTGAATTGGGTGTATTAGTACTGTATTACTTTCACTTTACAAAGTAAGCCTAAGAGAAACTGTATTTTCAACAATGTCTATTTAAATCAGGAAGTACAAGGCTGATCTGAATTTGACTTTCACTTCAAGTAACAATGTTAAATGTGTCTGCAAACTGGCCAACAAGTCTCAAGGAAACTGTTGTATTTTATCATTTATAAAATGAAATTTTAAGTCATCATTTTTTGCTTATATGTATAATATGTATTATACCAATATACTTATTTTGCCAACTGTGTTTTCTTGGGAAGAATTGCTCCGTACTCTGAGATACTTTCTACTTTTTTTGATGTTAAAATAATCTTTCTTTTATGAAACTGTAACAATGAAGACAATAACGAGCCACAGTGATTGAATGAGTAGCACGTCCCAGGCACTGTGCTTAGTGCTTTTCTATATTTAGCAGGTAATTTATCTGTAATTCTCGCAAGAAGCCTTGGAGGGGAATAGGACTGTTATCCTCATTTAAAAGAGACTAAAGATGAGGGACAGAGTGGTTAAGAATATTTTTTCAAGGTCTCATAACTATTATGTGGCAATGTTGGAAGATAAACCTAGATAGTTTGACTCCAAAGGCTAAACTTCATTGTTTTCCCATAGTGTTGGTTGGTGCAAAAGTAATTGCGGTTTTTGCAATTACTTTGGCAAAAACCAAAATTACTTTAAAAAAATTTTTTTTGTTTTATTGTACTTTAAGTTCTAGGACACATGTGCAGAACATGCAGGTTTGTTACATAGGTATACATGTGCCATGGTGGTTTGCTGCACCCATCAACCTGTCATCTACATTAGGTATTTCTCCTAATGCTATCCCTCCCCTTGCTCCCCACCCCCGACAGGCCCCAGTATGTCATGTTCCCCTCCCTGTGCCTATATGTTCTCATTGTTCAACTCCCACTTATCAGTGAGAACATGCGGTGTTTGGTTTTCTGTTGTGTGTTAGTTTGCTGACAGTGATGGTTTCCACCTTCATCCATGTCCCTGCAAAGGACATGAACTTATTCTTTTTTATGGCTGCATACTATTCCATGGGGCATATGTACCACATTTTCTTTATGCAGTCTATCATTGATGGGCATTTCGGCTGGTTCCAAGTCTTTGCTATTGTAAATAGTGCCACAATAAACATATGTGTGCTTGTGTCTTTATAGTAGAATAATTTATAATCCTTTGGGTATATACCCAGTAATGGGATTGCTGGGTCAAATGGTATTTCTAGTTCTAGATCCTTGAAGAATCGCCACACTATCTTCTACAATAGTTGAACTAATTTACATTCCCACCAACAGTGTAAAAGTGTTCATATTTCTCCACATTCTCTCCAGCATCTGTTGTTTCCTGACTTTTTAATGATCGCCATTTTAACTGGCATGAGATGGTATCTCATTGTGGTTTTGATTGACATTTCTCTAATGACCAGTGATTATGAGCTTTTTTTCATATGTTTGTTGGCTGCATAAATGTCTTCTTTTGAAAAGTGTCTGTTCATAACCTTCACCCACCTTTCGATGGGGTTGTTTGTCTTTTTCTTGTAAATTTGTTTAAGCTCCTTGTAGATTCTGGATATTAGAGCTTTGTCAGATGGATATATTGCAAAAATTTTCTCCCATTCTGTAGGTTGTCTGTTTATTCTGATAATAGTTTATTTTGCTATGCAGAAGCTCTTTAGTTTAATTAGATTCTATTTGTCGATTTTGGCTTTTATTGCAATTGCTTTTGGTGTTTTAGTCATGAAGTCTTTGCCCATTCCTATGTCCTGAATGGTATTGCCTAGGTTTTCTTCTAGGGTTTTTATGGTTCTAGGTCTTACATTTAAATCTTTAATCCATTTTGAGTTGATTTTTGTATAAGGTGTAAGGAAGGGGTCCAGTTTCAGTTGTATGCATATGGCTAGCCAGTTTTCCCAACACTATTTATTACATAGGAAATCCTTTCCCCGTTGCTTGTTTTTGTCAGGTTTGTCAAAGATCAGTTGGTTGTAGATGTGTGGTGTTATTTCTGAGGTCTCTGTTCTGTTCCATTGTTCTATATATCTCTTTTGATACCAGAACCATGCTGTTTTGGTTACTGTAGCCTTGCAGTATAGCTTTAACTCAGGCAGTGTGATGCCTCCAGCTTTGTTCTTTTTGTTTAGAATTGTCTTGGCTATGTGGGCTCTTTTTTGGTTCCATATGAAATTTGAAGTAGTTTTTTCTAATTCTGTGAAAAAAGTCAATGGTAGCTTGATGAGAATAGCATTGAATCTATAAATTACTTCGAGCAGTATGGCCATTTTCACGATATTGATTCTTGCTATCCATGAGCATGGAATGTTTTTCCATTTGTTTGTGTCCTCTCTTATTTCCTTGAGCAGTGGTTTGTAGTTCTCCTTGAAAAGGTCTTTCGCATCCCTTGTAAGTTGTATTCGTAGATATTTCATTCTCTTTGTAGCAATTGTGAATGGCAGTTCACTGATAATTTGGCTCTCTGTTTGTCTATTATTGGTGTATAGGAATGCTTGTGATTTTTGCACATTGATTTTGTATTCTGAGATTTTACTGAAGTTGCTCATCAGCTTAAGGAGTTTTTGGGCTGAGACGGTGGGGTTTTCTAAATATACAATCATGTCATCTACAAACAGAGGTAATTTGACTTCCTCTCTTCCTATTTGAATATGCTTTATTTCTTTCTCTTGACTAATTTCCCTGGCCAGAACTTCCAATACTATGTTGAATAGGAGTAGTGAGAGAGGGCATTCTTGTCTTGTGCCCTGTTTTCGAAGGAAATGCTTCCAGCTTTTGCCCATTCAGTATGGTATTGGCTGTGGGTTTGTCAGAAACAGCTCTTATTATTTTGAGATACATTCCATCAATACCTAGTTTATTGAGTGTTTTTACCATGAAGGGTGTTGAATTTTATTGAAGACCTTTTCTGCATCTATTGAGATAATCATGTGTTTTTTTGTCATTGGTTCTGTTTATGTGATGGATTACATTTATTGATTTGTGTATGTTGAACCAGCCTTGCATCCCAGGCATGAAGCCAACTTGATCACGGTGGATTAGCTTCTTTTTTTTTTTTTTTTTTTGAGACAGTCTCGTTCTGTCACCCAGGCTAAAGTGCAGTGGTGTGATCTCTGCTCACTGCAAGCTCTGCCTCCTGGGTTCATGCCATTCTCCTGCCCCAGCCTCCCAAGTAGCTGGGACTACAGGTGCCCGCCACCATGCCTGGCTAATTTTTTTATTTTTATTTTTAGTAGATATGGGGTTTCACCCTGTTAGCCAGGATGGTCTCGATCTCCTGACCTCGTGATCCACTTGCCTCCGCCTCCCAAAGTGCTGGGATTACAGACGTGAGCCACTGTGCCCAGCCAGATTAGCTTTTTAATGTGCTGCTCCATTCGGTTTGCCAGTATTTTATTGAGGATTTTTGCATCAATGTTCATCAGAGATATTGGCCTGAAATTTTCTCTTTTTGTTGTAATTCTGCCAGATTTTGGTATCAGGATGATACTGGCCTCATAAAATGAGTTAGGGAGGAGTCCCTCTTTTTCCATTGTTTGGAGTAGTTTTAGAAGGAATGGTACCAGCTCTTCTTTGTACCTCTGGTGGACTTCGGCTGTGAATCTGCCTGGTCTTGGACTTTTTTTGGTCGGTAGGCTATTAATTACTGCCTCAATTTCAGAACTTGTTATTGGTCTATTCAGGGATTCGACTTCTTCCTCGTTTAGTCTTGAGAGCGTGTATGTGTCCAGGAATTTATCAATTTCTTCTAGATTTTGTAGTTTATTTGCATAGTGGTGTTTATAGTATTCGCTGATGGTAGTTTTTATTTCTGTGGGATCAGTGGTGATATCCCCTTTATCATTTTTTATAGTGTCTATTTGATTCTTCTCTCTTTTCATCTTTATTAGCCTGGCTAGCAGTCTGTCTATTTTGTTAATCTTTCAAAAACCAGCTCCTGGATTCATTGATTTTTTGAAGTATTTTTCTTATCTCTATCTCCTTTAGTTCAGCTTTGATCTTAGTTAATTCTAGTCTTCTGCTAGCTTTTGAATTTGCTTGCTCTTTCTTCTTTTCTTGCTAGCTCTTTTAATTGTGGTGTTAGGGTGTCAATTTTAGATCTTTCCCACTATCTCCTGTGGGCATTTAGAGCTGTAAATTTCCGTCTAAACACTGCTTTAGCTGCGTCCAAGAAATTCTGGTAAATTGTGTCTTTGTTCTCATTGGTTTCAAAGAACTTATTTATTCCTGCCTTGATTTCATTATTTACCCAGTAGTCATTCAGGAGCAGGTTGTTCAATTCCCGTGTAGTTGTGTGGTTTTAATCCTGAGTTCTAATTTGATTGCACTGTGGTCGGAGAGACTGTTTGTTATGATTTCCACTTCTTTATATTTGCTGAGGAGTGTTTTACTTCCAATTATGTGGTCAATTTTAGAATAAGTGCTATGTGGTGCTGAGAAGCATGTATATTCTGTTGATTTGGGGTGGCAAGTTCTATAGATGTCTACTAGGTCCACTTGGTCCAGAGCTGAGTTCAAGTCCTGCATATCTTTGTTAATTTTCTGTCTTGTTGATCTGTCTAATATTGACAATGGGATGGTAAAGTCTCCCACTATTATTGTGTGGGAGTCAAAGTCTCTTTGTAGGTCTCTAAGAACTTGCTTTATGAATCTGGGTGCTACTGTATTGGGTGCATATATATTTAGGATAGTTAGCTCTTCTTGTTGCATTGATCCCTTTATCATTATGTGATGCCCTTGTCTCTTTTGATCTTTGTTGGTTTAAAGTCTGTTTTATCTGAGACTAGGATTGCAACACCTGCTCTTTTTTTTGTTTGTTTTGCTTTCCATTTGCTTGGTAAATCTTCCTCCATTCCTTTATTTTGAGCCTATGTGTGTCTTTGCATGTGAGATGGGTCTCCTGAATACAGCATACTGATGGGTCTTGACTCTTTATCCAACTTGCCAGTCTGTGTCTTTCAATTGGGGCATTTAGCCCATTTACATTTAAGGTTAATATTGTTATGTGTGAATTTGATCCTGTTATTATGATGCTAGCTGGTTATTTTGCCCATTAGTTGCTGCAGTTTCTTCATAGTGTCGATGGTCTTTACATTTTGGTATGTTTTTGCCCTGGCTGTTGCTGGTTTTTCCTTTTCATATTTAGTGCTTCCTTCAGGAGCTCTTGTAATTCAGGCCTGGTGGTTACAATATTCCTCAGCATTTGCTTGTCTGTAAAGGAATTTATTTCTCCTTCACTTATGAAGCTTAGTTTAGCTGAATATGAGATTCTGGGTTGAAAATTCTTTTCTTTAAGAATGCTGCATATTAGCCCCCACTCTCTTCTGTCTTGTAGGGTTTCTGCAGAGAGATCCACTGTTAGTTTGATGGCTTCTCTTTGTGGGCAACCCTACCTTTCTATCTGGCTTCCCTTAACATTTTTTCCTTCATTTCAACCTTGGTGAATCTGACAATTATGTGTCTTGGGGTTGCTCTTCTCGGGGAGTATCTTTGTGGTGTTCTCTGTATTTCCTGAATTTGAATGTTTGCCTTTCTTGCTAGGTTGGGGCAGTTCTCCTGGATCATATCCTGAAGAAGGTGTTTTCCAACTTGGTTCCATTCTTCCTTTCACTTTCTGGCACACCAATCATCGTAGGTTTGGTATTTTCACATAGTCCCATATTTCTTGGAGGCTTTGTTTATTCCTCTTCATTTTTTTTTCTCTAATCTTGTCTTCACACTTCATTTCATTAAATTGATCTTCAATCTCTGATATTCTTTCTTCTGGTTCATCAATTCAGCTATTGATACTTGTGTATGCTTCTTGAATTTCTCGTGCCGTGAAAAACTGCAATTACTTTTGGACCAACCAAATAGATTGCACTTGCTTCTTGTTAATGTTCTTTGTTGGAAAAATTGTATTTTAAATCCCAAATTCTGGGAACCACTAGACTCTTCTCTCTGCTGTATCAGCTAACATGTTGCAAGTAGGCCTGAGAGGAGTGGACAGAGTGGGCAGGCTTGGAAAGCATTATCCAGACCATTGCATCTCCTATGTGGTCAGCATGGAGAGAGATTGCAAAGGCAAGTGTGGTTCTGATATTGCCACAGACATTTCTGCAAAGTCACTGGCTACAGAAACAAAAAGGTCAGAGAGAGGTGTTTTGGCTCTCATGACACCATGGTGGGGTGTTATCACCTCAATAATATTGCCAGCACCATCACAAAGAACACTACCTTCAACATAAGAAAGAAAACCTCCCAGAGGCAGCACATGCTGAGAAAATATGGCTGCAGTCCAGGAGGCTGTTTCCAGAAACCACACCCAGCTGAGAGCCCTCATCCCAGCTGGGAAGTCTGGTTATTGTTTGGATCAGCTCATAAAGTCCCTATGGGACTCCTTTGCTCTGTCTGATGGTAACAATAGAACACAGCTCTGGGAAGTTGGATCTCTTGTGCTGTTACATCCCTTGCTTAATATGTCAATGTATCCTTGTCAGGCATGATGGTGTGAATATGAGAGGTTAAGTTCACTGAATTAATCTGTATATGCTCCAGAAGTTTACCTTAATAAAGTAAAGGTTTTCTAGGTCCAGCCGTTACTAGTGTTAAGGCTTGAAAGAAATTTGGAATCTGTATCCTACAAATACAGTGAAGTACATCTACACTAAACCCCAAGTAAACTAAAATCCAAGCACAGTATTAGTTTTCCAGGAACATAAAAACATGACAGTGTTTATAGTATTAGAAAATCCTACTATTCAGTCATCATTCGTATATGTCAAGAAAAGGGCAAATGCCTACATCACATTGCATATTTGTGAAGACAGTTCTTTGGTTTCTAGCTCTGTGCTCTCACTGGGGATCTGTGTCATTTTATTCAAATCTAGCCATGCTGTTTTTATTATTATACCAATGATGCATTGCTCAAAGTTGTCTTTAGTGTATGCTTTTATTCCACATTGATGATGCATTGCTTGAAGTTGTTCTTTTAATGTCTTTATTTTGAATAACAGCTACCATTGACTAAGCTCCTACCTATGTGCCAGCCACCAGTCCAAGGAATTTATATATTTTATCACACTTATTTATTATAACAACTCCTTGAGGCAGGTACAGTATTCCCATTTTATAGATGAAGAAATGAAATTGAGGTAGTGTAGTTTTCCTAAGGTGAGGGGTCAGGAGCAGAGTTTGGATTCAAACAAAGCAGGTCTTTCTGACTCCAAGGTCCACTCTCTTTCCACTACACCAGGGCTCTGTCCTCTGTCTTTTCCGGTGATTATTCTCTAGGTATGTGCAATTATTGGACTTCTGCTTGCCACACAGCAGCTCCTGGGTCTTGCTACCTCCCTGCCCCACAAGTCCTGTTCAGTATGGTGCTGGGCCATGGGATCATGCCTCAACTCCTGCTGCCCAACAGATATTGGTAGAGATTCTAGATTCAAGATCTTAGATATTTAGTTCTGCCAGTTAGTGATAAGTGGGTGCTGCCAAAGCTTACTCTTAAAATTGCTTAAAGAAACAGCTTTCTCATTTTACAATCATAGAGAAAGTTGATAGAACTTTACTTTGAGAACACCATTGTTGTATAGAAAGTGTCTTGATTTTGGTGCTTCAGTTTTCTGCCAGCTCATTATTGAGCAGCCTACTCTTAGGGTAGCAGAGTTCGGCTTTCAGATCCATATAATGAAAGGGAAATTTGGATATGTGGTGGATTTCACTGAATTGGATTGATGTGGTTTTCTTCTACAGTAGAAAGTGATTTTCCTGAAATGGTCCATGTCTTTGTTGTTAGAGCAGATAATGTAAATAATAGTCTTGAGGTTTTTTTGATGATGCCTATATTATACTTAAATGGAAGATTTTACAATATGGCTGGAAATATAATCTAAGAGCAGATTTCATATAAATATTTGAAATTTATTTCAACAAATATTTACCGAATATGTATTATGTGTCAGACCTGCTCTAAACACTGGAGATAAAGCAATGGAAAAAGCTGATAAAAAAGTTCCTGCATTTAGGGAGCTTATGTCCTGCTGTGGAGAGATAGCCAATAAACAAATAGGTAAAACATATAGTATGTCAGATGGTTTAAGTACTATGGAGAAAAGAAAAGCAGGACATGACAGTGAAGAGTGGTGGAGTAGGAGGAGTATTGCAATTTTTTTATTGGGAATAAAAAGGGAAGGCCTCATCAAGAGAATGACATTTGAGCAAAGATGTGCAAGAGCTGAGGGAGTGAGCTGCATGGATACTGGAAGGAAGAGTATTCCAGACAGAGGAAACCAAGGCCCAGGGAGCATGCCTGGCATGTTGGGGAATTGAAAAGGTGGCCAGTATCAATCAAGTGAGCCAGGAGAAAGCAGTAGGAGGCCAGGCCAGTGAGACAGTGTGTGTGTGGCCATGTGAGCTGTGGTGTAACTGTGGCTATTGCTCTGTGTTGGGGAAGACCCCAGACTGTTTTAAATAGAAAAAGACGTACATATTAACAGGATCCTCTGGCTGCTGTGTTGAGAATAGATATTGTTGAAAATAGAGAGTAGTACCAGTATATTAGTTCTCTACACTGTGTAACAAATTATCAGAAACTTAGCAGCTTAAAATAACATCCATCTATTATCTCACAGTTTCTGTGGCTCAGGAGTCGAGGCACAGCTTAACTGGGTCCTCTCAAGGCTGCAGTCAAGATGTCAGCCAGGACTGGGTCTCATCTGGAGGCTCGGTTAGGTAAGGAGCTGCTTTCAGGCTGTCTCAGGTTGTTGGCAAAGTTCATATTCTTGCAGCTGTGCGATTCAAGGTAGCTGTCTTCCTGAAAGCCAGCAATGGAAAGAGAAAGAGAGAAACACACACGTGCGCATGTGCACACACACACACACACACACACACACACACAGATTTCAGAGCAGGTCTGCTAGCAATACAGTCTTATATAATATAATGAAATCATGGCCGTAATATCCCATGACCTTGGCCATAATGCATTGGTTAGAAGCAAGCCACAGACCCTATCTGCACTCAAGGGGAGGAGATTCCACAAAAGTGTGAATACCAGGAGGTGAGGGGTCACAGAGTTCATCTTGAAGTCTATTGGCCACAATTAAGAAAAACAAATGAGGAGGCTCTAATATAAAAATTAGACTGAAGGAATAAAATAGAATCCCTTATATGATCTTTATGTCCTTGGTGCTGATAATGTATTGAACTGTATAGGACTAATCTGGATGTCATAAGCCAGAGACTTTCACCAACTTCTCTGAGCATCTTTTGGCCTCTCTCAGTCGTCCTTGCCTTCCCTAGTTCCTCACCATCAGGTCCGTAATGTCCTTCCCTGAGTGCTAGTGCCCATCAAAGTTCTCCAGTCCATCTTCTCTGAGACAAAACCTGCATTACTCCAATCCCCATTCTGTGGCCAGGACTGCTCCCAGCAGCCACATGGGGCTACTGTTGTGTGTTCCTATGAAATAGACAGCAGAGCCCAAGGCTGGGCTCCAGGACTGTTTGCTAAGTCTGACAGTGGGTCTGCGCTCCTCATGATGACTCTTTCTGTTTGGCCTTGAATTAGAGTTCACCCATCTTCAGAGTCCCCTTCTCCTGATAGTTCCTGAATGCCTGGTCAGAGTCGTGATCTCAATGCTTTCCTCTTGTTGCTGGCATCTTCCTTGATCTCTTCTGGCAAATTCCTGTTCTGGTTGCCTATACTGTATTCTTGGCCTTTTCAAGACTAAAGTCATGCCCCCACCACTCTTTACAATCTGGTGTCCTTCCCTACATCCCATTTGGTTATTCCTGCCTGAACCACTGAGGATTGACAATGTCATGTTTTTCCCAATGCTTGCCACTGTGGCCTTACATCACCTCTCAGACTAGCTCCTCCAGCCAGCCCAGGATTCTTCTTAAGTATTTTTACATTAAGAGCAAAATTTTTTTCATTGTTGATAAACGGTATGATACCACACAGCCAAGGTTGCCGCATAATGCCCAGGGTCCGGACTCAAAGTTTAATGAGATACTTTCACAATCTATAAATGAAATAAAGAGTCCTTTCTTGGCCAGGCACGGTGGCTCATGCCTGTAAGCTCAGCACTTTGGGAGGCCGAGGCGGGTGGATCACCTGAGGTCAGGAGTTCGAGACCAGGCTGGCCAACATGGCGAAACCCTGTCTCTACTAAAAATACAAAAGAAAATTAGCTGGGTGTGGTGGCACGCACCTGTAATCCCAGCTACTTGGGAGGCTGAAGCAGGAGAATTGCTTGAACCCGGGAAGTGGAGGTTGCATTGAGCTGAGATCACACCATTGCACTCCAGCCTGGGTGACTGAGCGAGACTCTGTCTCAAAAAAAAAAAAAGAGTCCTTTCTTGTTTCCCCCTTGTGTGTCTTCTGAATCTACCTTTATGTAACATCACATCACTCTTCCACATTTTGGCCTGAAGTTCCACTGTAAATCTGGGACTGCAGATTTAATCAGTCACTCATTAGCACCACACAAAAGCACTGGGCTCAATACTGTTGGTAGGGGTGTAAAGTAACCGGAATATATCTGTTCCTGTCTCAATCAGGGCTAGAGTTTTTGCGAAGCCATCTGGCTTAAAAAATATATTTTTGGTAGCCTCTTGCCTTTCCACATAAAATAAGTGGTGATTTTAGTGTCTCTGGAATTTTTGCAGCATTTCTTTAGTGTTCTCTTTGTTGAGGAAAAATACATGACTCTCCTCATTTAGCACTTCTCCTGGTCAGGAAATCTCAGTTAGTCTGCTAACAAGCCTGTCAAGTCAGCTTGCCCTTCTCCTCTTCCATCTGTCTTCTCAAATTCTTCACACCTTTAACATTTCTTGGAAATGTTTTTTTATTCACTTAGTCTGCAGACCTAATTGCCTCATACCTCCACACCCAGCCTAGAGTCTCAGCACAGAGACTGTTCTATCTCATAAAAGCTTCCCATAGCCTGTAGCTTCTTATCTTCCCTTGTCAAAAAATTCCTCTGACCCCACCCCTTTATATGCTCCGGCCCTCAGTCTGTTATTCCCCAATCACCAATTAAATGGTTATTTAATATTCTCCATAAACATACAAGGCTCAATAGGATACCCTGTGCCAAAACCACGATGAGGTCTTTGTCCTGAAGACCTCACATTCTGATGTCACTCTGGCTGTTATCAACACATTAGGACAATAACTGTATGTTGGCTCCATGGAAGAGCACCATCCAAGAGAGCAGCATTGCTTCCAAATTTTTTTTGAGAGGGCCCATATCAGGCATTTAGCTTGTGCGAGTCAATTCAGGTCCTTCATCAAAGTCTGCACTAAGCAGATCTGCCCCTGACACACAGTGCAGCTCTCCTTTAAGTCAACAAGAGCCTCTGGTTTTGTGAGTCATCCTTTCCCAGGCATTAAGGCTTAGGTATAGTTTTGATAAAAGACAGTTGAAGTTGTTACAGCTAGTTCACTTAACCCTTATTTTGGGAGTCTATCAGCCCAGAATTTCCTAATTCTGCCATAAAGACTTCCTAGCTAAGCATATGGAAGCCCTGCTGGATATATAAGTAGGCATTCAAATAGTACTGAATGACAAAAAATATATATATAGTTGGTTCTTCAAGTAGCTTGAAGGAAGGGGTAAGGGAAAGGATATGGGCTTTGTAGTCAGTCAGACTAACATTTGAATCAAGCTTACTATAAATCGTATTTTCTCTGAATCTCAGTTTTCATTTCTGTAAATGGGGATAATAATACATCTCACATGGCTCTTGATAGAATTAAATACACAAATACGCCTTGTGGAGTGCCAGGCCCCTAGTGAGCATTTCCCCCTGTTGAAGTGGGTGATGGCATTTTGACAATCAAAGCCCATACACTAGGATGCTTATGCTAGCTCTTTACAGATGAGGACAGCCAAAGTGCTTGCCTCAGTGGCCTTGCCTCAGGAATGACACAGATTCAGAATTTGTCCTACTGTTTTTGTTTCACTCAGTCTTGGCTAAAGGAAGTGCAATAAAGCAGTAACACTTTAGATTAGTTTCAGGCATACTCATAAAATATGGAAACCTTCAGGAACCAGAAGATTCTTAAATTTTCTGAGGACTAATACAGAGGCACCGAAGAGATTTTTAAAAAATAAAATGTACAACAAAGCTTAGGATCCACCAATAAAGTCAACTCTGACTTATTATTATTCATCTTCTTTATGTGAGAAGAATCTTACAGGTGATGTTCAGGAGGGCAGGAGACAATTTCAGAGAGAAACACTTCAGGCTTTCTGGGCCACACCAGCCTCTTTAGTTTTTCCCTGTACACCTTCATGTGTTGGGAGGATGAGAGTCTGTGAGTGTCAGAAAGGAATATATGTGTGTTTGTATGTGTGTATGAGGCTAGGGCTGATGGTGTATTTCTTTTTTAAAAAAGTAAGATTGAGAGTGGATTAATTATTTACTGCTTTGGATCCTATTCAACACTTTAGCACTTTGTATTTTCTGCACTATTGTGCTTTGTCATGTTATCTTATAATTACATGGCTAGACAACTTGATTTATGGCCTATACACAATATCTTTGGTTCACCAAATATTGTACAGCTACATGAGCAACTTGTTGTTGTCGTTGTTTTACCAAGAAGTAAGCAAATAATCTTAAAAACAACAAACAAAAAGCATCAGAACTGTATTTGGATCTCACTTCAGTATACAAGTATTTTTTAGCAGGTTATTTAAGGGCTAGTATCAGCTGGGTGGTCTTTTTATTATATTTTCTTTTCCAAAGTTAATTGGCTATAAATTCACTTTTAAAAATCTTGTTGTATATATAGCCTTAGCATAGGGCAAAGAAAAATAACCTTCTATAAGATACTATGTCACCATTATTAAGATTCATCAATAGTCAAGCTCTATGCATATCCCAAACTTGAAAGTTATTCTGTCATTTACAATCATAAGAATGTATAAGATTAGAAATTTACTATTAAAAAGATAGAGTTTTAATTGATCCCTGTTTTACTGTTAAGCATGTAAATGATCTGTGAAATTTAAGATGACTTTGAGCATATAAGACAAATTCCATGAAGTCTGTCACAGCTTCAGAAATTAAATGATCTAACATTTTGGGAGGTTCTAACTGCTTATATATAATTATATTTTTAGTCAATAATAAAATTAAAAAGTAGTCAAAGGTAAAAATAATAACAAAGTATTACTATTTATATTTGGAAGAACGTATGCCATTAGAATTTATAGTTTTATTTACTTATTGAGGTTACAGGTGATACCTATTTCTGATAGCACTTGTGGATCCAAATAATCACCAAGAGTAGGCCCATTATCAGTACATGCTCCCATAGTAGTATTTCTGCCTATGACAATCCTGCAGAATCTAGTACAACCTTGGTTTCTTGGTGTTAGAATGTTGGAAATTGCAGAACTGAGGGAAAAGCAAATCCACTGGGTGAAGGAACCTATGAGGAATCTCAAAACTAGAACCCTCAGCTTGGAGAGGGGAGGAAAGTGATTTTAAAATAACTAATTAAATGTTTTTTAAAGGATTTTAGAAATAAAAATTTAGTGTAAATGTGAAGCCATTTTAACTTCAGCCTTAAAATTCATAATTAAATAAATAAAAATAATAGAATTATAGAAGGAAGCCACTAGATATTGATCTCTAGTTTCTCCAAATTCATCTCTAGGATCACACCAGGATCAGTGCTGTAGATAGCTTCCCCATTTAATTCCTCCCGGAGAGCAAGTCATTAAAGCTCTGTCAGTTGCTCCCTGCAAGATTGAACAATTATTACTGTTAGAAAGTTCTTCTTTATATCCAACCTCATTTCTCATGGTGCATATTGAAAATTATTTCCTCTTCGGTAGTGTTTTTTAGAAATAAAATCAGCTACATTCCAACCTCCATGGGGTAGGGAGAAAGTATTAAAGAGAAAACAGTTTAAGTGATGTTGAGAGTATGTTTTTGTAAGTAATGAACTTACTCAAATGTCTTTGCTAGTGTCTTTGATAAGGAATTTAAACCAAAGGATATATCTCAGAACATAGCTGAGTGTCTGACAATCACTTTGTGTGCTTGTTTATAAGCCAGCAACCTCAAAGACTGTGCATTAAGTGATACCTTCACAGAATCCATTCAATCAATGGGAATGTGTATATATTTAATACCAATAAGAAAGTAAGAATGTCCAACTGGAAGCACGCAATTGCTCTCATGCTCAACCTCTAATATAAAAGGAATATGGGGTAGACATGTGCTCTTAGGGTGGGCTTGAGGGTTCATAAAAGTCCTGAACTGTTCTTTAACTGTGGGAGATACCCCAAATCAAGGAAAAAAGGAAAACATTTATGTGCAGTGTTGGGTTCTGTGTTCTGAGATGGCCTTGTCTATATGCTAACCTTGTCTGTAGACAAATGCTTCACGTCTGCCACTATCTCACTGGCATATTTGGTAGTGGAATTGCACTGTCTGTAAAGTGTTTCAGTTCTTTCAGAAAACATCACATAAATATACAGTAAGGCGTATTTTTTATTATATAGAGCAGAAGCCAAAAACCTCTTGCCAAAGTGATCTTCTAAAATTTTACACCTATTTCATGCATTAGAAAAGAAATATGTATCATATGCTTTCACTTATTTTATGATTAGCTCATCAAATTTGTGTTCTGTGTATACAGAAAGCCAAAAAGCCTTGTGTCTCTCAGGACCCTTCCTCAGCCCCTAATACCTTGCTCCTCTTCTGGCATTGCTTTTTAAAAGATCTGGTCTTGGCCGGACGTGGTGGCTCATGCCTGTAATCCCAGCACTTTGGGAGGCTGAGGCGGGTGGATCACGAGGTCAGGAGATCGAGACCATCCTGGCCAACACGGTGAAACCCCGTCTCTACTAAAAATACAAAAAATTAGCCGGGCATGGTGGCGGGCGCCTTAGTACTCCGAAGGCTGAGGCAGGAGAATGGCGTGAACCCTGGAGGCAGAGCTTGCAGTGAGCCGAGATCGCGCCACTACACTTCAGCCTGGGCGAAAGTGCGAGACTCCGTCTCAAAAGAAAAAAAAAAAAAAATCTGGTCTCACAGGCTCTCAGAAGTTAAATTGAATTTAAACTCAATAATAATACATTGTATTGATCTTTAAAGTTTACAAAGTGTTCATAAACACTTTGTGTTTGATCTTTAAAGAAATCATTTAAAGATCAATACACACAATATATTACAAAGTGTTTTCACATAATTTCATTTGATTCTCACAACTCCTGATAACTCTATGGAGTTAGCCGTGTTGGGAATAATATTCCTATTTTATAGTTTTGGCAATTGAGACTGAGAGAAGAAAGGCTTCATGGCTTGCCTCAAATTATGGAGTTAATAACTAATAGAGCTAGGTCTTGAACCCAAGTCTTGAACCCAGGCTGCTTATGGTAGACAGAACTCTAAAACGACCCCTGATGCCCCTCACCTTTATATAATCTCCTCTGCTGGAGTATCTGTGGAACCTCTGAATAAAATGAAATACCATGCCTGTGATTGTGTTATTTTATATGGCAAAAGGGATTTTGCAGATGTAATTAAGGCCCCAAATCGGTTAACCTTCAAGGGAGATTGCCTGTGTGGGCCTGACGTAATCATATGAGTCCTTAAAATATGGGTTAAGAGGTCAGAGAGACAGAGGAGGCCAGAGAGATTGAAAGCATAAGAGGGATTTGATGCTAGGGAGATTCTCTGTTGCTGGCTTTGAAGGTGGAGAGGTCTCCATGGCAAGGAATGTGGGCAGTCTCTAGGTGCTGAGAGCTGACCTGGCTGACATCTAGCCGGGCGAGGGGCCAGGGGACTCTCAGTCTTATAACTACAAGGAACTGAATTCGACCAATATCCTGAATGAGTTTGGAAGCTGATTCTTCTCCTGGGCCTCCAGATGAGAACTCAGGGTGGCCAACAGCATGATTTTAGGCTTGTGATACTAAGGAAACCCAGTCACACCATGCCAAACATCAGACCTACAGAACTGTGGCATAATAAATGGGTGTTGTTTTAAGCCGTTAAATTGGTGACAATTTGTTATGCAGCAATATCAAACTAATAAACTGCTATTCATTAATATTTATTGAATAATTATTACATGTAAGACATGAATTTTTATTTTTGATCAGTATATTTTGTGCCAATGTCCAGGAGGGTTAGTTAAAAATAAAATAAAAGCAACCCAAGCTTGCTAGAGTAAATTAACAAATATTTCCCTTTCCTTGTGGAATTTAGAGAATTACCATCCCAGTTCCCCTGAAGGTAAGCATGAATATGTCCCTTATTCTGACCAGGAAAAAGAGGAGAGCTGAGATATGTCTATTCCGGGATAATGGCTTACATTTTCCACATTCTCTTTCCCTGTTACAGCCAACTCCAAAACTCTGGAAGAGAAGACAGTGTCACATGGTGGGGTGCCCTGTCAGCCTGGGTCTGGGGAGCAGAACCTCCTGCCAATCTGCTTTGAGCACACCTACCCTGACTGACACACTTGTCTTGTAGGCACTGTGGCCACATGTAATACTGAGATTCATAAACACTGAATGCCACCCCACTGCACATCAGCAATGAAAGCCATGTCTTCTGTTCCTAGGACCTTTTGCTACATACTTTTTGGATAAGAAAAAAATAGAGCTTAACTTACCACCATTTTTTTTCTCCAACTAGGTTAGAGGTGAGAAAAGGAATGAAAGAAGTGGGTAAGACTGAGGAGATGAGAAAAACAAGAAAGAACAGATAGTTCTCTGGCTGAGCTACAATTATTAACTGCCACTAGCTAGACTCTGTGGGGTCCCCAAATATCAGTAACTATAGCCCCACTTCCCATGAGATGTTGACACCCAACATCAGTCATTAGTATAGTAAGGAGTTGAAATGAGGAAATCGTGAACCTTAAATATGTTAAGATGTTTCCATTCTCTAGATTTGCTAGAACACATTTTCCTAATCTGAGAAAATGAAACCAAGGCTGTAAACAAACTATTATGTGGGCTTGCTTTTACATGTCATATTTCTCTGTTTCATTTCTGTAGAAAACTTGGAAAATAGGCATATATGGTAGCCAAGTTAAAGAAACAGTTTTTAAATATATACCAGAACATAGTAACTAACAGATGTAACACAAATTTTTATTTTCTTTGCAACTATTCTTATAATCCTTCATCAGCTATCTTCTTTCTAAGCTGCAATATTACATAAAATACTTCCTATTAAAAGAGCCATTAAAGTTTGAGAATTTTAAGTGAGCCAAATTGAATAAGTTGGTTTCCTTAGCCATAAATAAGCATATTTTGAAAATAAACTTTTTTGGGAGGTAAATTCCATAAAGCTGCTAACAAGTAGAGGTCAAAGTGAGCATCTGTCAAAAATATTATTTCAAGAAGTTTTGATACAAAGCAGGGAAATGCTACATAATGTTTAAGCTCTTGGTTTCCAGGCTTATTTCATCATCACTGTTTTTTCCATTTATTGACTAATCAGATGAATCAACTCTAAAGAAGTTTCTTTCATCTATTTGTGAAATTTTTCAAGTAGATTTTTCTCAAACTAAATTAGATAGAGGATTTCTTTAGAAATTTAAAATTTCTGGAAATCAAAAGTAAAATGGACTTTTAAAATTTATTTTTCTTGTAGTATGAAAAGAAGAAGATATTTTAAAAGTGTGGTTTGATTTTCTTCTTTCCTTTGCAAATCAATTTTTCACATTTTAACTTAATTCTGAAGGGATTGCAAGTTGAATATCCTTCAAGGGCTTTCTCTCTCTCATATATAACACCAGCATTTTGAACAGAATATAATTTCCATGGTACTATAATATAATTATTAGTGAAACAAGTGTAGATGGTGAATTATGAAGATCCCCCTAATTCCAACTGCAGTGAACATTTGGGGTTAGGAATGATCCTCATCGAAACCAGCATCTTGGCTTGCTTAGGGGGAAGTGCACGTTGGGAGGATAAAGGAAGGCTAGACTACATAAAACTCATACCTGGAACCCCATGAAGTTTCCGTACTTCCCCCACTGCCATATTCAAGTTCTTCATCAGCTTGTTAATTTCATTCTAACAAGATTTTTTTCTTATATGAGCAAATTTTCTCTTCAGAAAATACATGCAGCAAGTAATTTCAATCTGGCCATTAAACAAGAGTGCCATTGAAGGCAGAAAGGCGCCAAGTTTTTGAGTGTGAGTTGTTTCCTTTTCTCCGCAAAAGAAACATACATTTAGTATTTTTTCATTTAAAGACATGCCCGCCCACAAACATCTGAGAAACATCTGTAGACAAAATGCCAAAATGCATAGTCGAATTTTGACTCACACCTCACCACCCACCAAGACCCCTGTCAACTCACAATAAACACCTTTCTGGCATCTGCCCCAGAGAAAGAAACGCCACATTACCCAAAGGTCAGAGCAAACAGATGTCACTTATTGCAGACCCTAATCATATCCATATCCAACCTTAGGAGGCCTGCAGTGGAGCTGACTTCTGGACTACGGGTTCCTCCAGTTGGAGATGCTTATCACTGTGTCCTCCCTCCTGATTTGAGCAAGGGGGGCCTTAGGAGGGCTTATCTCTAGAGACTGTCCCTGCATCCTGCTGACAGAGCCCATGATTGAGCACTAGGGTTAAGGAAGCAGAAGGGAATTCTTCGTGGTTGGCCTGCACTTAGCAGTCGCTCTGTTTCTCACCCTGACAGGCTTGCAATATTCTTGCAAATATACTCCCTCATCAACCTCCCTGTCTCTGTTCTTATTGCATTTTGCACACATCTCTGTGCCTCCTTTTATAGCCTTCATCATGTTCAATAACATTAGTTTACCTATTTCACCCCTACAAGACAGCATTTCAGCTAGAGGAAAGAAACAAAAGGAAAGGAAGGAAACAGAGAAGCGGGGATATGGTATTTATAGAAGAACTTTAATAGACAACATTGGCAGTGCAATTTAGTGGGGTTTTTTTAATGGATAAAGAAAATGTAATATGTACACACACAATGGAATATTATTCAGCCAAAAAAAATGAAGGAAATTCTGCCATTAGGGACAGCATGGATATACCTGGAGAATATTTTGCTAAGTGAAATAAGCAAGATACAGAAAGAAAATATTGTGTGATCTCACATGTGGGATCTAAAAAAGTTGAACTCATAGAAGCAGAAAGTAGAATGGTGGTTGCCAAGGGTTGGAGAGAGAAGTTGGTCAAAGGGTTCCAACTTCCAGTTATAAGTTGAATAAATTCTGAGGATCTAATGTATAGCATGGTGACTGTAGTTAATAATACTATATTTTATACTTGAAACTTGCTAAGAGAATAGATCTTAAGTGTTCACACCAGACACACACACACACATGCACACACACATGAAAAAGATAATGTGAGATGATGGATGTGTTAATTAACTTGATTATGGTAATCATTTCACAATGTATGCCTCTATCAAATTATCATATTGTATACCTTAAATATATACAATTTTTAGTTGTTAATCATATCTCAATAAAGCTAGAGGAAAACATTTTTTAAATAAAAATGAGCAAAAAAATTGAGGAACATAGCTTACTTTCCAGAATTTCAGTCCCAGCCAACCTCAAATGCACACAGATACAGGTACCATAAACCTGTAGCCTAAAGGCTAAGCTTTATCCAGTTATTGAATCAATCCTGGCCATGTCTGTCAGTATATTAGGGGTTCTCTTTCCCAGTGACTGAGTGACAGTTATGCCACATAAGCCTAGTACCTAGTGATCCTGGAGTGGTTCCACATGCTTCCTGAAATTTTTTCTCTCTTCTTATGACTGAGCATTTGTTTTCTGTGTGTTTGTGTACCAATTTCCCCCCACTTGAACTACATCCCTCCTCTGGTTCTTAAACCACTGATTGTAGCCTTCCAGCCAGGCTTATCCACTTAACCTCCCCTGGAGACTGGACCCTGTCCTCTGGTTAGGCAGTGCTCCAGTGATGACAACAACAAGTTCTACTTAGAATCTATTTCTTCAAACAACTTGTTTATATTATTGGCAATTCCAATAAAAAATTTAAGCTATATAGGATGGTCCCCTTTTGCAGATATACCATAACACACAATCCGAGATATCTGATGTCCTAGCCAAAGCTAAGTGACTAAATAGTAGAAGAGCAAGGTGTCTCTGATTCCAGAGCATGACCTTCCCACCATATTTCATTGCCTCCTCTCTGGAACATTGACACTATTCACCCTCCATCTTCAAGGGTCTCCTCTTCCATAGATGCTTTGGTGGTGTCTCATCCACCAGACGGAACCCTTAGATATCAATGTCAGAACATACTCTCCTTGAAGACATTAGACTCAGTTTTAGATAATACGATGTTTTTACAGCAATCCCACAAAACTTTAGCATCTTCCCTGAGGCTTTTTTAATATTGTTTTCTGTTATGAGAACGGACAGATGTAAAAAAATGTAGGTGTATAGGGATGTGTTTTTATATAAACATAACTACCATAAAACCTTATCACGTTAGTGCTAATTTTTAGAGAAGTCCAATTTTATTCCTGAGTTGATCACTAGATTTTACAGAAGTGAAGTTTGATATCCCTAAGAGTTTGAAAATGTATATAATTGCAGCTAACCCTTGTTTGCTCTGAACTGAATTATCTATTGAGGAATACAGGGTCTTTTTGTTTTCTTTCCCTCCCCCATCTTCTAAGTCTGTCCAATGAATACCATCGAATAAAAATAATTATTGAGCATCTCTGTAGACACCGTACTGGTCTACACACAGAAAATTCATTTTTCAAATATCCATTAGTGGATTTTATATCTTTGTGACTCTAAACCAGGTCCTTGAGTTGTTTCTTAATAATATAAAAATAAGATATAACCTTTCCAAATATGAGTTTCTTTAAAAGAGTTGATGAGGTATTTCCTTGTTTGTTCAAATCCCTCTTCTCCAGATCCTTAAGGATTTAAAAGTTATTTACATACTTTGCCAGTATATATATTTATTTGATTCCTTTTGTATGGATTTCTCTAGTTCTTTATAGTATGGAGAAAGACATGTATTATATAGGTAATATATGGGTAATGTAATGCTTGCTTCTATATCAAACAACACCCAAATGTATAGTGGTTCAAATACAATAGAAGTTTATTTCTTGCTTACATAAATTATAAAACAGATGTGTCTAATTGAAGGATGTCTTTTTTCAAGTGATAATATAGGAACTCCGATTCTTTCCTTTATATGCCTCTGTCATATTTAACATATCCAATGTGTTCATGCATTTTATCTCAAGTCAGTGAAAGAGGAAATCACTTGGAGGAAAATTCTGCATCGAGGATTTTTTGGGATAGTCACAAAACTGGTAAACATCACTTCTGTTTACATTCCAATACACATGGAACTCAGCATATGATAAAAAGGAGCCTGGGAAATAAAGCCTTAAGTGTGGGTTCTGGAACAAGAGGAAATGAGTTTAGTAATCCCACATTGTGGGGTTAGAGTCAGACAGACTTGGGTTCAAATCCTAGCTCTGCAATAAATTCTTATGTGAATCTTCATGTTTCAATATTCTTGCCTTTTAAGAGATAATAAAACCTATTTTAGTGCTTGCTGTCAAGCTTAAATGGAAGGAATGATATACAAGTGATTAATACATAGTATTATTACTTGAATCAGAAAGGCCAAGATACATTTAGGTTTATGGTTAAACAATTTGTATAACTGTAGATTCTGCCTGGTCCCAAAAGCTTTGTGGGGTCAAGTTGGTCCACATTTTGAAGTTTTAACAGTATTTTACAAGTACATCCCTGTCACTTAGCAACCTAATTAAACATTAAAGAAAATTTATTAATTAGGTACTAAGAATATACAATGGGGAAAGGACAATCTCTTCAGTAAATAGTATTGGGGAAACTGGACATTTACATGAAGAAGAATGAAATTGGACCCTTATCTCATATTCTTTACATAAACCAACTCAAAATGAATTAAAAACTTAAACATATGACCTGAAACTATTAACATAAAACTGCTAGAAGAAAACATAGGAAAAAGCTTCCTGACATTGGCCTGGGCAATTATTGTATTTTTATGTGACATGAAAAGCACAGAAAACAAAAGCAAAAATAGACTAATAGGGCTGCATCAAACTAACAGTCTTCCTTATAACAAAGGGAAGAATCAAGAAAGTGAAGAGACAACCTACAGAATGGGAGAAAACATTTACAAATCATACATCTGATAATGGGTTAATATCCCAAAATATATAAGGATTGCAAACAACTCAATAGCAAGAAGCAAATAATCTGAATTTTTTTTTTTTTTTTTTGAGATGGACTCTCACTCTGTCACCCAGGCTAGAGTGCAGTGGCGTGATCTCAGCTCACTGCAAGCTCCACCTCCCAGGTTCATGCCATTCTCCTGCCTCAGCCTCCTGAGTAGCTGGGACTACAGGCGCCCGCTGCAAATAACCTGATTTTAAAATGGGCAAAGGATCTGAATAGACGTTTCTCCAAAGAAGACATATGAATGGCCAACAGGTATATGAAAAAGAATTGTTCAACATAATTAAGCATCAGGGAAATGCAAATCAAACAGCAATGAGCTATAACCTCACACCTGTTACATGGTGTGTTACAATGGCTATTATCAAAATGATGAAAGATAAGAGGTGTTGGTGAGGAAGGAGAGAAAAGAGAACCCTTGTACACTGTTAGTAGAAATATACATATAGAAATAGAAAGTAGAAATAGAAATATAAATTAGACCGTTCTTAAAATTCTCTTCTTTATGGAAAACAGAATGGTGGTTCCTCAAAATATTAAAAATAGAATTACCACATGATCCAGCAACCCCATTTCTGTATATATAGCCAAAAGAAATAAAGTCAGCATGTCAAAGAGATAGCTGCACTCCCATATTCATTGCAGCATTATTTATAATAGTCTAAATATGAAATCAGCCTAAGTGTTCACCAATGGATGAATGGATAAAGAATATATACAATGGAATACTATTCAGCCTTAAAAAAGAAAATTCTGTCATTTTTGACAACATGGATGAACCTGGAGGATGTTAAGTGACATAAGCCAGGCACAGAAAGACAAATACTGCCAGAGCTCACTTACATACATGGAATCTAAAATAATTAAACTCGTAGAAGCAAAAATTAGAATGGCGGTTACCAGAAGCTGAGGATGGAGGAATGAGGGAAATGTTGGTCAAAAGGACACATAATTGCAGTTAGAGAAAAGTAATAAGTTCAAGATATGTAATGTACAACATGGTGTCTATAGTTAATAATGACGTATACTTGAAAATTGTTAAGAAAGTAGATCTTATATGTTCTTACCACAAACAAAAGTATGTGAGCCGATGGATATTTTAGTTAGCTTAACTAAATGAATTCACAATGTCTACATATACTAAAACTTCACATCGTATATCATAAATATGTCAATTTTTATTAATCAATTAGACTTTAATCAAGGTGAGGAAAAAAGAAAAAATATCATAAATTGGTAGTATATCTTCTGGTGATTTTCCATGCTTGAAGTTATTCCTAACAAAACCTTATGGAGCACACTGAAAAGCTGATTTTGTGTTTCTACTTTGTCATATTTGATTTGGTGAATTGATACAGTTTGGGAGAAATAAAAATAATAGGTGTAATTTAATTCAAACATAATGATAAGTTTCAAATTCTATAACCACAACAAACTTAAAGTTCTCTTCAAATGTCAAAAAGTTGCCAGTCTTAAGAATTATGTCTTCATCAGTAATCCAGGTTCAGATAGGCATTTTGCTGTTTCAAAATCAGAAGTTGCCCAATAACCAAGATCTTAGCATAAATGAAAAGAAAGATCAGAATTATTTTTTGATAGGCTGTGAAATTCCTATGTATTCGCCTTTTGGTTTCCCCAGGTACATTTTACCCTTTATATTTGTTTCACTTTTTTTTTTCGGTGCTAGCAGCAATGAGATTTCTGCCAGAACTAAACTCAGCCACTTCCCTGGGAATGTTCTCCAGTTGCTAATTTCACTACCGGAACTGTGTTCCCTCACATTCTGGCCTATTCCACGCATGCCTCCTCTGGAATAAAGGGTCTGACAGTTCTGTAGATAATGGTAAACATATGTAGCCAATGCTGTGCAATTCTTTTAGAGCCAGAAAGCATTAGTAGGTATTTCGGTTGCTGACAACAACAACAACAACAAATCAGTGTAAAGAACTTCATCAAGCACCAGAACCCACAGAATACTATACGTCAATAATTTTAATGCACGGCAGAATTCTTCTTTTATTCTTTCTTTTTAAAATCATTGGCTAATTATAAATGGAATTCAGACTTATGACAACCTAATTCCAAACTTTAAAACTACAGGGGAAAAAGCTGGGTCAAGGGGGAAAGAGAACATTTCAACTTGTTTACTCTGGATACTATTCCCATTTCAAGTTAGGCCTTTTGATTCTTTACATGTGCAAAAGAACTGACTTCCCTGAGTACACAAGGGACAAATTACATATTGTGATGTCATTGCCTTGCGGATTTCTCATACCACCAAATACATTAGTCACACTGTCAATGTCACGGAGATATAAAAGAAAAAAAATTAAAAGGCATATTATTTTCATATGAGAATCAGTAATGATTTCTCTTTGGATGTATTTCTTCAAAATCATTTCCTAAATCTCAGTGAAACTTAAGAAAGCTACCTTAAAATATAGAATGACATCCTCAGCAGGTCAACTTGTGGTACTGTATTACCAGCCTAATAGAAACATTACTGTGCAGTGATAAATAAGAATAAAATGAAGACTAGAGGCAGTATCTTATTGGGTGTGTAACTTTGATTCATTTAATTGTTTAATTATTCTATATTGTATTTTTATGATTGCAGTGAGACATTTTCATCCAAACATACTGTAAGTTATAATCTACCAGAGTTCTCGTCTATGGTGTTAAATTGATATAGGTGTCTCTAGCCTCCTGCCTACTTTCTCTGGCCTATCCAGTTTAGCAACTTCCTTCTCATGTGCCTGGAAAACCATCTGACATCCCTTACTGTCTGTGTTTTCTCCCCCTGCCCTCTAGCAGATTAGAATTCCTTCCAATCTAATGGTTGAATGACTTTAATATGGAATAGAGTGGTTCAACCCTAAGTAAGTGCTTTTCTACCTAGGCTCAGAACAAAACCTGGAGAACCAATTACAGAGACTCTGTGTAGAGAAAATCATGTTTCAGATCAGGAAGAATTCTACTTGACTGCAGTGAATACAATATCAAAATGTTCAGTTGGCTGAATTCCCTGGATGCGGCTTAACAGAATGTAAGTAAAGAAATGGACACATTAGACTCATTAAAACCTTGTGATATGATGGTGTAAATGAGCCAGAGCTAGAACCATTTGAATTCCATTCACATCAGTCAGTTACTCTGAATATACAAGTGATGGACCATTTCACAGTTGTCCAATATTGACTTCTACCAAGGTTTCTCAATTTGGCACTATTGAGTCTCAGAGTTGTATAATTATTTCTGGGGGAAGGGAGGCTGTCCTGTGCATTGTAGGTTGTTTAGTGGCATCACTGGCTTCTACTCCTCAGATGACAGTAGTGCCATCACCCAAGTTGTGCCAACCAAAAATATCTCCAGACATTGTCATATGTCTCTGGGAGATAGGGAGCAAAATTGGCCCTGGTTGAGAACAACTAAGTTAGATAAATCTGTGTCTGGAGTTTCTGAGATCCGGGTGGCCAGGCACTGGCATCTCACTTTATTGATGGTGACCTAAACTGCAGGATTGGTGGTCAGAATGCTTGACTATTGGGAATGGAGAGAAGGGCTTCAAGCTACGTTGAATGGGGCCACTCACAAAACAATGAAGCAAATAAATAATCCACAAATAATTTTACTACATCTTTGTGACCCTCACGAAAAGAAATAGTTTGCCCCAAAATAGAAATATTATGGTGATAATCTGAGCCCATCAATCTAACTATTACACACTGCATTTTGATAGAGCTATAGGTATATAAGTACAGGTATAGGTAGACAGATATAAATAGCTCTCAAAACACCTTTCCAGACATAACCTTAAGCAATTCTCTCAATTACCCTGTAAAGTCCAGTGGACAGGTGTTCCAGTTACTCTTATTTTATGGGCTACGAAACTACATTTCAGAGAGGTTAGGTGATTTCTTCCAGATTATACAAGAACAGTTTGGATCAAATACAGGGCCTTTTCTATAGTTCTGTCTTCTTTAAAAATGAAGATTAAGTAGTGAGAGGTGGTATATGCTTAGACCATAAAAATATTTAGTTATGTATCACATAAGCAGAGGAAGATAAGTATTTACTTTTCTGTGACGGAGAAGGAAACCCCAGTAAGTGTTGGCTGAGATGACCCTTGGATTGTGACTCCAAGAGTTCACATGCAATATTTATCAGTTGGGCTATGGCAGCATGTTCTCACCAGGAATTCATAAAATAATACTTAATTCTTTCTCCCTTAACATCAAGAACTTGGATCTAGTTTGAAGGAAAGGAATCATTTTCTCAACTATGACAATACTTTAAACAACTTCTTGAACTCATTTAGCAGCCACTGCAACAGATTCTATTGTTTTGTTTTTTACATCATCAGATTTTGATCAAAGGGTTGACAAAAAATTAGAAATACAAAGAGCAGAGCATGCTGTGTATCAGTTGCTGGTAGAGAGCAGATTAAACAAATGCCAGGGTTTATCACAGGCTGGGGACTACCCAAGCCAGCAGTTGCAAATATAGCAAACCCTTAAATAATTTCAAATCCTTTTTTATTATCCATTATAAAAGTGAAGCTGGTTATACACTAGATTAATAAATACTCTCTGAGACATAGGATGACCTAGAGAATAACATATATCATACCAGATCAAATGGTGTTTCTTAAAATTAAATGTAGAGTAAATATAAATGACAAAATACAGAATGAACTTTTTTCATGAGTTCTGGAATGATCCTATTTGTGTCATACGCTACCATGATAATCAAGCAGTGTTGCATAATCTCATTTGTAGAGGTTTTTAAAAACATATTTTTACTTTTATTCCCTGTTTGTTTCTTTTTCTCTGAGAATCTTACTTTTCTTTTTTTTTAATTATTTTCTATAGCACAGTATTTTAATTTCTCAAGTCTCAGAATGAATATTTTGATTAACAAAAAAGCCTAAAATCAAATCCTCCCCCCATTTTCTTTCAGAATTTAAAAGACAAGAAACATACTAATAAATACTGAATGATTTCTTCAACCATTTGATGTTGATAGGTTTCAATGAACAAAATTCTTCAAATTAGTATGAGTCTTAGTCTAAAACATGTTAAGATATTAACACTTGTCCTGTGGTTATGATTGTTCTTTGAAAATCATAAACCATGACAAAATGCTCTTTCAATACAAAAAATAAACTTAATTTTTATCAATTATCTGTGAAAGAATTAACGAAGTGGGGGAGGGGAGAATCAATGTTCTATGTAAAAGGTTAAGTAGAGCTTTGTAATTGACAGTGAAAGTCCACAAAAAAGCTAGGATGAGTAATGTCTACAGCCTCCTTGACCCATTAAAAGGTGATGAGTTCATGTGACAGCCAAGAATTATCTGCTCTCATGACATGGCACAAAAAAAGTTCGTTTTACATCTTATGAACTTATGAGTTCATTTCATTGGCACAAATTAGAAATAAGACTGTATGAGATAACCTGGATTTCTTCAAGCATCAGGCAAAACAGAATGCAATTATTGTCAAACAGGTTGGAATTATTAAGTTCTTTCCATTTACCAAACTGTTTTTTTTTTTAGTTTGTCTTCTTTATTCTTTTTTTTTATATACACTTTAAGTTTTAGGGTACCTGTGCATAAAGTGCAGGTTAGTTACATATGTATTCATGTGCCATGTTGGTGTGCTGCACCCATTAACTCGTCATTTAACATTAGGTTTATCTCCTAATGCTATCCCTCCCCCCTCCCCCCATCCCACAACAGGCCCCAGTGTGTGATGTTCCCCTTCCTGTGTCCATGTGTTCTCATTGTTCAACTCCCACCTCTAGGCAATACCATTCAGGACATAGGCATAGGCAAGGACTTCATGTCTAAAACACCAAAAGCAATGGCAACAAAAGCCAAAATTGACAAATGGGATCCAATTAAACTAAAGAACTTCTGCACAGCAAAAGAAACTACCATCAGAGTGAACAGGCAACCTACAGAATGGGAGAAAATTTTTGCAATCTACTCATCTGACAAAGGGCTAATATCCAGAATCTACAATGAACTCCAACAAATTTACAAGAAAAAAACAAACAACCCCATCAAAAAGTGGGCAAAGGATATGAACAGACACTTCTCAAAAGAAGACATTTATGCAGCCAAAAGACACGTGAAAAAATGCTTATCATCACTGGCCATCAGAGAAATGCAAATCAAAACCACATTGAGATACCATCTCACACCAGTTAGAATGGCGATCATTAAAAAGTCAGGAAACAACAGGTGCTGGAGAGGATGTGGAGAAATAGGAACACTTTTTTTTTAAATTTTATTTTATTATTATGATAGACTGCATTAAGAAAATGTCGAACAATTTTACACTGTTGGTGGGACTGTAAACTAGTTCAACCATTGTGGAAGTCAGTGTGGCGATTCCTCAGGGATCTAGAACTAGAAATACCATTTGACCCAGCAATCCCATTACTGGGTATATACCCAAAGGATTATAAATCATGCTGCTATAAAGACACATGCACATGTATGTTTATTGTGGCACTATTCACAATAGCAAAGACTTGGAACCAAGCCAAATGTCCAACAATGATAGACTGGATTAAGAAAATGTGGCACATATACACCATGGAATACTATGCAGCCATAAAAAAGGATGAGTTCATGTCCTTTGTAGGGACATGGATGAAGCTGGAAACCATCATTCTCAGCAAACTATAGCAAGGACAAAAAACCAAACACCGCATGTTCTCACTCATAGGTGGGAATTGAACAATGAGAATCTTACTTTTTTCTGAAGTTTATTAGTACTTTCAACCTTATTTGCTGGATGCAAAAGACTTCCCATTGGTTTGTGACATTTCCTTTAAAATATAATATAGTCTACATACTAGAGTCTATTTCAAAGTTATCCACTTCATTTCATCGATCTGACACTTCTTTGCCAATACCATGTGGTGTTAATCGCAAGAGTTCTATATTACATTTTACTATATAGTAGTTTGAGTCTGACTTTAATATTCCTTTTGTTTAAGATTTTATAAGCCATTCTCATCTCTATTTTTATTACCTAGTTTAATATTAGAATTATTTTTAAGTTAAAAAAGTTTAAAATTTTGACTGGCAAACAAGTAATTTATTTGTAATACTTAGTCTCTTTATTCAGAAATGTCATATGTCTTTCTCTAATATCTTTCAAATTACTTTTTCAGTATATTTCATAAAAGTTATACTTTTTGTTAATTTTCTCCTAGTGATTTCATGTTTTAGACTGCTATTATGAATGGAATTTTCTAACTGGTCACTGCTCATACAAAGGAAAGTTATTTTGGATATTTATTTTGTGTTTCACCACTTTGCTGAATTGTCTTACTTATTTTAAGAAGCTTTTGGTGTGGCTCTTTAAGAGTAAAATAATTTCACATGCGCATAATAAGTTTTCTCCTTAATCATGCATTTTATTTCATGGTATAGTCTTACTGCATTAGCTAAAACCTCAAAACCAACATTAACAATAGTAATAGTGAGCAGGACCTTGTTCTTGAATTTCTTGGGCACACTGCTTGTGCTTTACCATTGAGCATGGTATTGGCTGTAGGTTTAATACAGATCCTTTTTTACCATGTTGCTATTTCTAGTCCATTCCTACTTTTCTAATTAGGAATAGGTTTAGAAATTATCAATTACTTTTCCAACATAAATGGCATTGTTATGGTAAATAGTATTTACCATAAATGGCAAATTTCAGAGAATTAAATATCTCAACAAATCTATAATGTGTCAAATAAGAATATTTAAGATACCATGTAACAAAAGCAGATATGTATCATTTCAACCTCTTAAAAACACTTGAATTTCTCTGAAAACTACTTGCAATGCTTGTATGCTCTATTTTACTAGCTTAGCTCCTAACATGTCCTTGTGACTTTTCAATATTGACCTTGGCTAGCCAGCACCCACTCCCTCTTTTTCCACCCCTACCTCTTGGTTGCTTGACTGTATTTGCTGTTGTCTAGGACTAATCCTGCATACACGTGGTTTCAAAAATCCTCAGCCAGAAATAACATGATGCAATAGTTCAAAATAACTCAAAGAGAGATCAAAAGGTAAGATTTAAAAATGATTTCTATACTATTGTTTCAGTTTGAAATGCTCACTATATCTAGTTCAGTTAATCCACTGTTTACTTCCATTTTTAAAAACAAGAAAATATAAAGCCAGGTTTTCCATTGTGCTATGTAATACAACCTTTCATATTATTATTTAAACTCAGCTTGTACTTCTTAGTCAAGTTTAATTTCATGCAACAATCTTCTTATATCTACCCTAAACTGAATTATAGAAAAAATTGTTCACATTATTTTAGATACATCAGTAAGTCCAAGATACCTTTAAATACGTTAGTAAGTTCAGGATATCTATCTTGTGATAATGCCTCTTCATTGAAGGAGTCATTCTTTTTAAGCAAGAAATTATTTTCTTTGCTACATTCCTTCTGCATAAAGTCTAATTTACTGTATCTTGTGTGTCTCTAACTTTTTTCCCTAAATGAGGGAATAAATTTTCAGCCTAGAAATGTACTGTATCAGATGACAACTTCATTAGAATTTCTTTCCAGTTTTGAAGACCTAGCCTATAACCATAGGCTTCTTTCACCTTCACCCACTCTAAAAATCTTACCATCCAACATCTTTTCTTGTTCTGTTTTCCTCTCTAACTTTCTGTCTTACAGACACACACACACACACACACACACACACACGTGTGTGTGTGCACACTGAGCAACTAAATATTTTTGAATCTTGTTGACCAACTGTGAGTCTAGGCTGCTTTAGGCAGCAGTTAAAATCAGGGTATGTGAGTAATGCTAGGAAGGCTTGGAGTCAGACTGCTGGTGGCAAAACCGGCCTTCTCACTCATGATGTTGCTTAATCATGCTGTATCTCTCTCTCTCTCTTTTTTGATGTTTGTTTTTTCATAAAATATTTATAAGAGGGCATTGATTTTGTTAAATGTTTATAATAATTGTGTCCCTTCAATTAATTTTTGTGAGGATTAAGTACATCAAATTACATAAAGCATTTGGAAGATTGATCAAGATAGTGAATGCTTAATAAGTGCTGATTATTTCTATTATTATTTCATACTAAATAAACTGACCTTGAAGAAAAGGAAGATGAGGCAACCTTGCCCTTTAAACGTCTTTAAGACAAGTACATAAGACTTACAAATTACCAAGTATATATCCTAATTGTGCAAGAAACAAATAAGTGTTAATAAAAACATCTTTTGAAACTATGATTGAGAATAGTATTCATTAATGTCTATGCTTGGCAAACCAGTAATGAAAAGAGATACAATGTACAGTCATATCTCTGTTTCAAAAGAGAATGTATTCCAGTGATATGCTTGTTACAACAGTATACCAGAAGTAGAAATAACACAGGGATACTGTCAGCTTATTTAGGGGGAAGGGACAGTTATCTGTTAACTATTAATGATTCTTATCAGCTTCCTGGATATAAGGATGGCATTCAGCTGTATGTAACAAAAATTCAAAATGTAGTAGCCTCACCACTGGGGACCTCATGTTCCATAGGCCATCCTGAGCTGGGGCAGAGGCTCCAATGGTCAATAGTGACCCTAGCTTCTTATTTTTCCTCTCCTATCCTTAGCAAACAGCTTTCATCCTCATAGTTGCAATATGGTTGCTTCACCTCAAGCCGCACATTGAAGTTCCAGATAGGAAGAAGAAGACTCCCCCAAATACCAGCAGACTTCTGCTTATGTTATTTCTATTAAGTCAAAGCTGTGTCACATGATCACCCCTCATTGAGAGGGCATCTGAAAAGGGGTTTAGCTGGGTACATTGTTCCCTGAGCAAAATAGGGCATCAATTAGTGAAGAGGAAGGAAGGCAAGAATAAACACTGAACAGACACCTAGATGTACCTGCTACATGTATCCTATCTCATTTCAAACTAACAACAGCTGCCTGACATAGGTGTTATCATCTTGTGGTTACTGATGATAAAACTGAGGCTTAGAGAGTCGTACGATTATAAAACCATAGAAAAGGTACTGGAAATTAGGTCCAACTGATGTTAAAGGTACTGTTCCAGAACTGCTATGCCACGCCACACCCCAGTGCTCCGACCACACAGGACTCAGATCTGGTGGCACCTCCTTAGTTCCCAGTGTCTAGGCAATGCCAGCCCAGGAACATGGGCAATTTTCCACACAGACTGAAGACCTGACCCACAGGAGAAGCCAGGATCTGAAAGAACCTCCCTGCCTTCTTCTCCTTTGTCACACCTGTCAAGAACCTAGCCCCCAAAGAGCTACCCGAAACTCTTCTCTGTGCTAGAGCCAAATTTGTCAAAAGAGCTCTATTTGCAGACAATTTATTATTTAAATGTCACTTTTTCTCAACCTTATTTTTATTATAACCCCATCTTTCTTTCTAGTTATTGAGAGGCAAGTGTACAGGCTCTAGAGTCATGTTACTTGGGTTCAAATCCCAGCTCTAGCGTGGACTCACTGTGTAGCTTAGGGAAAGCTTCTTACTTTATAGGCTTGCATTTCTCTAACTGTAAAATTGTTGTAATATACATATTTCATTGAGATAACACAAGGACTAAATTAATTTGTATGTATAAAGCTCTTGGAAAGTGCCAGAAACATAAAGTTTGTTATCATTTAAAATCATAATTCATAAATGCACATTTTTATCTGTTTTGCAACTTATAAATATTTTGAAGTTATTGATGTATAATTTACACCCAACAAAATGCACCAATCTAGGGTTTCAGTTTGATGAATTTTGACACTGGTATACACCTATGTAGGCACCACCTCAAACAAGATGCAGAACATCTCCATCATTACTAGACATCCCCTCAGGCCTGTTTCTAGTCAAGCCCTGATTTCTGTCCCAGGGGCACCACTGTCTGACTCTATGGCCATAGAATAGCTTTGCATGTTCTTAGATTTCAAATAAAAAGAATCATACAAAATGTACTTTCTTTGTGTCTAGCATCTGTAGCTCAACCCTATTTTTGAGATTCATCCATGTTATTGAGTGCACTAATAGTTCATTCCCCTTATTGCTGAGTAGTATTCCATTGTATGGCCATACAGCAATTTTTTGTCCATTTTTCCTGTTGATTTATATCAACATTCAGGTTGTTTCCAGGCTTTGGCAAATCTGAATAAGGTTATTGTGAACATTCTTGTATAAATCCTTTTGCGGACATGCACTTTCACTTTTCTTGGATAAATACCTAGAAGTAGAATTGATTGGTTGCTGATGGGGTAAATGTAAGTTTAACTTTCCAGAAATCTTTTCAACAGTTCTCCAAAGTAGTGTTACTATTTTATAGTTCCACCAGCATAACATGAGAGTTCTGGCTATTCAATGTCCCCCTAATATTTGGTTTTGTCAGTGTTATATTTTAACCATTCTCATGAGTGTGAAATAGTATCTATTAAAGGAATTGAAATTGTGAAAACTTCAAAACTATGAGTTCAGATGATTTCACTGATTCTATCAGATATGTAAAGAACTCTTAAATGTTAGAAAAATGGAAGGTGAGTGAACACGTCTGAGTGCATACTGAGATCTAAGAATCAGTTACTCAACAGATTTCAAGCATTCTGCCCTCACACTGAGTCAAGAGATTCCTAGTGCCACTAATTCCCAAGGCTTTGGCCAATTATGAGGTATTCATTAGTTGCAATTAGATTCTCCATTGCTGGCTTAGTATTCAGCGTTCTTGGGTCAGCTACTTAATCCCTACTCATCCAACAGATTTCCAACTCTCTAAATTCTGTTACTGCAGTCTCATCTCTCATTTTTTCCTCTTTCTGAATTTGTATTTAAAAGAAATCCCTTTACTGTTGTTTTTATTGGACTTGAGGGAAGGAATGAAATTAGATATAGTTGCCAAATTCGGTTTCTCCCTTTGTTTTCTGCAGTCTCTCAGAAGCCCCTGCTAGTGGTAAAATTCTGAACTGTAGTTAGGGAGGTTGCAGAGCAGAGGGGCTTGAAATGCGGTCTCTGGAGGAAGACTGGGTTTGATTCTTCCCTGACCATTTATAAGCAATGTGTTTTGGGATGAGTTACTTAACATCTGGTGTCTCTGTTTCTTCACTTGTAAAATGGAGATAATGAAGATAACAATAGTATCTACTGCATGTAGTTATGAGGATTGTCTAACATGGAGATCACAGTTATAACAGTGTCTGGAACATAGTAAGGTCTTCATAGGTATTAGACATCATCGCTGTTATTGCTCAAACTGGTGGCATGAGAAGGTGAGTTCCTTTGGTGGGTAAATAGTGGTATTTGTGAATGTAACCCAAGTGAAATTGTTTAAACTGTTCACAGGTCTGTGCATTAAAATACGTATTTCAACACCTGCTTATTCATTCTATTTGTGCTTATTTAATCCAAGTTTATCCTTGTAACCATGTGTAAGTGAAGATTTATCAAACAATATTGAAAAGCATGCTTATTAATTCTATTTGTGCTTATTTCATCCAAGTTTAAGTTGATCTTTATACCATTTCTAAGTAAATATTTAGGAAATAATTTAACAGTGTAAATATATTTCAAGGGGCTGATTAGCTTTAAGAGAACATCATGCTAGTAGTTTGTTTTATGGTTTAGCACAATTATATGGAAATAAATGAAACTTTTCTTCATTAAAGCAGCTATTGTAGTACCTATCTCTTAGCAGTTAATAGGAAGAAATTCTTTGAGACGTTTTCAGTAATATAAAACAAATATAAAATATAAAACAATAAAAGAGAAATCTTTTTAGTGAGATCATAATTATATTCCCATAACATATAAAGACAGCATACTCACATACATGTACAATATATACTCACATAAATACACAATATGATATTGAATGCAGATGACTCCTAAATATCCTAAATTAGGAAAAACTGTGAACACATTTGCTAATTGGATCACTATACAATCATAAATGCCAGTGTTTTGAACTACTTTGGGTAGCCATGGCAAACATTATGTCTTACTGTATGTGTGTGTGTGCGGAGGGTGGAGGGGATGTATCAGGAAGGTAAGAAGTAATGTGGCAGGGACTCAGGTCAGTTTGCCAGGGTGAGAGGAATCAGGGTGGTTAGAGAGGAACTGTGCAGTGTCAGCCCTGAAGTCTGGTAGAGGAAAAAGAATGCCAAGGTTGGAAACCATGTGTCAGCAGGTGAGTCGCCAAATCTGAGCAGAGAATATGCAAGAACAGTCAAGCTGACACTCAGGTTTAAACGACTGGCAAAGAATGGGAAACTAAGAAGCAGAAGGCACAACATTGATGGCTCATCAGAGGCCTCTCCCAGGCAGTGGGCAAGACCCCACAAGAACGAGAAGGAAATGGGGGTAGGGGTGGAAGTAGAAAGTGAAGGGAGAAAAAGGTGGACCCAGGGGCAGAGGGGAGCCCCATAAACAAGGGGCCAGTCCAGCAGCTGCTGAGGCCAGCAGGTCTGCAGACACACCATATAGGGGCAACCAGGACAAAGTTGCATTCAGTTCTGTTTAGCTTAGTTTGAGTTCAATAATCTGGCTCTACAATTGTGCTTCTGCCAATCTGAAATGGGTAGCATGAAACCAGGTAGCAGGAACCTAATGTAAACAATATTGCCATATGTTAACTCTTTAGTTAATGCAGGATTGTTGCCTTGCAAGAGAATTATATGAACAAATGTAGTAATTGTCCTATACTATAAAAATTAACGCCTCCTCCATCAAGTGTTAGGGCACCTGTATAATTATAAAAGGCACAGCTGGTTACAAACTTGCTTATACATCACCTTATTTTATCACTGTTTACTCATGTGTAAAGTGAACTGATGACCATAAAATGTTGTAAGATTACTTTCTTGGGAAATTTGGTCATTACCATTTTTGTAAGCTTCGAGCTGGTATTTCCTGTCTCATCTCTCTGGAGATTATAGGGTACTTTACATATTCCATTCTTTCCTAAAAAAAATTAAAAACTCAGAATATTCCAGTCTTATAAAATGTATTCTTCCAAAAGATCCTGGAAATAAATTGGCTCTGTAACAAATAGGTTCTATTTCTACGAAGGATTGTAATGCAAAACTACTTTTTACATTCTATCTATGTGACCTGGATTTGTTTTTTAGTAAAATTTTGCCAAAACTAAAAAAGCCTATGAACTCAATCTCTAGGCAGGAGTCTGTACATAGACCCCAAGCCACAGATAGTGTAATCAGCTAAAGTTTCCTTAGACAGTCTGTGACTGTACTCCATGGTTAAGAAAACACAGCTAACCAAGTGCATTCAGCAAATGCCTGATGTGATTAAACAGAGTAGAGTTGACTAATTCAGTTTGGGCCCCACTGATTTTTTTTTTTTTGGCTGTATCCCTTTTTGCAAAATTTACAACTCTGTGAAATGTGTCCTATATTTCACATCCTGTGACTGCTGACCTACTTTTTTCTCCAAATTCAGTATTTCAAAAAAGGTTAAAGAAGTAATACTCAAGTGATCAAGCCCATGACACGTCTCAATAATCACAGAGCTGCTTTTAGTATACCCAGATGTGGGAAGCCCAGTTGTTCCACAATGCTTTTGTACTTCCCTCTCTTCCTCTCAGCTTCTAGCTCTCTCGGCCACCACCCAACTGATCCGCATAAGGAGATGACATCTCAGCCAATACTTCTGTTTACAATTTCACTTGTTGATAAAAAAAAAATAAAAATGCACACCACTTCTTGAGTGCCCATGACATGCCTGGAAATTTATCTATCTATCTATCTATCTATCTATCTATCTATCTATCTATCTATCTAGTTTACAGTGCTTTAATCATTCATGCCTGGAATTTTATAATCATTATTTTCCTGTCTCCCAACAACCCTATTAGGTGGGTAATGACAACAAGAATGTATTTATTTCCTGTTCGTCAGGCACTGGATTAAACCTTTGATATACACAATCCCAAAATATCCTCACAACAAGGCCATGAGGTAGGTATTACTGCCTCTATCAAATGTTGAAACTGAAGTTTGGAGAGGTTAATAATAACTTGCCCACAGCTTGTGGGCTAGTGGAACCAGGACTCAAATCTACAGCTATTGACTTTATGGCCTCAGTTTTTCCCAAAGCAGCATTCTAGGTCTCTTGAATCTTAACTCCCATGAATGGATAAAGCCACAGGCTAGAGTTCCCATTAGATCCTAAACTCCTTAAGGGTCAGGACCCTCTATTGTTTAACTTTGTGTCCTCCACCAAGTCCAGTCCTACACCTTATGAACAATTGGTTCTGAGAAAGCAGCAAGGTATAGAAGAAAGCACAGGTGTTAAATCCAAGCGTATCTCCTTCGAATCTTGGCTTCACTACTTACCAGCTGTGTGCCCTTGGAGATAATGTGTCCAGAATTTTTATCATAAAGGGCTTGTGAGTAGGAAGCAATAAAATATGGGGGTTTGTCTCATGTTGCCTAGCAAGCAGAGAAGAGGGCTTTATGAAGACTGGTTGGGCAGCCATAGCTAACAATCTCCAAGCTATCCCCAAGTACCGTCCTGGCTGTGGGTATGGCACACAGCCTCCCTAAGCCTCTGGATAATAGCACTCACCTTGTGGGCTCAATGTGTCCTACAGGGCATATTCGATAACAGACTACTGAGCCCTATTTAGTATACTGACTCTGATTCAGTGAGAATCTGCATTTCGAATTAATCACCCGGTGATGCTGATGCTACCAGTCCAGGGACCATACTTTGGAATCACTGATGTAGAGAATAGAAGAAAGGAGGGAGAAAGTACATAGTCAAATATAATAGATTTTTGTTAATTAAATATCCTTAGAGTGGGCATGGAAAATAATAAAGAGGAAAGCATAAAATATGAGAAGTCCTAGGACAAGCTGCTAAGACTGAGTCATGTGTAAGAGGCTCAGATATAATTTGATAAAACTGATTCACCTATGTCCCAATGCCTCTACTGGATTGCTCTCTAGATGTCTCATTTGCAAAATGGAGATGAAAAACATGGTCTGTATCCAAAATGTGAAATGAAATTATTGTGTAATACACACACACACACACACACACACACACACACACCATGCCTGCCGTGTGCTGTTAAACCTACTTAAATAAAAGTTGTCCCTGAAGAAGCCAGTGCGTCTGCACTTTTGAATATGAACAACACCCCGGCCAGCTCCATCTGAAGTCAATACCATCTTCTTCTCCAACAATGTTTCTACTGTTTCCTTTGGAAAGAAATCCAACTAGTTGGCCACCAGATTCCGGGTTGTGCCTGGAGCCATGTGAAAGGTTTTGCACGTTAAAAGCAAATCTGGCAAACCTAGGCTTTTTGACAGCTTTGTGAAGTGTGAAAAAAAATCATATTTCTCTGGCACAGTTTTATGAGTTTTTGTCTTGAGCAAAAGGGAAGCTTTGCCTGTGAAAATGGAAAAAGGGTCAAGGAAATGACCGCAGATTAGTGATCCAATTTGAGATCCAGTGAATTCTGAAACTGGAAAATTTCACCAAAATTCTCAGGTTTTCTGTGCAACTGCAGAGGAGCTTTTTTTTTTGTGCCAGGGACACCAACTCTGACTCTGCTCCATCACCTGCAACTGACAGGGCCAAGAGTGCTTAATTACAGGGATCTACACAAAAGGCTGCTGAAAAGAGTAGCTGATCATGACTAATTACTACACAGGGCATGGTATTTGCAAGGATTCTTCCAGAAGGCACCATGTTTGTGTGAAAAGATTATTTGGCTAGACTGGAAACATAAACTAAGGGCCTAGTAGAGGCTCATGAGAAAGAAACCCTATCTACAAATTTGCTGTAGTGAAGCTAACAAGAGGATGAAAAGACAGAAAATCTAGCCATAGAGGAATCTGGTCTCCTTCTGTCATTTCAACAGGTCATTTACCACATAGCTAACCAAGCACGAGCCTCACTCAAGGCTCCTATTTAAACAGCCCTTGGAGAGGGGCCTGAGCAATGTTCACGTGGTCATGTGTTTTTTAATTTGTCAGCACTTTACAATTTTAAAATGCATTGTGATTTCTTTTCTTATTCTGTAAATATTTTCTTTCCTACCTATTTTTTTTTCTTGAGGAGAAGGCTCAAAAATTGTATAAGCTTCAGGCCTCTCAAAACCTAAATCTTTTCCATCACTTACAAAGTTCACTGAGTTAGAAAATAAGGAGACTTAGAAAATAATATTTCCCAGACAAGGTGACTATATTAGTTTTCTAAAGCTGCCATAACAAAATACCACAGATTGGGTCACTTAAACAACAGATATTTAGTTCTCCAAGCTCTGAAAGCTAGAAGTTCAAGAGCAAGGTGTCAGCAGGATTGGTTTCTTCTGAGTTCTGTCTCCTTGCCTTGCAGATGGCTGCCTTCTTGCTGTGTCCTCACATGGTCTTTCCTCTGCCCGTGTGCAGCACTGTGTCCTAATCTCCCCTTCTTATAAGCACGCCTGTCATTTTGAATTAGGGCCCACCATATGAGTTCATTTTACCTGAATTACTTCTTTGAAGACCCTATCTCCAAATAGAGTAACATTCTGAGGTACTGGGGGTTAGGAGTTCAACATATGAAATTTAGGGGGACACAGTTCATTCCATAACATTTCTCCCTGTGGCCCACCAAGAATGATACAGTTCTTACTGCATTCACCCCATCCCAACAGCCCAGAAGTCTTAGCCCATTCCAGTATCAACTCTAAGTATCTTAATATCATCCATATTATCACTATCACTTCAGTTTTGCTGTTGGGACACTAAAACTTTGGGAAAAGGCTTTTTTTTTCCTCCCAGCATCCAGAAACCCAAGCCCAGAGCTGCCGTTAGTTGGTGGCATAACAGGAAGAAGTGGGCTCAGGTACTGTTGGCAGTTAAAAGAACAACTTACTGTTGAATAGTTCAACTCAACATTTGAAGTTTACACAATTATATTTTCCTCTAAGAATTTAATTGGCCTGGTTTATGACTCTATGCCAGCCCCAGAGGGCTGATTTCACAAGCTGGGTCATTACTTAGTCCCTACCCTACATCAGCAGGAATCTCAGACATGCCACTTCATTTTCCACCAGAGGGTCTCCACATGCCCAAGAACCCTGAGGGTCCTTCATGTTTATCCAGCTTAGCCTCTACCTCCAACATCGCTGCTTTTAATGTCCAACACCCCAAACCCACAAAACTACCCCAAAAGATCAAGGAAACCAAAAGAGAGTTATTGGCAAGGCAGTTAAAATGGCAAATCTCACTTTGTGTTGGCTAGATGGGTCACCAAAAAAGTGAGGACTCTGATCATTCCATATTTCTGTATTTTATCTCCCATTTCTTACCACTTCACCTTAGAGATGGGATGTTTGTGTGTCTGTGTTTCTCAATCTCTCTCTCTCTCTCTCCCCCTGTGTGTGTGTGTGTGTGTGTGTGGTGGCAGCAAGTAGATATGATAAGAGCAAAGAAAATTGTGGGAATAGAATAGAGGCAGAAACATAAGATCAAACTCTAGGATTTCCAGGTGACAATGAAGGCTATTTTACCATATAGACCACACATCACATATATACCTCATACACATTTTTCCACACACACACACACACACACACACAGCACACTGTAAGGCAAAACAAAACAAAAACAAAAATCAAAACTTTAAATGTCATAGGTCCACTATAATTAATGAATCCTAAAAAATATGCCTGCACAAAACTGTAACCCATGCTTGTTGTTAGCTTATTTTTCTTTTTTGTTTACATAGTGGGTACCAGGGTCTTGTTAGTTTGTTCACTCATTCAACAAACATATATTGAGCAATAATCACGTACCAAGAACACTGCTAAGTTCTAAGGATTTAAAGATCAATAAAACACAGCCCATAATAATGTAATGCAGAAAAACATGTACTTTCATAGGTCGTTTTTGTATATGCAGCTCAGAGTGGGTACAGAGAGGAAGAGAGTGCTGCCTGGCATAGGGGAATCAGGAAAATGGGGTGACCCTCAAGCTGAGTGGTGAAGATGAGTTCCAGGGAGAATAGCCAAGGGGACTGTCTTAAATGCAGGGAGGTTGTGTACAAAGATGCCATGTCATAAAAGGGAAGTTAGAAAACGAAAGGGTCAGGTTTGTAGACTGAAAGTTGAATACAACCTACAGAAGAAAAGTGGACTCTTCTAGAATTTGGGAGAACTTTTTGGTATAGGCTTTCCTTTTCATTTTTTTTTTTTTTTATCTTTTTAAAGAGGTTGAAAAGCCTTGGAGCTGATATAAATATGGTTTGCCCTAAAAATAAGATTAGTAACCACAGACTGCTTGGGGACTATTTCTGACAGAAATGAATTTGAAAGGAAATTCTTCTAGAAAAGTTTCCTTTTTAGATGTGGTTTATTTCAGAAACTAGAGGTGAATACATTTGAATGTAGGTGTTTGTGTTTGTGTGTTTATGATTTTTGTGTTGTGTGTTTATGGTTTTTTAAAACTTTTATATCACTGATACCAACTGTGCTCGCCAGTTAGATAAGAAAAGATAATCTCTTATTTTATCTAGGTAGTGTAATAGCACAGTATAGTTCCTAAACTATAGACTTTGAGGAGGCACTAGGCCACCCAAGAAGATAGAGTATCAAGGAAATTTTGAGGGTTCCCCTTAACATCAGCACCCATTTTTAGTATCCTTTATCTAACATCACTCCAATAGAAGAGCTCTGGGTAGCCAGTATGATGAGGAATCTAGATTTTGTGGTGTGGGCTGAAAAGATGTCCATAAGGCCACCCAATGCCAAGTGCATGGAATAGCTGTGACTTCATAAATGTGTTGAATGAAGAATCAATTCCAGGTAACTATAAATTTTTTTTACACAGAAACTGATTTCTCTAATGTAATTTTCTTGACAGTAAGTTAATTTCAAGGGCTGACTTTCTCTAGAAAGGGTCTTTATAACCAAATATGCCCATTGACATTTTGAATTGATAAAGAGTTCGGGGATAAAACTTAGAATAATTCTTGAGGGTCCTTCTCATGACATTAGGCCCAATATCCTTGCATTCAGGATTGGATTTTCATTTGGGCCCACCCAACACAGGTATTTGAGGCAGTCTTCTTCTCCTCTCCTACATAGATCATGTCAACTCTGTCTTCATGCCTTTGATTGAAAGAGCCCCTCCCCTGGAATGCCCTCCTGGCCCCTTTCTGAATATCTGAAGCCTGCCCATTGCTACAGGCCTTGCTCAGCTCCAGCTGCTGTGATATACCTGCTTGCCTTCCCAGCACTGGCACCCAGATGTACTTCCTCCTGCCTGCAAACTTCTTTTTTTTTTAATTATTATTATACTTTAAGTTCTAGAGTACACGTGCACAATGTGCAGGCTCATTACATAGGTATACATGTGCCATGCTGGCCCGCTGCACCCATCAACTCATTTGCATTACGTATTTCTCCCAGTGCTATCCCTCCCCCCGCCCTCCACCCAACGACAGGCCCCAGTGTGTGATGTTCCCCACCCTGTGTCCAAGTGTTCTCATTGTTCAATTCCCACCTATGAGTGAGAATATGCAGTGTTTGGTTTTCTGTCCTTGTGATAGTTTGCTCAGAATGATGGTTTCCAGCTTCATCCATGTCCCTGCAAAGGACATGAACTCATCCTTTTTTATGGCTGCATAGTAGTCCATGGTGTATATGTGCCACATTTTCCTAATCCAGTCTATCATTGATGGACATTTGGGTTGGTTCCAAGTCTTTGCTATTGTGAATAGTGCTGCAATAAACATATGTGTGCATGTGTCTTTATAGTAGCATGATTTATAATTATTTGGGTATATACCTAATAATGGGATCACTGGGTCAAATGGTATTTCTAGCTCTAGATCCTTGAGGAATCACCACACTGTCTTCCACAATGGTTGAACTAGTTTACAGTCCCACCAACAGTGTAAAAGTATTCCTATTTCTCCACATCCTCTCCAGCATCTGTTGTTTCCTTTTTAATGATCGCCATTCTAACTGGTGTGAGATGGTATCTCATTGTGGTTTTGGTTTGCATTTCTCTGATGAAGAGTGATGACGAGCATTTTTTCATGTGTCTGTTGGCTGCATAAATGTCTTCTTTTGAGAAGTATCTGTTCATATCTTTGCCCACTTTTTGAAGGGGTTGTTTGTTTTTTTTCTCGTAAATTTGTTTAAGTTCTTTGTAGATTCTGGATATTAGCCCTTTGTCAGATTGGTAGATTGCAAAAATTTTCTCCCATTCTGTAGGTTTCCTGTTCATTCTGAGGGTAGTTTCTTTTGCTGTGCAGAAGCTCTTTAGTTTAATTAGAAGCTTCTTGATGGCTGTACCAATCTTCATACTGGAGTCTGGATGCTCCTGAACATGAAAAAAAAACTTTCTAAAGGATATACAGCTAAGGATATCTTTAATGAAACCAATTTTCAGATTCCCAGTTTCCAGGTATACTCCTTTGTAACACTGATCTGCATGAGAACTCACCTAGAAAAAGGTGTTCCTTTAACAACCAACTTTCTTCCCATTTACAGAAGAAAGGCACACCTCTTACCCAACCAAAATCTTACAAAACTGTAAAAATTTCCACAGTGCCAAGCAAACAAAAACATTCAAAATACTGGCATAAATGTTAAAAAATATGCCTGCATGGTTGTAATGACTGACTTTTTTCAAGTCAGGTGGCTTTCAAGTTTTTGCTTTTAATAAAATTGAGGACCTAATTGAGTTTAGATTATTAAAACTTTTAAATAATAGGTCATCATATGACATATATATCCCTAAAGGAATTATAAACCTGGGCCATATTGTTTCTACAGACTCTTGTCCATCTTATGATTTATGCAGAAGGGGTTTCTTGGTGCTTAAATGTATAAAAACAAAAGAATTGGAACAAAATTGATGTTGAGTTTTGCCTCGATTTGGGAATTAGTAATGGAAAAGAAACAATTAAATGAAGAAAGAAACAGTTCCATGCGTCTCATTAATTTATACATGTCCAGTAAGTGTTTTAATTTTTATATCTAATTATTCATAAAAATTTGGTGTATATGTATGTTGCTTTTTATCAGTTGAGTGCTCATTATAACAATCCAATATCAAATAAATGTTTTAATATTTATAGCCTTATGTCTTAGGCTATAAAAATATTTAAATTTAAAATTATATATACATTTTTGTTGAAGAGAGTTATGGGACCGTCAATAAAAGATTAAAAAAAAAACTGGCCGGGCGCGGTGGCTCACGCCTGTAATCCCAGCACTTTGGGAGGCCGAGGCGGGCGGATCACGAGGTCAGGAGATGGAGACCATCCTGGCTAACACGGTGAAACCCCGTCTCTACTAAAAATACAAAAAATTAGCCGGGCGTGGTAGCGGGCGCCTGTAGTCCCAGCTACTCGGGAGGCCGAGGCAGGAGAATGGCGTGAACCCGGGAGGCGGAGCTTGCAGTGAGCCGAGATCGCGCCACTGCACTCCAGCCTGGGCGACAGAGCGAGATTCCATCTCAAAAAAAAAAAAAAAAAAACTGAAAATATACTATACCAGGATGGGATTCTATGGAGGAAGTAGAATAAAAACACAGGTCAAAGGAATAATCTAAAATTTCTAACTTGTTTGTATATTTTAACAGCTTTTCAAGGTACAATACATGTAGCATAAATTTTACTCATTGTAACTGTGAAACTGTTTTTAAATAAATTTTTATATAAATGCATATGTTGTGTATCATTCCAATTTAGCTTCAAGGCATATTCATTATCGTAAAAATACCCTTGAGCACATTTGCAATCTGTTTGTGTATTTTTTAAATAGATGATGAGTATCAAATAACTATAATATTTAGACTTTATTGAATATGTTTAAGAGTGAAAATGCTGATATTTACAATGCATTGGAGATTACACCCTATTTATCTATGTAAAGCTATAATAAAAATATTAGATGTTCACTTAAGAACATGGAAGTTGGGGTTTAAGTTAATTAAAAAATAGGGGTTACCCAGGGAAAATTTGAAAGCCAGTAGCCTACACCATCTCACTGACCACTTAATTATATAATAGTCTACTCTGTAATTTTCTATTTCTATTTTATAAGATAGATAAATTCTGTACTTGGTTGACTGGCTGATTGAAGTTGTTACTGTAGACCTGACTTTGATCCAAACTAGAGGGGTTCAAAATACATTTTTCATTTAAAAATATGCAGCATTTAAATGATATTTCATTTAAAATTATCACAGAGAGAAAGAGGAATAAAATATTTTTTCCTATTTTGAAACAGGATTAATTTTCCAAATCAGAAGACAATGTCATTAAATTCTTGAATGACAACTAATGTCCTGTTTATTTTCTGGTTGTTTAGTAATATTTCTGTCGCCTTTGGTCTCTTGGAATTCTCTTGGCCTTAGATAAAAATTGGACTTTCTTTTTATTGTTCCTTTATTTTTATTGGATAAAACTCTTAGGCTTTATTGTCACTAAGTAAACAACATACATCTAGTGTTTTTCTTTGATATAAAAAAAGACTCTAAATCTCACTTTTAAATGAAGTTCTATCTAAACTTTATACAGTATATCTACACACATTCACATGGATATATATGTGTCTAAAAACAAATTTTAAATGATCATTTTTGATTCCATCTTCACATATAACTTTCTCTGAGGGCATGAAAGAATACAATATAGTTCTTAAAATCAGAAATAAAACTGGCTTTTACTGCATAAAAATAAAAGGTGGGTTTGCTTTATTTCTCATTGACTTACCTACTCCATATTCTTTAAAAAAAATAGAAAAGTCCTTCGATTACTAAAGAGATTAAAGAGTAAGGATCTACGTCAGCATGATAAAGATTTCTAAGTGTGATTAAGGTTCCAATCTCATGACATGTGGAATAACCTATGTAATTATATTCCCTTTAGAGCTACAGAAAAGTCCAAGTGACTGTAATACATGCTAACTTAATCTTAGCCACAGAAAATGTGTTTCTAATTTTCAAATTCGGCAATTTTTCAATAAAAGTTGTTGTACTTCGTCTGATCTATTCTCAAAATACGGAAGTGCTTGAAGCCCGACCACCTGCAATAACAGATTACTGCTCTCTAAAATATTACCATACACCTACAATGTGGAGGCGCAAAGCTTTGCTAAAAAAGATCTTTGTTGTTTTTTCTAAAAGAAAGAAGTGATCCCAAAGTAAAGCTGGTTTTCAGCAGCCTCTCTGCTCCCAAATGCGACCGGCATCAAAGTCTAATGAAAACCTGTTTGCGGACACTGGATCCAATCCAAGGTACACCATTGGCATATTCTAGACCCCTTGGGACATGACTCATATAAAAAACACAGGGCTGTCATCGGATGGCTGGTGGCTCAAATAAATCAAATTTACTTTGAAAACTGAGGCACACCAAAATTTTATTAGGTGAAACTTTGGCATTTCTTATAGCCAACTTGCACATATATATTTTTATTACTTACAGCAGTTAAAAGGTATGCTACCAATCATATGCAAAACAAGAAAAGATTGCAGAGTACATTTTTTTACTGGGTGGTGGTAGAACTACTTTTTATTTTTTATTTTTTACCTTTAAAGGAACTCCAAATAGTTAGTTAGTAATAGGTGGTGCCAAAGAATGCAGCCCAGTGTTTGCATAATTCACAAACCCTCTGGTGCAAACTTCTCCATTGCAGACTCCATTTAGCAGATCCCATCACTAATCTTAAAGAATGACTTTTACCCGAAAGTGATTTCTTGCTCACTAAAACTATCAACTGCACCACACTTCTTAGGATGATGACAGGTAGTGTTTATAATGTGCATTTATGAGAAACAGACATGAACATACTCAAGTTCTAGATGATCTAAAAAGAATTAAACTTTAAGCTTCAAAGGTCTACTACTTCTTATGCACTAACTCATACATTAAGTCAGTTTCAAATTCTGGTATAGGAACATTTCACTTTCTCTTCAGTTAAATATTAGAACATTCTTTATAAGTCTAATATATATTTATCTTTTAAATATGCTAATTGATCATCAAAGGCATACCAGAAAACAGGCGTTTACCCAAATAATAGTATACTTACAAGTCAATACTTACTTTTAAGGTCACATTTCTCACATTTTAAAAGTGATAGCAGCTAATTTTCCTTATTTGGCAACTGCTTCAAGATTTTAATGTGGCAACACACGTACTATTGTGTACATGTTCAAATACACACACAGGTACACATTTTACCATGTAGTACATAGATTTCAACTGGCAAGCTTAGACCAGAACCTCTTAAAAGATTTACATGCACCTAAAATGTTTACTTTTTAAATATTGAGTTTTGTATAGAATTCATAAAGCTTATTGTTTTAAAATTATAAAATTGTGGCATGTTGTGTACAGTTATAAATACATTCAAAAGATATATATTCTATTAAAAATGCATTGTGCATTTCTAAAAGAGTTTCCAGAAATATTTTAAAATCCATTCTTTCATAGCTTCTTTGATTATTTAATATTGTTCCATGAATGAACAATAGCCCTTTTGCCATACAGCTCACTCGGCAAGCAGTAACAGATATCACAAGGAAAACCAACTTCATGCTAGGCTGTGTTTTCAGTGACTGAGCACAAGCTAGGTCAACGAAAACCAAATCAACTATTTTGACTGAATTTACCTATGACTTGAGAAAATCGGTTACTTTGAATACGGATTTGACTGAACAGAAATCATTTCATTTGAAATGGCTCAGTGATTTTCACAGAGATGTAGCTTCAATAAAATCTGTGAGAAAGGAAAAACAGTGATTTGGCCACAGAATACAAGGGAAGAAACACATCTGTAATCAATGAACAAGTAATTGTTCAAGGCTTATTACCTGCTGAGCATTGTGCTAGAACTATGAAGAATAGAAAAGAAATATAAAAAAGTATTCCTGTCCTTGAATTGCTTACAATCAGGCTGAGAATTTATAAATGATTACAGGAATTATCTACGAGCAAGACAAGATAGTAAGTTGATCCATGCCATATAGTGTAGTAACACACACATTTTATGAAAATGGGCTTAGTTTGGTGTTTTAGAAGGGCAGGATTCTGATAGTGAGAGAAGACAGGAGCGGCTGAGACCAACCATGCAGAATTTGGTCTCACCCGTGTCTACCTAAGTTTGTTCCTGTTTCTTCCTCAACTCGAATAGTCTTTGTCCCCTGAACAGATTACTATTAATAACTTCAACCTCATAATTTATTTTTTAAATTTTGTTTTTAGAAAGCCACCATAAATAAAATCAAAGGCAAACTGTGAACTTGGAAAAAGCTTTTCCGTATCTCTGATAAAGGGTTGATATCTTAACAGCAATTACCAATCAGTGAGGTCAGACATGTACAGCACTAGAAAAAAATAAGTGAGTGTAAGACCACCAATAGGCCACTGACAAAAAAGTCTGGTTGGCCAGTTATAACATAATAAATCATTTAACTTCATTGATAAGTATAGCCATGAAAATTAAAACCATTAAGAAATGTAATTTTCACCAAGCAAACTGCTGACATTTTGAAGATATCAAAGACTGGGAGAAACAGGGACATTTGGTCACAGATAATGGGAAGAGAAATGGATTTAACAATTTTGGAAGGCACACTGGCACTATGTATTAAAAACCACAACATACGTAATAAACTTTGACCAAGAAATTGCATTACTAGGACATTTTAAGGGACTCATTATGAATATGCTCAAAGGCTTAATAGATGAGGATGTTCATGGCACTGTTCTAAGATTTTTAAAATTTGGAAATGACATAAAGGTCCAATAACAGACGACTTTTTTCATAAAGTTTAAAATTTGAGAAATAATATTTAGTGATATGAAAATATTTCCTATATACGAATATACAGAATGGTTCATAAAATATGGAATGCATTTCAAATTTTAGAAGGAATGTACAGAAAAACACTGGAAAGAGATACATTAATATGTTACCAGTGAAATCACGGTTTTCTAGGCAATGGGAATACAAGTTGCTTTTCTTTGTCTTTTTTTAATTTATAAAAATACACGTTATTTTTATTACTTGAAGAAATTTATTCACAAAACAACGCTGCAAAAATATTTTGAAACTAAAGCTGTTTGTAAATATTTAAGATAGCTTTGTTAGGCTAAGGTACTGAAGCTTGCTATAGACTGTTTTCCAGAGGAATTTCTAATAATGTGCATTTCCAGCAGGATTTATGATAATGTCATTTCACTGCAGCTTTAGCAAAAGGGAATATTTAATAATGTTATAGTATGTTGCTAATTGTCTTTTTAAACCATTTTTGAAATTTATATTGAAAAATGCTACATTTGTATATATTTTATCAAAGTGATAGTTTTTTAGTTATGATTAATAGGTACAAAATTGAAACACTTAAAATGTGTATAATTATACAAAATTTTATAAATGTTTATTAATAGGTTTAAGAGACCTTTTCCTAAAATATTCTTAGGTCAGAAGAAATGGGATCAAGAACAGATTTGCTTACCTTTCTTCTTGTAGGACTTATGAGAAGATAAGGAGTAACAAAAATCAAAATTCTAAGCTCTAACCAAGCTTTGCTTGGTGGGTTTAAACACAGCTCATTCTTGACTATCTTAATTAACATAAAAAATAGTGGGCATAGTCATAAACAATAAATAGTCAAAAGCTTTCTGTTATTCTCTTAGCTACACGTGATGTAACTTTTCAGGAAATATGCCATATTGTAATAAATGTATTTGCCTCTGACTATTGAAAATCAGCTGAGTTTGGGAGACACATAAAACATGTTGAATATCTGAAAAAAGTCAGTTTGAATTATAAATAGTTCTGCCAATATGGATTATGGATAAAAATAGATTTAGTTTGGCATAGTTCTTTGCCAGTGTGGCTCCTAATGCTAACTTGAAAGAGAAAGACATTGATGAGCTTAACTTGCAGAAATTATTTCTTATAGAAGAGTGAAAGTTTATTCTCACCCATACTTATTCTTCCAGACTGTTCAGTGTGACAGTTTTTTCTTTAAGTTCAATCAGACCTTTGGGCCAATGTCCTTTGTCAACCAGTCAACAATAAAGCTGTTCTCAATCATGAAAAAGGATTTTTTTCCTCATAGGCATTCTTGGGAAAGGGGGAAGTCTTCTTCAGATTTAAATTATAAATTAGAGAGACATTTCTTCTAGGAATAAAGTGATTTTGTTAGTTTCCCCCAAATTAAAAAATATATAAAAGGATAATTTTCTGAGCTTTTTGATGAAGGGGCTATGAACAAACAGCCTGAATTGTATTTGAGCATATATAAGTAGAGTTCAGCAGAGATAAAATACGACCCTCTGCTTAGGGAGTTCTCCTTTGTACACTAGTGATTCCAAGCCCTTATCCCAACCTCGTCACCACCTTGACCCCTCTTCCAACTCATTAAGCAAGTGAAGTTCCTACTGGTGACAGTTTGAGGCAAATTCCTTAGGTGGTCAGACATGAGATCTCAACATTGTAAAAATTTTACTCTCTAACCTGACTTGCAACTATGATTCTAAGAAAACCTCCCATAGCTTCTTTTTCAGATAGTTCTTGCACAACTGTCTTTGCCCCTCCCTCCCCTGCTGCTTTCCCCTTCTCATTAAAGCTTTAAGAGCAGCTAAGTATGAAGAGGTGCTCCTATTGCTGAAGTTTTATTAGTTTTGTAAAATGCAGTGTGGCATACCCACGCTACCAAGCATTACAAATAAAACTAGAATGTCATTAGCAAAACTAAATAAAATAAGAATGGTGGAAAGAGCACTATTTCAGGAGTCAAGACATCTATATTCTCATACCTTTCTAATTCACACGACTTGTCATTAAACTAGTCATTTAATGAAATGTCTTTGTGCCTCTATTTCCTTTGCTAAAAAAAATGAAGGAGCTGCACTAGCTATGTCCTTTCCAGCTTTAGCCGTCTGTGCACCTAAATCTGTTCATAAAACTGTCTTTAAAAATTATTTTTTCTTCCCGCCTTCAGTAAGACAGCTTTTGTCAGCCAATAATATTGAATGATTACAATCTGATTTGCCACAAAACCTGCCACCAAATCTGTTCATAAAAATATTCTTGAAAACTATTTTAGAAAGCCTGTATGCTAATACTTTTCACATCTCCTGCACAAAAATAGGCAAACAAAGAGTTCCTCTGAATGTGTGTGCTTATTTTATTATTATTATTATTTATTATTTTTTTCAGAGGGCTTATATTATAGAAAAAGTATTAAGCAGTAAACTCATTTATAGACATCCTAAGAAGGTCAAATAGAAAATACAATCATAAATAGATTGTCACTACTGCAAAACAATGCAAACTTTCTCCATCTACTTGGCTTTCTTGCTCCTTAGACTAAGCAACTGATCAGATATGCTTGTGCAAGTCAGCTATGTTATTTCAAACTATTGCTTTTATACATATTCAAAAGCCATATTAAATAACAGGAATAAAACAATTATTAATTTCTGATAAAACCCAGAGTGCATTTTTTAGCTTCTTTATAGAAGATTGTTGAGCATTTTGATTTTGATTCAGAATGTACCTTTGATGACTGACAACTTCACTAATGTTTTCTTGCATTTGATACTTAACCTTAGAAAATTAATTTGCATGATAAGTATGTTCTTCCGAATTTGGCAGCAGAGAACTAATTGTCATTAAATAAATCCACAGTTTTATTTTGAGAATGAAGGAGTTGTTTCTTTCTCTCTAAATGTTGTCATTATTATTATTAAACTGTTGGAATGCCAGATATTTGTTGGTAAGAAAACTCAGTTGCTTTAAATACCATCTTGTTTTCAAATAAACTGCTCAAAATGTGTTGGATTGTATTAATAAAATATATAAATATTTAAATAGGTTTTATAAACAAAGTTGATGTGATCCAATAAATACATAGTAAGGCTCCTATTATGCAAAAGACATTGTTTCAGGTACCATGTGACATTCAAAAGCAACTCATCAAGGGTTCTTCTTTGGTAAAGCCAAAAATATATAGTTAGAAATAAACCAAGGAAACTGAAACAGCTATAGCACAAGACAGAATTTAATAAGTGTCAAAGCATAATGTATGATGAGTCAAGACAGAAATCATACTTGGGTGATTGATCATGTAGGACTTCCTGGAAGAGGTTATTTGAAATGAATGGGTAGTACATCCCTTCAGGAATTGCTATGGGGACAATGTGTTCCAAGGACATGTTAGAAACACTGAAACTGGCCCAGGTTCTCCTGATATTACTGCCTCCACTTAGAACTTGTTCTATACATCACTTACTGCTGGTTGCATTTCTGCCTCAAGAATTCTCCCAAAGATCACTGAGCTTATCTACATAGAGAGCAGATATAGAGGAACAGCAAGGGGCTACCTGGAAAGGTAAATGGGACCTACATTATGAAGGGTCTTGAATGCCAAGCTAAATATGGAGCTGATTCTATGGATGTTGGGAAGCCACTGAGCCTTCAGGGCAGGGTTACTATGTGATCAGCTTTCAACAACAGACTGGCAGGAAGCACAGGATAACTTTACCCAGGGAGAGTCCTTAGGGTTCAGAAATTAAGGAGGGATCTTTGAAGACCTGCCCCTGGGTGATGGCAGTGAAAAGTGAAGGAGAAGGACTGGTTAAAAGAGACAACTAAGGAGAAAACCAGTAACCTCTATTATATAAGAAATAACTATAGTTTAAGTATTTAATACCATAATGGTTTCCAAAAGTGTTTTTGGAAATTTATACCTGCAAAAAATAGAACCAACAAAATACTGTAAAACTCAGGAGTAGCTGAGTAGAAGGCCAAAGAAGGGCTAAAGTGATTCTCTTAACTTTCTCATTTATTCTTTTTTGAAAATTTATCAAATAGATTTTGATGTTAACAACTGGCTGAGATCTGATTTTCTAAATTAATTTTGTAATGATTTTTTGGGGGTTTGAGAAATCAAAAAAATGGTTCATTTCTTAAAAACTCCAAATAATTATTAAAAGTAATTCTAATATAAAAGTTTTTTAAGAGGACTCTAGAATTTATAGCTTCAGAAAATCAAACTTTCAAAAGTATTTTGTCATATATATTATAGTTAGTGATATTTGGATTTTTTAGTTTCTAGAGCTTTAATTATTGAATTAAATGGAAATTAATGTTTTAGAATTTGAAAAGTCACTTAATTTTCATGGGATGTCTAAAAATTTTCCTAAAAATGTAAGGCACTCTATTTGGAAAAACTCAAACATGTGAATCATAGAAGAATTTTATATTTAAGTAGGTTTACTTTTTATAGCCATTTACTCTCAAACCAGAAGTTGTGCGATTAACAATAAAAATCAAGTTTTCTCACACAATCATAGACTTGTTCACTTTGCTACACTGTATAAAGCATGTCCATACATATGTGGAGCCAATAAGGCAAACTGACTAAAGTAAGTGTATCATCATATACACAAGAAAAACCCAATACTCCACATAAAATGTTTAAGTTACTGAATCAATAATATAATGATTATTTAAAATATGGATTTATGTGCTTTGAAAAATTTTCTCTTTTTAAACCAAAATATCTTATTTACACAGAAAAATTACCAAATAAATCAAAATACTGACACCTTACTATAGAGGATTCATCCTGACCCAGGAAAAAATATGAATTTTTTTTAGGTACAAAATAAGAATTGTGATTTTAAAAAACAGATTAGTGACAAGAGTAGCAACAAACTGAGCACAAAAGCCTACTTACACAGTTGTACGATTAACAATAAAAAATCAAGCTTTCTCACACAATCATAGACTTGTTCACTTTGCTACACTGTATAAAGCATGTCCACTATCACAAGAACAAAAAACCAAACACCGCATATTCCCACTCATAGGTGGGAATTGAACAATGAGAACACATGGACACAGGAAGGGGAACATCACACTCTGGGGACTGTTGTGGGGTGGGGGGAGTGGGAAGGGATAGCTTTAGGAGATATACCTAATGCTAAATGACGAGTTAATGGGTGCAGCACACCAGCATGGCACATGTATACATATGTAACTAACCTGCACATTGTGCACATGTACCCTAAAACTTAAAGTATAGTAATAATAAAATAAAAAATAAGAAAAAGAAATGGGAAACTACTATAGTAATAAAGATGGTTAATTACTTAAAATAAAAGCATGTCCATATATATGTGGAGCCAATAAGACAAAGAAAACCAAAACAGTTTATTTTTGAATAATAGTATTTGTAGATTCCTTGATAACATACCAGGTGACTTGGAGACAATATTGATCTGGAAGATTATAAACCCAAAAGGTTCTCATGGCTGAGTAATGCTAACAACAGCAGTAACACTCATTCGAACCCTGAAGAAAAATAATTGGGAGGACCAAATTTGCTCTGCAGAAAGTACCCAAACTACTGAGGTTGAAATAGTCATTTGAAGTAAATCATGTGTTATGGTAACACTGCAGAAAGCCTTTACATTCCTTCTGAACATCCTGAGATGTGGTAATATATGGTTTATTCACAAACATGCTCTCATGTATAAATGTCCGTCTGTAGATCTGAATTATGCATATGATAACATCAAAATGGCAATCTAATAAAATCCAAGCTTCCACAGTCTTGTCTATTTTCAGATTTTTGCAAAGTACAAGGAGAATACTTCCTTCGGCTGTTTCACACTTAAATGCATTGGCTGTCCAAAGGAAAAGTTTTGTCAACAGTTTAGAAGCAAGAAAAAAATTGAAAAAATTGGATAATTTTCATTTTGCAGATTTGCTGTAGTTTTTAGCTTCATGAAATGGCTTACTTAAAAATTTGCAAAAATTATAGGAAATATATTAATATGTAATGACAAAGCAGACATTTCAACTTTAGAAAACTGAGGCTAAAACAATTTGCTACCGGTGTTTAGTTGATACAATAATTTGGATCTTTGCAAAAACCTTTTAAGAGCAAGTAACATCTGTGTATTATTGAGGAAACACTTCATGAGTATTTTGAAATGCTTGATTTTAGAAAATATATTAACTGGATTTGAAATTTCTTGTTGTACAATGAGGACTTTAAGCATTACACTTATCAATGAAAGAAAAAGAAGCTTTAGATTTAAAGGATGAATACACCATTCATGTTTAATTTAAAGTGTTCAAATAATTTGAGTTCTGCTCAATGGAGGTAAGAGTCTGTGATATGGAGAAAAAGTGATAAATACATTTTTGCTATTTGCTACCTCTTATTCATATAAACAAAGTTTCTCACAAATTATTTATCTTAAGAATGTGAAGATAAATCATCATTTGGAAAAAATCTTGATTAGGATATATGCATAACCAAACAAATCATAAAACTCTATAATAAAATGTTATGTACACAAAAGTAAGATCTAGTTTCTCATTTAAAAATTTGGAAATATTTTATTTGGGAGCTATGTACAAACTCAATATTTAATATCCTGCCTAACATTTATGTTTTGCTTTTCATAACAAATCCATATAAGGTAAAGAAAAAATATATATTTTTTTCACCAAACTGCATATAGAAACCTCCAAAATCCTCTCTAGTTTACTATGATATGCTGTAGAAATAGAATCATTTAATCTGTGATTGAATATGAGTAAGTCTGACAAGAAATTCCTAGGAAAATAAATTTAACTGATTGTTGGGTAAAGTGTGATAAAGCAAATGAAAAACAAGCCCAAGGTAACTCAAAAGTTAAGAATATTACCAAGGAGAAAAATATGTTGGCTGTAGCTTAACTTGTTTCTTGGTTTGTAAGACTTAAAGAAGCTATGAGAGGAAGCACATCTCGGCAGACATAAGAGTATAAAGATATTCCAAAAGGCAAACATTCCAAAAGCACTCATCCTTCTCCAAGTTTCTCTAAAGGGGTTCTCAGTGTGCTAATGATGGAAACATGTCCTGGGCATTTGTTGTGGTTTCTTATAAAAACCAAGTTATAGATTGTCTGAAGTTGTAGTCAATGACTAAATATTACACAACTTGAGTAAGTTTTGGTGCTTGGGAAAATAGCTTCAAAGTTTCACTCTTCTGGGGACTATCTGGGAACAGGAAGGGAAGAAACATGTATATATTCTTAAAATAACCTACATCAATAAATCAACATTCATATTAAATTCCTCAACTGAGTGGTGATATGTATCAGAATTTCTGCTAACTGCAGAGATACAAAGATCTTTTTTAAAAATATGCTACTTTAAAATCCCATACAGAAATAGGCCTGAAGCTTTAAATATGTATTCCAATAACTCATATTTCTTAGAACTACTGTATTTTTTATCTCATGTACTGTTTGAGGGTTTTCCAGGTTCAATATTGTGTGCGTCAAATTACTCCATATTCCTGTATGTTTCAGAGAGTCTGAAGAGACAAAATAAAATACTTTCCTTTTGATCTAAAATGGCATTTCCTATATAAGAACAAAAAGCCACAAGAAAGTTTTAAGGCTTCTGCAATTAGCGTATTAAAAAAATTGTACTGCCTAAAACTGACCATAATTTCCAGCGAAACCTTGCCAAATCTACTGGAAAAGGCAGAGTCAGGAAGAATGTCTATGTGGCTACAAATAACAGCAAAACTCTATGCTATAATACAAATAATAACCTAAGAGTTATTGAAGGCATGAGAATAACTTATAAAAAGCAATTGTAAAGCATTTTGTAAAATATTATTGCCATTCAAATGTTAAATGATGACAACAGAAGTTCTTCAGGGACTGATAAAAAGCAAATACTGTTGGAAGAGGAACTATAAGGAAAAAGTAAAGAAAATGGAGCGGATATAAAGACCTCGTAAATTTGAGAGAAAAAAAGACAGTTGTGAGTGATAAAAGGAAAAACCTTGCCAATTTTATGTCCAAATCTACCAGAATAAATAGCTCTTTTTTAATTCCAGGGGACCCAAACCCAAATAGGAGAATAAAAAGTAATCTCTTAAATGTTTATAGAGACATTTTTCACACATATAAGCAAATACAGAAGAAATATATACTAATTGATTCTGTTTTACAGATCATGTAGTACAATTAAATTATTTTTAGAGGAATATAAAGTAACAAGGTTCATCATTTCTGCTTAGTCCTAATTAACACCTACAGTGGAACAACTTATAAAAAGAAAGGTAAGATGCTCAGCAATCTTCATCACTCGCCCATCAAAACAAGGTCTTTAGAAAAGTGCCTTAATAATCAAAACTTGTTTCCTAAAAAACCAAACCTTTATAGAAAAATGATGATAATGATGATGATGTTGAATTCTTAACAGAGTATGCTTAATTCTTCTAACTTTTCTTTTAGCTCTTGAGTAATTTAATCTGTAAATTACCTGCAAAACCAATAGCATGAGTAGTGCTCTCCGAAACTGGTATATTTAATCAAAATGAAGAATAAAGAAAGGGTGCTTATGTAAATCAGACACAGGTTTTGCCAATTCTGCAGAATGGATTCCTTATTCTTTTCTGCCCTATTTGGAACTAGTATGTTCCTAATTATTGCTGTTTAGCGTCTTAGGAAGAGAAAAAGGAATAAAACATGAATGATGCTAGAATGTTCTCTAATGAAAATTAATTGCTTTTTAAAAAAAGACTCAGATAATAGGAATAGGATCAAAAGATATTTTTGTTTTACTTGACTGTTTTTATTCATTTTACAGTAGTCATCTTCCAGGAAGCAAGACTTACCACCAATAACTAATGGGGGCCAGTCTTGGAGAATCAAGGTTCATCCAATGTTTAGGTTGTGTATTCAACACTCCCATGTTTTATCTAGCTCACTTTTGTCTGTGGAGTCTGAGAGTGAGAGACTAGCTCACTCTCCTCTGTAGAGTCTGAGTTATCTTGTTTAGATTTTATGTCGACTACCTTAAAGGGTGACTGCAGAATCCTCATTTCCCACATGCTATGAAGAAAAAAATGATACAAAAAAAGGAAGGGGAATGAAAGAAGTAGAAGAGGGAAAGAGAGAAAAAGAATCAAAGAGATATTCTCCTACACAGTCTGCCCTTGAAGAAAACATCTGCCTAAATGTTTTGTGCTGAGAATGACCTGTTAACATGATCTGAAGTTAGAGCAGTTAGGACTGGGGGGAGGGGAGAAGTGCACACTTGGAGAAAATTGAGAAACAAATGTGAGGGATAAAATTATGTTTCTCCAAAAAGTACAATATATAAATGCTATTGTCAGAAAAATAAGGGTAAAAAGGAAAGGAAAACGTACATACATATAGGCAGAAATTATAAAGATTGGGGTTTAAACTTAGGAAAAATTGTACTAGCTGAAAAATCGCCAAACCAAAACTATGAAATCAGTGGGCCTGAAAGAGGAGGCATGTACAAAGTAGAATAAGGACAGCGTGATGTTTTGGTGCTTTTATCCAATGGAGAAAATTTGCTTGACCCAGTTTTGAGATAATCTCACCTTATTTTCTCAGACTTACTAGTACAAAACTTGGTCTAGAATGATCTCTGAGGGTGCTATATTACAGACCTTCCATACTAAAAATTGCTGTCAAAATTTACTGAGCATGTACTGCATGCTTGGCACTGTCCTGAAAAGTGTGCAGCTAATTGCAATTCTGTGCTGTAAGTACTATGTTCATTTCCATTTTGTACATAGAAAAATTGAAGCACAAAGTTTCATCACCTGCCCAAGCTCACAAAGAAAGTAAGTGGTGGAAGTGGGAATCTAATTTAGGCCAGCTAACTCCCAAGCCCCCTAGTTTAATCACAACACAGTATGTTGACCTTTTCATAATGATGTTTAAGTTACTTATCTGAAATGATTTCTAACGAGTAAAGGAGATTGGTATAAAGTGATCGCTCATTTTAATTCAAGCATAGAAATGGCAGGCATTGGGTTAGATTCTGGGTCCAAAAAAGAACAAAATCCAGTTACTGTGCTCCTAAATATTAAAGCCTGGTAGAATCCTCACAACAGGAATGAGAATGTCAAGGAGTGTAGATGCAATACTGTGTGATAGGAAAGGTTGTAATAGTGAAGTACTCAAGTCTGAAGCAGTGAAGTATAGGCCTCAGAAACTACAACAGAGGAAAAGTGGAACAGCTTTTCCCACTACAAGTAGACACACTAAACCTTGCAATAACGTAGGCACTTCTGGGCAGATTAGAACTACTCTTCTTTCTGTGAGCCTTCTAATCATTCCAGAGCTAAAATATAGCCCTTCAAGAATGTTTCAGATGTGCAAATAAGTCCATGTAGTCAGTCAAAAGAATGAAGAAGCATCTGTGTTCAGTCCACTTAGTTGAAATTTACTGACATTATGAAAATATTAGGAAAACCTATCAATGATAAAGAATCATGCTCAGCATAATAAAGATGCATTAATAAAAGCATTGGGGAATGGGGTGGAGAAGTGGGTTGAAGATTAAAGCCAAGCCAAAATATGAATGGGATGTTGCTGCAAGATTAAGAGGGTCTTTGGTATTATAAGGAAAGAAAATTAGGGCAAGTTAATTTATGGAAAGACAGTGAAAACAAAATTGTCCCTTATGTCATCTAAGTTTGGATTTGCTATTTTTTTATTACCTTTTAAAGATTTATAATAAGAAAAATGCAATGGAGAAATTAAGAATCATTAGGATGTAATGATGAGTTTCAAAGACAGCCCTAATGAAAAGCAGAAATATTTGAAAACAAAAATCCCCAAATCATATTTCTGTTTAAAATTTATAGTAATACTCTGATTCTTTAAAATCCACTGAGCTGCAATATGTGCTTATATTGGCTGTTGAATTATGATTTAAATGTATGCTATATTAAGGAGGTAAAATATTTGTTGCCTTACATGAAAAAAATTTAATTGTGGAAAATGGAGGAAAGTCAGAAGATTGAAGACACAAAATAGTAATCATTGAAATCTACTGTACTGTTTTAAAAAAGGAATATGCATATACTTTCATATATCCAACTTGGATAAAATACGTGCGAGCAAAATACACCAAAATGTTAACAGAGTAATCTCTGCAATGTGATTGCAGGCATTTTTTTCTTTTTTCTTTATACTTCTCTTGATTTTTCAGTTTCTATAATGAGCTAGTACTACTTTTATAATTAGAAAAAGGCCATGTTATGTTAAAATAGACTTCTGTCTATGTTCTAGAAGAAGTGAATTGTATAATAATAAATTAGACATCAATTAAAAACACAAATCATTAGCAGTATACAGCCAGAGTTTACAAAGAACAACTTAAACCATACAAACTTCATAACTTCTTTTGGCTTGAACTCTAAGATTCAGCAGATGTTATACTGGAATTTTAGTAAAGGACATGGTATAGTCTCCCGAGATTTTACTGACAGATGAATTTAAATCTGTTTGGATCAGAGAAACTGCACTTGGTTGAAAAACAAGGCTGTAGGTCTGTAAACAAAAGGAAGTGATGACCTGATCAAGGGAAGAGGCTAATGAAAAAGCCATAGTGTCAATCAGCAACCAGCCATAGAGAACAGAGGCATAGCCTAGATGGCACATGGAGTATTTAAGATGGTAAAAGGCTCTGGTAGGGAGAAAAAATGGCAAGATGGCAGGGAGAAGTAATGATTATTAAGCACCTGCTTCATGTGAAAATTGTGCTAGTCTTTGGTGTATTGCTCTCTTGTACTGTGTGAACAACATCTCTACAAGTTAGGAATTCTTTCCGATTAACAGATGAGGAAATTAAGAGTAAAAAAAGACGTTAAATGTAACAAATAGTAAATACTGACAGATACAGCAACTTACCTATTTAGTTAAATGTGATCTGAAAAATAAAATCTATCAATAGTGAGTTCCTAGTAAGCATTAAAAAAAAAAAAACCAGAGAAATTACTGTGCTAAACATTGACAGAAGTGTACTATGTAACATGAAAGGAAAAACCCAAGGGTTTTTGCTTTTTGTTTTTTAAATTTTTTGAATTTCGACTTCACATATTACATTTAATAACATGGGGGATACAAGGACAATTAGTTTGCCCCTCTCTCGATAAGTATAGTGAAATTATGGCCGGGATATTGTATCTCATTATGATAGATTTATTCCAGCAAAGACAATAAGGTCCATAAAAATGCTAAGGTATTGTCTGTGGAGATCCTGACTAAATGTTGACTAGGATGAGTCATAGCATAGCTGAAATGCATAAGCACTTGGAGGAAATGATGGGGTTTGATCTAAACAGGATAAGTAGAATAAAAGTAAGGAAAGGAAGAAGCATAGGTCAAATATCAATAAAAACTTTCCAACAGTGGAAACTATCAAAACCAGAAGATTTGTTCCCAAAGGAGATTCATATTTTGGAAGATTTAATATTTGACTGAGTAAACATGAAAAAATAACTAATCGAGAACAGTTCTCAATTTTATGCTTCTATAGATTCATTTGTAAATAAACTGTTGAGCAATGATGTCCCATTTATTCATCAGCATTAGGGAACAAACTGTTCTGTAGAAGTCAGTTCCCCAGATGTTGCAGGACTTGCAACAGCTACAGATTTTTGAAAAAATTTCAACTTATTTAATGGGAAATTATTTAAATTGCGTTACTCAGATCCTTGGCTTCTTCAACATTCCAATTCAGAATTACGATATGAGATAGCAGAACTATGTGTGGAAAGCCTCCTGGAACATGGGCTCAGGACAAGCAGAGTCCCAGTCTTAGTTCAAGTAGAAAGTAGCTATGACCGTGAAGGTCATTTATCCTTCTGGTCCATATATTTTTTTAAATATACAACTATAAATAAAAGTATGGGGAAAATGATCTCATTCACATGTGCACATGTTTTTCTTTGATGGGTAGGTAATAAGAAGCTGAATATGTGGGTAAAAGGGATTTTAGCATTCTAAAGTTATATTTATGATAACCAGAACTTATTCACTTATTCTGTGTGTAATTAAACATAAATACACTTTTATCCACCATTGCTCAATTGATCCCATTTTTAAGAACTTTATTGCTGTATAATCAATGTATGATAAACTGTACAATTTAACAAGTTTGAGCATTTGCATATGCTAATAGAACTATCACCACCGTCAAGATAGTGAACATATCCATCATTCCCAGTAGTGATCTCTTGCTCCAGTACATTTCCTTCTTCCCACCCATCTTCCCTCCACCAGGCAACTGCTGATTGGATTTCTGTCACTATATATTAGTTCACATTTTCTAGAATTTTAAATAAATGAAACAAAACTGTATATACTCTTTTTTCAGTCTGGATTTTTTTGTTTTGCATAATTATTTTGAAATTCATCTATGTTGTATTTATCTGTAGTTCATTTCTTTTTATTATTAAATAGTAATTTATTGCATGCCAATTTGTTTATCCATTAACTCCATTCGTCTGTTGATGGACATTAGGGTTGCACCAGTTTTGACTATTACAAATAAGGCTATTGTGAACATTTGTGTGTAAGTCTTTGCATGAACATTTGCTTTCATTTCTCTTGGATAAATATCTGGAATAGAATGGTTGGCTCCTGTGATAGGTATATATTTAATTTTTTAGGAAACTGACAAACTATTTTCCAATATGATTGTGCCATTTTGCATTCTCAGCAGCAGTGTATGAGAATTCCAGTTCCTCCACAACCCTATCAGCACTTAACATGGTCAGTCTTCTTAGTTTAGCCATTCTGATGAAAGTGCAGTAGTCACAGCACTTTAGGAGGCGGAGGCAGGCGGATCACCAGGTCAGGAGATGGAGACCATCCTGGCTAACACGGTGAAACCCCGTCTCTACTGAAAATCCAAAAAATTAGCCGGGCATGGTGGCGGGTGCCTGTAGTCCCAGCTACTCAGGAGGCTGAGGCAGGAGAATGGTGTGAACCCGGGAGGCGGAGCTTGCAGTGAGCCGAGATTGCACTACTGCACTCCAGCCTGGCCGACAGAGGACACTCCGTCTCAAAAAAAAAAAAAACGAAAGTGCAGTAGTATTTCTTTGTGATTTTAATTCACATTTCCTTAATGATTAAAAGTGTTGAACATTTTTCATGTTTCTTTTTCAACTTAACTTTATTCTCGAAAAGTCTGTTTGACTCTACCCATTTTTAAAGTTGTTTTTTATTATTGAGATTTGAGAATTCCTAACCTATTCTAGATACAAGTCCTTTTTCACATATATGATTTGCTAATATTTTCTCCAAATCTGTAGTTTATCTTTTCATTCTCTTAATATCTTTTGAAAGCAGAATTTTATCATTTTGATGAAGTTAAATTTATCATTTTTATCTTATACGGATTGTGCTTTTAGTGTTTTATATAAGAAATTTTGCCTAACCCGGGGTCACAAAGATTTTCTTCTATGTTTTCCTCTAGAAGTTTTATACTTTTAGGTGTTACATTTAGATATACAAATTTTTTTAATGTATGGTGTGAATATGGTTTGAAATTTATTTTTTACCTATGGATAACCAATTGTATATCATTTGTTGAAAAACGTTTTCTAATAAATTGCCTTTGCACCTTTTCTAAAATTCTCTATTTGATTCCATCAGTCTATCTTTACCAATATTTCACTGTTATGATAACTGTAGTTTTACAATGAATCATGAAATCAGGAAGTATTGGTACTGCAACTTTTTTCTTATGTTTCCATTTTATTTTGGCTGTTCTATGTCCTTTGCATTTCTATCTGAACTTTAGAATAAGCTTGTCAGTTAAAAAATAAGAATAAAAATAAACCCTGCTGGGATTTTGATTGGGATTGCATTGAATATGTAGGTCAACTTGACAAGAATTGACATCTTAACAATATCAAGTCTTCTCTCCTATGAACACAGTATAAATCTATATTTATATAGGTTTTCTTTAATTTCCCTTAGCAATGTCTTACAGTTTTCAGTGTACATGTCTTGCATATATTTTGTCAGATATATTTCTAAATAGTTCATATCTTTGATGCTATTGTAAGTGGAATTATATTAATTATTCCAATTTTCAATATTTCCTTACTATGCAATTGATATTTGTATCTTGATTTTGTATTTTGTAACATAGTGAATTCTAGTAGATGTTTTTACAGATATTATCAGGATTTCTACAGACAAACCTATGTCATTGTAAGTAGACAGTTTTCTACTTCCTTTTCAATCTGGATGTCTTTTGTTTCTTTTTATCAGCCTATTGAATTGACTAGAATCTTCCCTACAATTTTGGCTAGATGTGGACATCCTTCCTTTATTCCTGATCTTGGGAGGGGAAAGCATTAAATATCACATTGTAGGTTTTTCATAAATGTCCTTTATTAAGTTGAGAATGCTACCTTCTATCTCTAGTTCGATGAGAGCAATTTTATTTTTAAATAACAAATGGATGTTGGATTTTATCTAATTTTTTGTGTCTGTTTAAAGGATCATATGGTTTTCTTTTTTAGTTTGTTAATACTATGGATTACATGGATTGATTTTGAATGTTAAAACTACTTTGCATTTCTGGGATAAACCACAGTTGGTCTGGATGTATTATCCTTTTTCTATATTGTTTGATTCTATATGCTAAAATGTTAACAACTTTTTGTCTTTGTGTTCATGAGGAATATTACTTTGTAGTTTTCTTTGTGATGTCTTTGTTTTGCAAGGTAATGTTGGACTCATAGAATGAGTCGGCAAGTAGTTTCTCCTCACAAAATTTGTGGAAGGGTTTATGCAGCATTGGTATTTTTTTAAACTAAATATTTAGCAGAATTCAGAAATAAAGTAATCTGGGCCTGAGGTTTTTTTGTGTGTGAAAAGGCTTTTAACTACAAAGTCAATTTCTTTAACAGATATAGAGGTAGTTAGAAAGTTTATTTCTTCTTATGTGAGTTGATATTTTTTGTTCCTCAAGGGATTTGCCCACTTCATATAAGTTGTCAAATATATTAGCATAAAGTTATCCATAATATGCCTTCATAATCTTTTAATATCATAGAATCTGTAGTACTGACAACTCTTTCATTCTGAATATTGGTAATTTGTGCCCTGTCTCCCTTTTTTATCCTGATCGAATAGGTCTGTGTAGAGGTTAATTATCTATATTAATCTTCTTAAGAAAAGCAGGTTTCAATGATTTTCTCTAATCTGCTTTTTATTTCATTGGCTTACACTCTGATCTTCATTATCTTATTTCTTCTGCTTACTTTGAGGTTAATTTTTTCTTGCTTTTTCCAGTTTTTGTGGACAGAAACTAAGGTTGTCACTTTAAGATCTTTCTTGCAATACAGTCATATTTTAATGTTTCTTTTCTTGCCTGAAACTTTTTATTGGGTGCCAGACATTGTGAATTTTATCTTGTTGGGTGCTGGGTATTTTTAAATTCCTGTAAATATTTTTAAGTTTTGTTATGGGAGGTAGTCAAGTGACTTGGAAACAGTTTGATTCCCTCAGATTTTGCTTTTAAGATTTCTCAGGTGGGGCAACAGCAGGATTTATTCTGGAGATAATTATTTTGCACCTGAGACAAGAATTTTCTGAGTCCTGTACTCAATGCCACATAGAGGTTTTCCATTCTGCAAGTGGGAATGGGCACTGGTCCCAAATGAGCTCCAGCTAAGCTACTGTTTCTCCTAATCCTTTTGGGTGGTTCTTTTTACCTGGCCTTGGTCAGTTTCCTTGCACGCACCTGCTGATCAGCACTCGCTGAATACTCAAGGGCAGCCCTCTGAGGCTCTTGCCAATCTTCTCCGTCTTCCATTACTCTGCACTGTGAACTGCAGCCCTCTGTCTCTCCAAATTCTCATATCAATTTTCCCAACTCAGGGAGTTTGCTGGGTTCTGCTTATATTCCCTCTTTTTGGATCACAGCCTGGAAACTCCCTCAAGCCTGAAAGCCAGGGCAAGCATGAGGCTTACCTTACTTGTTTCCTGTCCCAAATTAATCATTCACCTTCCTTGCTTTATGTCCAATATCTTGAAAAGTGTTGTTTAATATATTTTGTCTGATTTTTTAATTGTTTCAGCAAGAAAGGTAAATCTGGCCCCTGTTACTCTGCATTGGCTAGAAGAGGAAGATATAAATATACTTTAAAAAATAACATAAACTGACCTAAAAATTAGTTCGTACTAAGAACTAGCAATCTTTGAGTCAAAGGTTTTACTCTGCATACCTGCATTTTGTGCCTCTCTCTCTCTCTGGCAAGACTTTAGATTCCTCATTATTAAGCCCAGGCGTGGCCTTTGAACATGAACCAGTGGAATCTGAGTGGAAGTATCATGTCTCTTCTGAGCAGAAGTTTTAAGAGTCAGGCTGAGGTTTGCCATGTTCTTTTTTGCCTCTGTCACAACGACTGCCCATCTTTCAGATGGAGGCTGCTCTTTCAGTGTATTAGTCAGGGTTCCCTAGAGTGACAGAACTAATAGGATAGATATATACTTATAAAGGAGAGTTTCTTAAGTATTAACTTACACGGTCGCAAGGTCCCACAATAGGGAGGTTTAGTAAGTATTAACTTACACGATCCCAAGTTCCCACAATAGGATGTCTGCAAGCTTGAGGAGCAAGGAGAGCCAGTCCGAGTCTCGAAACTGAAGAACTTGGAGTCTGATATTTGATGACAGGAAGCATCCAGCACAAGAGAAAGATGTAGGCTGGGAGGCTAGGCCAGTCTCCGCTGTTCACGTTTTTCTGTCTGCTTTATATTCACTGGAAGCTGATTAGATGGTGCCCACCAGATTAAGGGTAGGTCAGCCTTCCCCAGCCCACTGATTCCAATGTTAATCTCCTTTGGCAACACCCTCACAAACACACCTAGGATTAATACTTTGTATCCTTCAATCTAATCAAGTTGACACTCAGTACTAACCACCACATTCAGCTTGAGTTGATCCTCAGTATTAACCATCACATTCAGCTTGAGTCCGCATGTAAAGCAGAACTCAGATGACCTAGGGTGGACTTAAGCCTTTTTGTTGTAAGCTACATAGCCTAGCCTGTCTAACACATACTATAAGGGAGGCACTGGTTTTAGTTTCTAGATAATTAAATGGTTAATTCTATCTAAATTCTAACTCTTATACCATGTTACCTTAAGGGAGAGTGAGGGTTTCTTAAGAATTATTCATTGAGTGCCTATTGCATGCTGGAACTGTGATAGGCTTTGAGAACATAAAGATAAGAACAAAAAAGATAAGTCATGTTCCCTCAAAAATCCACAATCTAAGGGTACCCAGTCTAGTGAAGTATGTTTTTTTACATGGACTTGGTCAGTTTCCTTGCATGTTTTAATTGGGGTGAGTATGTTTTAACTGGGGGTGAACAAGACATGATGTTCCCCTTGGGAAACGTCACCCAATCTGTGATAATCAATGCAGGCTTTCCAGGGGCGGAACTGCTGGGATGAGTCTAAGGGAAACCTAGGAGTCAGCCTTCTAGAGAAAGAAGACAAAAGCAGTGCTGGCAGAGGAAGCAGCTTGTGGAGTGGCTGAGTGTCATGTGTAGGCTTGGCACACCTGAGAAGTTCACTTTGTTCTAGAGACCAAATAAGAAATGAGGCAGATAGAGGAACACTTCTCCCTTTGAGTCATCTCACAAATCTAGTTCACTTTTATAAGTAATTATTGACTGTAGCACCTACTAGGACAAAGGCAACTGAGAGGAGACATCTATTTTCCCGAGTCTTAGAGTCCTGGCCCTCTGAAAACAATAGCCAAATAGGAACAGTAAAGAGCTATGCCTGCCAATCTATAAGCCTGCAAGGGTGTAGAATATAGGCAGAAACAAAGAAGGAGCCAACACTTCCTGGAGGGAAGGAGTGGTCTCAGAAAAGATTGTGTACAGGTGGTGTATTAATATGCTAAGGCTGCCATAAGAAAGTACCATAGACTAGGTGGCTTAAACAACAGACATGTATTTTGTTACAGTTCTGGGAGCAGAAGTCCAAGATTAAGGTGTTGGTAGGTTTGGTTTCTTCTGAGACCTCTCTTCTTGGCTTGTAGATGGCTGCCTTCTTGCTGTGCCCTCACATGGTTGTTCCTCTGCATGCTCATGTGTGTCTCTTAAGCTCCTCTTCTGGTAAAGCATACCAGTCATATTGGATTAGGGCATACCCATAGGATCTCATTTTCCTTTAATTAATTTTCTTTCTCTCTCTCCCTCTCTTTATTTATTTATTATTATTATTATTATTATTAGTTATTTATTTTTTTGAGACTGAGTCACTCTGTAGCCCAGGCTGGAGTGCAGTGGTGCAATCTTGGCTCACTGCAGCATTCACCTCCCAGGTTCAAGTGATTCTCAAGCCTCAGCCTCCCAAGTAGCTGAGACTATAGGCACACAACACCATGTCCAGCTGTTTTTCTGTTTTTTGTATTTTTAGTAGAGACGGGGTTTCCCCATGTTGCCAATGCTGGCCTTGAACTCCTGAGCTCAGACAATCTGTCCACCTTGGCCTCCCAAAGTGCTAAGATTACAGGCATGAGCCACCGTGTCTGGCCTAATTTTCTCTTTAATGACACTATCCCCAAATATAGTTACATTCTGAGGTACTAGGACTAGGGCTTCAACATATGAATTTTGGGACACAATTCAGCCCATCACAGGTGACATGATCAGATCCTTGATAGGTGAATATGTATTTTCAGACAGACAAGCGATGAAAAGGAGCTTTAGACAAAGGAAACAGTGTTAGCAAGGGCAATGGGGAAGGAAATTACATCATTTTATAGAGCTGCCCATAGAGTGAATGGAGTCAGAAAACATGAAAATGAGGCAGTAAGTAGGACTTTGCAAGTCTAAATAAAGGTCTTTTGATTTTAATTTGTAGAATTTGTTCTTATCTTTGGCCTTACAATAGAATCCCTCAGGATTTAAGAAAACAACAACAAATATCTCACTCCCAGTCTAACCAATTCAATCTGGATATGGAGTAATGGTATTTCAAAAACATCTCCCTAAGTAATTCTAACATGCAACCAAGGTAGGAGCCACAGCTGTAGAGAGTAGAGATTGAGAAGAGAGATGAGATTGGATTTGTGTTTAGGAAAAAGGGCTGGAAGGGTGTGAGCCTTGGGGGTAGAGAAATCAGTTTGCAGGCACTGTTGCAAGGGTTGGAGGGCTGGAACAACACAGTGGTAGGAGTGGGAAAGGGACAACATGAGATGTTAATAATGTAGAAGAGAAAGAACTTGATTCCTAATTCAATGCAGAGAATGAGGAAATGGGGACGTTTGTGAAGATTCTTGCATTTCTGGCATGAGTTGTTGGGTGGAGGGCAATTCATTTCATAATAATAACAACAGAAATGCAGGAAGAAGATACAATTTTAAGGGAATGATAATAGGCTCATCTTTGGATTTGTTGGGCTTGAGTTTCTTGTGATGAAGTACAGGGTGCACTGGTACATACAAATCTGGGCTTAGGAGATAAATCAGAACTAAAAGCAAACATTTTGGGATCATCAATGTGTGACTAATAGTTGAAGCCATGGAGGTGACGAGATGGCCAAGGAGAAAAGAGGGCTGAGGACAGTCCCCTAGGAATACAAATGCTTGAAGAAGACTGGGAGGACGATACCAGCGAGAACCAGAGAACAGTGATAAATAAACTGAGAGAGAGAGAAGTCAGTAAAGGTGAATCCCTCAGAAAAATGAAAAACATAAGGACTGACAAAAGCCCATTGGATTTGTTAATTGAGAGGGGTTTGGTGGTACTTGCTCCACAGAGTTAGCGAGCCAATAGGGGCCTAACCTTACCTGCAGGTTAATGGTGAATGGGCTCTGAGGGAGTGTATTCGGGGAACATAAACTATTCTTCGGTGGAGGAGCATGAGCCAAGGGGATGGGCAGACTGTTAGAAAAGTTGCAGCCAAAGTTTAGAGATCATGAGGTAAAAGGGCAAGTGTAATGAAAGGAAGGGAGTGAGAAAGGCAAAGTGGGGAAAGTTGTAATTGCAGTTGGATACATCATAAAGTTTATGATTGCAGAGTGGCATGAGGTTCAGGCAATGATAAGATGCAACAAAGCATCTTGGAAATGTACTGCTGAAATGAAGAGGAAGAGGTCCATGAATTTGGAAGCTAAGTTGATTAGACCAACCACACAGAGTCCTTTTGATAAGAGGAAAATTTGGGGCAAGGGAAGGGAAAGACTGAGAGGCAAGTGCTAACATAGTTCGTGGAGATGCAGATGATATCACTGGTTTGGGGGATAACAGAGGAGGGCCCAGGGTGCTTAGGGGAGCTCCTGGAAGTCTTGGATAATGGAATGGTAATCAGCCATCTGTAGACAGGTGATGAGATTTCAGGGGGAAAAAAAAAACCCAGCAACCACTATGACAAAGCAGGAAACATACATTCAAAGAATCGGCTCTCATATATATTAATAGTTCTGAGTTGCTGCATTGAGCAGTGAGAGAAAAGAAGGAATATGAGGTAGAGAGGTGGAAAAGAGTTAGATTTTGTAGGAGCTTGTAGATTATGGGAAGGATTTTTGTCTTTCATCTGACATTGGGGGGACCATCTTATGGTGTAGGCAGGAAGGTGACATGATCAAATTTGAGTTTTAGAAAAGTCTTCTGGGGACTTTGTGGAGGATACACTGTTAGAAGGCAACTGGTGGAGACAAATTTGGAAACAAATTGCATAAACCCAGGTGAGAGTCTAGAATTAATCAGTGGTGGTTGTGCTGAAGAGGAGGCAACAGACTTACTAGACAAATACAATTGATGTGGTTATAAGGAATAAGAGATCTAGACAGAAACCAAGCTTCCTCCTATGTCTGCCAGTCATCAACTACATATGCTTAGGCAAAAATTTTATTCAGCATCTATTATATGTCAGGTTGTTGAGATGAGGCAGAGAACAAACAGACATGTAACTTACATTGTGAGTAACAAACTAAAGCCTAGAAGGGTTCATAAAGAAGAAATACTTGGAGAAAAAGCAACAGGAGGAAAGAGGAGGAAAGGGAAAAGGAGGAAGCAGAAGCCCTCCTTCTTAAGAAACACATGATATAATTTTCTTGATTTGCTGCCCTACATCCCAATACTTATTTAGTAATATATAACATTTTTTAAAGTCTTTGTTTTTCAGATACTTTCCAAATTCCTTAAGTGTATTCAAAATAGTATTTAGATAATCTTTGGCTGACAAGTGTCAATTATTAATTTATCACTGTCATTATCACTTGTGTTGCAGTTGTTTACTTTTCAGTTAGTCGAAATTACCATAAACAATAGGAAGGTCAGAATAAAAGGTTTTATGAGAGTTATCTCTTTAAGGAATTACCTTACATAGAGGAAAGGAGAAAGCTGACTGTGATCTATTGGTACTGTTAATAATCCTAATTCCTGCCCTACTCAAGGAAACAAAGCATAACATATCTTATTGATAACATGGACAGTTAAGGACAACATGACAAGTGGCTCAAACATAGTTCAGTTTTGATGTAAATTTCTAAAACTTTATAAAGTAAGGAAGGAGCTAGAACACATGTAAAATTGATGAATTTCTAGACAGTCTTTCTCACATCAAATATAGAAATCTATCCTTGAAGAAATATTATTAGGATTTGCAAATAATTCACAGGAGTCAAGCAATTTGAAACAGGGTCCCTCTTTTAGAACTGCAGATGTTCTGACTCAGAAATGAAACTAAAACTTGAGCAAAATATTTGCTTGAGGAAATTCCTTCCTGTCTTCACGATAGCCCCCCATACACATTAAGACTATGAAGGATCATTTCTCATCACAGGGAAACTTAAATAGCATTTCTAAATGTTTTTTTAAAGTATGAGCTTGTGGTACTTTAGATGCCTCATGTAATGTTTGGTTCCCTGTGTTGGAGGTTTTCCCAGAAAGGCCAGGGTCCCAGGTAGTATTGGCATCACCCAGGAGACTCAAACTAGGCTGAAGGTTAGGGTCGAAGGATCTTTGAGGTAATTTTTAACTATATAAAAAACGTAATAATAATAAAAAATAAAAATAAATAAATAAATAAATAAATAACATATTATTTTACACTTTCCAATTTCTCAGTATGTTCTGATCCAGCACAAGACTCATGATATTTTTGAAAACAAAAATCAAGGGGCTTACCAACTACAGCATGGGTGAATGTCACATATTGTATTTAGTGACAGAAGCCAGACACAAATAATACATACTATATAGTTTAACAGATATGAAGTCTGAAACTGGGCAAAACTTATCTATAGTGATAGTGATCAGAAAGTGGTTGCTTCAGGTGAGATAAAAATTGAGTGTAAGAGGCTACTGGGTAATTTTATGGGGTGATGAAAAAGTTTTATATCTTGTTTTTGGTGGTGGTTACACAAGTGGATACAGTTGTTTGGTTGTCTTCCAACTGGAAATAAATTCTGTACATTTTATTGTATGTAAGTTCTGCCTAATTTTTAAAAATTAATGCTCATAAAAATTAATTAGTGTTATAAAATGCAAAAGAAATTTTATCTTATGTTAACATACGCATGCATTAGATCAAAGCAGGCTATGATTTTAAAGTCATATTACCAATGCGTATTTTCTAAAATTCTAAGACATTAGTTGCCAAAAATACTTTTTTCTTACCTACCGTCTTGGATCCAAAATCCAGTAGCAAGAAAAATGCCAATTACTCTACGTAGCATTCTATAAATGATTACTACTTACTGACATATTATTAATACAAAAAATGAGAAAGCGTTTTTTTTTTTTTTTAGTTTCTAATCTTTATATCAGTTTGCTTACTCAGGAAATATTTTTATGCTGTGAGAACCACTTTATCTTTCACTTTGGAGGCATCTCTCTTGTAAGTTGGCAAACCTTGGGCATGCACTTAAGCAAATTACTGATCCCTGACTGATGTACCCAGTGTCCACCTGGGGCAGAGAGTTCCATTGTAATGGGTATTTTTGTAGCAAGAAAACAAGAGAAACAGCTAAAGAGAAATAGGCATTGGAGTAATGAGACAGAATGTTTCAGGCACTTCTTAATTCATTATGTGTTCTTGTTCCAACTAAAATCAAAGAGGCATAGAAAACTCCTCCCAGCATTGTACAGATGAAAGAAAGATCATTTCACAGGCTCAGGGAGAGAGTGACAGGGGGCACTCAATGCCTGCTCTTCCTCCATCATCTGTAGTCAGCTATAGGAACTGGGTACCAAAATAAAAATAGTAAAACCGTACAGACCAAAACCCTATGTATTTGTGGTAGAGGCCTATCTCTAAACCATGAAGCAATTGCAGCTGAGAGACCTTCTGTACAATCTAAAACAGTTCTGCTACAAGATGGGACACAAAATGGACCAGAGTAGGATACCCATGTGGACAACACATATGGAAGATGCAAAGGTGCAACAATTGGAGAGTGCAAAGATACAAATTAGGGCAGGCAGGTAATTTGCTTCTAGCTAAGGTTTACCCTAGGTTTTGATGGAAGAATTCATCACTGATGTCATGCTAACACCATAGCTTATACCTGAAGATTATTTGTTACTATCCATAGTTTACTCCATAGCATGAATTTTATTCTTCTTGCCTTGATTATTTATTTATCCTTATAATATGCTTTGAACTAATATAATAACTATAGCTACTATCTGGAAGAGGACCTACTGTTGCAGCAATTTACATTTACTATTTTGGGCTCCAGGTAAGAATCTTTTAAAAGGAAATAAAAGGTGGAACCAAGCAATGTGTTTGTTCAGTAGGTTCTTGGCTTTCTGAGTGGAGGTATAAGGATATTGAAGGATAAGTTCATAAATATTTCTACCAGCAGGCATTTGACCAGTTCTATATTCTTATCCTGGTTATTAGATAAAATAAACATAGTTCATAAGCGCATGATGGTCCTTTTCTTCACTGTCTAACACCTAATGTTGTTTTGCTAAATATGCATCTGTAAATGACTGTTTGTGTTGGCCACTGAATATGTATAGAAACATGTCTTTCTAAATAAAGGCTAACTGTCTAGAGTTGACTCAGGATAAGCAGTGTAAACAGGATGGCATATAAAGTGTGAGACAATATACAGAGGACAAAGTGTGTATGAAGGTTAACTGATTAATAAAACATGTCTGGCCTTGATTTAGTTTATAAGAAACTTAAGACATTTATCAACATCTGTCTGAACCCAGTTCCAGTCTCTTGGACTCTGTTGTGCATAAGCTGATTAATAAAAGATGATGCCTTAGGAAGGAAGCTTAGATCTTTGTAAGCAATGACAAAGGAAAAGGCAGTGCTGAATCTACATATGAAAGGGAATTGTAAAAGTAAACTAGTTTACCACTATATGCCTGGCTGCCACTTCCCTATAATATTTCATCCCCCTCATATTGGCTCAAGTCTGGAAAAATAAGAAGGAATTTCAAAAATTAAGTGTGGAATTAATTTACAAGACAGATTGTAGGTTTGGGTTTTTTTTTTTTTTTTTTTAAGTCTGAAATATAATCCAGCTCCCTTGTGGCTTCCTCCTCTCAGTGTTCTTAACTTTGCAGCTTTCTATGTTTGTTTTTCATTTGTGTCCTTGATCTTTTAGTCTTTCCTTTCCTCTTGGCTAGAATAAAGCACCAGTATTGAACAAGTACCTCCCTTTGCCAACTGATAAACTGTTGCCCAATAAGCATCACCCTCATGAAAACATCAGTGCCCTATTTTCCCTCTTACACTCATTCATTCCTTTAAACACCATCGACGTAACACATTTAAATTATATCTAGTCATTTGAGAATTTTCTCCATATGGCATTCATAACTAAGGACTTGGAGGTAAAACTGAGTATAATAAGTATACTAATACCTGGTAATAAACGTCTCTACCAAAGCATCCCATTATCTCCTAGATGTCCAGGAAAAATCACTGCACGACAAACAGGAGAAAGGAATCTAACATTTCAGGAAGAAGTACCATAAGTTAGGAAAGGAATTCAGAATCATGTTTCTCATGATTTGTATGAGAATAAATGCCTTCATATTATTGACCAAGGAAGCCCCCAAAACTAAAGTTAGGTGGTCAGCATGCTTCATTACTAATGGACAAATAATGAATACAGGGAAATTTGAAACTCTTTAGATCTCACATTGTTATAGGTTGTCAAAGCACTGGTTGCTCTGAGGGTAAATTTTATTATCCACAACTCAGTTATAGGGTTGTGTTCAGAGTCCAGAGAAGGGTCCAAACCAATAATTTGAGGAGGAAAATGAATGGTTGCGGGTGGTAGGGCATTGATGCGGAGTCTGGGTTCACTGAATGCCTGTTATGCTTACACATCACCTTCGCTGTTCATATTCATCTAATGACCTGGATATTCAACAATTTCAACTGTTCTTTGTGCTCTATAAAATTACTCTACAAACTCACAGGATACTAGTAAAAACAGAAGCAAAGGACAAAAAGCAAACAAAGAAAAATATTCTGGCTTACTGTTAGAAACTGAGGCCTGAGAATATAGTGGTGTTTTGATTATCATGTCATAGGACTTGTCCTCCTGAAACCAAAAATTTAAATTTATATATAAAACACATATATAAAAATTTAAGACATGAAAAAGAAGCAGCCAAAACTCACCGGGTGGATTCTAGGAATCACTGTTGCAAAACTGACACATAAATCATTCTAAGGAGTTAGATAACCCCAGAGAAAGAGGAGAGTGGGACGCCAGGCTGCCAACGTCTATCCTGGGGAGTTTCTGCTATTTTTGATATCCTTATTCCCTAGTTAAATGCAAGATGTCCAAGAATTTTTTATTTTAATGACTATGTTGTATAATCTAAAACAGTCCCTCACACAAATCAGTTACTTGCCATGCCAATCGTGAGAACATGATAAATATTAAGTAATTAAAATTAATAATTAACTAATATTTGCTTAGCCACTTGAGTACGTGTGCATATGCATGTATGTGCACATGTTGAAATATGTGAATATGTATATTTGTAGATACATATGTATATATGTACAGGGCTGTACACATATATGAGAGACAAACTATGATGATTGATCATATAAATGTTACCTAAACTTAATAGTGAAGTCTTGAGGGTGCCTGTAATACTACTGCTTGTTCTGTGGAGGTGTGTGTGTGTGTGTGTGTTCTTGTTTGAGCAGTTGCTGACAGGGCCTCGGGAACTGAGAATGATAAAGCTGCAGGAGGGCTATGCAGGCATAACCTTTCCTTCATGCAGGAAAAGCCACTATAAAAAGGGAATTGGGCCAGGCTACGCAAAGCGCAAGTGGGACCGTCCGGTAATGTCCAACATGTGGTGGTGTTTAAGGCTGAATCCCCCAAGGCCTGGGAACGGTACTGCTGCTGGAATACTCTGATCTGACGCTATTGCCCTGATGGGGTCAGAGCAAGAGACCACACTCTTGTGGGTGAGAGGTCAGATTTCCCCAGAAGGGAGGGTGTTTTCACTCCCAGGCATCGTGGGAAGAGTTGGATCCTGGGTCAGGAAATAGGGACTTAGAAGGGGGTCTTAAACAGGGCATCCCTTGAAGGCAGACATATGCCACCCCTGTGTCTCTTAGCGTTGTTCAGGCTGAATGAGGAGCAATTATGAGCATTGTATTAGTCCGTTTCCACACTGCTGATAAAGACATACCTGAGACTGGGCAATTTACAAAGGAAAGACCTTTAATGGAGAACTCATAGTTCCACGTGGCTGGGGAAGCCTCACAATCATGGGGGAAGGCAAGGAGGAGCAAGTCACATCTTATGCGGAAAGCAGCAGGCAAAAAGAGAGAGCTTGTGCAGGGGAACTCCTTTTTTAAAATCACATCTCGTGAGACTTACCCACTATCACGGGAACAGTACAGGAAAAGACTTGTCCCCCTGATTCAGTTACCTCCCACTTGGTCCCCACAACATGTGGAAATTCAAGATGAGATTTGGGTGGGGACACAGCAAAACCATATCAAGCATTTTGTGTACCCAACTGCTGTGCACCTCCAAGATTCCTGCTCATACATACCATGCCACACACATAAGTTACCTGCAACTTTGCTTATTCCTGAGGGCTCCTGAGAGGCCCTGTAGCACATCTGGCTTTGTCAAGGCACCATGGAGGTAGTGAGTGCATGGCTCAGCAGTAATTTTGGAATGATGTGGGCCCTAGTTCTTGTGACACCACTTATTAGCATTTATTGACCAAACTGCTACTACTTCCTCCATTTATTGGCAAAAAAATAAAAAAGGGAAGCAATACTTGCCATTTCTGTTTCCCAAGGATCTGATGAGGATGACATGAGAGAAAGGATATGAAAGTGATCAGTAAGCCGTAAAGCATTATTCCTTCACATGCTCTGCTGCCTTCAGGCCCTTTGCACTAGCTGTTTCCTCTTCCTGAAATACTTCTCACCTAGATATCCCAATGATGTGCTCCCTTACTTTCTTCAAGGGTCTGCTAAATGTTGCTTTGTCAGAGAGGCCTTCTCTGGCTGCTTTGTATAAACAGCAATCTTCCTAACCCCCTTGCTTTTAGTACTTGCCCCCAGACACTGCCTTATTTTTTCCCACAGCACTTTCCACCATCTAACACATATTTTGGACATTCTTTCATTGACTCCATAAGGAAAGGGAATTTTGTCTGTTTTAGTGATGACCGTATCCTTTGTGTCTAAAGAGTGCCTGACACATAGTAGGCACTTAATAAACATTAGTGAATGTTTATTTACTAATGAAAGAATGAATTAAACAATTAATTGTAATACATTATTAGAGTTGCCTAAGTCTCCATAACATAATAAATAACATAAATAAATTCCAAAGTTAAAGAAAAATTATTTACTCATTGCTGGCATTTTACAAACTACTGACAGGCCTGTGACGAAAATCAGAAATATCTCTAGGTTCATAGACATTTTCCCTAGCCTGGCTAATTTTGAAGTATAACCATAAGAACCTCCAATTCATGTTTGGCCTTTTCCTCTGTTTTTCAAACCTTTAGGCTTCAAGCACAAAAATTGCATCTGCAGGCAACTACATAAGGTTCCTTATGAACAAAGTTTTCCTGCAGGTCTAATAAAAAGATAACAGAAGCAAAACATGTTAAATTTCTCTTTTCACTGCCTTATTTCCTTTAGGCTTGCTGCCTGAGTTTCTTTGTCTTTTTTCCAGATTTCTCTGAGAATCCTAGCTGCTCTAGATGGCTTTCCTAATACAATGCAACATTTGCAGAGGGTATTTTATTTTTCGAAAGCAATATTCTGAGCCTTCTTATACTTGGCCTTCTTGAATATTAAAGACATTGACCTGATGCTTTGGTCCCATCACCTCTGGGATCTCATCTCCTACTCCCCTCTCCGCCCATGACAGTTGAGTCACACAGGCTGCCTTGAACATACCAGGCACATTTCCACCTCACAGGCTTTGCTCTGGCTGTTTCTTCTGCCTGGAACTCTCTTCCCCACATATGTCCTTAGTGGACTCCTTCACTTCTTTCAAATGTTTGCTTAGATTTTCCTTCCCAGTGAGGCCAGTGCTAACCTACTTGATATTGCAAGAGGCTGCTCCTTCTGCCTCACAACCCACTGCCCCAAGCCCCTTTTCCACCTCTTTTTTTTCATAGCATTATTATTTTCTAAATCACTCTATAATTTATTTTTTATTTACATTTATTGTTTATTCCTTTATGTATTTATTACTTATTAGTTATTCTTTTCTTCTATAACATAAGCTCCATGAGACTAGGAATTGCTTTTTCTTTTTCTGTTTAGTATTCCAAGGATCCAGAATAGGGCTAAGCACAGAGCAGGTAGTCAATAAATATTGTTCCATTAATTGATTGATTGATTAAATGAGAACAATTTAAAGATAAGTGAGATTTTTATATATTTCTGGCTTTCCTTGCCTAGATCAGGAATTTTAGGGAATCTGAAATCCTAATTCTTTCTCGAATATATGGCCTCTAATTTGCTTCTGATTACTTCATAGGAACATTATGCTGCTGAGCAATATTTCAGCTCCACAAGCTTGATTGAAAACCCACTGGGAATCAGGCAGTCATTGTACTGGGCAACAGGGATACAGAAAGGAGTAAGACACAGTTCCTAACTTCAAGAAGGTAGACAGAAATGTGAACAAATAAATTATAATTCAGCATCACAGACTCACAGTAAAGAGGTAGCCCAGTGGGAAGAGATCAGGATCTCCACATGGAATAGGAGAAGGGTATTGAGGAAGCCTTCCCAGAAGAGGTTATTTTAAGCTGAACAAGGTTTTACAAGATGAAATAGACTTGGATAGATCCACAGACTGAAGAAGATAATTCCAAGGAGAGGGAACAGCATTAGTGAAGCCACCAAGCAACGTGGTGCCTATAGGGATCTATAAGTTCGGTATTTCTGTGTAACATATTTTTCCTTTTGGAAAAATAATAACAACAATAATAATAATAGCCTATACACAGAGTGCCTACCATGTACCAGGTAGGGTTCTAAGTCTTTATACATTAGCACATTTATTTTTCCCTACAACACCATGACATAGGCATGATTATAATTCCTATTTTATAGATGAAGAAACGAAGGCACAGAGAGATCACCACGTAAGATGATCGCTGTCACACAGGCTTTCAGAGAGTAGGATGAATTTTTTGTTTCTATTAAAACAAGATAGAAACTAAATCAAAAAAGTCTGGTCTAGCTTAATCTAGGCTTGATATACTCAGAGGAAAGCAAGAAAGACTGATTTGTGATTAAAGGAAGAGAACTTTTTTTAAGCCTTTGAAAATAGTTTTGTTGTTATTGTGGTTATTGTTGTCTTAGCACATAAGGACTTTTAATGCAAATTAATAGAAAGAGCAAACATTTCTTATAGAGTGAGCCAAAAAGACTATGAAAAGTGGAGATAAGTATGTTTTTTAATATTTTACAGAAAGTTATATTAAAAGTTTATAAAGGTCCACTGGATATTTATTTTCTCTCCTCCAGTAACAGTCTTAAATAAATATAATTACTTTTGGACAATAAAGTGCTTCAATATTGTATACTGAAAACCAATAAAAAATACCAGTCACTTGGAAGTGTTCCTGTTTGGAGGCCGACCTGGCCCTTACACAGCGGAGTCAGAAGGTGAAAGGTTGAAAGTGCATCCTTGATTTTAGACTGAACATAAAGTGTAGACTTGGGTTTTTTAAGCCAAAGGTAATTTTCTTTCCTTCTTTTTTTTTTTTAACGTTAATTAACCACTAATGTGGACAGTCTCAAGGATCCAAGTCAATTAGGACACTGTGTGTAACTTTTTCAAGCTGAAGGCAGCATGCCCTTCACATTTATAGGTACTGTACTCTGGATAAAATCTCTTTGCAAGGAACAATAAAAGGCTGAATAATGAAGACCATGCGCCTAGGATTGATGTAATAAAAGAAGTTCTCAATATTTTGGCACTACCCTTCTAATGTAAAGTGTGTGTTTTTCTCATTTAGTGGGCAATGGCCAAGTGGAATAAGAGAAATGTGTGTTAATCCACTGCTGTTCTAAAGTGATGGCAGAAAGCATTTGCTGCATTTCCCATTTGGAGCCTGTAGTCCCTTTGATTCACACCTATTTTTTCCAGATTAGATCTCTGCCATATTATTTATATGGCACTACCATATTCAATTCACACATTACAGCCTGCCTCACAATGTAGCTATTCTTATCCCTAGAGAGACAAATGACAGTATTTGTTAATTGCATTTTTAAAGTTATGCAATGTCTGCCAACCCATTAGGATCTTTTCTTAATGAGTTTTGCTTCTCTACTTATAATACTACCAACATTTCCATTTAAAAGATAAACAAGCTTCTCTTGATAGCACCAAATTCCCTACTTATATACAATGGTCTTTTCTACATAAACATTTCTAAGGAGATAATACATTACTGATCAAAATTCTTCCATATTTGTTTATAACTGGAGTTGGCAAACCATGGCCTGTGGGCCAAATTTAGCCTACCACCTGTTTTTGTAAATAAAGTATTACTGGAACACAGCCATGTTCATTCGTTGACGTATAGTCTAAGGCTGCTTTCATGCTTCAATGACAGAGTTGAATAATTGCAGTTGAGGCCATCATGGCCCACAAAGCCTAAAATATTTACTTTCTGGCCCTTTTTAGAAAAAGTTTGCCAACCTTTGGCTTAAAAAAGCCTGTATTCTCTTGTAACTTTGTCAGTAACATATGTTACATTATTGCTTTTTCTACCTAGGTTGGATTCTAAATTAATACAGTTCTTAAGAACAGCCCAAGAAGCAAGTTTGGATTTAAAAAGCCCAAAAAGAATCAAATCAGTTTTTATTGTCAGGTCTTAGAGATACAGTGATAGACAAGGATAGACACAGGGTTCCCCTCCTTAAAAAAGTTTACAGTCTAGAGAGAGTAACTGACAAAATAACTAGAGTACACAGTGACCAATCCAAAATAAGGGAAGTACAATTTTCTGTGACAGCAAAGAGCAGGGGAACCTTAGCACTTCAAAGATGACTTTTAAGTTTGGAGGCGAGTAACTAACTGGATCAGGTGTTGGGTGTGTGTATCAGGGGAGAGGATGGCAGGATGGAGTCATTAAAGCAAGCAAAGTGAAGAGCATGAGGGAAGTTCCAAGGTACGAGAGGATAGGATACCAGGAAGCACCGCACATCATCATGACTGGACCATGGAGAAGAATAGAAAAAAGGGCAAGAAGTGAATGGGAGCCACCTGGTTATGAAGCACCTCCTACATGTGAGGCAATGGGAAACCCTCAAAGAGTTTTGATGAGAAATCAGAAATGTCCAGATTTTCCATTTTAGAAAATATTATTCTGGCTATAAGTAAGGAAAGGATTACTGAGAACTTTTGGAAAGAGAAGCAGTTAGAAGACAGTGGCTAAAATTCAGGTGACAGGTATCAGTGGCTTGAATTAGATTATTGGAGGTGATAAGAGAGAGCTATGGATTTGGAGAACTATTTCAGAGCAAGAATTGACAAGCTTTAATAAGTATGTGAATGTGGGAGTTGAGGGAAAAGGATAATTTTAAAACAATACTTCAGTTTCTGTCATGGACAACTTTGTGAATGGTGACGCTTTTCTACAAGCCCAAATGGAGTGGGAATGTAGAAGAGGATGATGGCATGTGTTTGAAAACACTGAGCTTAAGGTGTCTGTGTGATGTTCAGAGAGAGCACACTTATGGATAGTTGGACGTTTGGCTCTGAAGCTCAGGAAGGGTCTGGGCTGAAGATAAGGCACAGAGGTCATTAGCATCAGGTGCATTTAATACACCTAACATACTGAACATAATACCTTAGCCTAGCTTACCTTAACCATACTCAGAACACTTACATTAGCCTACAACTGGACAAAATCATCTAACACAAAATCTACTTTATAATAAAGTGTTGAATACCTCATTTAATTTATTGAATACTGTACTGAAAGGTTAAAAATGGTTGTATGGGTACTGAAAGTATGATTTCTACTGAATGCTCATAGATTTTGCATAATAAAGTTGAAAAAATCATAAGTTGAAACATCGTAAGTCAGGGACCATCTGTAATAATATAAATAATAACTTTAAGTTGATGTGGAGATTCACAAATTCACAAAGAACATTTTCACATAATTTCTTATTTCATGTTCACAACAATCTCATTATAGAGCTTCCATTATAGAGCTGAGGAGAGAGAGATTTAGAAAGGTCAAGTAATGCTCAAGTTGGAATTTTTGATAAAAGGACAATTAGAGGAAGTGCCCTTCACACATTTCCATTATATAATCAAATAATAATACATGGACTTTTTAGAACATCTACTATGTGTAAGACATCATGCTAAGCATTCATTTTGCACAAGAATAGTGTAATGTGGGTTTTATTAACTCAAGTTAAGGAAGGTCCAGAGAAGAATGATTGACTTTTCCAACTCACACAGCTAGAAAGTGGCAGAATGGGACTTTGAATTCAGATCTGATGGATGCTGATGTTTGTACTTTTCACTATTAAAGCCTGCTTCACCAGCTGTTCAAGTTTTCTGGCAAATATCACTTTAAAAAAAATTCTTAACAAGCTACATGTATTCTTGAAAACATTCACATAAATCCAATATTGAAAACTGAATTATTTTTCTCCTTCTTTATGTTGTAATTTCATTTAATAGATGTGTCTTCCATGGGAATTAAATATATTTAAAATATAGTATTTAGTTGCCCTGAAGTTGTATATTGAAGGTAAAATTATTTGCTAATAGAACATTAACCACAGAATACCATAATGCAAATGCTGTGCTGGAGATAGTGCTGAGTCCCAAAAAATAGAAGAGAGCGCTATGAGGAAAGAAAGGGAAAAATGCTGCCTTTTTGAACAAACTTCCAAGGAAAAATATGCTTCCAAGATGGTGACTCAGACAAATCTAAATCTCTTTCTTCTCCTTGACAAATATTTTCTGGACACCTTAGTTCTAGTGGTGAAGCTGCAAGAGCCTAGCATTCCATTTCCACCACAGTAATGGTAAAAACAAATTATGTTGTAGATGAAGTATAAAATATATTTTTTCTTCCAATAAATTGAAGAATTGGAGCAACTGTGAGAAATTAAAACTAAATTAGAACCTAGGTGGTGGGTGTATGGGATTCATTGCTGAGTTCTTTAACTTTTCTATATGGTCAAAATATTTTCTAAAAAATGTTAATTTAAAAAATTAGGGAAGAAGAAAAGAAAAAGCACTAAAGCACCAGGGATGTAATAAGCTCCAGACCCAGGAAAGAAAGTTTGTGAATATAGCTGAAACACCCTTTCCCAGAAAAGTACTCACTTAATGTCTTCAGTCAAAATATTAATAATGAGTTATTTTATGAGACAGTTTAGATCCAAATAGAAATAAAATGGACTTGATTTCTGTCCACTAATTTGTCTCCATAATAAAGTTACCAAAGTTTTCACATTTCTCTAATTTTATTTCCATTTCCAGTTGAGCTCCATGATCAGGAAATCATAAAAAGTATGGCACTGGTGGTTTATAGATGTTTTAGAATATAAATTGAATTTACAGTTATTAAGTGAGTTATTACATAAGCTAATTATAAAACAAACTGATTTTATAATTTTATTTTTAATTCAGGAAGTGAGGTAATCTCATAACCTAAAGTTTGGAGAAAAGAGAAAGAAAAATCAAACCCTTGCTTTAAATATAATTATTATAATTTTAATATGTTTTCCAGACTTTTTGTTTTCTAAAAATGCTTTCAAATGGCCGTAAACATAGAGGCTTAGATCCTACTTTTTTCATTTAATTTATATATTAGGTGTTTTTGTATGTCTACATATTTAACATATTAACAATTGCATAACGTTTTACAGTTGTACACAGTGCTGTGATGAATCTTTAACTGTGGCTTGCCTTACATTTTGAATTAGATTGCTGGAAGTGGAATTACTGGATCAAAGAGCGTAAGATTTCAATGGTTTTATGTATTAATAAGTTGCTTTGCAAAAGTGTTATACTAATTTATATTGTAACATAATGTAAAGATGTATCCCCGCCAGCATTAAGTACTATAACTTTTAAGTGTTTACAAATTTAACATGCAAATGATTGTACCTCATTGTTTGTATCTGTGTTTCTAAAAAATACTTAAAAACAGCTTTCTTATTCTCACCAGGTGAGCTGACAAGTAGACAGTTTGATAATGAGTGAATTTCATGATCCTTCTTGTTATAATTAAGTGTTTCTCTCATTGTCCACCATAGCAAATTAAAATTCCTGGCTCTTGTCTTCAAAGACCTGGGCCAATTCTCTGTCTCCTCCCCTATCTTAACTGCTTTTTTCCAATGCCTCCCAAGGTTCCCTGTAAATCACCTGAGATCTTGGTAAACACACATACAAGCCTCACTAGAGACTCCTAAGTTAGAATCTCCAGGGTGGGGACTCTCAGTGCCCTGTCATTACTTTCCACCTTTGTTTCTTCCTGGATTCCCTTGGCTTTCTTTCTTTTAAGGACTTTTATGCCAGAAATAGACTGAATTCAAAGCTCACTTGGAAGCGTATTTTTCTCTGAAAGTCTGTATCGATTAGGTGAGAAATTCATTTATTATTTAGTACTAAAATGACAAAATACAGCTAAAAGTGAATGATGCTGGTCTTTTCCCTGTGCAAGCAAACAATTTTGCACTTAACCTTGTGTGTGTGTCTGGTCCCTATGGTGAAAGAGGAAAGAGAGCTTTCCAAAATGAGGCATACCAGGTTGGAGAGGTGCTCCTGTTCTAAGCAAATTGACTCACCCTCTAGAGGGGAAAACTGAGAACCCATGAGAAGAGAGCAGTTAGATCTGCTGAAGGTCACAAGGGGGCCAGTCTCTGAGTAAGCCAAGGAAGCTTGATGAGGGAAGTGAGAACTGGGTTTAGGGTGATCTCAAAATTCTTGAGATCGACTTAGATAAATTCATATTTCTGCAATTTCAGGCTGATGAAGCCAAGATAATAACTGTCATATACCATAATAATTAATGCTAACAACATCACATGTAATATTTTTGAGTGTTTATATGTGTCTGGTGTTGTACTGAGCCCTTTATATCATGTGTGATTTCGTGGCACCATCATGAAGCAAATACTAAGGTGATTCTCACCATTTTACTGATGAGGCTCAGAGAGAGAGATTAATAAATTATTCTGAAGATGCACAAGTATCCTGGTCTTTTGCTGGCTATTTTTTCTATGTAGGATTATAAGCTCCCCAAGTTAACAGTCATGCCTTCTGTGGGGGTTAAGAACATGTAGGAGGCAGGGCAGGAGGCAGGGCCAAATCAGGCAGATGCTCGATAAACGAACTGAAATACAATGAAGGAAAAAGGACTGATTAAAAGATCTCATAGGATTCTTTATAAAAAATTTTTTTCTTAACAAATTACAATATGAATTTCTTCAAAAATTATCATGATTCTCAGCTGCCCCTTTCTGGCCCTTCATCCTCATCCCATTCACAAACACACTTGGAAATTCCTTTTCCTTTTGGGTTCAGGCTTTCATTTCAGTTATGAATATCTGGGCTCTTATTTTTCCAGACAATTGGCAAATTCCTTGGAGTCAGTAAACAATATTGTTTTGACGCCATTGAGATAAGCACGTATTTTAAACCGCTAACTTGGATGCATTTTTATACAGGTCAATTCTTGGTCAAAAGGATTGAATGGCTCTATTCACACCTCTGGTGTTGATGAGTTGAGGCACATCATTGATCTAAAAACTGCACAAATGTTTAGGACTCAGGAGACCCGCAGGAGGCCTGATGCAGTGTACTCACAACACACATTTTCTCAGCTTGAATTACGTTTTGGGGCTTAGATTCTTATTTCCTATAAAAGCTTCTGTCCACACTGGTTGAAGGCAAGTGAGTAAAAACTTTGACAAATCTGCCCTGACCTGGCTGGCTGCTGGCAGCCCCCTCCCAGCCTTCACAAGCAAAGAACTGTTACCTATTCCTACTCCATTCCCCACTGCAGAGCAGCATTCTGTGCCTATTGTCCAAAGCCCACATTTCCAAGCTCAAAACCAGGCTATCGGATAAACAAGTGAGGATCTCATAGCTCTGTTGCTGCATCAGAAACTTGAGAAAAGGTAAAGTCCATACTACATGCACTCCTGAATGTTTCAAGGCATAGCCAACTTGAAAGGCAACCTAGGAGACCCTCTTCAGGATTTGCTACTGCTCCTGTTCTCTCTCATGGAACCAGGATGCTGGTGAGGATTCAGAACACAAAGGCAGCTGGATTTTCTTTCACGGACCACAATGAAATGTGTGTCTTAAAAGAAAACAGGAGTGAAACAAGAGGAAATTTCAGGCCAGCAAGATGATGTAAAGGATCCTTTTCAGCCGCCAAGGAACACTGTAAAGATTATTTAGACACACTCCCTCTTATGTGTTTGGCAAGACCCCATCTCCACCGAAAAAAACCACTTTTTTAAAAGTTAGCTGGGCATAGTGGTACGTGACTGTTGTCCTATCTACTTAGGAGGCTGAGGCAAGAGGATCACTTGAGCCCAAGGTGTTAAGGCTGCAGTGAGCCAAAATCATGCCATTGTACTCAAGCTTGGGCAAAAAAGCAAGACTCTGTCGCCAAAAAAAATTAAAAATAAATTTTACTGCTCCCAGATTACATCTTTTAGACTCTGAAATTAAAATGCCTTCCCCAAAGGATAAGACGTTTAGCTTCCACTTTTAAAGAAATCCAAAGTGCATTTCATCTCTTTCTGTTTATATGGATCAGAGACACAATGGCTTATGTAATGCTGTTTACTTTTCCTGCTATGTCTAGCTTAAACAGTATTTCAAGGACCATTGACTGTTAAGCCATTGATAATAATAAAGAAAAAAATAAAGCTTTTTTTTTAATTGAAAAAGACACCTATTATTTTGGTAGTTAGCCAAGTTATTGTAAGACCTACAAATATGCCTCCAGGGGCAACCTCGGCTTCTTCAACTTGGTTCTCCCTTGTGTTCTTACTGGCTCCTTATCAGTTCTTTACCTGCCCCCAGTTTGTGATCACCTTATCCCCAGTGAAGAAAATGTACTTATTCCATATATTCCCTACCTCCATTTTCTGAACTGAGAAGTGACCCAAACTTTATCTTCTCTTTTTTTTTGACAAGATCTCTCTCTGTCACCCAGGCTGGAGTGCAGTGGTGTGATCACAGCTCACTGCAGCCTTGATCTCACTGGCTCAGGTGATCCTCCCACCTTAGCCTCTCTAGTAACTGGAAATACTGGTGCACACCCTCACACCTCGCTATTTTTTTGTAAAGACAAGTTTTCACCATGTTGCCCAGGCTGGTCTCGAACTCCTGAGCTCAAGTGATCTGCCTGCCTCGGTCTCCTAATGTGCTGGGGTTACAGGTGTGAGCCACTGAGCCTGGCCCAAAGTTTATCTTAATTTTCTGCATACAGCAATGAGAGAAAGCGACTCTCTGGAGGTTGGAATACACATAGTAGAATATGAGAGAACAGTGCCAGAAACATTAAATCATGTGAGCAAGGCTACCTGTGTGTTTAATGTATCACCACATTGGCCAAATAATGTGCAAATGGCATCTGTGAACATCTTCCTAAAATGCTTTTCAAACATACTCTAAATTTCAATAAGAAAAAATAAATTCAATGAACTCCAAGCATTTACATTACTTTATAAATTTTCTACTTAGTTATTTCATTGTTCTGTGTTGAAAGAACTTTAAAAGCTGCTATCTTTTTCACTTTATAAATGAGGAAACTAAGCCACCAAGCAGTGTCTTGCCTGTAGCCATAGAACTTGTTCATGTCAGAGCTACTACTCAAAGACCTGATACTTAGCAAAGTTTTATTTATTTCAACTATACCACAAAGTCTCTTTTACTCCTTTTACCAAACATAGTATTACCAATTTTTGAAATAAACTTCTATTTCTCAGTTTTGTATTTCTAAGCCCCATTTTTTTCTGAATATCTTTTTTCATCAACATGTTTCTCTGTTCTATATCTTAATATGCTTGATATTTCCAAGTTTTTAATATTTCTGGTTTTACTCCTATATTTGATTTTAATTACCTCCCCTCAATCAACATCCATAATCCATTTGTATCTCTTTTACTTTCCTCAACATTTCATCTCACTCCCATTTTCCTTTTATTGTTTTAAAACTTTTCTTTATAACGTCTATGTTTCTTCCTACACCTCTTTTCATCTTGTCTCTATTTGTATTTTTTCTTCTCCAATTCTGTGTTTCTATCAGACCATTTTAGCTCCTTCTATACTTTTTATATCATCTTTTTTTTGTCTTATTTCAGCATGACCACTTTGTTTCATTGGCTTTTCAACACAACACATCAATGAAGGGTGTGTGTGTGTGTGTGTGTGTTTGTGTGTACACAAATTTAGAATTACTTGCTGTGAGAGTGATGAGGGCTGAGTTGGGGAGATTGAGAGAGACACCAAAGAATGTAATGTGTTCATAGAAGGAGAAAGGCTTGCTTTTTTCCATCCCTGGGGACATTAATCAGAAAGTTTCTTTCTAATGCCCATTTAATAAATATAAGTCATGTACATATGTTTCCTATATAAAAGTATCCTGAATCAGTATTGTATGTGTGAAATGTTTCCATTTTCCTAAAACATTCTAAAATTTAATCCAGAGCTATTGTACAAATAGTTAAAGAGCAACAGGGTTGCTTTCTGAGTTTCATTTGGATGTATTTCAAGTATAATAAACACATGGTAAGATTATGTTTTAAACATCACTAAAATGTTTATCAACTTTGTATATGAGACAACTATAAAATTACCACAGTAGCATCAGACTTGCTAAATTATATATGAAAAACTCTAAATATAATATTGCTTTAAAAAATGTTTTTTCTGGGTTCTAGACTTTGAATACATTGGTTTAATATATATTATTAGCACTCTATTTTATTAATCAGAATACAACCATAAAAATGAACTTGGGTGTACACAGCCTTAAGTATTTATAACGGTTTATCCTATTTCTGCCCTTAGGGAAAAAAGTTTCCTTTATTCCACAATCAGTTTCTTACCCTATTTCATGGCTGAGTAATTCAGAGTTGGAAATGAGCCCATTTATAATTGCATACATCTAAGAATCAAAACCCAACGATTACTGAGTATAATAATGGCACAATAAGTAGAACTTGAGGAAAAATAATTCAGATAATTCTCATTCTTTTGTTTGGAAAAATAAAGCTTTCCTAAATACTAATCAATCAATAAATACACGAATAATAGTATTGTTACCTTTTAATAACAAGTTTTCTGGTTAAAATCCTGAGAAAAGATCTTTTGTCACAGACTGTTTTTTGGTCATCCTATATTGGTGAGCTTGCCTGGTGTTCTCCCAAATGACCTGGGTTCAACATCTGCTCTGAGGATAGACTTTTCTGGCTCAATAATTAAAATACAATGATCTTATTACAGTTGGAAAATGATTTATTCATCTTTATTACACATTGATTTTTGGCATGGTAGAAAACAGAAGAGAGATATTAAGTGAAATTCCATGGGGCCAGAGATGGGTCTAATATTACCTAATATCTTCAGAACTGACCAGATCAAATTAGACAGTAATCCAGAGTTAGAGAGGCTGACTCACGCTGTGAAAAAGAGAGACACTGTGGAGGATATTGAGCATTTGATGAATCAGTGGGATCAGATGGCATGAAGGAGGAACAATGTTACACACACCTGGGGAACAGGACTAAAATATGTGAATAATAGAAGGGGCTATTAGGGGAAAATCCACGGAAACAAAGAGAAAAGGAAATAAGTGAAAATAGCACATACACACAAAAAACAGAGCTGTACTGAAATGCAAAAAAGACCATGTGACTTTGCCCACATAGAGGGAACTATTCCTTCTGTACTTGGACCTAACTGTGGCCACTATTTTTAAATCATAGATTGAAAAACACAGGCTGATTTTTCTCCCAGCGGAACAAACATGAGAATACTATGCTACATTTAATACATCATTATTATTTCTTAACAAACATATTTGCTTCTAAATTCTGCACTTTCTAATGCCAAGTGCAAAATCAGTGCATTTAATTGCCTCTCTGTCTTAACCTTTTACTTATATCTAATTAATCGTATGTAATTCCTAAAATGATTCAGTATTTCTGCCTGTGGGCTAAGTGTCTACCGAAGTTGGCCATACAGAATCTAGCATGGCATCATGTACAGATAAACAATGATATTTAACACAAGGGATGATAAGACATATAACATAAGAAAAGATGATATTGATCCTTTTAAAAATTGATGGAAGTATGGCATTCTTGACAAATACAATGTTTACATGCTCAATATATAACTCAGCCTATTTATAATAGGGACAGCTTGGAGAATAGTGACTGGAGGGAATATTATTCATATTTATTTAACAATGAGGTTTCAGCATTTTTTCTGAGGAATGATTGTGTGTCTCAGAAAACCACAATGGCTTCTGCTGCTAACAACTTAAATATGGGGAAAGGAGTGTGTTAAGAAAGAAACAAAAATAGGCCCACTTGCTTTTGTAGCTTTATAAATCATGAAATCAAGGTCATAAAAAATTTGAAAAGTATATAAGAGGGAAAAGGTCAAGAGACAGAAAGAAAGATGGAAAGGCAATGTGAGAAATTGCCTTTTAAAATCAATGCATCAATAACTTATTAGCCCAAAGAATTCCCTGGTTCTTTAAGAAAATGCAGATCTTATGGGACCAAAACTAAATTTATCAATTTCTCTCCTCAAATCAGCTTTCTTTTTCACTTCTCTATGCTTTTTTGGCAGCACCACCTTTCCTAGTGTCCCAGACTAGAAACAATTTCATCACCTTTGGCCTCTTCTTCACTTTTGATATCCAATCACTCAAACCCTGAACATTCTGCCTAAATCTGTCCTGGCACCCACTGCCACTCTTTTATCCTCTACCCCAAGAATGGCCTTACAAGCAGAGGTCTTACTATCCATTCCTCCCAGGGGCATCTGAGTATCAATTACTTATTCCACCTGCAAATAGGGAAAATGTGCCTAGTATAGTTATTAACAAGTAGCATATATTTATTCTCCTCATCTCCAGTTCATGTTGAACCAAGCACCAGATGCATTACCTTGAAACGTCACTTCAACCATACCATGGCCTTGCTAAACATCCCACACCAGGTCCAACTAGACTGCTTCTCTAGGGTCAGGTTCTCTTTGCCTCCTGTCCATCCCAAGACCTTCAGTATCTCCCTAGCTCCTGTTGGGAGGCATTCCCCAGAACTCCAGGCTTCTGTGCATTCCCTCTTCTCTGAGCTTCATTGTCACTTCATGTCAGTACTTTCCCTGTTGGTATTTAAACTTGAATTACTCTCTCTAGATATATATATTTAGTAATATATATTATAATTATAATGTATAATTATAATATATTATTATATATAGTAATATATAGTTATATATAGTAATATATATAAAACTTAGAAGCTCCATCATGGGTATAAGTCAGAGAATGTAAGATTATATATAAATAATATATTAATAATATATAAATATATGTAATATATTATATATTGTTTATATTATATAGTATTTTATATTATATATTATTTATATATTATATATTTTATTATATATTATTTATATATTTATATATTATATATTTTTATATATATATATCTTTAGAAGCTCCATAAGTATAAGTCAGAGAATGTAAGATTATCATAATTTCATTCCATCTCTGAAAACATATAACAGAGCTCATTAAATGCTTATCAAATAAATAAGTCAAAAAGTCAATAATGTCTCTTAAACCTAAAAGTCAGGGCTTTTTTCTTTTTGGGCTTTTGGTATTTGCTAAAACAGGATTTTATTATCTTTTTTTAATTAAGGATTTCAGATTTTTTGGAGGGGTAAAAGGCTTTTGTAACACTTTCTGCTAATAAATAATTAAAAAATGGTAATTGTTGATTGTTAATTGATTACTATTATCAGCCACTGTGCTAAGTGCATCAATTTAGTTAATTCTTAAACACTCCTATAAGGGAATTGCTATTATTCTCACTTTGCAGATGAAAAAAACAGGCTCAGAGAGGTTAAGTTACTTGCCCAGTGTCACACAGCTAGCATGCTTCAGGGCTAGAATTTGGACCTCGTAGTTCTGGTTCTGTTTAAGTCTGCTTGGGCTGCCATAATAAAATACCACAACTGGGTGGTTTAAACAACAGAAATTTATTTTCTCACAATTCTGGAGAGTAGAAATCTGAGATCAGAGTGCAGCATGATTGGGTTCTGGTGAAGGCTTTCTTCCTGGCTTGCAGACTGCTACCTTCTTGCTATGTCTTGACATGGCAGGAAGACTGAGAGAGAAAGAGAGAGAGGGAGAGAAAGAAGAAAGACACTGCTTTCTCTTCCTCTTCTCATAAGGTCAATAATCCTATGGGATTAGGAACCCATCCTTACAATGTTTTTTAACCTAGATTACTCCCTAAAAGTCTTATCTCCAAATGCAGTCACATGGGGGGTGTTAGGGATTCAACATATAAATTTGGGGAGACACATTCAGTCTATAACAGGCTCCAAAAAGATCTGAGGATACACTTTGGACATTACAAAATGAGATCCAAGAAATCTGCCCTCAAAAATAGACAGTCCATCCACTGACTGATCACAACTTTCAATGCCCAGCCTCAGCTTCCAATAATTCAGCATGTCAGGGAAGGTCACAATAACATCTCACCCTCAAATTCAACCTTCTCAACAGCCAAGAAATTCAAATTTTTGAAAATAAAATAACAATTCCAACAAGTTTCCAACCAGCTCTCTTTTGGATTTCTTGGAGATTTCAAGATTTGGAGTTCTTGTTTTGACACTGGGGAGCATAGTTGGGTGAGCCTGTACAGAAGCTGGAATGCACATGTACCTCAGGTGGTGGTAAAACCCCATCTTGCTAGTGTTACCTGGACCCTGCTTAGTCAGTACCAAGGCAGTGGGGGAGACAACTAATAAGGACTTACCTAGTGCTGAATGGCCCCAATAATAAACTCCCAGTGTGTCAAAAGGGTGCACGGGGTAATTTGCTATAAGGCTTTAAAGTTCAATTCCTCAGTATGCTGAAATAGGCACTAGGCTTCCCAGGGAGAACATATCCCAGTGCTCATGTTTGTCATGAAAATATTGGTGGCATTTTATTTTTGCCTTAGAGAATCAAGTCCAGTTCCAAGCAGGATCCAGATGTTCCTGCATTTTTATCCTTCCCTGCTGTCATCTCTCAGTGATTATTGATATTTCTGAAAAGGGAGATGTTTCTGAAATTTTCATTTTCATTAAAAACACATCTTACAAATATTTTTGTGTTTTCTTTTCTTTTTAAATTTTTCTTATTTTGCCATCTTTAAAAAAATTTCTCAGTTGCAATTTGTTTGACTGTTATGAGGTTTTGGTTTACTTATTAATTTACCTTCATTTTTACTCCAGCAGAAATCATTTATAGTGGTAGTGTTTCTCTGCTATGTTTTTGTCTGTATTCTCCTCTCTGCTTCTAAGACTTCTTCTTTCCTTTCTGCTGTGCATTAAATCTGCCAGTATAAACCTAGCATAAAGATTTTATTCTAGCAACTTTCTACTGTTGCTTCAAAAAAATTAAAATGTATTATGGAGATACCAGAGGTAAATCTCTATTTCTCTCTGAGAAAAGTGGCAAGGAGATTATTTTACCTAAGGCTGGAGTCAGTTGCATTTCTTCTTCAGTAGTGATTGGTTTGGTTTCATTTCAGCTCACACTGCCCTAGTCCATTCAGAGAGAAAATAGAGATGATGTTTTACAAGTATATATGGTCATTATCAAAATTATATAAAAATTACATTAAAATTCTGCCTGATAGTCCAGGGAATGCATCTGACATTGAAATAGCAAAACCTGTATTTTACTCCAATTTTTGTAATTAATAACATTGAAACCCATAAACTGATAATATTAAATGCACAGTTATTATATGACAATGGGTTTTTCATGCATTTTCTTTACTTTTTCTTTTCTTCTTGAGACAAGTTCTCACTTTGTTGCCCAGACTGGAGTGCAGTGGCACAGTAATGGCTCACAGCAGCCTCGAACTCCCAGGCTCAGGTGATCTCCCCACTTCAACTTCTGAGTAGCTGGGATTACAAGCATGCACCACTACGCCTGGTTAATTTTTGTATTTTTTGTAGAGACGGGGTTTCACCATGTTGCCCAGGCTAGTCTCAAACTCCTGGCCTCAAGTGATCTGCCCATCTCGGCCTCCCAAAGTCCTGGAACTACAGGCATGAGTCCCTGAGCCCAGACTTTTTATGCATTTTCTATTGCTATATTGCCAATTGAGCAGGACTCTGAGAGGCAGCCTCTACATCTTTAGGCTGGTCATACTTATCTCCCCCAAGGATGTCACACATCCTTACATGTGACTGTTACCTCTGCCAGGGAACTCTTCTTCATCAGCTTCAAATACTCACGAGATAACATCAGTCCACTTTGTTTTATTTCTAACTTCTATGGCAATGGAGAAAAGTCTGCCCTCAAGAAAAGCTTTTGTTTTTCTGCACTGCAGACTAAACTGAAGTCCTTTTACATTGTCACCCTAGAATATTTATAATCCACCCCTCATGCTTCAAATGTCTTTGTGTCTCTGCTGAGCTACTTTCAAAATTATTTTAAAGTTGAATTTTAGACTTGTATACCATTCCAGTGTTTTCTCTGTGAAGTCATAAACTTCTTGAGGGCAAGGGCCATGTCTTACATATTTTGGCATTATTACGGTGCCCTAAGAAGTGGTTTAAACTCAATAGTAATAAATCAATGTTGAGCAAATATATTTTATTCAACACATTCTTTTACAGAGCTCACTAGAGGTGGAAGCCATTCTGTGTGTTTAAAAATATTAACTCGACTAAATTTTAAAGTATTATTTTCAACCCCATTTCACAGATGAGGAAATCAAGGCACAGAGAATTCTGAAAACTACCCAAAGTTGATATAGGTAAAGGTAATAAGTACCTGAGCCAGGATTTAAACCCTGGCAGTGTGACTCTAGGTGCTCCCTGTGTTCTTGATCACCCTCTACCTGGTCTCTCTCTGAGTGAGTAAATACATGAAGGCATGAACAGGCCATCCTTGAATAAATTGTTCATAGTATTATATTACATTGCCTTATAATGACAGATTGCTTTCTCCTTAATTACACTGGAATGAAGTGTTGCCCATTTTCTACTTACATAATCTGTACTCTCATCAAGAACCTTATTTCAGTTTCTATCTGTTCTTTTTTCTCTCTTTTATACTTATTCACATCCATGTCCAGTTAATTTCTAAGACATAGCATCCTTTTTCCAGTTTATCATAGTCATAATAGATTTTGATGTTAGGCCTTTTGCCAGATGCTGCCTTCCAAAATTATACATCATCTGCAAATTTAATCATGTACTTTCAATTTCACCAGTGACAAAAATTCTTTGGGGCATATTAATCATGTTAATTGTTGACATGTCATGCAATTTTCTACTTGTTTAGACTAAAAAATTAGTCCTGAGCTCTCTGAAAATAAACAATTCTTAAAAAGTATACTGCATAAATAATATTTCTATGATTCAGAGCCTGGCACTAGGAATTTATCTGACAACAAAAATATACATATGGCAGGTAGAAACTTATTATACCAAGTCAAATGTGACTAAGAAATATTTTTTTATTTTATTTTTTAGTGTATAAAACAATCAGCTTAAGTAATATAAGGACCACATTTGGCCAGACTAGTGAGATGTTAAGTCTTGGTTCATTGTTGAGGTTTCATCTCCTTCTTTAATGGTCCCATGAGAACCCAGAGGCTTAAGAGATACCTGAAGGATATGGAAAGGTGTCTAGTCCTTCATTACAGTGTGGTCGTCATGGATGTCTTCATTGTGTAAGCCTGTTTGTTCCTCTGAAGTCCAAGGGCAACTCGCTCATAGGCCATATGTGGGGCATAGGAATGTCTGCCAAGACTGTTCCAACATGCCTGGGATCCAGCCTCCCTAGATATGCTCAGACATTTCTTTCTGATGTTCTGCCATTTGCCCAGAGAGCTATCAGGATCAAAGTCTCCCACTAGGTGAGGTACTTGCATGCCCCTCTCTTTCCCAAGCTAGGGAATATCTTCCTTTCACCTCTTCTTATGTTGAGACACACCCTGCTGTTCTGTTCCCTCCTTGGAATATGCAGCATAATTCCTTCTATGAGTTTAGGTGTTTACAAAAAAAAAAACCAGAAAGAGCCAATGACTATAAGGAAGAGTCATCTGAGTAACAATCTTTCTTTAGGAGCTGAGTGAAGTGGCTTATGCCTGTAATCTCAGCACTTTGGGAGGCCAAGGCAGGAGGATCATTTGAGCGCAGGAGTTCAAAACCAGCCTGGGCAATAAAGCAAGATCCCATCTCTACTATAGATGTATATGTCTATGTGTATGTGTGTGTGTGTGTGTGTGTGTGTGTGTGTGTGTGTGTATTTGCATGTAAGTACATACATATATTTGCATGTATATATATATATTTGTTTCCTCCTCTTGGGCAAGGAAGCACAGAAGCTGGTTCCCAGAAGTGGAGAAGGAAAAATACAGGGAGGAAAAAACTAAATTAGTATTGGAAGAAATTACCCTGACATACTTGGGGACAGGGTATTGCTTTTAGTTTGCTCCCAGTTTTAGCCAAGGAAATAAGATGTATTCATCAAACAAACATATCAACACGTGACCCTACAAAGTGAGTACTAACTATCAACTAAATTATAAGAAGTTCAGAGAACAGGATTTATCAGTTGTACACTGAACTTTCTGGGACTGGCTAAAAAGAAATCTGGCTTAGGGGAGACTTTCAGGAAAAAAAAATGAGCCAAGTTTGAACAAAAAAACTTGTTCAGCCATTTCATTAAAGAATCATGCAAGGAGAAAGCTGTAGAAATGCAGAAGCTAAGAAAAATCAGATACAATCTTAAAATTGGCACTTTTTTGAAAGACATCCCATGCTCATGGATCAACAGAATTAATATTGTTAAAATGACAATATCAAGCAAAGTAACCTACAGGTTCAATGCAATCCTTATCAAAATACCAATGACATTCTTTATATAAATAGAAAAAAAATCTAAGATTGATATGAAACCACAGAAGACCCCAAATAGCCAAAGCAATCTTGAACAAAAAGAAAAAGGCTGGGGGCATTACACTACCAGACTTTAAAATATACTACAAAGCTGTAGTAGGCAAAGCAGCATGAAACTATCATAAAAACAGACACATAGACCAATGGAAAAGAACAAAGAATGTAGAAATTAATATGTGTATCAACAGCCCACTGATTTTTGACAAAGGTGTAAATAACACTCATTGGGAAAAGGAGAGTCTTTTCAATAAATGATGCTGGGAAAACTGAATATCCGTATGCAGAAGAATGAAAATAGACCCCTACCACTCACCCTCTACAAAAATCAACTCAAAATAGATCAAAGACCTAAACATAAAACATGAAACTATAAAAATACTGAAAGAAAACATAAGGAAGATAATTTAGGACATTGGTCTGGGAAAAGATTTTATGAGTAAGACCTAAAAAAGCACATATAACACAAGCAAAAATAAACAAGTGGAATTATATCAAACTAAAAAGCTTCTGCATGGCACAAGAAACAATCAACACAGTGAAAAGCCAACCTACAGAATGGGAGACAATATTTACAAACGATGCATCCACAGGGAATTAATAACCAGAATATACAAAGAACTCAAGCATCTCAAGAGTGAAAAAACAAACGACCTGATGAAAAAAATTGCAAATAATTTTTACAGACATTTCTCAAAAGAAGATATACAGATCGCCAACAAATATGTGAAAAAATGCTCAACATCACTAATCATCAGAGAAATGAAAATCAAAACCACAATGAAGTATGTCATCTCACTCTGGTTTGGTGGCTATTACCAAAAAGACAAAAGTAACAAATGCTGGCCAGGATGTGGAGAAAAGAGAAGTTATACACTATTGGTAGAAATGTAAACTATTATAGCCACTATGAAGATCAGTATGGAGGTTCCTTAAAAAACTACAAATAGAATTACCATGTGATCTAGCAATATCACTACTGCTGATTTATCTGAAGGAAACAAAATCAGTATACGGAAGAGACATCTGCTCATCCATGTTTACTTTATCACTATTCACAATAGCCAAGATATGGAATCAACCTATGTGTCCAACAACAGATGAATGGAAAATAAAAATGTGGCATATATACACAATTAAATACTATTTAGTCATAAGACATAATAAAAATCCTGTCATTCCTGGCAACATGGATGGAACTGGAGGACAGCATAATAAGTGAAATAAGCCAGGAACAGAAAATTAAATAGTGAATGTCCTTACTTTTATGTGGAAGCTAAAAAGGTTAATCTCATGGAAGTGAAAAGTAGAACAGAGGATATTAGAGGATGGGAAGGAGAGGAGAAAGGAAAGGATAGGGAGAGACTTATTAAAGAATACAAAATTACAACTAGATAAGAAGAATAAGTTCTAGTGTTCTATACCACTGTATGATGACTATAGTTAACAATAATACAGGGAGATCTTCCAAGATGGCTGAATAGGAACAGCTCCGATCTGCAGCTCCCAGCAAGATTGATGCAAAAGATGGGTGATTTCTGCATATCCAACTGAAGTACCTGGTTCATCTTATTGAGACTGGTTGGACAGTGGGTGCAGCCCATGGAGGGTGAACTGAAGCAGGGCAGGGCATGGCCTCACTGGGGAAGCACAAGAGGTCAGGGGATTTCCCTTTCCTAGCCAAGGGAAGCCGTGAGAGACTGTACCAGGAGGAATGGTACACTCCTGCCCACATACAGTGCTTTTCCCATGGTCTTCACAACTAGAAGACCAGGAGATTCCCTCCAGTGCCTGGCTCAGCAGGTTCCATGCCTACGGAGCCTAGCAAGCTAAGATCCATTGCCTTGAAATTCTCCTGCTAGCACAGTGGTCTGCAATGGACCTGGGATGCTGGAGCTTGGAGGGGGAGACGCATCCGCCATTGCTGAGGCTTGAGTAGGCAGTTTTATGCTCACAGCATAAACAAAGCTGCCGGGAAGCTCAAACTGGGTGGAGCCCACTGCAGCTCACCAAGGTTGACTGCCTCTCTAGATTCCACCTCTGTGGGCAGGGCATATCTGAACAAAAGGCAGCAGGCCCAGTCAGGGACTTATAGATATAACCCTCAACTCCCTGGGACAGAGCACCTGGGGGAAGGGGCAGCTGTGGGCACAGCTTCTGCAGACTTAAACGTCCCTGTCTGACAGCTCTGAAGAAAGCAATGGTTCTCCCAGCATGGCGTTCAATCTCTGATAATGGACAGACTGCCTCCTCAAGTGTGTCCCTGAGGCCCATGTAGCCTGACTGGGAGACATCTCCGAGTAGAGGCTGATAGACACCACATTCTGGGACAAAGTTTCCAGAGGAAGGATCAGGCAGCAATATTTGCTATTCTGAAGCCTCCGCTGATGATACCCAGGCAAACAGGGTCTGGAGTGGACCTCCAGCAAACTCCAACAGACCTGCAGCTGAGGGGCCTGTCTGGTAGAAGGAAAACTAACAAACAGAAAGGAATAGCATCAATGTCAACAAAAAGGACATCCACACCAAAATCCCATCCATAGGTCACCAACATCAAATACCAAAGGTAGATAAAACCACAAAGAGGGGAAAAACCAGAGCAGAAAGGTTGAAAATTCCTGAAGCCAGAATGTCTCTTCTCCTCCAAAGGATCACAACTCCTTACCAGCAAGGGACCAAAACTGGATGGAGAATGAGTTTGCTGAGTTGACAGAAGTAGGCTTCAGAAGATGGGTAAGAACAAACTTCTCCGAGCTAAAGAAGCATGTTGTAACACATTGCAAGGAAGCTAAAAACTTTGAAAATGGATATGGCTAACTAGAAGAACCAGTGTAAAGAAGAATATAAATGACCTGATGGAGCTGAAAAACACAGCATGAGAACTTCATGAAGCATACACAAGCTTCAATAGCTGATTCGATCAAGTGGAAGAAAGGATATCAGAGATTGAAGATCAAATTAATGAAATAAAGCGAGACGACAAGATTAGAGAAAAAAGAGTGAAAAGAAATGAACAAAGCCACCAAGAAATATGGGACTATGTGAAAAGACCAAATCTATGTTTGATTGGTGTACCTGAAAGTGACAGGGAGAATGGAACCAAGTTAAAAACCCTATTCAGGATATTATCCAGGAGAACTTCCCCAACCTAGCAAGACAGGCCAACATTCAAATTCAGGAAATATGGAGCAAAGATATTCCTTGAAAAGAGCAATCCCAAGACACATAATCGTCAGATTCACCAAGGTTGAAATGAAGGAAAAAATGTTAAGGGCAGCCAGAGAGAAAGGTCAGGTAAACCACAAAGGGAAGCCCATCAGACTAACAGTGGATCTCTCTGCAGAAACCCTACAAGCCAGAAGAGAGTGGGGGCCAAAATTCAACATTGTTAAAGAAAAGCATTTTCAACCTGGAATTTCATATCCAGCCAAACTAAGCTTCACAAGTGAAGGAGAAATAAAATCCTTTATAGACAAGCAAATGCTGAGAGATTTTGTCACCACCAGGCCTGCCCTAAAAGAGCTCCTGAAGGAAGCACTAAACATGGAAAGGAACAAACGGCACCACCCACTGCAAAAACATGCCAAATTGTAAAGACCATCAATTTTATGAAGAAACTTCATCAATTAATGAGCAAAATAACCAGCTAGCATCATAATGATAGGACCAAATACACACACGACAATATTAACCTTAAATGTAAATGAGGTAAATGCCCCAATTAAAAGACACAGACTGGCAAATTGGATAAAGACTCAGACCCATCAGTGTGCTGTACTCAGGAGACCCATCTCACGTGCAGAGACACATGAAATAAAGGGATGGAGGAAGATCTACCAGGCAAAAGGAAAGCAAAAAAAAAGGCAGGGGTTGCAATGCTAGTCTCTGATAAAACAGACTTTAAACCAACAAAGATGAAAAGAGACAAAGAAGGCCATTACATAATAATAAAGGGATAAACTCAATAAGAAGAGCTAATTATCCTAAATATATATGCAACCAATATAGGAGCACCCAGATTCATAAAGCAAGTTCTTAGAGACCTACAAAGAGAGTTAGACTCCAATACAATAATAATGGGAGACTTTAACACCCCACTGTCAATATTAGACAGATCAACAAAACAGAAAATTAAGAAGGATATCCAGGGCTTGAACTCAGGTCTGGACCAAGTGGACCTAATAGACATCTACAGAACTCTCTACCCCAAGTCAACAGAATATACATTCTTCTCAGCACCACATCACACTTATTCTAAAATTGACCACATAATTGGAAATAAAACACTCCTCAGCAAATGTAAAAGAACGGAAATCACAACAAACTGTCTCTCAGACCACAGTGCAATCAAACTAGAACTCGGGATAAAGAAACTAACTCAAAACTGCACAACCACATGGAAACTGAACAACCTGCTGCTGAATGATGACTGGGTAAATAACAAAATGAAGGCAGAAATAAAGATGCTCTTTGAAAACAATGAGAACAAAGACACAACATACCAGAATCTCTGGGACACAGCTAAGGCAGTGAGTAGAGGGAAATTTATAACACTAAATGCCCACAAGAGAAATCAGGAAAGATCTAAAATCGACACCCTAACATCAGAATTAAAAGAATTAGGAAAGCAAGAGCAAACAAATTCAAAAGCTAGCAGAAGACAAGAAATAACTAAGATCAGAGCAGAAGTGAAGGAAATAGAGACACAAAAAAACCTTCAAAACATCAATGAATCCAGGAGCTGGTTTGTTGAAAAGATCAACAAAATCGATAGACCGTTAGCAAGACTAATAAAGAAGAAAAGAGAGAAGAATCAAACAGACGCAATAAAAAATGATAAAGGGGATATCACCACCAATCCCACAGAAATACAAACTACCATCAGAGAATACTATAAACACTTCTATGCAAATGAATTAGAAAGTCTAGAAGAAATGTATAAATTCCCAGACACATACACTCTCCCAGAACTAACTAAGAAGTCGAATCTCTGAATAGACCAATAACAGGTTCTGAAATTGAGGCAATAATTAATGGTGTACCCACCAAAAAAGTCCAGGACCAGACGGACTCACAGCCGAATTCTACCAGAGGTACAAAGAGGAGCTGGTCCCATTCCTTCTGAAACTATTCCAATCAATAGAAAAAGAGGGAATCCTCTCTAACTCATTTTATGAAGTCAGCATCATCCTGATTGGCAGAGATACAACAAAAAAAAAGAAAATTTTAGGCCAATATCCCTGATGAACATTGAGGCAAAAATCCTCAATAAAATACTAGCAAAACAAATCCAGCAGCACATCAAAAAGCTTATCCATCTTGATCAAGTTGGCTTCATCCCTGGGATGCAAGGCTGGTTCAACATATGCAAATCAATAAACGTAAGCCATCACACAAACAGAACCAATGACAAAAACCACATGATTATCTCAATAGGTTCAGAAAATGCCTTGGACAAAATTCAACAGCCCTTCATGCTAAAAACTCTCAATAAACCAGGTATTGATGGACTGTATCTCAAGAGCTATTTATGACAAACCCACAGACAATATCATACTGAATGGGCAAAAACTGGAAGCATTCCCTTTGAAAACCAGCACAAGACAAGGAGGCCCCCTCTCACCACTCCTATTCAACATAGTATTGGAAGTTCTGGCCAGGGCAATCAGGCAAGAGAAAGAAATAAAGGGTATTCAATTAGGAAAAGAGGAAGTCAAATTGTCCCTCTTTGCAGATGACATGATTGTGTATTTAGAAAACCCCATTGTCTCAGCCCAAAATCTCCTTAAGCTGATAAGCAACTTCAACAAAGTCTCAGGGTACAAAATCAATGTGCAAAAATCACAAGCATTCCTATACACCAATAAGAGACAAACAGAGAGAAAAATCATGAGTGAACTCCCATTCACAATTGCTACCAAGAGAATAAAATACCTAGGAGCCCAACTTACAGAGGATGTGAAGGACCTCTTCAAGGAGAACTACAAACCACTGCTCAATGAAACAAGAGAGGACACTAACAAATGGAAGAACATTCCATGCTCATGGATAGGAAGAATCAATATTGTGAAAATGGACATACTGCCCGAAGTAATTTATATATTCAATGCTATCCCCATAAAGCTACCACTGACTTTCTTCACAGAATTGGAAAATACTACTCTAAACTTCATATGGAATCAAAAAAGAGCCCACATAGCCAAGACAATCTTAAGCAAAAAGAACAAAGCTGGAGGCATCACACTACCTGACTTCAAGCTATAATACAAGGCTACGGTAACCAAAACAGCATGGTACTGGTACCAAAACAAATATATAGTCCAGTGGAACAGAACAGAGCCCTCAGAAATAACACCACACATCTACAACAATTTGATATTTGACAGAGCTGACAAAAACAAGCAATGGGGATAGGATACTCTATTTAATAAATGGTGTTGGGAAAACTGGTTAGCCATATGTAGAAAGCTGAAATAGAATCCCTTCCTTACACCTTATACAAAAATTAACTGAAGACGGAATGAAGACTTAAATGTAAGACCTAAAACCATAAAAACCCTAGAAGAAAACCTAGGCAATACCATTCAGGACATAGGCATGGGCAAAGACTTCATGACTAAAACACCAAAAGCAATGCCAACAAAAGCCAGAATTGACAAATGGGATCTAATTAAACTATAGAGCTTAGGCACAGCAAAATAAACTATTAGCAGAGTGTACCAGTAACCTACAGAATGGGAGAAAATTTTTGCAATCTATCCATCTGACAAAGGGCTAATATCCAGAATCTACAAAGAACATAAACAAATTCACAAGAAAAACACAAACAACACCATCAAAAAGTGGGCAAAAGATATGAATAGACACTTGTCAAAGGAAGACATTTATGCAGCCAACAGACATATGAAAAAATGCTCATCATTACTGGTCATTAGAGAAATGCAAATCAAAACCACAATGAGACACCATCTCACGCCAGTTAGAATGTCAATCATTAAAAAGTCAGGAAACAATAGATGCTGGAGAGGATATGGAGAAATAGGAACACTTTTACACTGTTGGTGGGAGTGTAAATTAGTTCAGCCCTTGTGGAAGACAGTGTGGCGATTCCTCAAGGATCTAGAACTAGAAATACCATTTGACCCAGCAATCCCATTACTGGGTACACACCCAAAGGATTATAAATCATGCTATTATAAAGACACATGCACACATATGTTTATTGCAGCACTATTCACAATAGCAAAGACTTGGAACCAACCCTATTGTACATCAATGATAGACTGGATAAAGAAAATGTGGCACATATATCCCAAGGAATACTATGCAGCCATAAAAAAGGAAGAGTTAATGTTCTTTGCAGGGACATGGATGAAGCTGGAAGCCATCATTCTCAGCAAACTATCACAAGGACAGATAACAAAACACCACATGTTCTCACTCATAAGTGGGAGTTGAACAATGAGAACACATGGACACAGGGAGGGGAACATGACACACTGGGGTCTGTTAGGGGTGGGGGCTGGAGGAGCAATAGCATTAGGAGAAACACCTAATGTAAATGACAAGTTGATGGGTGCAGTGAACCAACATGGCATATGTATACCTATGTAACAAACCTGCATGTTCTGCACATGTATCCTAGAACTTAAATACATATATAAAAAAGAAGTTGCTTCTTATGGATGAGCAAAGAAAGTGGTTTCTTCAGATCTATTCTTCACAAAGATGCTGCGAACATTGTTGAAATGACAACAAAGGATTTAGAATATTCATACACTTAATTGATAAAGCAGTGAACCAGTGATGGGGTTTAAGAAGATTGCCTCCAATTTTGAAAAAAGTTTTACTGTTGGTCAAATGCTAACAAACAGCATTGCTACAGAGAAATCTTTCATGAAAGAAAGAGTCAATCAAAGAGGTAAACTTCATTGTTGTTTTATTTTAAGAAATTGCTGCAACCACCACAGCCTTCAGCAACCACTACCCTTAGGAGTCAGCAGCCATCAACACTAAGGAGAGGTTCTCCACCAGCAAAAAGATGACAGCTGGCTAGAGACACAGATGGTTGTTAGCATTTTTAGCAGTACAGTGTTTTTTAAATTAAACAAAATCAAATAAACAAAAAAAAACAATAGTACATTATGTAGTTTCAAATAGGAGGAGAATATTGAAAGTTTCCAACACAAATAAATGATAAATGTTTGAGATGATGGATATAATAATGACCCTGATCGGATCACTATACATTATTTGTATCAAAACTTTACTATGTACCCAAGATTATGTATAATTATTATTTGTCAATTAAAAAATAAAATAAAACAATTGTTACTTCTCTCCTCTTAAGGGGCCAAAAAGAAAATGACATTAAATAAAGAGAAAAGGTACATGTAAAAGCTGGTGTGTTTGCCAAATTTCTTTACAGTATAAGCTGTCCAGCCTTGGCTTTGATCTGGAATTTCTTAATCTGGGGATGCTGAAAGAAACAGTAACATTTGAATTCCTCAATCTAACTTACACCCGGCTTTTTATTACACCACTAATCACTCCACTAAACCAAAAGTCTGTACTCATCCTTACCCACTTAAAAACTGAACAGTTTTAATCCAGGAGAAAGGGATGGTGATCCAGAGGAGAGCATGTTATGACAATCACCGGCACCCAGACTTTCTTTGCTTTTGATAAACTTAAACTTTGGATGAGTCAATGTTTGAAACTTTCAAAAGCATTATAATAATTTATTTGAAGGCTCTTTGTGATTTGCATGCCAGGTTATTTAAAAGGTTAGGCTAGAGACTTAATCTCTAGAGGTCTGGCAAATAACCACTATCATTCAGTGGGGAACAGGGGCATGTCAATTTTCAGTTCTAATTTGTCCTCTAGTCAAGAACCCTGTACATCCTTTTCTTATTATACCTCTCACTTTAACAAGACTGTTTAACACACCATGATGAGGGTTCTGCAAGACAGGGAGAGCTAAAGAGCTACCCAGTAACAGCATTTTTATAGAATATATAAAATCTAGTACTTTAATCTGAAATAAACAATAATTGGATGTTGAGGGTATTTTTTCCACCAAAGTTGCCAAGAACTTCAAGGCAGTTTCTGTGAAAAACTGGAATAGATTTTTGTTGCCTATTTCCTCTACCTAAAAGGTGAGTGAAAAGACATATGTAGGATCACTGCTATATTTTATTAAATTTAAGATGAGCCATTATTTTATTTTCCACTAAGAAGAAGAAAAAAGCCTCCAATTAAACTGACAAAGTATTATCAGTTAGAATTTATACATTTGCATCTTACTGAAAAATTCTTTTAGACTCATTTTAGATACAGATTGTATTATACATTATAGTTTTCTGTTTATGTGCCTTTCTATGTGCATAATAAAATTTCAATGCTGATTCATGGTATAATCTTTTTGAAGACACTTTAAAAAGCAATTAAACTCAATCTTCATTAGTGTCTCCCTTATATGTAACTCTGGGGAAATGACAACAACATAAACAGCTATGACCCAGTTTGAATATGTGCAGGTGAGCAATCACTTCACAAGCACTCCCTGACTGTAACAACTGTAAGACACATTCCAGTTCAAAGGATAAAATATGCGCATCACAGAAGTAGTGAAATGTAGCATTTGGGGATGAATAAAGTCTTCCTACTGGAGATATTTTGAGTGTATTTGCATTATTCTGCATCTCCCTCTAAGAGTCTGCTGACCTTTGAATAAGACTTTGTGCCAGATCCTGTACAGAAACTTAAAGAGGTGGCAATCTTACACTGCTGGGGTCATCAGAAAGGAAAGGAAAGGGAAATAGAAGGGAACCACCAAGCTGATATTGAAGCCAAAAGAGCCGCAAGGCAGGACCCTCCATTAGAAATGCTTATAGAAGGACCCCTAGTATGGGATAATCCCCTCCAGGAAACCAAGCCCCAGTACTCAGCAGGAGAAATAGGATGGGGAACCTCATGAGGACATAGTTTCCTCCCCTCAGGATGGCTAGCCACTGAAGAAGGAAAAATACTTTTGCCTGCAGCTAACCAATGGAAATTACTTAAAACCCTTCACCACACCTTTCACTTAGGCATTGATAGCACCCATCAGATGGCCAAGTTATTATTTACTGGACCAGGCCTTTTCAAAACTATCAAGCAGATAGTCAGGGCCTGTGAAGTGTGCCAAAGAAATAATCCCCTGCACTGCAGGCCATACATTTCAATCCCTGTATCTTTAACCTCCTTGTTAAGTTTGTCTCTTCCAGAATCAAAGCTGTAAAACTATAAATGGGTCTTCAAATGGAGCCCCAGATGCAGTCCATGACCAAGATCTACTGTGGACCCCTGGACCAGTCTGCTAGCCCATGTTCCGATGTTGATGACATCAAAGTCACCCCTCCTGAGGAAATCTCAACTGCACGACCCCTACTATGCCCCAATTCAGCAGGAAGCAGCTAGAGAGGTTGTCAGCCAGCCTCCCCAACAGCACGTGGGTTTTCCTGTTGAGAGTGGGGACTGAGAGACAGGACTAGCTGGATTTCCTAGGCCAACTAAGAATCCCTAAACCTAGCTGGGAAGGTGACCGCATCCACCTTTAAACACAGGGCTTGCAACTTAGTTCACACCCGACCAATCAGGTAGTAAAGAGAGCTCACTAAAATGCTAACTAGGCAAAAACAGGAGGTAAAGAAATAGCCAATCACCTATTGCCTGAGAGCACAGGGGGAGGGACAATGATCGGGATATAAACCCAGGCATTCGAGCCGGCAACGCCTATCCCCTTTGGGTCCCCTGCCTTTGTGTGGGAGCTCTGTTTTCACTCTATTAAATCTTGCAACTGCAAAAAAAAAAATAAATAAATAAAAAATAAAAATAAAAAAAAGACTTTGTGCCAGATTTTCACATTTAAGATAATGCTACTCTATCATAAACTTCGAGTTGCTTTTGTAGTTAGAGGAGTGCAGTCATGACTAATTGACATCCTACACCCAGCTCCCTTACGTAGAGATGGTTTGGTTTCAGAATATGTATTTTATTCCACACAAATCCATATGCATAGTTTTGATATGTCATTGTAGTCCAAAGATGAAGGTGGCCCATTGCTTAAGATTTCTAATCAGATGCTTGCAAGTGGTTGTTAAAACCTTCCACAAAGTTTGGATATTTAAAAGGAGACTCGAAGGTAAGTTTGGAGGTGGACCTTAGATGCTAATGAGAGCCAAATTGATATCAATAAAACATAGGAGAAATTTGGTTATTTCAGTTGGAAATCAAAAAGAGAGAAAATGGAGAGAAGACAAAGATACTCTGTGAGGTGACATTTCTCCAGGGTGTTCCTAATTAAAGCAGATGAACGTTCCTTTTAAAGGCCTTAAAGTTGCTTTTGTTTGTGTTACCCCACACGTGCTTTGTCCTCTAGTGAATAGTATCCTTTGGAGTATGAATGGATAAGATCCAGCATTATCTGGCCAGGCAGGGCTCTAGAAGGAGGCAAGTGAGTCTTGCGTCGTCAGGTGGATGTGACTGAGAACTGTGGGAGTGAGGGGCTCCAGCCCGGGACTAGGTGAGTTAGCTTTGTGGATCATGAAGATGGAAGCCCACAGCTAGATGCTGCAGGAGCAAGAACCATGGCCAAGGTCTGTATTGGTCTAGCAAAGACAAGAGGAGATCCTTGCTTAAAACACAGAATGAGATACATGCACAGGAATGAAACCCAAGTGTTCTATCAGCTGTTGGCCAGGAAAGCCAGAATTAATTCTTATATAAGACTAGGTGAGCTAACTCCCCTAGTACCAGGCTACAGCCCCTCACTCCCACAGTTCTCAGTCTACCTAAAAGGTGAGTGAAAAGACATATGTAGGATCACTGCTATATTTTATTAAATTTTAGATGTGCCATTATTTTATTTTCCACTAAGGAGAAAAAAATGCCTCCAATTAAACTGACAAAGTATTATCACTTAGAATTTATACATTTGCCTCTTATTTTAGACTCATTTTAGATATAGATTTTATTATGTATTATAGTTTTCTGTTTATGTGCCTTTCTATGTGCATAATAAAATTCCAATGCTGATTCATGGTATAATCTTTTTGAAGACACTTTAAAAAGCAATTAAACTCAATCTTCATTAGTGTCACCCTTACATGTAACTCTGGGGAAATGACAACAACATAAACATAACCTGGACGTTGTGAGCAACATGTAAACAATACTTCATCTCACTCATTCAGTTGGCTACAACTATCCGGCTTTATTTCTGGGTTCTCTATTCTGTTCCATTGGTCTATGTGCTTATTTTTATACCAATACTATGCTGTTTTGGTAAATATAGCCTTGTAGTATAATTTAAAGTCAGGTAATGTGATGCCTCCAGATTTGTTCTTTTTGCTTAGTCTTGCTTTGACTATGTGGGCTCTTTTTTGGTTCCACAGGAATTTTAAGATTCTTTTTTCTAGTTCTGTGAATAATGATGATGGTATTTTGATGGAAATTGCACTGAATTTGTAGATTGCTTTTGGCAATATGCTCATTTTCACAAAATTGATTTTACCCATCCATGAACATGGGATGTATTTCCATTTGTGTTGTCTATGATTTCTTTCAGCAGTGTTTCATAGTTTTTCATGTAGAAGTTTTTCACCTCCTTGGTTAGATATATTCATAAGTATCTAATGTTATTTTTGCAGCTGCGGTAAAAGGGGCTGAGTTCTTGATTTGAGTCTCAGTTTGGTCACTGTTGGTGTATAGCAGTGCTACCGATTTGTGTACATGATTTTGTATTCTTAAACTTTACTGAATACATTTATCAGTTTTAGGAGCTTTTTGGATAAGTCTTTAGGGCTTTTTAGGTATATGATCATATCATCAGTGAACAGGAACAGTTTTACTTCCTCTTTACTGATTTGGATGCCCTTTATTTCTTTGTCTTTTCTGATTTCTCTGGCTAGAACTTCTGATACTATGTTGAATAGAAGTGGTGAAAGTCAGCATCCTTGCCTTGTTCCAGTTCTCAGGGGTAATGTTTTCAACTTTCCCCCATTCAGTATAATGTTGGCTGTGGGTTTGTCATAGATGGCTTTATTACCTTGAGGTATGCCCCTTCTATGCTGATTTTGCTGAGGGTTTTAATCATAAAGGGATTCTGGATTTTGTCAAGTGCTTTTTTCTGCATCTATTGAGACGATCATGTGATATTTGTGTTTAATTCTATTTATGTGATGCACCACATTTATTGGCTTGCGTATGTTAAACCATTCCTGCATCGCTAGTAGGAAACCCACTTGATCATGGTGCATTATCGTTTTGATATGCTGTTGGATTCAGTTAGGTAGTATGTTGTAGAGAATTTTTGCATCTATGTTCATCAGGAATATTGGTCTGTAGTTTTCATTTTTGTTATGTGCTTTCCTGGTTTTGGTATTAGGGTGATACAGGTTTCACATAATGATTTAGGGAGGATTCCCTCTTTCTCTATCTTTGGAATAGTTTTAGTAAGACTGGTACCAATTCTTTTTTGAATGCCTGATAAAATTCATCTGTGAATCCATCTAGACTTTTTTTTGTTGCTAATTTTTTTATTACCAATTCAATCTCACTGACTGTCATTGGTCTGTTTAGAGTTCCTATTTCTTCCTGTTTTAATCTAGGAGGGTTGTATCTTTCCAGGAATTTATCCATGTCCTCTAGATTTTCTAGTTTGTGCACATAAAGGTGTTCATACCAGCCTTGAATAATCTTTTGTATTTCCGTGGTATTGGTTGTAATATCTCCTAGTTCATTTCTAATGGAGCGTATGTGGACCTTTACTTTTCCTGGTTAATCTCACTAGTGGTCTATCAATTTTCTTTATCTTTCCAAAGAACCAGCTTTTTGTTTCATTTATCTATTGTGTTGGTTTTTTGTGTTTGTTTGTTTCAATTTCATTTAGTTCTGCTCTGTTCTTTATTGCTTCTTTTCTTCTGCTGGGTTTGGTTTGTTCTTGTGTCTCTAGTTCCTTGAGATGTGACCTTAAATTGTTTATTTGTGCTCTTCCAGACTTTTTGATGTAGGCATTTAATGCTATGAACTTTCCTCTTAGCACTGCTTTTGCTGTGTCCCAAAGTCTTTGATAAGTTGTATCACTATTATCATTAAATGCAAAGAATTTTTTAATTTCCATCTTGATGTCATTGTTCACCCAGATGTCATTTAGGAGCAGATTATTTAATTTCCATATATTTGTACAGTTTTGAGGGTTCCTTTTGGAACTAATTTCTAATTTTATTCCACTGTGGCCTCAGAGGGTACTTGATATAATTTTGATTTTCTTAAATTTGTTGGGAATTGTTTTGTGGCCTACTATATGTTCTAACTTGGAGAATGTTCCATGTGCTGATGAAAAGAATGCATATTCTGCAGTTGTTACATAGAATGTTCTGTAAATAACTGGTGAGTTCATTTTTTCTAGGGTATAGTTTAAGTCCATTGTTTCTTTGTTGACTTTCTGTCTTGATGACCTGTCTAGTGTTGTCAGTGGAGTATTGAAGTCCTCCACTGTTATTGTGTTGCCATCTGTCTCATTTCTTAGGTCTAGTAATAACTGTTTTTTAAATTTGGTAGCTCCCATGTTAGGGTGCATATATATTTAGGATTGTGATATTTTCCTGTGGGACTGGTCATTTTATTGTTTTATAATGCCCCTCTTTGTCTTAACTGTTGTTGCTTTAAAGTCTGTTTTGTCAGATGTAAAGATAGCTACTCCTGCTCACTTTTCATTTCCATTTGCAAGGAATATCTTTTCTCACCCCTTTACCTTAAGTTCATGTGAGTCCTTATGTGTTAGGTGAGTCTCTTCAAGACAGCAGATACTTGGTTGGTGGACTTTTATCTATTCTGACATTCTGTATCTTTTAAGTGAACCATGTGGGCCATTTACATTCAATGTTAGTGTTGAGAATTGAGGTATTGTTTTATTCATCGTGCTAGTGGTTGCTTGACACCTTGTTTTTTTTTATTGTGTTATTGTTATATAGGCCCTCTGAGATTTACACTTTAAGGAGGTTCTATTTTGGTGTATTTTGAGGTTTTGTTTCAAGATTTAGAACTCTTTTTAGTATTTCTTATAGTTCTGGCTTGGTAGTGGCAAATTCTCTTAGCACTTGTTTGTCTGAAAAATACTTTATCTTGTTTTCATTTATGAAGCTTAGTTTAGCTGGATACAAAATTCTTGGCTGGCAATTATTTTGTTTGAAGAGACTAAAGAAAGGACCCCAACACTTTTTGGCTTGTAGGGTATCTACTGAGAGCTTTGCTGTTAATCTGATAGGTTTTTCTTTATAGGTTACCTCATGCTTTTACCTCACAGCTCTTAAGATTCTTTTCTTTCTCTTGACTTTAGATAATCTGATGACTATGTGCCTGGGTGATGATCTTTTTGCGACGAATTTATAACAGTGCTATTAATTTATTCCACTAATTCTGTTGATGCTAAACTTCAGACTGAAGACAATGCAAAAAATTTTTAAATTATACTTTAAGTTCGGGGATATATGTGCAGAACGTGCAGGTTTGTTATATAGGTATACATGTGCTATGGTGGTTTTCTGCACCCACCAATCCGTCATCTAGGTTTTAAGCCCCACAGGTTCTCACTCATAAATAGGAGTTGAACAATATGAACACATGGACACAGGGAGGGGAACATCACACAGCGGGGTCTGTTGGGGTGGGGGCAAGTGGAGTGATAGCATTAAGACAATGCAAATTCTTCATACAGGAACAAAAGAATAATTAGCAGCCATGATTGACAAGGAAATTGAGGACTGCGTGTTACATTGTAAACCCTGAGAGTAAGAAAACATGCCCAGTATTGGATAATGATTATGAAGAGTACTCAAGAAAATAAATAAAATGGACTGTGTTGTTTTAAAAGAAAGACTGTTAACGCCGGGCACAGTGGCTCACGCCTGTAATCCCAGCACTTTGGGAGGCCAAGGCGGGTGAATCACAAGGTCAGGAGATCAAAACCATCCTTGCTAACACGGTGAAATCTCATCTCTACTAAAAATACAAAAAATTGGCCGGACCTGGTGGCAGGTGCCTGTAGTCCCAGCTACTCAGGAGGCTGAGGCAGGAGAATGTCGTGAACCCAGGAGGTGGAGTTTGCAGTGAGCCAAGATCGCACCACTGCACTCCAGCCTGGGCGACAGAGTCAGACTCCATCTCAAAAAAAATAAAAATAAAAATAAATAAATAAAATAAAGACTGTTATTCCCTCCTCTCAGATGTAAATAAAATTATATTTCTTAAGTTACTGAAACTTAGAAGCATTTCCAGCAACTGTGGTAATAAGCTGGACAATGGCTTGCATGGGAATCATAAACTTCCTTACTTATAATATCTTGATTCTTAGTTAAATAAAGATACTTCCTCTAAGGGGTACACTACCAAATGTAACATTGTCAATATAATATTTTTACTATTATCTGGTTCAAGCCAGATCCCTTCTTGTTTGTTTTTAGTAAAGGCTAAAACCACTAATCTGATTATACAACACTGAGAACTACAGATAGTATAGTACTATATAGCCCTACTCTGAAAACAGAAGTTCATCACTTTTGTTCTTCTTTGAATCTTGGAAAAATTCCCTAAAAACTTTCTGAGCTAGAAGAAACCTTCACAAGTAGGACATTTTCCCATTTACTTCATATGTCAGGTTTTGGCCAGGGCAACAAGGGCACCATATTGCTATACTTTAGAGTCCTTTAACCTCTGGGTCAGGATGATGGTGATGTTTGCTAATGGTACATTCTTTAAGTCACAAATGAGAATGGATCCCTGCTGAACCCCCCACACCCCTCCTAATTGTATAGAGGGCAAAAGGGAGAGAAGGGAGTAAAGGTAACTACACAAACAATTTGAGAATCTCTCAGAATATAATAAATGATAATATTACAATCCCACCCACATTCCATTAGCCAGGACTCATTCACATGGCCACAACCTAACTGCAAGGGAAGCTGTAAAGTATAGCCTTCCTTTGTGTCTAGAAAAAGAAAATTGGATAGTGAACACAGCATTGTTGCATTTATAAGAGCAACTCAACCTCAAGAATAATTAGAGGGATGAAAATTCAAACAGTAAATACAATTTAACCCATTAATTGTCAAGAATTAGAAATTAAAATAATATAAAGGTGGGATGTGGAAATAGAAACAGACATAGACTAGGGGTGGGTTTCTGAATTCATTCTGGTGAGCAGCTAGTGCACTTGAATATGCACATACCCTAAGATCCAGCAATTCTATTTCTGAGTAAATGCTCTATAGTAATTTTTGTATAGATGTCCAAGGAGATTTATATAAGAATGTTGTTTACAGAGTTATGGGTAAAAGTCAAGGCAATGAGAAGGTCTATCAATAAGAAAATACATAAGCAAAATGGAGCATATATCCAATCAGTATAATAATACATAGTGATCAGAAGCAATTAATATACAAAAATATAAACAGATTTTTATGTAAATTTTGCATAAAATTTTAAAAAATATAATAATACTATATATTAGGATGCATATTTTATAAAAATAAGTGAAAGTTGGAATGCAAGGACATGCACAGAATGGGTGCCTATGAGGTGGAAGGGGAATGGTATTGTCTTAGCCCATTTTCTGCTGCTATAACAGAATATCACAGACTGGGTAATTTATAGACAAAAGAAGTTTATTTGGCTCAATGTTCTGGAGGCTGGGAAGTTTAAGAGCATGGCCTCAGTATCTGGTTAGGGTTATCCCATGGCAGAAGGCAGAAGGCAAGAGAGCAGGTGTGAGAGGGTTTGCTTTTTCTCATGAGAACTGACCTACTCCTGCACTAACAGCAATAATCCATTCATGAGGATGGAGCCACTAAGATCTAATCACTGCTTAAAAGTCCCACCTCTTAATGTTGTTACAATGGCAATTAAATTCCAACATGAGTTTGCAGGTATACATTCAAACCAAAACATGGAGGAAGATAGAAAATAAAAAAAATTCCAAAAAGAAGTGGGCAGACCCAGACTTATACTTAGTAGTGTCTCATCAGCTAGGAAGTCTAATTAACAAATTCTGGCTATCTGAGGTTTAGCTCTATTACCTCTGTATACAAACTGTGAGAACCATGGGAGAAATTCAGATTAGGGGATTATGTTGTATGATCATTTCTTCTACTTCTGGTTTTGTTGTTGTTGTTTGTTTTTTGGTTTTTGGTTGTTTTTTTTTTTTTTTTTTTTGAGACAGAGTCTCACTATGTCACCTATGCTGGAGTGCAGTGGAGCGATCTCAACTCACTGCAACCTCCACTTCCTGGGTTCAAGCAATTCTACTGCCTCAGCCTCCCAAGTAACTGGCTGAAACTACAGGCGTGTGCCACCATGCCTGACTTTTTTTTTTTTTTTTTTGTATTTTTAGTAGAGATAGGGTTTCACCAGGTTGGACAGTCTGGTCTCGAACTCTTCACCTCAAGTGATCTGCTTGCCTTGGCCTCCCAAAGTGCTGGGATTACAGGTGTGAGCCAATACGCCGAGTCCATTTCTTCTACTTCTAAGTGGCATTTAAATTATACATGTTTGGATTTAGCTTCCACACATTCTTTGAATTCTATGCCACTAATAGTTTAAGAAGCAGGATTGCTGAAGGAACCAGAGAGATTATCTGGTCCAATCTTATTTCACAGATAAGGAAACTGAGACTTCAAACAGGAAATCTCCAAGGCCTCCTTTTAGTTCTTGGCTTCTTTTTATATGTGCATTTTATTTAAGTTCATTTGAAGAATCTGTTTCCTTTTCTGAACGCTATCTTTCTTCTCTGCAGGATAGCTTTCAGATTCAGGAAAAACAGGAGGCTGAAGAGGATTCAAACCAAAGCTATTTTAAGTGTAAGAATCTAGGCAGATAAATAAGAACATGTTTTTTAACTTACTTAAATTGTGTGCATCTGCATTTATTTGTTTTCAGATTTTGGATGTTCTGTGGGTGGTAGCCCAGGATAAAACACACACAGACATTTGCTTTGGGGCTGCACAGCACAAATAGCATTACCACTGCAGAAAGGAATGTAAAAGCAAAAAGCCAACAATGGGTCAGAATACAGATTTGCAGGCAGTCTAGGCACACGGAAGGTCCATGATTTTCCTCTATCTTTTCCTCCCCTTGGAAGTGAGTCTTCAAAAGAAGCAAACATCTTATTAGTACTTTTAACTAACTACTGCTCTGTGTCCTGGTTACAGTCATCTACTGCCAAGTTGCTATTTGGACAACAATTAATTATCAGCTGTCTGGACTAGCTCATCATAAACATATTACAGTGTTTCATCACTCATGTTTTATTTAATTTCACTTGTCATCAAGGTCCTTGATTGGAGCTTTATGATTTTTTTTTTTTTTTTGAGAGAGGTGATTTTTACTTCTGTTGGAAACTGCCTGTGATTGATCTTATATTTTTCCACAAAGGCATGGATGATCCTCTCTCACCCAACAACATGGCTAAGGCCTGGTGCTCTCTATGGAAGCTCCAAGCAGGAGCTGGACCATTTATTCTAATCATAATGCTAAAGAAGCTAAATGAGAGACACATGAGGATGTTTGGGTGGTATAATCTGTCTTCAGTTACTAATGACATTTCCAGTGTGGAATTGCTAATAGGAAGGCCTCAGGACCACTTCACAAATTTCAGATGGGAGAAATTAGTGAGCACCCATGTAGGTTTTGTGAACAAGGAAAATTTAAAACATGAGATAGTTTTCCATGGAGATGTTTGTATCTTGCCCAATGCTCTGGCAATGATACAGAGCACCCATACTCAACACAAAAAAAAATCTTATGCAAACACTGAAATACACCAAATGATTTTCTCATTACACAGATCACAGGTCTTCTGGTCAGCCTCATAGTGAGGCCAGTGGAATAACTTGGACCAAGCCCTGAAGCTGACACTCAGGTAAGTGGGGACAGGTGTATGAGAGATCTTCTACTGAGATATGTGTCAGTCAGCCAAACACACTCACAGCATGTCCCTGGTCCTCTTCTAACATGGACAAGGTGCATGTGAAATACGCTTCCTCCAGAGGGAAACCACACTCTCCAATGAATTCCTTGATCATAGCCCGTGGGTTTTGTTCCCAGCCAGAAAGGGTAGATTTTGCCCACTGATTATCCAAAGGGATTGAGAAAAGAGCTTTCTATTTGAAGATGCTTCTTGTCATATGAGGCTTTTCAGTCCAACTTTAGGGTTTCCTTCTTTGACGAGGGTTGGAGGAAGGTAAGAATTAAACAATGGGACAAAAGTCTAAAGTCTGTACATATACCACACGCTTAAAACATGAATTTGCCCAAAGACTTTATATCTATAATTTCCCCCAATCAGGTATTATGCACCCATGGCCAGCGTTCTTTGGAGCTGATTCTAACTTTCTAAGAATATTTGAAACAACCCTGTTACTTAGCTCAGGATGATCTGCTTTTGTACATACAAGAGAAAGAGAGAAGGAACTTGAGCTGCAAAAACAGTTAATAAAACTATGTCTTGTTATGAAAGAAACAGCATAATATTAATAATAACCATGTCTTTCATTAGTAAACTACTATGTCTTTCATTTGTATAATTTTGTAAATAATAACCCATAAAATACATTATTATATTGATCAGCAAGAGATATCAGTCATTCTAGATGTACTCAGCAGCTGTTAGTACTAGGAAAAGGTGGGAAGGTAAAAAAGGTAAGTTAGATATAGCTCTTTCCCTCAGGATATTCAGAGTGTACTTTAGGAGTAGATGCATACATGAAATATTGCATAGTAATAAAAGCACTATAAATACTAAAATGACCAAAGGGCTATAGAAACCAGAAAAGGTAGTATAGAGTTTCTATATGAGTATATAAATGTTCCATATATGTATATTGGAATAACTGCAAAAACTTAGTAAAAAGAACGTCTTTTTTTAATCAAACATTTTCTTTATGTCTATTAAATGGCTTTGGGCAAGTTCTTTGGATGAGCAATCAATATGAATACAGAAACCAAAGTAGATTATAAGCTTCATGAGGGCAAGAGTAATACAGGCTTATTCATTACCATGTGATATGGTTTGGCTGTGTCCCCACCCAAATCTCATTTTGAATTGTAGCTCCCATAATCCCCACATGTCATGGGAGGGACCCAGTGGGAGGTAATTAAATCATGGGGATAGGTTTTTCCCATGTTGTTCTCATGATAGTAAATAAGCCTCATGAGATCTGACAGTTTTATAAGGGGCAGTTCCCCTGCACATGCCCTCTTGCCTGCTGCTAGGTAAGACATGCCTTTGCTCCTCTTTCACCTTCCCCTATGATTGTGAGGCCTCCCCAGCCATGTGAACTGTGAATCCATTAAACCTCTTTTTCTTTATAAATTACCCAGTCTTGGGTATGTCTTTATTAGTAGTATGAGAACAGACTAATATAGTAAATTGGTACCAGTACAGTGGGGTGCTGCTATAAGGATACCCAAAAATGGAACTGGGTAAAAGGCAGAGGTTGTAACAGTTTGGAAGGCTCAGAAGAAGACAGAAAGATGTGGGAAAGTTTGGAGCTTCCTAGAGACTTGCTGATTAGTTTTGACCAAAAAGTCCAGGCTTAGGTGGTCTCAGATGGAGAGTTAATTGGGAACTGGAGCAAAGGTGATTCTTGTTATGCTTTAGCAAAAAGAGTGGCAGCATTTTGCCCCTGCCCTAGAGAACTGTGGAACTTTGAACTTGAGAGATGATTTAGGGTATCTGGAGAAAGAAATTTCTAAGCACCAAAGCATTCAAGAGGTGACTTGGGTTGTTAAAAGCATTCAGTTTTTTTTTTATTATTATACTTTAAGTTTTAGGGTACATGTGCACAATGTGCAGGTTTGTTACATATGTATACATGTGCCGTGTTGGCATACTGCACCCATTAACCCGTCATTTAGCATTAGGTATATCTCCTAATGCTATCCCTCCCCACCCGCACCCCACAACAGTCCCCGGAGTGTGATGTTCCCCTTCCTGTGTCCATGTGTTCTCATTGTTCAATTCCCACCTATGAGTGAGAACATGTGGTGCTTGGTTTTTTGTCCTTGCGATAGTTTGCTGAGAATGATGATTTCCAGTTTCATCCATGTCCCTACAAAGGACATGAACTCATCATTTTTTATGGCTGCATAGTATTCCATGGTGTATATGTGCCACATTTTCTTAATCCAGTCTATCTATTGTTGTTGGACATTTGGATTGTTTCCAAGTCTTTGCTATTTTGAATAGTGCCGCGATAAACATACGTGTGCATGTGTCTTTATAATAGCATGATTTATAGTCCTTTGGGTATATACTGAGTAATGGGATGGCTGGGTCAAATGGTATTTCTAGTTCTAGAACCCTGAGGAATTGCCACACTGACTTCCACAATGATTGAACTAGTTTACAGTCCCACCAACAGTGTAAAAGTGTTCCTATTTCTCCACATCCTCTCCAGCACCTGTTGTTTCCTGACTTTTTAATGATCACCATTCTAACTGGTGTGAGATGGTATCTCACTGTGGTTTTGATTTGCATTTCTCTGATGGCCAGTGATGATGAGCATTTTTTCATGTGTTTTTTGGCTGCATAAATGTCTTCTTTTGAGAAATGTCTGTTCATATCCTTCACCCACTTTTTGATGGGGTTGTTTGTTTTTTTCTTGTAAATTTGTTGGGGTTCATTGTAGATTCTGGTTATTAGTCCTTTGTCAGATGAGTAGGTTGCGAAAATTTTCTCCCATTCTGTAGGTTGCCTGTTCACTCTGATGGTAATTTCTTTTGCTGTGCAGAAGCTCTTTAGTTTAATTAGATCCCATTTGTCAATTTTGGCTTTTGTTGCCATTGCTTTTGGTGTTTTAGACATGAAGTCCTTGCCCATGCCTATGTCCTGAATGGTATTGCCTAGCATTTCTTCTAGGGTTTTTATGGTTTTAGGTCTCACATGTAAGTCTTTAATCCATCTTGAATTAATTTTTGTATAAGGTGTAAGGAAGGGATCCAGTTTCAGCTTTCTACATATGGCTAGCCAGTTTTCCCAGCACCATTTATTAAATAGGGAATTCTTTCCCTATTGCTTGTTTTTGTCAGGTTTGTCAAAGATCAGATAGTTGTAGATATGTGGCATTATTTCTGAGGGCTCTGTTCTGTTCCATTGATCTATATCTCTGTTTTGGTACCAGTACCATGCTGTTTTGGTTACTGTAGTCTTGTAGTATAGTTTGAAGTCAGGTAGCATGATGCCTCCGGCTTTGTTCTTTTGGCTTAGGATTGACTTGGTGATGCGGGCTCTTTTGTGGTTCCATATGAACTTTAAAGTAGTTTTTTCCAATTCTGTGAAGAAAGTCATTGGTAGCTTGATGGGGATGGCATTGAATCTATAAATTACCTTGGGCAGTATGGCCATTTTCACAATATTGATTCTTCCTACCCATGAGCATGGAATGTTCTTCCATTTGTTTGTATCCTCTTTTATTTCATTGAGCAGTGGTTTGTAGTTCTCCTTGAAGAGGTCCTTCACATCCCTTGTAAGTTGGATTCCTAGGTATTTTTTTTAAACCTAAATTCCAATTCCAAACCATATCTTTGTGAATACATAAAACTGAATACTTCAAAGAGAATAAAGCATTCAGTTTTATGTATTCACAAAGATATGGTTTGGAATTAGAACTTAGGTTTAAAAAAGGAGCAAAGCCTAAAAGTTCAGAAAATTTGCATCCTGATTATGTGATAGAAAAGAAAAACTCATTTTCTGAGGAAAAATTCAAGCCAGCTGTAGACATTTGCATAAGTAACAAGGAGCCAAATGTTAATCACCAAGACAATGGGGAAAATGTCTCCAGGGCATGTAAGAGGTCTTCACAGCAGCCCCTCCCATCACAAGCCAGGAAGCCTAGGAGGAAAAAATGGTTTCATGGGCCGGGCCCAGGGCCTTGCTGTTTTTGGAGTCTCAGGACTTGGCTCTTTGAGTCCCAGCCATGGCTAAAAGGGGCCAATGTACAGCTCAGCTTGTTGTTTCAGAGTTTGCAAGCCCCAAGCCTTGGCTACTTACACATGGTGTTGGGCCTGTGGGTGCACAGAAGTCAAGAATTGAGGTTTGGGAACCTCCACCTAGATTTCAGAGGATGTATAGAAAGTTCTGTATGTCCAGACAGAGGTGTGCTTCAGGGGCTGAGCCCTCGAGGAGAACCTCTGCTAGGGCAATACAGAAGGGAAATGTGGGGTCAGAGCCCCTACACAGATTCCCCACTTTGGCACTGCCTAGTGGAGCTGTGAGAAGAGGGCCACCATCCTCCAGGTGCCAGAATGTTAGATCCACCAACAGCTTGCACTGTGTGCCTGGAAAAGTCACAGATACTCAACCAGCCTGTGAAAGCAGCCAGGAGTGGGACTGTACCCTGCAAAGCCACAGGGCAGAGCTGCCCAAGACCATGCGAACCCATGTCTTGCATCAACATGACCTGGAAGTGAGACATACGGTCAAAGAGATTATTTTGGAGCTTTAAGATTTGACTGCCCTCAATGGATTTCAGACTTGCATGGGACCTGTAGCCCCTTTTTTTTGGCCAATTTCTCCCATTTGGAATAGGAACCTTTGCCCAATGCCTTTAGCCTCATTGTATCTTGGAAGTAACTAATTTGCTTTTGATTTTCCAGACTCATAGGCCAAAGGGACATGACTTGTCTCAGATGAGACTTTGGACTGTGGATATTTGAGTTAATGCTGAAATGAGTTAAGACTTTAGGGGACTGTTGGGAAGGCATGATGGTTTTGAAATGTGAGGACATGAGACATGGGAGGGGCCAGGGGCAGAATGATATGGTTTGATTGTATCCCCACCCAAATCTCATCTTGAATTGTAGCTCCCATAATCCCCATGTGTCAAGGGAGGTACCTGATGCCAGGTAATTGAATCATGGGGGTAGGTTTTTCCCATGCTGTTCTCATGATAGTGAATAAGGCTCATGAGATCTGATGGTTTCAGAAAGGGCAGTTCCCCTACACATGCCCTCTTGCCTGCTGCCATGTAAGACATGACTTTGCTCCTCCTTCACCTTCTGCTATGATTGTGAGGCCTCCCCAGCCACGTGGAAATGTGAGTCCATTAAAACTTTTCTTTATAAGTTACCCAGTCTTGGGTATGTCTTTATTAGCAGCACGAGAACAGATTAATATACCAATTTCTACCTGTCACAGCACTGAAAAAAATAATGCTAACATAAAATAATTTCAAGTGAAATCACCTAAGAGGAGGGGAAGGTATGGGGTACAGAAGAAACTGGAAGAGAGACCCCAAAAGACTATGGGGGTGGTCTTGCAGTCATGAGATGCACTGCCTTATTAGATGCACTTCCAAGGATGGGAGGGAGAGGGCTTAGGCACATGGTGAAGGCTCTGCGTGGAGGAAGAATGGAGGTTGGTCCTGGGTCTAGCAGATGAAGTTAGATTCCTCTTGGCCCCTCGTCCTAGCCCAGACTTCTAGGGGCTCAAGTAGACACATTATGTTCTTAAGATGGAGGGAAATGGCATCAAGAAGGGAAGTCAGGTCCCAAATAAGGAGAAAAGGATGTTGAATGCATCCACAGAAAAGCCTCCTAAGAAGGAACCAGAGCAAGAGCCCACTGGTGGGGCATTCCACAGGGCAGCTCTGGCTGTGGGAATTGAGGGGTCCACCAGAAGCTGGTGAAGATGTGGCAGAAGAGGGGTGGCTATAGGGCTTTGGCTGGAGATTATGCATCACTCAGATGCGATGCTGGAGGGAGAGAACTGGCCTGAGTGGAGGAGGACAGCTGGAAATGGAGGCTTGAGGGGAGCCAATCAATGCAGGGTTCCAGGGGTGGGAAGCTGCTTTGATAATTGGCTCCTGTCAATCCCGGGTAGGAAAAGCAAGCTGCTGCCAGTCAAGTCCCAGCTCCTAGAAGTCCAGGAAATTGGGCCTTGTCTCCCATAAAGTACTGAACTTTTCTCCAGTAAATTTCCTTGAGGAATGAGGTAGCAGAGTGGGCAAGGTGATACACAGCCAGACTTTGAGTCTGTGTCCCTTGGTTATCATTATCCTTGATGAGACTAACTGGGCTTTAACACGAATTCTGGGAAGCCATACATTTTGGCATTAGAGAGTCAAAGGAACAAATCATTAGGGAAGTTTTTTAACCTGAGATTCTTAGCCCCATCTAGAAAATAGGGATGATAAAGTCTACCTCTTAGGATTCTTGTGAGAATCAAATAATACACAATATACCTGGATTTAACTCAGTGTTAAACCCACAGAGGTTCTCGCACTTTGGGTCTCAGGACACTTTTATACACCTAAGTACTTTGAGGACACCAAACATTTACAATTTCACAAATCTCTTTTATGTCTGCCTAAGTAGAAGAAAGCTGGATTCTTATATTTGCCTCTGCATTCAATCTGTTGCATTACGGTTTTTTGTTGTTGTTGAAGGAAGCAAAAAAAAAATCCAAATTCACAGAGATATGTAGCTGGAAAAGGGCTGAGTATTTTTAATAGCCATTTGGCAATTGAGAATACTCTTCTTTTATACCACACCAAAATTTGATGAGGCTGTTTTCTTTTCTTTTCTTTGTTTTCTTTTCTTTTTTCTTTCTTTTCTTTTCTTTTCCTCTCTCTCTCTCTCTTTCTCACTTTTCTTTTCTTTTCTTTTTTTCTTTTCTTTTCTTTTGAGATAGTCTTGCTCTGTCACCCAGGCTGGAGGCTGGACTGCAGTGGTAAAATCTTGGCTCACTGCGACCTCCGCCTCCTGGGTTCAAGTGATTCTTGTTCCTCAGCCTCCTGAGTAGCTGGGATTACAGGCGTGCACCACCACACCTGGCTAATTTTTGTAATTTTTTTTTTTTTTTTTTTTTGAGATGGAGTCTCGCTCTGTCGCCAGGCTGGAATGCAGTGGCACTATCTCAGTTCACTGCAGTCTCCGCCTCCTGGGTTCATGCAATTCCCCGGCCCCAGCCTCCCGAGTAGCAAGGACTGCAGGCGTACAACACCATGCCCAACTAACTTTTTGTATTTTAGTAGAGATGGGGTTTCACCATGTTGGCCAGGATGGTCTTGATCTCCTGACCTCGTGATCTGCCTGCCTCGGCCTCCAAAACTGCTGGGATTACAGGTGTGAGCCACTGCACCCAGCCAATTTTTTGTAATTTTTAGTAGAGATGGGGTTTTGCTATGTTGGTTAGGCTGGTCTCAAACTTCTGACCTCAAATGATCCATCTGCCTTGGCCTCCCAAAGTGCTGCGATTATAGGCCTGAGACACCATGCTGGGCGGAAGGGTTTCTTTAAATGATGGTTACACTGTGAAATTGAAAATCATATTAATGAACTCAAGTCTGTTGCGTCAAAATCCATTGGTCTATTTGCACTTTGAATAAATATTTTTTACCCATGCCTGGTTTTATAACATCATGCATTGGTCATTAAGAAAATACTGGTTCATTAAAGTATGCGGATCTTCCAAATGTTGATACATTTCTTTACACAATATTTTTCAAAATCACATTTGCTAATATCATCACTGATTTCTTCAGAAAAGTTTTTAAGTATTAGGAGATTTCTAGATCACAATGTCGGATATGAGTTTTCCAAAATCTTAACTTTCATTGAAAGCTAAAACTTTATCTTTAGCAGCAAATATGGTTAAGATGTCCTTCAAACAAGAAGGCCATTTCATTTATTTTCAAGAAAATGTCTGCCAAGCACACAAGTCCAAATAACCATATTTTTCTGTCACTCAATATTTCAAGTAAAAAGAAAATAGTGTCCCAGAAAAAAGGTTGTGAGTTCAGCTTACAACTCAATCACCAAGTGCTTCTCCTCAAGGCAACCATCATACTTGAAGATACAGCAGAAATACTTTATGTGTATACTTCTTATCACACAGAATATTAAAAAGATGTATGATCAACGGATGAGATTTAGTAAATTAACACACTAATTGCTTCACAAGAACATTCTTAGGTAAAGCTAGAATTTTGTCTTATTATGACTGTGTGGTGGTGGAGAATACAGTGATTAAGCATGAATTTTGCCCTCAGCTATTCCCACAAATCACTAGAGTGAGCCCAAAATGAAAAGCCTGTGCTCCAGAAAGTGACATGAACAGACTATTAGGGTGATGGATGTGTTCATTATCTTGACTGTAGGGATGGTTTTAGGGATATATATGTATATCAAAACTTATTGAATTGTGCACTATAAATCCATTTAGCTTACTGTGTGCCAATTTTACCTCAATAAAGCTGTTTAAAGAATGAGTGAAGTTAATTAGAATAGTAGCCATTTAATCTACAAGGAAAGTCATACTTCACCGAGTGGTATGTGCTGGATATAAAATGCTTTAGGAATAAATGCTCGGTGCCATGAAGTGAAACCAGCACTCAGGCAAAAGATTAATTCTTTCAGCAAGGCAACTTACTTCTGCAGAAGGGTGCTACCTGTGTCAATCAAGATTGCAAGAGCACACCAAACAAAGAAGACCAGGGGGTTTTTATCCTTAACGCAGTCCCTACTTCTGTGCCACTCCCCCATGGGCTGGGGTCAGACTGAACAATCTGAGCTGACACGATTGGCTACTTATACATATTTTTCTAAATATAGAAGGGGAGGGGGACGTGAAGTACAAAGGTGGAGCGTGTGAGATGTGCAGTTTCAGGGGAACAATGGGTACAGGTAACCAAGGGAACAGATGTGAGTTATTGATTAGTGCTGAAGGGAAAGGGGTAGGCTGTTTTTTAGTAACTAGGGGCAGGAAGGAACAGGAAAGCTGAGTTTGAGAACAAAAGACAAGGAAGTTAGCAGGCTAAATCTTTGAAGAAAAACTCAGAGAAATTCATTGTATCTTACAATTCCTCCCTTTTAAATTTTCTTATGATTCTTTCTCTTCAAACTTTTTTTTAACATGTCTTGGCTTTGCTGTTCGATTTGATCTTCTCAAAAGAAATGCTTACTTGAATAAGGTGTAGCAGAACTAAGGGAGGCTCTAGTAAGTGCTGTTTGTACAATCCTTTGTATTAGCACACGGATGCATGGTATGACACAACACCTAACAAGAATGAGTACACCTATTACGATTGCAAGAGAAATAAGAATTGAGGCTATGATTCCTTTTCATTTACCAAACCACTTTCCTAGCCATCCTGGAATAGGGTCATTGATTCCAGAATTTTTAGCTAATTAATTGGATAAAGCGATAAGTCCTTGTAAAGCCTTTGTTATGCTCCCTTCGCACACAGTGTTGTTTGGGATGAAGGTACAACATTGGGTTTTAATCACCACACAAACTCCACCTTTTTCGGCTAACGACATGTCCAGAACTATTCTGTTTTCCCAAGCCATTTGGCTAGGAGGCCCTAATTGGTCAGCTACTACTTTGATAGCATCCCTAGCATAATTAATAAACCACTGCTGATTATAATAGATGTAATTTATCCAAGCTACATTTTTAGTAATAGTTACCCATGGAAATACGGATTCAAATCCTGCAGCTATTTGGTCACGGGCTTTGAACATGTCAGGCACTCCTTGTGAGACTCCAATGGCATCTATGTACATTTGAGAGTCAAAAGACCCATAAAGGGCTTCTCTTATTTTTCAGTGTTGTGGTTTTTCTTTTTCTGGTTGATGAACTGCCAGGGTGAAAGGGACAGCCAACTGGACAAGAGCACAAGTGCCACTCCGGTTACTTGGCAGAGTGTCTAATAAGGGTCCACTGTAATACCTCCATCCATCCGTTCGAGGATGACTAAGGGCAGACTGATGGGTAAGCTCTTGGAAGGGCTTAAGCTCACTGCATCCCGTTAAGCTTCCAAGGAACACCAAATTCTCCCCCTGTCCTGAGAGACATGAGGTGAAATTGACGTTGGGAGATAGAAGCTGAGTGGTGCTCAGAGGCTGACCCGCAGGGTGTTGGACTTTGGGATACAGCAGAGAGACAGCTTGGCATGATTTGTTGCCTCAGGCTGTGGAATCCTGGAAAAGAGCTACCATACAGCCCATGCCTGTTTATTGAAGGACCATCCTAGTGGAAAGGGGACAATCTGGGCCTCTGGTCTGCCATGTGCACAAGCATAACAATTTCTTTTGTTTAACGTGCGGACTGAATATTGAATCCATTCCAACCGGGCATTAACATCTTGATATCCTGTTTCAATTGCTAGGGTTTGTCTTCAATCTTTTACTTCTACAATATTTATGTTGGCATTGTTGTTAGGTAGGGTAGAAGGTTCTGATGGAGAAGGAGAAGGGGGATCAATAAAGCGTATTTTAAAGAAGACTGTAGGGTCATATCCATTGGCCTCTGCTCCTGAGCCGTAAAAGCATTCTAAAGGGGGTGCAGGGTTGGTGGAGGTTAAGGGTGTTAATAGAGATAGTTACCGGGTTACAATAGTCAAGTTGACAATTAGAGGAGTTGGTTCTTTTGGTGAGGCAGAGGTAAGATTTTAGGTCAGTACAGCCTTCTGGGGAGGTCCCAACGTGTTCTCTGGTAGTTAGGATGACATCTGCCCATTGAGAACATATCTCTCAACTTGGGGTGCCCTGGTACCCCCACCATGAGCAAGGTGTGGGGTCAGCAGCTTCTCTGAAGGGGCAGAGGTATTTTTCTAAGGTAGTGACATACCTTTGCCAGTATTCATCCTTCTCACAAGGTATAACAAGGCAAGCATCAAAGTTAATGATTTGGGGTGAGTCTAAATTAGTTACATTGATAACAAGGTCAGCAATAGAATGAGGAAAGAAGAAAGGGTAATAGAATAGATAAAAGAGGTTAGACTTTTCTTAACCTTAGTTTGAGGGGGATTTTCCCTTGGATAATGGTCCACAACTTGAGGAATGGTGTTGCTTTCTTGACTCGGGTGTGATGGCTCCATCTTTTCTTGCTGCCTGGACTGCGGTTTCAGTGGTGGGAAGTACTAGGCCGGCTCCTCAGGCTGGTGTTGATGTACTGGGAACTCTAGGGGCAGCGCCTGTACTGGAAAATTTTGAGTTCTGAGGGAAGAGAAAGTGGAAGATAAACCAAGTATGTAGGAATGTTGGCAGTGGATTGTTTTGAGAGGTAGTTTGGAATAGGAAGATAGAAGACATTTGATCTCTGGCAACCAAGTCTCTAGACTTATTTGGCTGAGGGTATAAATTCCTATACACTCATAAACTTTGAGTGTGCTATACATGGCTTGGGGTCTTTAATGGGTCCTCTAATGTAGGTGGGATAGGACTTCCTTCATAAGAGGTTTGAATAACATTTCTCTGAGTTCTCTTTAGCGCCTACAGGAGAAATGGCAGCCAGTCCGGCTTTTCTGATTTGCTAGGTTATTTTCTTGACTCTTGAAAGACAGGCTTTTTGGTACCTGGAGACACAGACAATAGCTATTTTCTTTTCTGGTAACTGAAGGTTATTTAAGACTTACGTGATTAACTCCTCATAAACAAGGCTTTGACTTTTACTATTAATTCAGTCTGAAATTTTCTAAATATATGAATTACCACAGAGGCGTATTTAGAATTAGTATAGATGGTTCTTTCTGGGTCCTGCAGGTACTTTAAAGTTTGACTAAGTGCAGACAGCTTATAAATTTGAATAGACTAATTATTAAACACTTTGATTTTATTTCTCTAGGAACTTTTTTTTATTAATTACTGAACACTTATTGTGTTCTTTTTCCCTTAATCACTTTTGAAGGGGGTTTTTCTTAAGTTTGGCCAGATGTTTGTATGGTACTCACTTAAATCTAAACATGTGTGCTTTCTTTTTAGATTTGGATCTCTTGTTAAGAAATGTGATAGGTTAAGTTCTTAGTAGTTAATGTTAAACCATCCTTTTTAACAGAATAGCTTCATACTTATACATTTGTAATTTTTTTCTGGTGGCACATTTTAATATAAGTGACTTTAAAGAATCAAAGTTCTTTTCTGGTGGATACTTCCACCTTTAACACTGGACTGACCACAATAAATGCTAGTAGATATACCAGCTGAAAGATAGTTCTACTTCTTGCTCAGGAAACTTAGCTGCAGAGATGCCTAGCTGCTTGGAGCCTCAGCTGAAGCCCCGTATTACTTGGCGCTGGCAAAAGTAAGGCAGATGACCTATAATGTAGTCTGCTCGGGGCACAGGCTGTGGCCCAGGCTGTGTGTCCTGTAGAGCCACCGTCAATATGGTGCTGGGACCCTGGACCAGCTGGTGGGGCAGGAGCATGGACTTTGGCTGCCGTGGAGGTGCACTATGGGCCGTACAACTCTGACAACATGTTGCGGCGGATCCTTGATGACAAAAGCCACCTGGCAACTTAGGAGCTTGGAGTCCTTTTGAGGAGGGGGACTTAGGCTGGGGAAGAACAGACTTATGGAGTGATACCTGAGGGGAAGGGGGGGGTGTATTAGGTGGGGGATGGTCTAGGGGATCCTGTGTGCTGTTCTTTTTGCTAGGATCCCCTAAGACCCTTCCTTCACTGTCTTTTTCATTCAAGATGATTCTGTCCTTAATGGGGCGCATGTACAACTAATTTTCCTCCAAAGATTAGTTTTTGACTTGCTCCTTTCAATCCTTGGAGGAGGGGAAAGGACAAGGCCTTGCCACCAACATAGGGCATAATCTATTTCCTCTTGGGAGGCAGGTCTTCTACTAGCAACATTTTCTATTAGAAGTTCACAAATCCATTCCTCATTCAACCCAAATTCTGGCCAGAAAACTAAGGGTTCAAGGATTGATCCTTGAGTCCAATTGGAACAGCAGTATTTTATCATTTGTTGCTCTTCTTATGTTTAATATTTTAATTATCTTTCTAATGTTTTAACACGAGACCTAGGGGACTATCAGGAGGTATCTTTGTTGCTAACTTTATCTTTTTTGCTTGTAATATTTCCCATCCAGGGCCCTGCCTAGGCTCAGTTCCTCGTATTAGGAATCTCTTGCCTAGTGGGAGCTTGCTGTGGCTCAACCCCTCATGTTAGGGATCTCTGGCCTATTTGGGGGGTTCCTTGTTGCTTAACCCTTCATATTTGGTGGTCTCTTGCCTATCCTCCACTGGAAGCTTTGCTAAGGCTCAATTCGTCTATCCTTTAGCTCCACCTGCTGGAGTCTTCTTGCATCCTTCTTTTGCTTTGTCTGCTCTGACTGCTTTCCTCGCGGGAATATTGCAGGTCCCTCTTAGCATTGATGGCAGGTCAGAATAAACCCCTGAAGGGACCCCCTGAAGGGCCACCCTAAGCCTTATGAAGTGACCTCGGAACCGCAGATTAGACTCACTCACTCCGTACAGCAGTAGTGCTTGTTATCATTCATGCACTCAGCCTCCGGAATGCCCCAACCCCCACCCCTAACCACCAAGGAAGTGCTTTGTTGCCCCTGTGACGTTTCCTACATTCTGTCTGAGCACAGAGTTTACCTGGTTGCTGTGGTATTGCAACCCTCTCCTCCCCGCATCGCTGAGAGTCCGGGTTCATTTGTCTCAACGGGGGGGTCTCAATCTCTTGTACCTGAGGCCACTGCAACGGGGCAGTGGGACGCCATCTCCTCTGGGTAGGGTGATGGAAGACCCCTTTCAGAAAGAGAATGGGGATCTCGGACGAGCCCCCAGAATTGTTGGATATAAAATGCTTTAGGAATAAATGCTTGATGCCGTGAAGTGAAACCAGCACTCAGCAAGGCAATTTACTTCTGCAGAAGGGTGCTACCTGCATCAATCAAGATCTCACGAGCACACTGAACAAAGACGACCAGGGGCTTTTTTTATTCTTAACATAGTCCCTACCTCTGTGTCACTCCCCCATCAGCTGGGTCGGACCACACAATCTGAGCTGACCCGATTGGCAACTTGTACATATTTTTCTAAATATAGAAGGGGACGGGGATGTGAGGTACAGAGGTGGACCGTGTGAGATGTGCAGTTTCAGGGGAACAATGACTACAGGTAACCAAGGGAACAGATGTGAGTTATTGATTAGAGCTGACAGGAAAGGGGTAGGCTGTTTGACAGTAACTAGGGGCAAGGAGGAACAGGAAAGTTGAGTTTGAGAACAAAAGACAAGGAAGTTAGCAGGCTAAATCCCTGAAGAGAAACTCAGAGAAATTCACTGTGTCTTACATATGTAAACCCATCTTCAGCAGCTTCATGCGTTATGTAGTTTTTAGCAGATATGCCCTCTTAGAATAACTACTCGCTTTGGAAGTAGACACTTGTGCTTTCTCAGCAGATTTTGTCATCTACCTTTCATGGGGTCATGAATATTACTATGGCCCCATCACGGATGGTATATATTGGCAAAAAATATATATTTTGCAAGTTACACTCTTACCACTTTACTTTTTCAACATAAGTTCAAGTCTTACTTTTTAAGTAAACGTGCACTTTCACCTTTTGAGCTCATTGCTGCTATAGGGTTTATTGTAAAATTTTAAAAGTATAACCTAACATTAGAAAAGTAAATAGCTATAGCTCCTACTGTAAAACAGTCATCCACTATAATAAGAGCCCTCTGACTATCTCTATAGGCAGGACTGCTTGGCCTCTGTTTCCTATCTCACATGTTTCTTTTTGACCTTATCAGGTGGTAGCCTCAAGCCCTTGGCTATTTCACAGGACATGAACAAGTGACTGACAGGAGCAACAGCAACGAATATGTCTCACTACCACTGAAGCCAGTTAGCTGGTCCTGGTCACTTGTGTCTTTACACAGTTTATTAGAAGCCCACTCCATGCTGTCTAGAAAGGGAATATTACATATATTCTAGAATCAGCTGGGAAAGGAGGATTGGGTTATCTATTACTGCTCAACTTTCAGATGTAACTACCCGTTTATGTGTGAACTTACACCTATATTTATGCACTACAGATGTCACAACAGAAGATAGAAGTACAAAATGGGGGGTCTTCCTATTCCTGCTCATTTTCATGCAACTATGAATGATGATAGTACATTGTTTAAAAAGTTACTGGCCTGGCATGGTGGCTCACGCCTGTAATCCCAGCACTTTGGGAGGCCCAGGTGGGTAGATCATGAGGTCAGGAGTTTGAGACCAGCCTGGCCAACATAGTGAAACCCCATCTCTACTAAAAGTACAAATAATTAGCCAGGTATTGTGGCGCATGCCTGTAATCCCAGTTACTTGGGAGGCTGAGGTGGGAGAATTGCTTGAACCTGGGAGGCAGAGGTTGCAGTGAGCCAAGATGATGCCACTGCACTCCAGCCCAGGCGACAGTGTGAGACTCTGTCTCAAAAAAAAAAAAAAAAGTTCCCAACAGAGGTAATGCTAAACCAATAGATCAATAGATGTAACAGGAGCTGTCCTGGGCAAGCTGGGATGTGTGGTTTCCATACTTGCAAGTCACTTTGCCAACTCTATCCACTCTGCTTGAACTCTAAATATTGGAGTGCTCTGCTGGGTACTGGGACCCCTTGACTTCTCCCTGGTTGCTCTCACTTTGACTGATACTGAAACTCTCAAATCTGTATCTCTACTCCCTAAAAATTAAGACTTAAATACCCTACAACCTACTTATATCTCTGCTTAGATATCTAGTGAAATCATCTTACACAGCTCTATGTGTCTCTGAGTAATGAAACACTCAAAACTTAGTGGTGTAAAACCATAACGATTTCATTATGTCCAAGGATTCAGTGGGTAAGAAATTTGGACAGGTCAGAGCAAGATTTGTTTATTTCTGTTCTGTGATGTCTGGGGCCTCGGCTGGAAAAACTCAAACAGCCAGGGTGACTTGAATGGCTGGGGACTAGACTTATCTGGAGGTTTCACTCTCATGTTTGGCGTCTGGGCTGGGATGTCTAAAAAGCTGGGCTCAGCTAAAACTGTCAACCAGACCACCTATATGGGGCTTCTTCATGCGGCTTGGGCTTCTTTTTGTGGCAACTGGGCTCTAAGAGAGGCCCAAGAGGGACCATCCTGAGAGCAAGTGTTTCTCTGCAAAGCTTCCTCTGACCTATCCTTGAAAGTTAGGCAGCATCACTGCCACAGCCTTCTACTGGATATAAGCAAGTCTCTAAGGCCAATGCAGATTTATAGGAAAGGGATGCGACTACACCTCTTGATGGGTGAACAGCAAGGTCACATTGCAGAGGAGCATTCTGGCCACTTTGGAATATACAACCTGCCATACACCCCTAATATGGCTAAAACAGAACTCTATTTCTAATTCACTCATTTCCTTGAATAAATAAAACCACATCTGCCCAATTGCTACAAACTCCAAACCTAGGAATTATTCTTGCTTCCTCTCTTTCTTGCACGCCCCACATTTAATGCACCATCACCACATCATCTCAACTCTACTTCCAATGCATCTCTCAAATACGTTCACTTCTCTGCATCCCTGCCACCACCACCCTGTGGCAAGCCACCACCGTTTCTCACCTAAACCACTGCAATAGCCCAGGAACTGATCTCCTTGTTTCTATTCTTGTTCCCTATAATCTATGTGCTACACAATAGAGAGATTAATACATTTAAAATGTAAATTAGATCATACCACTCCCCTGCATAAAACCTTACTCAGAAGTTAGAATAAAACCCAGATAAATGTCTTCCCCTGGCTTTGACAGTCTTACATGATCTGGCCTCAGGTCTTGACTCCAGCTTCATCTGGTCACCATTTGACCTATCATCTACTCAGTCTCACTCGTATTCACTTTCTTTCCATTTCTCAAATACTCTCAAGGGCTTTATCTCCGCTGTTTCATTTTCCTGGAATATTCGCTGCATTTTGCATGCTGGCCTATTGTCATTTAAGTCAGTTTAAATGTCACTTCCTTGTGGCATATCCAATCTCTTAATATAAAAGTAGCCTATCAGATCACTGCCCTATTCCCTAATTTATTTCACTAATTTAAAACACAATAAGATATAGCAATGTGACACGTAACTTTCTCGTCCATGATAATGAATAAAAAGGCTATAGTTGTATTTTTTACTATTCACATTTTCTTAATTATAGTTCTTTCCTTATTATCAGACACTCCTGTATTCCCCCTTAAAATGACAGCTTCCTAGGAACAGATGCCTTCTCTGCAGACCAGTTCCTGGAAAACCTGCTAACACATCATAGGAGTACAATATTTGCTAGATGATTTGTTGCCTGAAAGTGCTGGTTAACTTACCCATTGCACAGTAAGTGACAAATACATTTCTTTTATAATAATAACCTTATTATTTTAGGTTCCTTAATTTGCTAATAAAGGAACTGAAGCCAGAATGGTCATTTGTCCAGTGTTACAAAGATAGTTGGCAACATCTTTATGACTAGATTACCTTAATTGCTAAAAACAAAAGTACTGCTTTCATACTAAGAAATGAATCTTTTAAAGTCATCTTTTGTTGAGCACCCACTTCATAAATGAGCTGAAGCTGTGATATCTAATTGTAATACTTACTGGCAGTGTGGCACTGGGCAAGCCATGTGGGAGTGTAAAGTCTGGGATTTCTCATTAGGAGACTTCTAAGGACCCTTCCAATAATAAGGATTCAATGACACTATATAGAGACATTCATTTCTTGGGACCTCCCTCACAGGGAAAGCTGAACATGTTACGGGAATGAAAACATCCCTCCCTTACTTTTGTCCATCTTATTTTATCATTCCGTCTCTAATTATAGAATACCATACTTGCACTCCATGGGTGAATGTCCAAGATCAGAAACACATCCTGAAGCAGCACTTTCCTTGGAATACGTGTGACTCCATGAAAAAAGGTCAAATATGATTGGGAAATGCCAAGACCATTCACAGGCACACTAATATTAAAGGATTTGAGAAATTCCTCAGTGGTACTCCCTTGCCCACTTTTATTTTGAAACAGGTTCTCACTCTGTCCCACAGGCTGAAGTGCAGTGGCACAATCATAGCTCACTGGAGCCTCAACCTCCTGGACTCAAGCAATTGTCCAGCCTCAGCCTCCTGAGTAGTACATTGTTTAAAAAGCTGGACTACAGGTGCACACCACCATGCCCAGCTGAGTTTTTAAATTTTATTTTAGAGATAGGGTCTTGCTGTGTTGCCCAGGCTGGTCTCAAATTTCTGGCTTCAAGTGATCCTCCCACCTTGGCCTCCCAAAGTGCTGGAATTACAGGTGTGAGTCACCATGCCCGGCCTAGCCCCCCTTTTTATAACACAATTTTTTCCTAATCCACAATGTTGCCTTAGAGGTTATGATGTATTGAGGTAGAACCAGGTGATTTTCAGGGAATAACTGATTCATGGGCAAGGTTTCCCAAATTCAGTAAGGTGCAAATATGTGACATTTTAATTTCTAGATCATGATTTTAAAATATTTTAAATGTGATTGCAAAAATAGCCTCAATTCTTCACTCTGCCCTATACTTCACCTATGTTCTTAACAATGTGATTTTCCAGCTCCTCCTATTAAAAGGTGGAGTCTATTTCCCTGCCTCTGTAATCTGGAATGACCTTATGACTTGCTTTGACCAATTAAACACAGCATAAGGGACCTTTTGACAGTTGTGCTTGGACCTTAATATGTCTTCCATGCTACTTCTGGATCGTTGTCACTCTCTGAATGAGCCTGGGCTAGCCCTCTGCATGATGTGAGACAATGTGGCTTGGCCATCCTCATTACTCCAACCAACAGCCAGCCAATCACTGGACATGTAAGCAACACCAACCTAGACTAAGCCAGCCCACTGAACCACCAGCTGACCACAGATGAATAAGCCCTGCCAAGATCAGCTGAGCCAGCCCAGACAGCAGAACTATCAGCTAACCTGAATACTTGTAAGCATTAATGCATGGTAGTTGTTTTAAGTCATAATGTTTTGGAGGGGTTTGTTATTCAGGAATTCAATGCTTGATGCACAAGGTGAAACTCATGTTTACTTTCTTTCTTAGTCCATTTTTGCTGCCATAATAGAATAACACAGATTGGCTAATATATAAGGAACAGAAATGTATTGGTTCACAATACATTTCTGTTCATTAGTTAATATGAATAAATTATGTATCATAGTTATTATGAATGAATTATGTATCATAGTTTAAAAAAACAAAAAAGCTGTCTTACTCTCTTAACAATTTGTAACTGAAAAGAGTTTAGAAAAAAAGAAAGGAAAAAAATTCTAGAGAACTATTAAAAATACTGGAAATGAAGCAGCAAATAGAATACAAATATGTTTAACAGCAAAACTTGCTTTTTCTTTATATGGGGAAACATAGAACAATAAATCTACTGCATGCTTATGCTCCCTGGGAAACAACAACAATAACAAAACATAGTGGCCCTAGAAACAAAGAGAAATGATACTGATGGCAGACAGTTGGAAATTAATAATTTTCCTGATCTGCACTCAGGTTTCTCATGCTCCTGGGATACAGGCGGGTGGCCCTTTCAGTGTGTGCACCCCCGGGATTAACATCTGTGTGAACATGGCAATAGAAGAAGGCAGAGTAGATGAATTCCTGAATTGTTCTTACTGACACTCACAGATATGTTTCCTTGGATGATTACAGTTCACAGGTGCAGTGGCCACACACTAATTGAAAGAATTATTTTCTTAACATTCAGTGTCATCTGCAAAGACTTTTGTGAAGAGCATAATTGTTTCAACCAGCTGCTAGGAGCTGTTTTTATTAATTTTTTAAAAAATCAAACGCCAAAGCAGGGGATATTTGTAATATTTCCCCTCTACATTCTTTTAGGGGAATAAACGAAAAACAACAGCCCACAGCTCTATGAGGCTAAGACCTTTGAAGACCAAAGATTTGGGTTCCATAAACAGTGACATCAAAAATGTGTCCTTTTCCTCTCTATTTTTATTCTCACCCCACGATAGGCTATCTTGTGTACAGCATTGCTGGGGAGACACCTGCTGGGATCAGTGAAGCCCAGAGTAGGTCCACGGAGAGTCCATGCACTCTCACTGCCTGATAAAGTTCATCCCAAATTTCCACTGCATATGCTCCTTTAAAGTAGAGAAGATGCTTTAGGTTTCATGATTTCTGTTATTTGAGTGGCTGCCAAATCAATCTCTAAGGCACTGACCCTAATAATGAAAAAATATCCTTATGGAGTCAAATCTCTAATGTGTAAGACTTCCCAAATTTTCCCAAAGGCAACCTGTAAATCACTCTGAACCTAAATGTCACTGCAGTGTCATACTCCTTTCTTTTAATGATTTGCCTTCCCCTTTTTAAGTTTCTCAAGAGGCAAGTGTCTTGGTATGAGCTGCTATAACAAAGTACCATAGCTTATAAACAGAAGTTTATTTCTTGCAGTTCTGGAGGCTGGAAGTCTAATATCAGGGTGGCAGTATGGTTGGGTAACAGTGAGGGCCCTCTTCTGAGTTGCATACTGATAACTTCTTGTATCTTTACATGGTGGAAAGAAAGTTAAGAAGGCTCTCTATTAGTGCCCTTTTATAAAGGCGCTAGTTCTATTTCTGGAGGCCCCACCCTTGTGAAAGCTATACCTCCTAATATATTGGGGGTTAGGATTTTAACACAAGATTTTTTGGGGGACACAAACATTCAGTCCATTGTGGCAAGTTTTTTTTTTTTTTTTTTTTTTTTTTTTTTTTTTTTTTAGGAAAAAAAAGCTCTATAAAAGTGAAAGGTGGGAGAAAAGGAGAAAGTATGCATACTGTCATTCTTATTACAAGGTAGAAGCCATGTATTTTACACCAGTGATTTAGTGAAAGAATTTGGGTGGAAAGTGATAGCCTATACTTCTAAACAATGAAATAAGACAGAGATAAAGATAAAGTCTTATTTTATAATGCAGAATTGGGCTCTCTCAACTATTTGGAATCTTTAGAAATGCTTACTTTAAGCTCAAAATTCATGCTCTGAGCAGGCTTTTGCACATACTTCCCTGAGATTACAGCACTGTTACAACATGGAACTGAAAATCTTAGCATGGTCCTCAAAATGTAATGCATTTATTCTGAAACAGGATTTCTTTACCTACTAATTTTTTTCTTTGTTTCACATTAAAATCAGCGGCAAATTAAATGCAAATGTGTAGAGAAATGAAACACTTGCACTACAAATTTACACACACCAAACCAGAAAAAAAAAGAAGGTTATAGTCCTCTTGCCAATTGTAAATCCCCAGACTTCTAAATACATACACTCAGTGTATTAAAGAACAACTTAACCTTGTTTGGAGGACTTTGACTTTTGCAATTCTCAACATATGTTTGTTCTTCAAACTAGAAATTGCATTTCCATTGGGCTGAATATTAATATATTAGTTTCTTCTAGTGCTTAAGCTACTTGGAAATAAGTCTGTTGCTTTTAAAAATTACCAAGGGTCTTTAAGATAATTAGAATCCCATACAGAAAAGTATGCCAAATGCTAATTAAAATACCAGGTTGTTTTTAAAGACAAAACATAAAGAAGCACTCACACATTCAAAGTCACACAGGGGCAAATTCAGCCATCAAATGCCAATGGCTTTTGCCATCACTCATGGACACCTCTCCCAGCAGGCAGTCTTTCCAGCTAGGTTATTGCAAAGTGTGCCATTTGTTTGACATTAATGCATCACCAAAAGTCACCACATCAACCGAGCCTCACATTATCATTTCGCAAATGCTGGATGTATTAGGTTAAGTGGGGAAATGGTACACTTATACTTTTTAACATTTCTTTGTAATTGTTTCACCTAATGTAGCTCTCAGTCACCCCCATCCTTACTGATCTTCCCAGACCAGAAACAGATGTGCAATGTCATTGTATGCTGGCCATTTAATGATTAAAAACAAAAGAACTGAATAAGGCAGGACAGGGTTGAATGTCACTCATGCAGATATTGAATTTCCTTCTGTATTCAGAGGAACTGTGTGTAAAACCCACAGAGGGAAAGTAGAATTAGAATCAAAACTGCCTTTTGCCTAGATTACTTACATAGCAGAACGCAAAAGATGCCCTTAGTTCTCCCAATACCTCAAGCTATGTATTGTCCATTTGTTAGGAGGACTACAATCCAAGAACCAATTATTTACTTACAAGGAAATGAGCAAGATTCCATACCCCAAAGAGGACTAAATGTAGTTTACTGAACAGCCTGAATATTACAGAGTGTCTTAATCAGTAGTTAAACCCTCATTCTAAAAGATTCAGTTACCTCAGAGAGGAGGCCACCCCGAGAAATGTCCTGTGGAAGCCAAAGCCATGGAGAAGTTGGAGTGTGCTGGGTTAGGGGCAGGTGATCCAGATGTGCACATCTGCTGCAACCCACTCCCTCCCCCAGGCTATGGCTGGGCTGCAGTCTGTCACCAGGGACAGCCAGCACAATGGGGAGGCAAAAGAACAAGGTAAAATGACATTTGGAGGGTTTTCTGAATTATGAGGATATTCTTTGAAATTCCCAGGCATTGTGAAGGGTCTTCAAAGGGATTCTCAACTCCAGGATTTAGTGCTCTGGGCAGTCACCCAGGTACCACAAAATCCCTATGGGTGTGCATCTCCTTTGTTACCCATGTGTATACTCCCTCCCTGACGTCAAAGCCATGTTTGCTCAGCTTGATGAAAATGTGTTTCTTGAAAGCCACATTCTTTTCCTTTTCTGAGCCAGTGAGGTTTCTGCAGAGCTCATGGTGCTGATGTTTCCCCCTCCATAGAAGGGATGGAAAGGACAGTTGTCTCTGTGTCGAGCATATGTTAACCAGACAGGGCTTGTTTGCCTAAGAAACCTTATGTTTATTTTTTGTTTCTGTTTGGCATCTAACCAGCATTGTAGTAAAATGTCTGTCTCTTAGCTTTGTGAATGGGAGGCTTGTGGGATACGTGCCTGTTTTTTATGCATTGGTTCCTTGGTAGAGAATTGTTCTGAGAAATGGTCCTAGTCATAGCTTAGCCTAGCATGTGGCATACCTCTCTCCACCTTGAAGAATAATAAATGTAGGGCTGGGGGATGATAGTGACTCAATGCTATTGTGCAGGGATGGTGATCTTCATGGGTTCTTCCAAGGTCTAAACAAATCTTCTGGACTCTTGCCAAAGTTTTTATTGAATTATAGTACAAGGAGCTGGAAAAAAAGCAAAAGTCATCTTGATTGTCCAGTAGAACTTATTTTAGCTATTTGGAGACTTAGTCATTTACAGCAACATTAAGTGGGATGCCAAAAGTCTTCATCGTTAATTTAGTAGGTATTAGTTTCACTGTAGAGCCTAGAGAGATGTGCCTGAGGCCATCAGCCTGACCTGTTCTGTGTAACCTATTGTAAGACTGAGAAAGGACCTGATATTTGTCACATGTCTATGATGTGAGAGGCTTTCAACATTCATCATCTCACTCTAACCCTATGAGGTGGTTATTTCCATTTCATACCCAGGAAATAGAGGAAGACAGAATTTAACTCAACCAAATTCACATAACTGATAAATGGTGGAGTCAAATCTAATCCCATGCTGCAATGACTCCAAAAATAATTTCAACATCAGAATCTTGAGGAAAAAGTCTCTGACACTATGTACTTCACAGAAAGATCTCATGACTTTATAAGATCTGCTGGTGTTACCGTGGTCCCAGATGTCACTGGTGGTGTTGCCATGGTCATAGATGTCACTGGAAGCTTCTGATGATCTACCCTGTAACTGACTACTCCACCTTAGTGCCCTGACCGCTTTGTTCCCACGCCTCACCTCCCTTACTTCTCAATATTTATTTTCCCATTACAAAAGGGCCTACCTACTCTACAACAAATGCTCTGTGAGTTCCTTGATTGCAAAGGTAAATGAGAAGTCCCTCCCAGAGAGGATTTTGTATTCTAGGGACATTTTCCCCTCACCTCTAAGGACTGAGGTGATTTAAAATGCATTTATTCTCAGAATTGAGAATTTAAAGAATCTCTCTGCACTCATTAACAAAGGCTCACTCCTTTCTACTGTTCTTGGAAGAGTTTTCAACCTGGAGTCTCTGAAATGATAGGGGTATCTATAAGTTATTCAGTCATTTAACTTTGGTCACTAAGAGTTATTTAAAATATTTAATTACATTCAATGGAAATCATGCCTTTATTTGAGATATTTTACAGGCAAATTAAAACATCGATGTCCTTTGTGGATTTATTAGAACTATAGCAAAATATACCTTTGATTCATTAAAATGGGAAAAATAATTGTTAGATAAAAATACAGTGTGAAAAAAAATATTTCCATAGCAGCAATGGCAATGTTGTGAGGTTGGGGAGGGGAGGTACTAATAAAATAACTCCATGGTGGCAAAAAATTGGATGCCACTGATACTTAATGTTTCAATTCAGCACTTGTAGGAAGGGAGTTTAGGGATTATACACTATACTTTGGAAATAGGAAATGAAAGTGATTAACCCAAGATTGCCCCAAATAGTTGCCCGCCTAATGAATAGACTCCAGATCTTCTGATGTCAAGCCCATGATACCTCCTAGAGTACTCTAGTTCAATGAATTTGTGTGCAATGGCTATTTCCTAGAAAATGGTTCAAAGTTCAGACAATATGGTTAAATTTAAACACTTCTACAATTAGATGAACATAATTACACGCTATTTTTTAAAAGATAAATAGTAAAATGCCAAGAGAAACAACATTCACCCAAATCAATTGTGTATTTTCAGGAAAATATTTGTGCCTAGACCACCTACACAACTGTGCAAGCCTCTACCTGGTTGGCCACAAAACATAGATACAGTAGATAGATAAGAACTCAGCCTCAAAAAGATTTCTCAATGAATAGTTAAGAAGTAACAAGATCTGATGTTTAATGAAAATTGCAACCTACAAATAATTTATAACTGTAAACATAGTTTATTTAGTGTCTCATTTCCATTCCTGTCCATTGTTTCCCATATTGAAATGAAGGATCTTACAGGACCTCTGTTACTTAGGATTTTCACCATATTTCTTGATGAAGGAATAGCGCCAAGACACCACAAAGATAATTAGGTCCATGGGCCAAAATGGCAATTATAGCTAAACGAAACAAAAATGAAGGGTGAATATTTTATTCAGTTCAGCTGTTAAGTCTTAATGCGAAGAAAGAGCTTTCTACAAATCTGTAATGGACACCAATTTCTAATCTCTTCCATTATTAGCTTTAGAAAGTCTTATCATGGCATATTTTGGCAGCCAACCAAGCTTGGGATGTTCAGCTTAATAGATTTAAACTGAAATTTTAGGGTTTCCCTTCTTCTGCTATTCAAAGCATACAATTAAACCTCTTGGTGAACTGCTGATAACATTTCTCTAAGCCAAATTTGCCTTTGGATACAAAAGGAACATTCCTGGAGAATGACATAACATTGCCACTGGGCCAAAAGGAAAACATGTTGTGGAAGATTTTTTTTTTAATAACAAAATATATTGTTTCAGGATTATATACAGCAATGTGCTGTATCACTAACAAAATATTAGGACTTTGGGAACTGAAATAACATCCTGCATGTCCATAGTGTGTACGTAGTTAATAGTCATGTCTCTGGGAGACTAGTTTTTTTGACATCAGCATACACAAACTTACTATCATTATAGATGGTGGAGTGAGAAATCAAACTCTAATTAAAAGATTACGTGCTAATATGTGCTTATAAAATTCCTTTGTGATTGCTATAGAGAAATGAAAACACTGCCCCAATAAAAATGAAACCACATAAAAAAATACATTCATTCAACAAATATTTATTGATTATCTAAACTACACCTGGCACAATAACTATGTAAGGAACTAGGGATATAGTAACCTTATTGAGCTTACAGTCTTCTGGGATACAAAGTTATTAATCAAAAACTCATACAAATAATGTCAAATTTCACCTGTGATAAGAGCTGTGAAGAGAATATACGACTAGTGTAGCTTAGCATGCTTTAGCTGTGTGAGCTTGGATAAGCTGCCTAGTTTTTCTGAGCTTTCTTTCTTTGTTTTTAAATGTGATTAATGATGGTCCCGCATCAGAGGGTTGTTGTGGGGGACTGTATGAGATAATCAATGTAAGTCCCTGTCCTAGAGTATATTCTCAATAAGTGTTACCTGTTATTATTGCCATTTTTATTGTTATTTTCATTATTATTAGCAAAGGAGGTCAGAAAAGCCTTCCCTGAAGAAGTGAGCACTAGGCTGGATCTAAGACAAGCTGAAATTACCATAGTGAGAAAGAAAGGGAAAATATTTCTAGATGAGGACACAGCAGGTGTGTATACCCTGTGGAGGGTAGAACCATAGCAAGGAGGATGAATCCAGAGAAGGCTGACATACGAAGGCTGAGACAACACAATGCGAGGCTGCACAGGCAGACAGCATTTGATGCCTTTGTGGATGTAAATATTTAGCTCATCTCTATTATTTATTGTGGATGTATAAACACACACACAAAATACAATTTCCATTTATTGTAGAGAATCTAATTTTACAACGCTATGCAAAGCAAATGTAGCACAATTCTACTCCCGTAATTTCAGAATGGATCATTTATTCATTCATTTATTCACCATCCATTCAGTCTTCTGTGGGCTAAGCATGCAGTTAGAAGCCAAAGTTACAAAGGTGAATCAAGTACCATCCCTGCCATCATGAGGGATTAAAAAAAAATAGACAAATAAAATAACTCATAGAATTACTGAAAAGAGAGATAGACCAATATCTATGAAGGACAGAGGAAAGATTCATTAACTCTGTGGGGAACTGGGTAAAGCATTAAGGAAGAGACTTTTGAGTCATGAAGAATGAATAGAAAGGAAAAGAAAAAAAGGGAAGGAAGAACATGTCATAAGAGTAAAGAGCATGGAGAAGGAGATGTGAAGTGCCCAGCAATGTGGGGTGATCAGTCAAGGTGATCAGGGAAGGAATGGCAGAAGACAAGGTGGGAATGGCTGGAGAAATGCAGAGGATGAGGGCTTCATGGCATTTCATTTGTTAGCAATCTGGAATCAAAAGAGCAAAGCAAGGGCTTCACCACTGGGAGCAAACTGAGACCTTTCCATTTTCTGATTGCACTGGTAACGAAGCCAAAGCAAGAAGAGAAGTTTAGAGAAAAAAGGGTGAAAAGAAATGAACAAAGCCTCCAAGAAATATGGGACTATGTGAAAAGACCAAATCTACATTTGATTAGTGTACCTGAAAGTGATGGGGAGAATGGAACCAAGTTGGGAACACTCTTTAGGATATTATCCAGGAGAACTTCCCCAACCTAGCAAGGCAGGCCAAGATTCAAATTCAGGAAACACAGAGAACACTACAAAGCTACTACTCGAGAAGGGCAACGCCAAGACACATAATTGTCAGATTCACCAAAGTTGAAATGAAGGAAAAAATGTTAAGGGCAGCCAGAGAGAAAGGTCGGGTTAACCACAAAGGGAAGCCCATCAGACTAACAGCTGATCACTCTGCAGAAACCCTACAAGCCAGAAGAGTGGGGGCCAATATTCGGCATTCTTAAAGAAAAGAATTTTCAACCCAGAATTTCATATCCAGCCAAACTAAGCTTCATAAGTGAAGGAGAAATAAAATCCTTTACAGACAAGCAAATGCTGAGAGACTTTGTCACCACCAGGCCTGCCTTACAAGAACTCCTGAAGGAAGCACTAAACATGAAAAGGAACAAATGGTACCAGCCACTGCAAAAACATGCCAAATTGTAAAGACCATTGATGCTATGAAGAAACTGAATCAATTAACGGGCAAAATAACCAGCTAACATCATAATGACAGGATCAAATTCACACATAACAATATTAACCTTAAATGTAAATGGGCTAAATGCCCCAATTAAAAGACACAGACTGGAAAATTGAATAACAAGTCAAGACCCAGCAGTGTGCTGTATTCAGGAAACCCATCTCACGTGCAGAGACACACATAGGCACAAAATAAAGGGATGGAGGAAGATCTACCAAGCAAATGGAAAGCAAAAAAAAAAAAGAAGGAGTTGCAATCCTAGTCTCTGATAAAACAGACTTTAAACGAACAAAGATCAAAAGAGACAAAGAAGGCCATTACATAATGGTAAAGGGATCAATTCAACAAGAAGAGCTAACTATCCTAAATATATATGCACCCAATACAGGAGCACCCAGATTCATAAAGCAAGTCCTTAGAAACCTACAAAGAGACTTAGACTCCCACACAATAATAATGGGAGACTTTAACACCCCACTATCAATATTAGACAGATGAACAAGACAGAAGGTTAACAAGGATATCCAGGACTTAAACTCAGGTCTGCACCAAGGGGACCTAATAGACATCTATAGAACTCTCCACCCCAAATCGAGAGAATATACATCTTTCTCAGCACCACATCACACTTATTCTAAAATTGGCCACATAATCGGAAGTAAAGCTCCCCTCAGCAAATGTAAAAGAACAGAAATCACAACAAACCGTCTCTCAGACCACAGTGCAATCAAATTACAGCTCAGGATTAAGAAACTCACACAAAACCGCACAACTACATGGAAACTGAACAACCTGCTCCTGAATGACTACTGGGTAAATAACAAAATGAAGGCAGAAATAAAAGTGCTCTTTAAAACCAAGGAGAACAAAGACACAATGTACCAGAATCTCTGGGACACAGCTAAAACAGTGTGTAGAGGGAAATTTATAGCACTAAATGCCCACAACAGAAAGCAGGAAAGATCTAAAAATTAACATCCTAATATCACAGTTAAAAAAAACGAGAGAAGCAAGAGCAAACAAATTTAAAAGCTAGCAGAAGTCAAGAAATAACTAAGATGAGAGCAGAACAGAAGAAGATAGAATCACAAAAAACCCTTCAAAAAATCAACAAACACAGGAGCTAGTTTTTTTAAAAGACCAACAAAATTGATAGACTGTTAGCAAGATTAATAAAAAAGAAAAGAGAGAAGAATCAAATAGACACAATAAAAAGTGATAAAGGGGATATCACCACCGATCCCACAGAAATACAAACTACCATCAGAGAATACTATAAACACCTCTATGCAAATAAACTAGAAAATCTAGAAGAAATAGATAAATTCCTGGACACATACACCCTCCCAAGACTAAACCAGGAAGAAGTTGAATATCTAAATAGACCAATAACAAGTTCTGAAATTGAGGCAATAATTAATAGCCTACCAACCAAAAAAAGTCCAGCACCAGAAGGATTCACAGCCATATTCTACCAGAGGTACAAAGTGGAGCTGTGCCATTCCTTCTGAAACTATTTCAATCAATAGAAAAAGAAGGAATCCTCCCTAACTCGTTTTATGAGGCCAGCATCATCCTGATACCAAACCCTGGCAGAGACACAACAACAAAAAAAGAGAATTTTAGACCAATATCCCACACGAACATCCATGTGAAAGTCCTTAATAAAATACTGGCAAACTGAATCCAGCAGCACATCAAAAAGCTTATCCACCATGGTCAAGTTAGCTTCTTCCCTGGGGTGCAAGGCTGGTTCAACACACACAAATTCATAAACGTAATCCATCACATAAACAGAACCAACGACAAAAACCACATGATTATCTCAATAGATGCAGAAGAGGCCTTTGACAAAATTCAACAGCCCTTCATGCTAAAAACTCTCAATAAGCCAGGTATTGATGGAACGTATCTCAAAATAATAAGAGCTATTTATGACAAACACACAGCCAATATCATACTGAATGGGCAAAAACTGGAAGCATTCCCTTTGAAAATCAGCACAAAACAAGGATGCCCCCTCTCACCATTCCAATTCAACATAATGTTGGAAGTTCTGGCCAGGGCAATCAGGCAAGAGAAAGAAATAAAGGGTATTCAATTAGGAAAAGAGGAAGTCAAATTGTCCCTCTTTGCAGATAACATGATTGTATATTTAGAAAACCGCATCGTCTCATCTCAAAATCTCCTTAAGCTGATAAGTAACTTCAGCAAAGTCTCAGGACACAAAATCAATGTGCAAAAATCACAAGCATTCCTATAAAGCAATAACAGTCAAACAGAGAGCCAAATCATGAGTGAACTCCCATTCACAATTACTACAAAGAGAATAAAATACCTACGAATGCAACTTACAAGGAACGTGAGGGACCTCTTCAAGGAGAACTACAAATTGGAAAAAACTACTTTAAAGTTCATATGGAACCAAAAAAGAGCCCACATTGCCAAGACAATCTTAAGCAAAAAGAAGAAAGCTAGAGGCATCATGCTACCTGACTTCAAACTATACTACAAGGCTACAGTAACCAAATTAGCATGGTACTGGTACCAAAACAGATATATAGATGAATAGAACAGAACAGAGGCCTCAGAAATAACACCACACATCTACAACCATCTGACTTTGACAAACCTGAAAAAAACAAGAAATGGGGAAAGACTTCCCTATTTAATGAATAGAACTGGGAAAACTGGTTAGCCATATGTAGAAAGCTGAAACTGGATCCCTTCCTTACATCTTATACAAAAATTAATTCAAGATGGCTTAAAGACTTAAGTGTTAGACCTAAAACCATAAAAACCCTAGAAGAAAACCTAAGCAATACCATTCAGGACTTAGGCATGGGCAAGGACTTCATGACTAAAACACCAAAAGCAATGGCAACAAAAGCCAAAATAGACAAATGGGATCTAATTAAACTAAAGAGCTTCTGCATGGCAAAAGAAACTACCATCAGAATGAACAGGCAACCTACAGAATGGGAGAAAATTTTTGCAAAGGGCTAATATCCAGAATATACAAAGAATTTAAGCAAATTTACAAGAAAAAAAACAACCCCATCAAAAAGTGGGCAAAGGATATGAACAGACACTTCTCAAAAGAAGACATTTATGCAGCCAACAGACGACATGAAAAAATGTTCATCATCACTGGTCATCAGAGAAATGCAAATCAAAACCACAATGAGATACCATCTCATGCCAGTTAGAATGGTGATCATTAAAAAGTCAGGAAACAAAGATCTGGAGAGGATGTGGAGAAATAGGAACACTTTTACACCATTGGTGGCAGTGTAAACTAGTTCAAATGTTGTAGAAGATAGTGTGGCGATTCCTCAAGAATCTAGAACTGGAAATACCATTTGATCCAGCAATACCATTACTGGGTATATACCCAAAATATTATAAATCATTCTACTGTAAAGACACATGCATTCGTAAGTTTATTGCGGTACTATTCACAATAGCAAATACTTGGAACCAACCCAAATGTCCATCAATGAGAGATTGGATAAAGAAAATGTGGCACATATACACCATGGAATACTATGCAGCCATAAAAAAGGATGAATTCATGTCTTTTGCAGGGACATGGATGAAGCTGGAAACCATCATTCTCAGCAAACATCACAAGGACAGAAAACCAAACACTGCACATTCTCACTCATAGGTCGGAATTCATCAATGAGAACACTTGAACACAGGGTGGGGAACATCACACACTGGGCTGTCACTTGGTGGAGGGCTGAGGGGGAGGGATAGCATTAGGATAAATCTCTAATGTAAATGATGAGTTGATGGGTGCAGCAAACCAACATGTCACATGTATACCTATGTAACAAACTTGCACGTTGTACACATGTACCCTAGAACTTAAAGTATAATTTTAGAAAATGCAACCTGTAGTGTCTTGCTCTGAATAGATTGAATAGAATAGATTGTAAACCCAAATGTGCATGAATTATCATTATTGTCTTTAAGAGATTAGTTCTTTAGACGCAATAAAAAGGAAGTCCATACCAAAAGAAGGAAGAGAGTAAGAGATACAGAGAGAAAGGGGGGGAAAAAAAGAAAAACTTGAGCACACTCAATTGTAGCCATTTCTTTAAAGCTGGGAAGATGAATTGATTAAATTATACAAAATCTGAATGCTTGAGAATCTCCTAATTTAAGCTAAGAGCAGAAGGTTAACTCTGTTTTGAGGAATGAACGTCACTAGCTCGTAAAAGTGCAGATACCAAGGCATAAAAGTGGGCAGAGCATTCTTCTATTTCCTGTTAAATCTATTCTTCTGCCTCACAGCCCTTCTTGAGTATGGAGCCTTCCCTAGACCCAATAATCAAAGTGACTTTTCACCTTGTTCTCTGTGTTTCTGCCTCATTCTCCTCCTACTGCATCAAAAATACACAAATACACTCTCAAGAACTAAAGGATGGCTTATCCCTTTTATTTAACATTCAATAGCACTATCAGTGAACCCCAGAAATATTTCCCAAGGGAGAAGCAGAAAACATTTGTCTTACAAGTAATGTTTTCATGGTTATAATGAAGAATCAAAATGTTTACTAAAGTGAAAGAATTATTAGCCGAATCAGTTCAGTCTTTCTTATTAGAAGAAGTTAGGGTTGTAATTGGAAGTGAAATTATTCTACTGATCCCTATGTCAGTTCCAGCTTGTTGACTTTAATGAGGAAGTATAACACTTGGAAATGTGAAAACACAGTGGGTAATATTTATATGAAATCTTCAAAAACCATGGTATTTTGCTCATGTGGAATACTATGGCATTTTGCCTAGATCAGGGAACCAGCAGATTAGCACATTAACACCTTTAGGAAGCATGCATATAATTTGCTTTGAATGTGGTCTTTGACTTCTGGGAGAAATACCTAATGATTTCAAACTGACCAACTACTTTATAAAGCATTTCTTTAAAAAATGCTGGTTGCCAAGAAGCTCCTAGCATCTTTATCATAAAACAAGTCTAAACTCCACTTTTGAACAGAAAAAGTCCTATTTAAAACTCAAGGCAGGGGCACCTGCCATCTTGGAGATTAGGTTGGCTTGGTGGTTCTAGCCTGCCAGGGAGTCCAGACAGTCTAGACTAGGAGGAGTTTCCCACAGTGCAGCACAGCTTCTGTGCCAGATTGTGGTCAGACTGCTTCTTTGAGTGGTACCCCAATCCCCAAAGGCCAGGTCACCTAGAAAGGGAAGCCCATCAGACTAACAGTGGACCTTCATCCCTCCTCACTGGATGGGGCCTCCCTGTGGGAATTTCAGCAACTCTAGCCAGTGTTATATGGAAAGAACTCGAATATTTCCCTGGGACAAAGCGCCTGGGGGTTGGGGGTGGGGTGGCCACAGTTTCTATGGTTCAGTCAACTCAGCCATTCTAACCTGCTAGCTCGGAGAGTCCAGGCAGTCTGGATGAGGAAGTCTTTCCCTCAATGCAGCACATCTACTCTACCAAAAAGCAACCAGACTGCTTCTTTAAGTGAGTCTTCAATCTCATTCCTCCTGACAGGGTGAGACCTCCCAAGATGATTCTCCAGACACCTCCTATAGGAGCATCCAGGCTGGCAACAGGTGAGAATCCCCCTGGGATGGAACTCCCAGAGGAAGGAGCAGATTGCCACCTTTGCTGTTTTGCAGTCTTCACTGGTGATTCCTCCAGGTAAGGGAAAAACCCGAGGCAACTAGGGTCTGGAGTGGTCCCCCAGCAAACCAGTGCAGCCCTACAGAAGAGTGGGTGACTATTAAAAGAAAAAACAAAGAGAAAGCAACAACAACAACATCAACAGAAAAGACCCCACAAAAACCCCATTCAAAGGTCAGCAACCACAAAGATTGAAGTAGATAAGCCCACAAAGATTAGAAAGAATCAATGCAAAAATGCTGAAAACTCAAAAAGCTAGTGAGTACCTCTTTTCCAAATGACCACAGCACTTCTCCAGCAAGGGCACAGAACTGAGCTGAGGCTGAGATGGCTGAATTGACAGAAGTAGGCTTCAGAAGGTGGGTAATAACAAACTTCACTGAGCTAAAAGAGCATGTTGTAACCAAATACAAACAAGCTAAGAAGCATAATAAAACAATACAGGAGCTGATAACAAGAATAGCCATTTATAGGGGAATATAACCAACCTGATGGAGCTGAAAAACACAAGAAATTCACAATACAATTACAAGTATCAATAGCAGAATAGACCAAGCAGAAGAAAATCTCAGAGCTTGAAGACTATCTTTCTGAAATAAGACATGCAGACAAGAATAGAGAAAAAAGAATGAAGAGGAACAGACAAAATCTCTGAGGAATATGGGACTGTAAAAAGACTGAACCTCCAACTGACTGTGGTACCTGAAAGAGACAGGGAGAATGGAACCCAGTTGGAAAACATACTTCAGAATATCATCCAGGAGAACTTCCCCAACCTAGCAAGACAGAGCAACATTTACATTCAGGAGATCCAGAGAACCCCAGTAAGATACTCCATGAGAAGATCAACCCCAAGACACATAATCATTAGATTCTCCAAGGTCAAAATGAAAGAAAAGATGTTAAGAGCAGCCAGACAGAAAGGCCAGGTCATCTACAAAGGGAAACACATCAGACTAACAGTGGACCTCTCAGTGGAAACCCTGTAAGCCAGAAGAGATTGGGGGCCAATATTCCAACATTTCTAAAGAAAAGAATTTCCAACCCAGAATTTCATATCCAGCCAAACTAAGCTTCATAAGTGAAGGAGAAATAAGATCCTTTTCAGACAAGCAAATGCTGAAGGAATGCATCACCACCAGGCTTGCCTTGCAATACCTCTTGAAGGAAGCACTAACAATGGAAAAACGAATCATTACCAGTCACTCCAAAACCACAATGAAGTACACAGACCAGTGATATTATGAAGCAACCACATAAACAAGTCTGCAAAATAACCAGCTAGCATTATGATGACAGTATCAAATTCACATATCACAATATTAACCTTAAATGCAAATGGGCTAGATGCCCCAATTAAAAGACAGAATGGCAAGCTGAATAGAGTCAAGAGCCATCAGTATGCTGTCTTCAAAAGTCTCATGTCATGGGCAAAGAAACACATAGGCTCAAAATAAAAGGGTAGAAGAAAACTTACCCACCAAATGGAAAACATAAAAAAGCAGGGGTTGCAATCTTAGTTTCTGAAAAAACAGACTTTAAACCAACACAGATTAAAAAAAGACAAAGAACAGCATTACATGATGGTAAAGAGTTCAATTCAACAAGAAGAGCTAACTATTCTCTCTCTCTCTCTCGCTCTCTCTCTCTCTCTCTCTCTCTATATATATATATATACACCCAATATATATATACACACCCAATATAGGAGTACCCAGTTTCATAAAGTGAGTTCTTAGGAACCTAAAGAGAGACTTAGACTTCCACACAATAATAGTGGGAGATTATAACACCCCACTGACAATATTAAACAGATCATCGAGACAGAAAATTAACACAGATATTCAGGGCCTAAACTCACCTCTGGATCAAGTGGACCTGATAGATACCTACAGAACTCTATGTCCCAAAACAAAAGAATATGCATTTTTTTCTCATCATTATATGGCATTTACTCTAAAACTGATCACATAATTGAAAGTAAAACACTCCTCAGCAAATACAAAATAACTGAAATTATGACAGTCTCTCAGACTACAGCACAATCAAATTAGAACTCAAGACTGAGAAATTCATTCAAAACCACACAACTACATGGAAATTGAACAACCTGTTCCTGAATGACTCCTAGGTAAATAATGAAATTAAGGCAGAAATCAAGAAGTTCTTCTTTGACACTAATGAGAACAAAGATACAACATACCAGAATCTCTGGGACATGGCTAAAGCAGTGCTAAGAGCGAAATGTATAGCACTAAATGCCCACATCAAAAAGCTAGAAAGATCTCAAGTTAACAACCTAATATCACAAGTAAAGGAACTAGAGAACCAAAAGCAAATAAACTCCAAAGCCCGCAGAAGACAAGAAATAACCAAGATCAGAGAAGAACTGAAAGAGATAGAGATACAAAAAGGCTTTTAAAACATCAACAAATCCAAGTACTGTTTTTTGAAAAAAAATAATAAAATAGACCATTAGCTAGACTAATAAAGAATGAAAGAGAGGGCCGGGCGCGGTGGCTCATACCTGTAATCCCAACACTTTGGGAGGCCGAGGTGGGCAGATCACAAGGTCAGGAGTTCAAGACCAGCCTGACCAACATGATGAAACCCCGTCACTACTAAAAATACAAAAATTAGCCGGGTGTGGTGGTGCACACATGTAATCCCAGCTACTCAGGAGGCTGAGGCAGAAGAATCGCTTGAATCCAGGAGGCAGAGGTTGCAGTAAGCCAAGATGGTTCCACTGCACTTCAGCCTGGGTAACAGAGCGAGACTCCATCTAAATAAAATAAATAAATAAATAAATAATGAAAGAGAGAAGAATCAAATAGACACAATCAGAAATGATAAGGGGGATATCACCACTGACCCCACAGAAATACAAACAACCACGCCAGGCATGGTAGCACTTTGGGAGGCCGAGGCGAGTGGATTACCTGAGCTCAGGAGTTTGAGACCAGTCTGGGTAATGTGCTGAAACTAAATACAAATCTACTAAAATACAAAAAATTAGCCGGGCATGGTGGCATGTGCCTGTAGTCCAAGCTACTCAGGAGGCTGAGGCAGGAGAATTGCTTGAACCCAGGAGGCGGAGGTTGCAGTGAGCCGAGAGCATGCCACTGCACTCCAGCCTGGACAACAGAGTGAGACTCCATCTCCAGAAAAACAAACAAACAAACAAAATATAAACAACTATCAGAGAATCATATAAATGCCTCTATGCACAAAACTAGAAAATCTAGAATAAATGAATAAATTCCTGGAAACATACACCCTGCTAAGACTGAACCAGGAAGAAATTGAATCCCTGAATAGACCAATAATGCGTTTTGAAATTAAAGCAGTAATAAATAGCCTACTAACCAAAAACAGAGCCCAGATGGATTTACATCTGAATTCTACCAGAGGTACAAAGAAGACCTGGTATCATCTCTACTGAAACTATTCCAAGAAATTGAAAAGGAAGGTCTTCTTCCTAACTTATTCTGAGGCCAACTTCATCCTGATACCAAAACCTGGAAGAGATAAAACAAAAAAAGAAAACTTCAGGCCAATATCCCTAATGAACATCAATGCAAAGATCCTCAATAAAATACTGGCAAACCAAATCCAGCAGCACATCAAAAAGCTTACCAACCATGACCAAGTTGGCTTCATCCCAGAATGCAAGGTTGGCTCAACATATACAAATCAATAAATGCAATTCATCACATAAACAGAACTAAAGACAAAAACCACATGATTATCTCAATAGATGCAGAAAAGGCCTTTGATAAAATTCAACATTGCTTTATGTTAAAAACTCTCAATAAACTAGGTATTGAAGGAATACACCTCAAAATAATAGGAGCCATATATAACAAACTCATAGTCAATATCATACTGAATGGGCAAAAGCTGGAAGCATTCCCCTTGAAAACTGGCACAAGACAAGGGTGCCCTCTCTCACCACTCCTATTCAACATGGCATTGGAAGTTCTGGCCAGGGCAATCAGGCAAGAGAAAGAAATAAAGGGTATTCAAATAGGGAGAGAGGAAGTCAAATTATCTTTGTTTGTAGATGACATGATTCTATATCTAGAAAACCCCATTGTCTCAGCCCCAAAGCTTCTTAAGCTGATAAGCAACTTCAGCAAAGTCTCGGGATACAAAATCAATGTGAAAAAATTGTTAGCATTCCTATACACCAACAACAGGCAAACAGGGAACCAAATCATGAATGAACTCCCATTCATAATTGCTACAAAAAGAATAAAATATCTAGGAATACAGCTAACAAGAGAAGTGAAGGACCTCTTCAAGGAGAACTACAAACCACTGCTCAAAGAAATCAGAGAGGACACAAACAAATGAAAAAACATTCTATGCTTATGGATAGCAAGAATCAGTATCACGAAAATACGGCCCAAAGTAATTTATAGATTCAATGTTATATCCTTTAAAATATCACACTGACCAATGGAGCAGAATAGAGAGCTCAGAATAAGACTGCACATCTTCAACCATCTGATCTTTGACAACCCTAACAAAAACAAACAATGGGGAAGGGATTCCCTATTTAATTAATGGTGCTGGGAGAACTGACTAGCCATATGCAGAAAATTGAAACTGGACCCCTTCCTTGCACCTTATATAAAAATTAACCTAAGATGGATTAAAGACTTAAATGTAAAACTTCAAACTATAAAAACCCTGGAAGAAAATCAAGGCAATAGCATTCAGGATGTAGTCACAGGCAAAGATTTCATAACGAAAACACCAAAAGCAATTGCAATAAAAGCAAAAATTGACAAATGGGATCGAATTAAACTAAAGAGCATCTGAACAGCAAAATAAACTATTATCAGAGGTGAACAGACAACTTACAGGATTGGGGAAAATTTTGCAATCTATCCATCTGACAAAGGTCTAATATTCAGAGTCTACAAGGAACTTAAACAAATTTATAAGAAAAACAAACAAACAACCCCATTAAAAAGTGGGCAAAGTACATGAACAGACACTTCTGAAAAGAAGATATACGTGCAGTCAACAAACGTATGAAAAAAAAGCCCAACAACACTGATCATTAGAAAAATCCAAGTCAAAACCACAATGAGATACTATCTCACACCAGTCAGAATGGCAATTATTAAAAAATCAAAAAATAACAGATGCTGGTGAGGTGTGGAGAAAAAGGAACACTTTTACACTGTTGGTGGGAGTGTAAATTAGTTCAATCATTGTGGAAGACAGTGTGGTGATTCCTCAAAGATCTAGAGGCAGAAATACCTCTAGATAGGATTTGACCTATTACATAGGTAACAGGATTTGACCCAGCAATACAATCACTGGGTATTTACCCAAAAGAATAGAAATCATTCTATTATAAATATATATGACACATATATTCATTGCAGCCCTATTCACAATAGCAAAGACATAGAATCAACCCAAATGTCCATTAATAATAGACTGGATAAAGAAAATGTGGTACATACATACCATGGAATACTATATAGCCATAAAAAATAATGAGATCATGTCCTTGGCAGGAACATGGATGGAGTGGGAAGTGGTTATTCTCAGCAAACTAACACAGGAACAGAAAAACAAGCACCACATGTTCTCACTTATAAGTGGGAGCTGAATGATGAGAACACATGGACACATGGAAGGGAACAACACACAGTGGGGCCTGTTCGGGGAGTAGGGGAGGGAGAGCATCAGAAGAATAGCTAATGGATGCTGGGCTTAATACGTAGGTGATGGGTTAATTTGTGCAGCAAATCACCATGGCACACATTTACCTATGTAACAAACCTGCACATCCTGCACATGTACCCTGAAATTTTAAATAAAAGTTGAAGAAAAAAAATTTTAATTCCCTAAAACTATAAATATTAAGAAAATGTGGCACATATACACCATGGAGTACTATGCAGCCATAAAAAATGATGAGTTCGTGTCCTTTGTAGGGACATGGATGAAATTGGAAATCATCATTCTCAGTAAACTATCGCAAGAACAAAAAACCAAACACCGCATATTCTCACTCATAGGTGGGAATTGAACAATGAGATCACATGGACACAGGAAGGGGAATATCACACTCTGGGGACTGTGGTGGGGTGGGGGGAGGGGGGAGGGATAGCATTGGGAGATATACCTAATGCTAGATGACGAGTTAGTGGGTGCAGCGCACCAGCATGGCACATGTATACATATGTAACTAACCTGCACAATGTGCACATGTACCCTAAAACTTAAAGTATAATAAAAAATAAATAAATAAATAAATAAAAGAAATATTTTACTTAACTATTTATATTTATGAATTACAAATAATATTTATAAATATATAATATTTAATATCGCTATTAAAAATAGCTCTTACACTGGTCCTCAATTATATATTTAAAAAGTATATCTTATGTTTAAGTCTTATATTCCAAGAATGGTTCTAAATACTATATCCATATCACTTTACTTAATCTTCCACAAGTTAGGTACTACTATTCTCTACTACTATTCTCATTTTAGAAGGAAAACAACAGAGGCACAGAGAGGTTAAAAGAAAAAAAATAAAAGGGCAGGCGCCGTGGCTCACACCTGTAATCCAGCACTTTGGGAAGCCGAGAAGGGTAGATCACCTGAGGTCAGGAGTTCGAGACCAGCCTGGCCAACATGATGAAATCCCATCTCTACTAAAAATACAAAAAAGTAGCCGGGCATGGTGGTGGGTACCTGTAATCCCAGCTACTTGGGAGGCTGAGGCAGGAGAATTGCTTGAACCCAGGAGGCGGAGGTTGCAGTAAGCTGAGATCGTGCCATTGCACTCCAGCCTGGGCAATAAGAGCGAAACTCCGTCAAAAAAAAAAAAAAAAAAACTTGTCCAAAATCATACAGCTGGTAACTGGTAACGCCTAGATTTGAACATGAGTAGTCATAGTGCAAGATTATGTTTTTAACCACCATGCCACACTAATTCCACGCATGGATAGGCTGAGAGTTCTAATGCTCAAGAAATACCCTATAAACAATAAATATTATTATTATCATTAACAGCATTAACCGTCCACCTTTCCTCTTCCCATTTCTTTTATAAGTAGGGTACTACTATATTTACCATTTAATTAGGCTCAAGCCAAACATGTTAATATGTTGCTATATACCAGGAGATTATAATTTTGCTTTAAAAACACAATGCTTGCACTACTAGAGGTAAAATATTAATCAACCAATGAGAGGCTTAATATCTAAATTGGTATAACAATTCATCGGCAGCTTTGCTTAAAATGATAAAATAAAAAATTTTGTTTTGTCTTATTTTCTATTTAATCCTGCATCAGTTTCTAGTTCCATATTGACTCAAATGCCAGTATGAAGGTGGAATGCAAAAAACCCACAATAGATAACCCACTGCATGGCAGGCAAGAGGAGAGGAAGAAGAAAGAAGAAGAAAGAAGAAAAAGAGGAAAGAAGGAGAAGGAGGGGGAGGGGGAGGAAGAAAAGAATTAACGGTGAGGGCAATAAGGGTGAATTTTGATGTGTTAAAAAGCTAAGGTAGAGGCAGGGGAGGGATGCAGAAAGACAGGACACAGTTGAGAAAACAGCTCCTGGTTCTCAGTGACCCTCAACACTGAAGAAAGTCCCCTGTCTAGGAAGCAAAGAAGAATTAACAACCACGGAGATCACTGGCCAGTTTAGGCATCCAGGTGTTACATATATATATATTTTTTTTCATATATATATATATGAATATATATATATATATATGAACAACCCTACTTCCACAAGAGAAGGTTGTCTTACCAGTATTTGTGTGTGTGTGCCCTCTGTATCCCTGCCCTCCAAATGACGTTTAGGCAACATTACTTGTATCTCTTCTCCTCACAGATTCAAACTGGCCTAGGTGAAGGGGGCATCTAGAACATGACTATCAATAAGGGCTTTGATTCAGGTTAACCAAATATATTTTTGGGTAGCAGAAAGCAGGTAGCTATTCCTTTCTAGGGAATTTTTTTTCAACCTTGTTTCTGTTTTATCCAACAGAGTTGCATTTTCCCTTAGTTTCTTCTTTTTTTTTTTTTTTTTTTTTTTTTTTGAGATGGTTGCTCTGTCACCTAGGCTGAAGTGCAACAGTGTGATTTCAGCTCACTGCAACCTCTGCCTCCTGGGTCAAGCAATTCTCCTGCCTCGGCCTCTGAAATAGCTGGGATTACATATGTGTGCCACCATGCCTGGCTAACTTTTGTATTTTTAGTAGAGACGGGGTTTCACCATGTTGGCCAGGGTGGTCTCGAACTCCTGACCTCAAGTGCTCTGCTTGCCTTGGCCTCCCAAAGTGCTGGGATTACAGGCGTGAGCCACCGTGCCCGGCCTTCTTTTCTTTATCAACGTCTTCCAATACATCATATTCTGACTGGTATCTAAAGAGACCACACACTGAGGTTGACATATTGAAAAAAAAGAAACTAAGAATGTATGAGAAATCAATTCAAGGCTTGTGAACTTAACCATACCGTCTAATAAACTCCATAATAAAGACTAGAACATAAAAGATTGGGTTCTTCGTCATATCATTCCCCTCTGAAACCTCAACTGAAACACTGAAACACTCATTCTGGGCAATTAGAACCAGAGCATTTGGAGTGCATTTTTTTTTCTCTTCCCATTACAGTGCTCAACTTTGTTGGATCTTTTATAAATACTTGCAGCCAATCTGTCTACTTTCTTTGATAAATTGTTGAGAATTATTAAATAAATTATCACTCTCTCTTTTTGTTACCTTTTAAAGAATCATTCAAGAGTTCTGAGCAAAGGAGAATCATTGCAGATTTGTGTTGCAGATCAGTCCCTTTAGAGGCTATGAAGAACAAAGTCAAAGTGGGTGAGGTTGGAAGCAGAAAATCCAAATAGAAGTTGGTGATATCCCAAGGAAAAGGTAATGAGCTACTGAGCCAGGAGAGTGTGGTAGGGAAGAAGAAGATAGGAAATATTTTAAAAATTAGATTTAGCAATTGATTGAATATGTGGCTAAAGGAGACAGGTTTATGGAGGAAGAGCAGGATCAGGAGCAAAAACAAATATTTCATTCTCAAATCAGTTGAGTTTCGAATCTTCAGGGATGAATGAGATAAAAAGGCCCAGCAGAGAGTTGTACTGACATGAAATTTATGGAGACATCTGAAGAGGAGTAATAGACTGAGGCATCATCAACTGCAGGTGATTGGAATTATGAGAATAGATGAGGCAACTCAAGGAGAGCTCAGAGTGGGAGCACATAGTAGGTCAAGGACAGAACTCTTAGCCACAAGGTTAAAGAGGTAAAGGAAAAAAGAAATGTCTGTGAATGATATTGTGCCAAATACAATATATTAATATTCAGGGCTAGTCTCACCTTCCTAAGCACTCCCTTTTACTTTGGAGACTGAAAGCCTTAGAAACTGTGTCACTCCAACTCTCTTGACAGTCATGTCTCCATTTAGATGTTATAAATTTAAGAACTTACATAAGAATAGAAGGCAGAAGAGGAGAAGATGTGGTTCTCTGAGGCTATGTGCTGGCATATCAGCAGATGGCCTTAGATGGCCTCAGATATTTACTAGAGGCTTCTGGGTACTGTCCTGAGAATCATTCAATTCAGTGATACAGACAAGAGTGTTTATTTGCTGTATTTTTACTGGGATTTTGTGAACCTCCAGCAACTTCCTTAAAATTTGCTCCACAATGATTATAATGGTTCTAATTGCCTATATTGAATGTCTTCCTCTTCAAAGTGCTCACAATAAGGTCTGTGTTGGTGAACAAGCCTTTACTAAGACAAAAAGTGTAGTGTCAGAGAGGTATAGAGACAAAAACCTTTTTCATCATGTTGAGAGTAAGTGACCCATGAAAAAAGTAGACAAGAGGCATAGACTCATTCTGGGGAGAGAACCCCTTTTAACAGGGAGAAGAGACATATTAAATGGCACCTAAAAGGGGAGATGAGTCCAAATAACTTGAGTGTGAGCATGTGTGTGTGTACCTTATGATAAGATAGACCCCAGCAGGTTTATAAACTAAGACAAGAGCCCATAGAAAGGGAAAAGGTGAAGACATATGAAATAGTAACTATGACTGATGAAGTAAGATCCTGGACTAGATGGAAGGAGTCAGGACCAGTGCTGGGTAGGCTGGCTGTAAACAGGAAGAGGGGTATTCTATTCTTCTAAGATGATGGCAAGAAAGAGGGTATGAATTGGGAAGTTGGAAGAGGATCCACTTGCCTTGACAGAATAGATTCCCAGTTCAAAGGACAACTGGGTTTGGCCCCAGAGCCATTCATACCACCTTCTTTTGGCAATCAAACCCTTATTCCTCTTGGGAAACCACCCCATTCCATTTTCAACCCTGTGACTCTGGAGTGGCACACACGACCCAGTCCTAACCCACTCAGAACATCACATTCCACTGTCCATAGTGATTGGTCCAGTCATGTGTTGCAACTGAGGTAATAGGCTGTGATGGGATGTTTGCTCTGGCATCTAGTTAACAGGCAGGTATACTTTCCTGCAGGGCTTTGAGCAGAGAGGATATGAGTTATCTTGTTTTCATGGCAGAAAGACTTTTTCTGATAATGGAATTAAAGCAGAAAGAGAGAGAGATTGAGAAAAACCAGGTCCTGGTGATATAGATCAAGTCCCTACTCTGAGCTTCATTTGAAGCCAGACATTCTCTGGACTTTTCGATTAGTTTAACCACTAAATTGGCTGAAAATATCCTAAACCATATAGTGAGGTTGTCTGCTGAAAGTGAAGGGAGAGGGGCATAACTTAAAAAAAAAGAGAGAGAGAGAGAAAATCAGACTGATAGCATAAACAGAAAAGGGAAGAATCTTAACGAATAATCACCCAGCTAGGCCATAAAACACAGTTCAGTTTGGCTGAACTCAACCATGCTAATGTCAAGCCCAAGTCAATAATTTGGTTTTTTAATGTTCTCTGTGGCAACCAAAGAAACTGATTTTTTTCATCACTTCCAATTGCCTTTGTGAAGTATAGACCGCCTTTGGCTGGCTCATATGACACCTAACATCTGGATAAAAATTGAAAAATGTCAGCCATGTGTTTTGTCAAACACAATTACAAACCCCTGGGTAGTTAGAAAATATCTAATAATTGTTTCAGATTTCATCTGAATCATATACACACAGCATTTCTGATTCAAAACTTTCAGAGTTAAGGAACATAATCTCTGCACCCACCATTCCTGTTTTACAAGTCAGCCCCCAGCCCAAATGTGATGTCACCTTCTCCTCCAACTTAATATTTCCCCTGTGTAGTGTTTTCTCAATGCAAATGCATCAAAATTTCAGCTCCATGAGCAACTATTCATGTTGGAATCATATATCTTATATTTCAATTTTGTTACATAAAAGGCAGAATTTACAATATTCAAGTTAGAAGGTATATATGGATTTAAAAGGGTAAAGCAAAACCTTGTTGCTTTTTTTAACCAGGAATGAAGCTGATGTTCAGGAAGGTTAAGTAACTTGTACAATATCCCATTGCTAGTTAGTGGCTAACCTGAGGCTTGAACCCATGACTTTTGGCTACTCCCACTACTATACTATGCCACTTTCACCTGTCATAACCTGCTCAGAAGTAAATTTTGGTTACATTACTATTTTGCAGTAAGGAGCACTTTGTAGCTCTGAATATATTTAGAGCTACCCAAAATACTATCGACCATTCCTAAAATGCTTCCTTTTAAACGTCCATTAAAGTTCAGGACCAGTCTCACCCTTCTAACCACTCCTTCTTACTGAAATCTGAAAATTTATCTATATCATTAAATATCTAAGAACCATAGCTATTGTATCTCTGTCTACACACCATTCCTAGTGAGACAGCCAGGTGGGAAGGGCGCCCAGAAATAAAATCCAACCGGCCGGCGCACTGGGAGAAGTGCACATTGGGGTGGAGCCACAGAAGTCTGCACCATTTGCAGTGGGGAGGAGCCTGGCCCCTCCTCTTCCTGGGTGAAACCTGGGATTCAATCTGTGAGGTGGAAAGCCCACTGGCAGGAAGCAGTGAAATTTCAGAAGCTTCCTGTATTAGTAAAATTAGGTACAATCCTGAGTAAAAGAAAACCAAAACCAAATTATTAAAAAGAAAACCAAATTATTTTTAAAAACCATATTATTAAATTTACTCATAAAGAAAGTTTGGGGTTGGGCAATCCAGGGCTATTATAGTATCCCATGGAATCAGGGTTTCAGGCTTCTTCTACATCATTATTTTGTCGTCTTCAGCTTGAGTTTTTCTACTTTAGGATTTAATACGTTTTCTAAAATTCAAACTATCACATCTGCATTCCAGCCAACAGGAAGAAAAGAGTGCACCACTCCCCTCAAAGTATGAAATATGTATGAACTACATTTCCTGTGAGTTGTACACAATACTGCCACTTTTGTTGGTCAGAGGCTAGTCACAGCTGTATCTACTACAAGGGATATTAGGTAATCAATCCTTATTCTGGATGGTCTTGAACTTACCTAAAAATTTGGAATTTTATTGAAAGGAAAAAGGAGGGAATAGGATTTGGAGACCAATGCCAGTCTGCTACACTATCCTATCAATATCATTGAGTTGCTAAAAATGTGGATTTGAGATATTACACATAAAAGTGTATACTTTAGAATATAAAGCAGTTTTATTGTGCTATCTAGTAATCCACCTTCAAGTATACAGAAAAAGATGTTTCCTTACATAGTGCTATTCCTGGGTGTTTTATATCAAAGTACAGACGTGACCACCGTGAGTATACACCTGCCAACCTCTATTACAGAGAGCCTTTCTAATTGACCATGTGCCATGGTGTTTGCATGGAGGCTATGCCTCCTACAATCTGCTCCCAGCCAATGACTGCCTGAGGCAGGTTTGTTGAGACAGTCTCATTCCTGGTAGACTAGGGACCCTTCTGACAGCCAACTTTGGCTCCAGGACTCTAGACAGTTTCACTGAAACTTCCTTAGATAACACAGCAGTCCGGGATGCTCCACCAAACCTTCTCTTCCTCTTTTCCTCACTTGAGGTCAGATTTGCATCATGGCCTGATGGCTCTCCCTGTCTTCTCCAGCCTGTCCCATGCAGATACTTCCCTTAATAAAATCCTTGCATGTTTAATCCTGTCTTGACATCTGCTTCTTGTAGGACCCAAATTAACATAATATTTGATGAAAACATATAACTCATGGAATTTCTTTTCCATGGTAAAAGAGACTTTTGACAGAACTAAACTATTGTTAAATAAGCACATCTTCAGGATCATGTTATATGTTCACATTCATCTCGAAAAAATTCAAATCTCATAGATTATTTTTAATTATGGTAGCAACTAAATATTTTGTCACATTATTTCTTTTTAGATACAATGGCAACATTTTACTTGGCTTATAACCACAGAGTTGGCATAAGTACCTCATAGTAATAATTTAAAAATCTAAAATAATATGCATATATGTTTAAAAACTATTAGTAAGGGTCTTTTATGTTTACAATTTTTGTTCATTCATTAATCAAATATTGTGTAACCACTGTGCATTAGGTACAAAGTTAGACTCTGGAGAGATAAATAAAATACAACTACCCTCAAGCACTTTGCCACCTGGTCATAGAAAAACATTTGTAACAGCCAACTACCAAGCCCTCTAAGCCACAACCCTTTCTTTATTAGTGGGAATTTTGACCAGGAAAGACCATGGATTCAGACCTCAAAGAGGCCTGCATGCTAGGTCACAAAATAGAAGATGCACATCTGTACTTTTTCTTCAAACTCTTCAGAGTAACCCGTGTGGAAAGGGATCCTGAGAGCAGAGGGTCAGTGAAGAAATGAGAAGCCAGAAATAAGATAATCTAGGACAGCAGAGAGAAGAGTCTGCCCACTCAAAGTCTGACATAGAAAAAGTTTTGGGAGTCATTACCCATCCACAAACTCTGGAGAAGAGTACTGGAAAAAAAGGAAGAACCCAGGAGGAAAACTTGGAAGAAAATATTGCTTATTTGGGCTTTTTGTTGCTGTTGTTTTTACATCTCCCAAGAATCCTTCTAGCAATATTTGGACTACTGTCCTCCAGGTTTTTTGCTAGCTCATACAATGGCAAAAAGTAGAGCTGCTATATTTTTCAGAGCTCTCAGCACAAAACTTCTTTAAAAAAAACAAAATTAAAAACATTTAAAAGTAAATACAGTTTAGCTAATTTCAAATATTTCTCAATAAACTTTTATATTGAATATATCAAATATGAGAATTTTATGAGCAAAACAAATTGTTAAGGCACTACATATTTTCATGTCCCCAAACAACTAAAGTGACTTTTGCTCTATAAAACACTCTTAGAAAATTAAATATTGCCTAAGTTTTAAGTTTTACCAAAATGTCTCTTCTTTCTTAGCTGAATTATTTTTACAGAAATTATATTATTTTATACAGAAGGACTTATGAAAAAGGCAAGCAGCTGTGAATGGCAGGGGTCCAAGGAATAGTTAAAACTCAATGAGGTTATGCACAGTCCTTAGAAGACTTGAAGTTCCTTGCAGACAGACCTTGTCATATACCTGTCCTGTGGCTCTCTACAACTCCTACAACAGATCTGGATGCCCAAATCCTTATGAAGTAGATGCATGGGGGATGGACAGTTGAACAAATGGGAAATAGGAAAGGAGGGAAGAGAGCAGGGATGAGGGATGAGGCCACCTCAGAGCACTCAGCATTGGAAAGAAACTGGGAGGAAGCATGCCAGACTAGGAATCTAGTGACCTTAAGACAGTCAAGAAAACAAACAGCAGATTGTCTTTGTCTTCAAAAATAAACAAGTAGAAGAAGAAGCCAGCTGAACTAATGAAAATTGGTTTCCTATGGCTTTCTCCTAGGAAATAAAAACAGCTCACATAGCATTCTTGGTAGACACAGGTGTCTAGGAAATTAATTGCAAGTTAGCCATGAGGGTGACCAAAAACTTGATCTGCTATGACATTGAGGGTAGGGTATGAGGCCCATGGGCACCAGTACATTAGGACTCTCTACTTCGAATAGTCCTTTCTTCTCTTTGAAGAGCACAAAGACTTGGGTTCATGTGGTCCTGGCGCTGAGCTTCAGTTTGGCTTTAACATCTGCCTTGGGATTGGAAGAGAAACTATTTGAATTTGGTGGGAAATAAAATTCTGGCAACTGCTGCCCGGGCTTGGAAGCTGAGGCATGTTGAAGGCCAGCAGGCTGCAAACCCTTGTGGGTTGTGCTACAAGACAGGGCACTGAGTGCTGCTCAGAGGTCACCTTCCTCACCAGGCTAGTCAGAAGGAACCTCCTCCTTTCTCAAACTTCAGCAGTTTGTGCGTCCCTTATATACTTTATCTTAATCAGCTTTCTGCTCATTATTTTTCAGCTTGTTCTTTCTCTCTTAGAAGATCACAGGTTTCCTGAAAGTAGCATCCCTTTGCTTCCCTGTTTTTGGCTCATAGAGGATGCTCAAAGAATATTTGCTGAATGAATTGATCGAAGGGCAGACCAATGGAACACATCGTAGCAATATCCACTGTCTCTACTTCCCTATAATAAACTCTCTCCTCCTGAGCTTTTGTTATGCTTTCTCCTTCTCTCTCCTGAAATCTCCCTTGGAAAGATTATCAAACACTTCCCAGCAGGTAAATTGAATAGTTTCTCGGATGCTACATCCTTCTGGGCCTCTTCAATATGCATTATGACTATCCTACATTGTTTTAGGGACATCTCACTCTTTTGTGTTCTATTGCCTTGCCTTCTCTTGGATAATTTATTCTGAGTCTTCTCACCTTTTCTTCTATTAGCCAACAGCCATCCACAAAACATCAACTTCAAGTCATTTGACAAAATTTTATTGAGCGCCTACTACAGGACCAGATACTGTGTTCATGTCTCTAGGAGAAAATCACCTCATCTGACTTCAGTTACCACCTCCATGAGCGTATGCAGAATCTGCAATGCCAAGAGGCAGGTCAGCTCTCTTTGCACAGTAAATGTGATGCTGTCAAGCAGACAGAACCGTTGCTGTGGTTAAAGGAACTGCAGGGTGGCTTGGGGTTGTCTAACATTTCTAAATCATAAACTCCCAGGTTCTGTTTTTATTGTCCTCCCCTTACCTGCTCCTCCCCTGACTGATATTATAAATCACTACCCACCTACATGTCATTCCTCTTTCAAATTGCCACCCTTTACTCCCTTTTCCCACTTTCCAGGTTAAAATTGAATAAATTCCACTGCAGAGAATATCATTTTACAGAAGTAACTAATTTCCAAACCCCAAGGCATTGCTGAAATAATTCTTTCCTCTGATGACACTCCCCCTTCACCAAAAACACTACTTGCTTTGTAATTTTACATATCATTTCCTCTGTACTTTCTTCTCAGTTCAGTGTGACAGCCATTGCAGACATCTCCCGTAGGAGATGTGCCATCTGTGTGCAGTAAACAAATAGCACTATGAGGTCTCTGCCCTATAGAGGCTCCCTCCCTTTTTGATGGGGGAGTAAGACAAAGCCTCAAGAAAGAAGTCAGTTCTGTCCCACATTTTTATCTGCCTCCAGTGTGGGTGCTCTCCACTGAGTTGCCAAATTCTTCCTAAAAGTTTGAAAGATCTCTCTCCCCTATGGCAAGTTTCCCAAAGCAGTTATGACCACATCTGCCTCTACAAGGGAACCCCTCTTATGGAAAGAATCCAAACACATGAGCCTTCTGTCTCCAGGATCAAGTTCAGGCCTCCACATTTTGGCTCCAAAGCATGGTCCTGGTCTTCCCCAGCAGCCCAGGAAAGTCCTAGAGGACCTTCTGTGCACTTGACTTTTGGCCAACCTGAAGCTTTGCAGGTTGCACAGTACCTTTCAAATGGGTGGGGAAGAGAAAGGAACAAACATGTAGCCCAGCTGTACTCTAGGGTCTTTAACTCATTCTCAAGCGGCTTGAATTTGGCAAACCCAAAATACTCTTTGCCAAGAACTTTTTTGCCTTAATTTTTTAAACCCATGTGAATTTCCAAGAAAACTTGGTCCGTATGTTTCTGATTCATTTACACTTAACTCATCACAAAGTTGTTGTGAAATAGCCATTTAATGTCCAAGAAGCCTTTAGAAGTCCTTTCCTATGGCTTTTCTCCCTTGCCAATGCTAAATACAATTCCAGTCCAGAATCTCCAACTTAAATTTGGATCTAAACTCAAAACTCAGTTTTCAGAAAGAAAACTCTTGTCTTGATAAAAGATTTCTTGTCAGCAAGTAGCCGATTTAAACTCATAGGAAACAGAATTCCCTGAAGCTCCTGAAACTTCCTCCAATTCAAGATTTCCTCCCCCTTTCCAAACTCATGTTAGATCAAAGGCAGAATGTTGATATATAAATGGACATTGCACCAGGTCCTGCCTCCATTGTAGCAGAAACCCCAGAGAGAACAGTTGCCCTAACATTTGCTATCAGATATTTCAGCTTGAAGTTTTGAGGAGAATTACAGTCACTTCCTCTCAGTATTGAACTTTATAAGCTGCAAGAGGCTTTGATCTCTACAAATTCATCCACCAGTTTCTAACATGCAAAGTAGCCTGACCATCAGCTATAGAAGGCCGGAACTAAAATAAGTATCCATTTACCTCATATACAATATAATCCTAAAATAAGCCAAAATCAAACTGATAGAGTTTAGGAGGAAAAGGATGTTTCAGGACTGTGGTTTCCAGCTGGTCTTTTGGTGTGGGCATTGTGGTATTGGTTTTAGAATCAAATGCTGCAAAGAGGAAGCAGGAGGATCAGGGAAGGTCTTCCATACTTGTTCAGGTGTTTGTACATGGGAGCGAATTCCAAAGCCTCAGGCATCCCGGGGAAAGTGGGCAGAGCTAGCCAGGTTGGAGAGGAAAGTGATGAGGGTGCACGCTGGGTACTTCTTGGCCAGGCATTCACTCACTCAGGCCCAAGTGCCACCTCAGCACCCTCATCTTCCTGCCAGTGCTTTTTAGCAGAACAAAGACTCTTCAGATGAGGGGAGATCAAGACTAGGTCACAGAGGAAAAAAAATTCACTCCCAAACAATCCCCTCCTTCACCTCTGTGCTCTCCTCCCCATCTTTTTTATTTCCTGCTTATTCTTAAATCATTTTCTTAAGCATTTTAAAATGATATTTGCATTTAATCATCTGGAAAAATATCCTTTACAGCAGCTCCAGAACTCTTTCAAATGCCCCTCCATGAATCTAAACATAACTTGAACCATTTCAAACAACTCCCTCTTGGCTCAGTAAAGTTACCATGTTTTTCCCCCTTATTTTAAATTGTGCAAACAATTAGACATTTTGAAAACGGCATACATCAAGTAAAGCAAGTCAGGTTTTAATTACTTTAAAACCTTTATAATCCCTGCTGTCAAAATCAGCCCTCTCCCCTTGGGCATGTAACATTTAGCAATGTTGTGATATCTTTCTGGTTTGACCTAAATATCTATTTACTTAATTAAGTCAGTATAGAGGCTGATAGGTCAAAAATTAGGCATGACTAGTTAAACAGCAGATACCTGCTACAAGATTTCAGAGTTAAGAGGAATTGTAAAATTAAATGCATCTTTAGAGGTTTGTAACTAAGTTCACATTTGTATTTAAATACCAAATAATCTTCCAATTTTTATGCATAGTTTTCAGTCACTGTAACAAAAACATGATGTCCTGCTCATGCTGTGAGCACTGTGCTGGGTTTCCTTGTTTACATTCACAGCTGTAAACACAGTCTAATCCAGACTTGCTTGGAAGGAAATTCCCCATTGTTGCCTGCATTCACCATGTTGAGAAAGCTAGAATTTCATTCTTTTCCTCACATTCTCATTCTTTATGCATTGGTCCTTAGGCATTTAAACTTTTCAGGGTTTGACTTCTCTTCTACCTACCAAAATCCCAACTCAGGTTTACTTTCTCTAAATGTTAACTCCTCTCAGATTTCAAAATAAGTTATAAATAGAAAACTGTGCCAGGAGAATTTATTAAAAGTCATTTATATGCAAATGTCTTTGCTTTAGCCCCACACTTGCCCAACATACAGCTTCCTGACCATGTACTTGAACCCATCCATCTTTCCAGGCAGAGCTTGCCTCTCAGCTCCTGTACCAGAGCCACTCTGGTGACTCCAGGGACAGGGATTTTTAAGTAGAATTTTTAGCTCTTTTAATTGCCCCATCCAAAAGGACCCTAAATCAGTGCAGTGGCAGTAAACGGCATTAAAACAGGCTCTATAGGATTAATCAGAGGAGGGTTGAAAGAGGGTTTTGAAGAAAGGAGACAAAGGAATGAAAAGAAGAGAGAAGTAGATGACAATGGAAAGGAATTAGAAGAAAAGGAAATTAAATATTAAAAAGTAAATACGAGCAAAAGACCATTAAATGTATTAAATGTATTTGTGTATAACATACTTTTATATTTTATTGTATTCCTTGTGATTTTTTATTAGAATAGAGAAAAACTATATCCCTGAGGTTCTGAAAATGGAACAAATATCAAAATTTCTATAGTCCCTGAACTCAAAAAGAGCATCCTATGTACATGGAGTATTTTTAGGGCTAAGGAAAATGCTTGCATGTAATTATTTAATTTTAAAGACAGATTCTTGCAACTGAAATGGCAAGGAACAGACAAGATAGGTCTAACTCCTTTGAGGAACTGGAAGCCCTCTGTAATTTTGCTGCACTTTACAAATGCAAAGACCCCAAAGAAAAATCCAGAAAGCACACTGTTAACATGCAACAACAAAAGATCCTGAAATTACTTCTGAACCAGAGAATCAATAAATAATGTCCAATACACTTAAATATGTTTTAACACATTAAAAAAGTAGACAGTCAGTATAGCATATTAACCAGAAAATCGTAGTACCTGACTACCCCATATAAAGGGAACGGAGTCACAGCAAGTGTGTAAATTAGCAAAAATGAAACCCTAAGTAGAGCAGCCCGGGCCAAATCCTTGTTTATTCAGGAAAACTGAGTGAAAAATCATTGAATGGAAGCAAACTAGAGGGTAGGGAAAAGGTGAAGGGAAGCCACAATGAAAAATAAAAATGGGCAACACTGCAGGAGAGACAACTGTGAACACTTCTCATGAAAGCCATGAGGCCACTCTTGTGAAAAATGCACATGCACATAGTTTTGCAATCAATGTCAAGGAGTTCATAGACCCCCTCAGAGTCTCCTAGGGAACCCTATAGTAAATAATAACATAAACATCTTTGAAGCCTACAGTAGTGTTTAACCAAGGTATTTGCGAAAGAGGAAACTGGAGAAAAACGCAACTGTGTCATTCAGAACAAAATTACTGCCAAAGATTATTTTGCTTAAATTAAGACTGATGACTCCGCTATTAAATCAAAACTTGTGTTAAACTCAGGTATGGATAGTCCTATATCCCATTTTGTTTTCTTTAGAAATATTCTGTTGAAGATAGGGCCATTTCTGAAAGTTTTTAAATGTGAATATCATTTTTAATTTTTTTGATGCTCCTAACTCAATCATTTCATGTGGTAATAAAAATAATTTGTGCTTAAGTGCTCTCCAAGGACTCTGTTCCAAGTTCTGTAATTCCTTTCATTTGGCCTACAGCCTCTGTGACATTTCGCTGCTAAGGGCCTCCCATGGGTTCCATCTGGATCATTGGAGTCTCTGGATAATTTGCATTTACTTTATGTTGAGTCAGTTCCTAATTCCAACATTGCAGTGTCAGAGATGGAATTAGTGCCAAGTTTTCTTGAGAGATTGAGACTTCAACATTTCCGAATATTGTGTCAGAGTGTACTACCTTATGAGGGAACAAATTCAAATAGGGGTAAACAAACAATACAAAAAGAAAGTTTCTGTCTTTGATATGGTTTGGCTCTGTGTCCCCACCCAAATCTCATGTTGAATTGTAATCCCCAATGTTGGAGGTGGGGCCTGGTGGGAGGTGATTGGACTATGGGGATGGTTTCTCGTGGTTTAACACCATCCCCCTTGGTGTTGTCATGGGGAGAGTGAGTCATCGCGAGATCTAGTTATTTAAAAGTGTGTAGCACCTCCCCATGCTCTCTCTCTTTCTCCTGTTCCAGCAATGTAAGAGGAGCTGGCTTCACCTTCACCTTCGCCATGATTGAAGGTTTCCTGAGGCCTCCCCAGAAGCTGAACAGAGGCCAGTATCATGCTTCCTGTACAGCCTGCAGAACTGTGAGCCAATTAAACCTCTTTTCTTTATAAATTACCCAGACTCAGATATTTCCTTATAGCAATACAGAAACAGACTAACATAGTCTCACTCATAAAGAAGTATAAGTCAAACCCATGATGTGATACTACTCTACAGCATTTTTTAAAGATAAAGCAATATTATTTATAAGGGTTAGTAATATTATAAAATGGTACAGTTCTTAGCCAATTGAAGTATATTTTAGTAATACATAGAGAAAATAATAAAAATATTCAGTCCCTTTGACCCAGCAGTTCCATTTTTGGGGAATCTTAAAAGGGTGAAGAAGTAGAAATTACATATACCAAGTTGTTTCCAGCAGCATCATTTATACTAGTGAAAATAAGAAACATCCTAAATATTCAACAGCAACCGACTGGTTATATAATTATGATTAGTCCATAAGGCAGTGGTTCCTAACCTTTTTGGCACCAGGGACTAGTTTTGTGGAAGACAATTTTTCCATGGAAGGGGTGGGGAGTGGCAGGGTAGGGTGTGGGGATAGTTTGGGGATGAAACTGTTCTACCTCAGATCATCAGGCATTAGTTAGATTCTCATAAGGAGAACACAACCTAGATCCCTGCATAACAGCTCAGAATAGGGTTCCTGCTGCTAAAAGAATCTAATGCTGCTGATGATCTGATAGGAGGCAGAGCTCAGACAGTAATGCTCGCTAGCCCTTGGCTTACTTCCTGCCTAACAGGCCATGGACAGGTACCAGTCTGTGGCCCGGGGGTTGTGGACCCCTGCCATAGAGGACACTGTGGTCTATGTTAACTATAATAATTCTACCCACCAACTACCATCCCAGGCCAATGATTGGATTGCAAATGGTCATGACTGAATTCTGAACATAAGAGGAAAAGTTTTCTGAGCAGTTTTGGGGAAAGTTATCTCTCCCCTAAGCAAGAGACACAAGAAGAAACCACCCATCTTCTAACTCTGAGCACTGTCCTCGATGTGGCCCCTGGAGCTGCTGCCCTCATCTTATGCCACACCTGAGAATGAAATCAACACTGAGAAGCGCATTTTGGAGATATGGGAAAGCCCGTGCTTGATGACAACACTGACCTATTGAATCAGTCAACCTAGAGCCTCAGCTTCTATGTAGGTGAAATATTAAACTTTCTTATGCCTTAAGCCAATTTGAGTTGAGTTTCTTTGTAATCTGCTGCCAAAAGAGAACTTAATTTGATATTGCCTATGCATTTTAACAGTGAAGACTAATGTAAACCTGTGGCAAGGATTTGTTAAAAATCTTAAATATGAAAGTAACATCCCCAAAAGTTTATTCAATATATTATAACTAAAAAAAAGACTATATATACATTATACATTATTAAATATTAACAAAATATATCAGAGATGAAGAAATTACAAGTAAGTTATAAAATATTTTGAAGTTTTTCATTAATATTTTAAGAGTTGCCTTCTAACTTTTCTTCATATCATTTCTCAAAATGGTGAGTTCTTAAAGGTTAAAGGACATATCTTACTGATCCAATTTCAAGTACAGTTGCTGGAATATTTTTAGTTTTTATGTCAGCATGAATTAGGTTCTGTTATAGTAATAAGAACAAAGGTTTATTTCTCGCTAGGCTACCACATCCACTGGAGTTAGATGGGGAAGCAGGTTCCTCATCAGAATTGCTCAGGAACTCAGACTGACAGAACAGCCACCATTCTGACCATTGCCTGTCACTATGCTAGAGGTAAGAAAAAAAAAAAAAAAGCATCCAAACTGCATACTGGATTTTAATGCTTTCACTACGTTATTTCCACTTGCATTTCATTAGCCAAAACAGGTCACATGGCCATGCCTGGGTTCAAAGGAAGAGAGAAAGTGTAATTCTCCCATGTCCCTGGAAGCCAGAAATATCTGGCAAATAGCCCTAATGGCGATCACAGGGCTACAACAAATGGCTGTTGGATGCAAAGCACAATTATATGTGCAGAAGGTAGACTTTTTTTATATCCCAGAGAGAAGGAAGAGATGAAGCCTCTATAGAGCAAAATTAGCATAGTGAGACACAAACAGCCCCTCCCTTGCTCTGAGTACACACTCAACTTCACACAGCAATTGATTCAGTATGTGGTTCAAGTTTCAGAATATTATAAATGTAGTGGAGACTTCTGTATCATTCTCAAAGTGCTATTATGAAAGACCATCAGACAGAAAGTAGATTAATTATTACATTAATATCTCCCTCAAAAAATCTGCCTACATCACCAAAAGCCACAAATGGTGAAACTCCCTGATAGGACATACCTCATGCCTCAATCCCCTCCTTGCTATCTTTTTGCATGTGTTTTGGAAGTTTTTTAAATTTTAACATTCTAGTCTCAGATGAAGCATACATTCTAAATTCTGAAACGTGGAGTCTATGTATCATAGTTCATTCCTCATCTCATTTATCTCATCTTCCCTTACATGCCTCTCTGCACAGTGGGAAAACTTTCTTTTGACCCCACTTTCTCCAAAATGGTTCCCTGATTACCCCAGGTCAGAGCACAACCGCCCTTTTTTTTATTGCCAAGCTGTGATGTTTCCATGATTTACACCATTTAACTGTCATTCTTCCCTAGCTGCTTTCTCCAACAGTCTATAAAGTCCTTTGAGAATCATAGGTTGCTAGATGTCTAAATGGGCAAACTGAACACTACATTCTCTCTTCCCAGTCACTGCAAGGACAGGTGGAGTTCCTTCTCAAGGATTTCATCTCTAAGAGCAGTCCGGGAGCATGGCCAGACCCTGGGCTAGGGAGATGGACCAGCAGCTGAGTTAGGTGGATGTATTAGTTTGTCCTCATGCTGCTATAAAGAATTTCCCAAGACTGGGTAATTTATAAAGGAAAGAGGTTTAATTGACTCACAGTTCCACATGCTAGGGTGGCTTCAGGAAACTTAAAATCACGGTGGAAGGGGAAGCAAACACATCCTTCACATGGCGACAGGAGAGAGAAGTGCAGAGCAAAGCAGGCAAAAGCCCCTTATAAAACCATCAGATCTTGTGAAAACTTACTCACTATCACCCAGAACGGCAGCATGGGGGAAACCACCCCCATAATCTAATCACCTCCAATGAGGTCCCTCCCACGACACTTGAGGATTATGGGAACTGCAATTCAAGATGATATTTGGGTGGGGGCGCAGCCAAACCATACCAGTGGGAAAAGATTAGGGCCTCTTTCTCTCTCTCTCTCTCTGTCTCTCACTCTCTCTTTATATATATGTGTGTATATATATACACACATACAAATATATAATACATACATATATATATATAAAAGGAGACATATATATATTTCATCTTACCCTTCCCAGACTGTATCAACCAAAAACCTTTAGGCTGTAAGTACTGGAAACCTTTACTTTATTTCTTTTTTAAGAATGTTTGTTTTAAGGGTAGGGTTAGTTTCAGGCCAGGATTCATCCAGGGACTCAAATGATTTCATCAGGATGTGATTTCTCCTCCTCTGCTTATCTGCCCTCCTTTCTTGCTACTTGCTCAGTGTTGGGCAGATTTTCCTTCATGAGCACACGGTGGACACCAGGAGTTCCAAGGGTCATATCCAGTTCTCAGCAGTCCGAGAAAAGCCCATTGCTTTACACACTGTCCACATCAGGTGTCTCCCCAGTCAACCTGCCAATAAGTGGCCTGGAGGATTAGATATGCAGATTGGATTAGGCTTATCAGGCTTGCCCCTGGGGGTGAGGGTTGGGTTATGTCTACCCAACCCATGGTGGTGGGGGTGCAGGTGATGTTCTGCCAATGGAAATTCAAGGCACTCTGTTATGGAAAAAAGATTGAAAGGATGCCAATAATCCTAACACAGGCTCTCAGCCTGCCTTTCCTAGGTTCTGCTGCTTTTCTTTACTGCTTCAAAATTGGCCTTCCTTTCTTTATCCAGTCTATCACTGATGGACATTTGGGTTGATTCCATGTCTTTGCTATTGTGAATAGTACTGCAATGAACATACATGTGCAAGTATGTTTATAATATAATTATCTGTGGTACATATACACCATAGAATACTATGCAGCCACAAAAAGGAATGAGATTATGTCCTTGGCAGAGACATGGATGGAGCTGTGGGGCATTATCCTCAGCAAAGTAACACAGGAACAGAAAACCAAACACTGTATGTTCTCACTTATAAGTGGGAGCTGAACAATGAGAATACATGGGCACATAGAGAGGGGAACAACACACACTGGGGCCTGTTGTGGGTGGCAGATAAGGGAGGGAGGGAATCAGGAAGAATAGCTAATGGATGCTGGGCTTAATGCTTAGGTGATGGGATGATCTGTGCAGCAAATCATCATGGCACACGTTTACCTATGTAACAAACCTGCACATCCTGCACATGTACCCCAGAACTTAAAATGAGTTGAGAAAAATATAAAAAAGCCTTTCTTTTGTTTCATTCTGTGGGGAAGGGGAAGCGGTGAAGGTAGAAGAAACCTGGTCTCAGTATTCGGTAACAGTGATTACTTCCTGTGTTGGTCCTTCTTAAGCCATATTTCTGTTTTAATGGGGACTTCCTAAAGATCCACTGGTTCAGAAGAAAGATCACTGGCTGGTAGTTTAACATCTAGTGTTGAGTCTCTGCTCAGAGACTTCAGATAACTTACTTTGTGGGCTCGTTCTTTTTATTCATGAATGAAGAAAGATGAACATATCTTCAAGGCATCTCTGGAAGCTATGATTTTATTGTTCTATGAAACTGGGACAGAATTGCAAAAGTTACTTGCTCCATTTCTCATAACTGGCAAGATGTCCCAACTTCATCCTCCCAATTTCAAGGGAGAGGCTCTTTCGAGTATACCACAGCTGACATATTCCAAGACGGATTAGGAAGGTGATGTTAATGGTATTGTTAATCCATTGTATTTGTGGGTAGGGGGGTGTGGTTAAGAAGGCATAGACACCACTCGGTTTTCAAATTGATGAAAGAAATTATATTAAAATTGGTACAAGCACACACCGGGGACTGTTATGGGGTGGGGGGCGGGGCGAGGGATAGCATTAGGAGATATACCTAATGCTAAATGACGAGTTAATGGGTGCAGCACACCAACATGGCACATGTATACATATGTAACAAACCTGCACGTTATGCACATGTACCCTAAAACTTAAAGTATAATAACAATAAAATAAAATAAAATAGGTACAAGCAAGGAAATTTTGACTATTTCTGACCCATGGAGGAAACAAGTTTGGTGTTAGATATACTTGTATCTGGTTTACAGTGAATGTGGGACAGTCATGTGGAAATGCCCAGAAGACATTTAAAATGGAAATGCATCTCGGCAGCTAGGATGGGGCTGAAAAGGTGGAGGCTGAAATGGACTGAATGAAAAGCATCATAGAACGTGGATCAGAGTCCTAGGGGAGATGGCACAGGGGGAGATTCTAAGACTGGAAAGAGTCTACCTTTCAGCGATGAGAGCGGGGCACCATAAAGAGACCTAGAAGAGGAGAATCAGGAAAATTCATGGAAGATTTGCTGAAACCAGATGGGAAGAGACAATTTCTGGATGGCTGGATGAGGGCAAGGGGTAGAGTGAGAACTGAGAGCGCCAAGTGCCTTTGCTCAGGATGGACTTCCACATCTTTCCTGTGAGGGCAGTTTCAGGTCACTGGGTCACTGGGTGGGGGAGGGTTCCAGACAATGATTGTAGGAAGCTAAGGACAAAGTGAGTGTTGAAAGGAAGGTGGTGAACACAGCTGAGGTCAGGCAGCCCCGACTGCCCAGCTGAACAGGAGGGCAAGGGGCTGGGAGTGTGGAAGACATTGAGAAAAGTAAAGGGACCTGAGAACCACAGCTGCGAGGAATAAATGAAGGAAACAACTACATTTGGTTTTTAGAACTTGCCCAGCAGATCTGACTCGCTGACATTAAATTATGCGCACGGCTCCTTGGAAGCACACTGGAACTGGATGTCAAAGCAGTGAGACAGAAAACTGGAACGAACGCTACACAAGATAAACGAAATGAACTTTTGTATTTATTTTGATCCCTCAATACTCCCTGTGGAGACAGTCAACCCTTCAAGGGCCAGGACCCTGTCATCCATCCTCCTTTCGTCTCCCTATTCTGCTTGGCAAAATGTTGTGGAACCCAATGGATCTGGACTTACCAAGGAAAAGGGATGAACCCTCTAAATCAAAGGGATTATTAAGGGGTGAGCAGATATTCCTCCTCAAGAGAAAAACTTGAGAAGTCTATGGACTTCTCAAGGAAAGTGGCATGATTACAAATGGAATTACAAATTCCTTCATTATCCCATAATAAAACTTGAGTGGAAAATACCTTCTCACTTAAAAAAAAATTAATTGGCATTCCACAGATCTTATTTCTTGTGTAAAGAAGTGACCATTTGGGAGGAAGCCAGCCCACTACTGAAACAATCTGCAAAAGCACGTCCTCTTAATCGTCTTTTGTCGAAGAAAAAGGAGAGACAGAATGGATACTTGAAGGGGTGGGGAATGACCTGAAAGTCGCTGTTGCGTTTCCTCCAGGCAGCTTGCTGAAGAGCCCGGCGGCTGTGCTGTCCGTGCTTCCGCCTGGTGGACAGAGTTGGTAATTCTGACTGCTTGGGGACTGTGAGGAAAGGAAAACTTCCTGCTTCCCAATTTTAAAAAAAGAAAAAGAAACAGCAAACATGAGCCAGAAAAGACTGTCCAGTGTAGAGTACCTGTAATGCAGCCGCGACCAGCTTCCTGACAGCTGCAAACACATTCCTTGTGAGGCCACTCTGTAGGCCTGTAAGGCAGAGCAACACTCCTCATGCTGAGTTGGAGAAAAGCAAGGCAGGCGACTGCAGAGGACAGCAGGTGAATCTCTGGTCTCTTGGGGACACAGCCTTTGCTGTGGTTTCAGTCCTGGCATCAGAACTCTTTTTTTTTTTTTTTTTTTTTTTTTCTGGATCTGGGCTGTGTTATCCTGCTGCCCTTTTTGGTTCAGGACTCAGTGATGAAACAATCAGTGACCACAGGGTAGGCAAAACACATTCTGGAGGTTCACTGCTCAGGAAGAGATGTGACAAGTTAATGAGATGCAGCCCAAGTCTCTTCTCCATTGTTTCTCCTGTTTCTTTACAGGCAGCCAAACCATGACAGGAGGTCAGCGTCGGTGGAGGCATGGCTGGTGCGAGCAGACATCAATCACCTTGGGTGGGAGACTGGGTTCTGGCTTCACGTGAAGGTGGAGTCTCTCTCCTATGCTTCACTTCTCTGGAGAAGTATCTCAAAGTCATATCGGCTCAAACACTCAGTCCTTAGCTATTCGCAGCCAAATATCAGTTTAAAAGTGCCCTGTGCTCCTTGTTGCCAGGGCCACCACATTTCTATGACCCTTTTCCGTCACAGCAGAGAAAAACCAAAACAGTCCTCTGCAATTGGTCATTTGGTGTTTCATGAAAAAGAACTGGCAGATAGTTAAACGGCTAAAACCAATGGTTATTAGAAATTTGGGCAGGATCTGTAGATATGCCTTCTCTACTGAACAGAAATGTCCTATCACTTACTGAAATAATTTCATGAAGACAGCTTTGAAGCAGAAAATGAAAAAAAGTATAAATTCCACATAGTAGTGCAAACACAGAGCACTATCTATTGTTTTAAGAAATAACTGACTTTTAAAACCTTCATACAATTTATAAATCAAAATCATTTTTCCCTTGAGAACAATCCAAAAAGAGTAAAGCATTCAAAGCACCAAATTTTCAAAAGACCTATTGGATTTAAAGATTTTATCCAAGGAAATAACTCACTGTATTATTTAAATGGCCATGCAGCTCTTCGAGGCCCAGATGCAAGACACCATCAAAGTAAAAAGTGTTATTAGTAACCCTTGGTGGCCAGCCATCTCCTTCCCCTGCTCTTCCAGGGAAGCATCTGCCTAGTTCCATTTTGTTATTTGATTTCATTATATATTTTTCAGACATCTGCTCCCAGGCTCTCTGAGACAACAGTGAATTCTGCTTAGAGATGAAATTGCACATGAAGGAGAATGTAGAGCAGAATCCCTGAAACCTGATGATCCCTTTAAAGGAGTTTGGAGAACTTCAAGCACAGCCTCTCCACTAAACACCATTCAACTGGAGGCCAAGGAGCCACATTACTGAATTACTCCTTGAAAATAATACAATAGAATAAATGAACAATAGAGAAACCACTCAGCGAATAAGATTCTGTTTATTATGCTGAATTAGATACTCAGCTGTTTGGTTGTAGCAGACTCTGTCAGTGCTCTGCCTCTTGTCTCCTCAGATCCCTCTGCAGTGTGTGTGTGCATGTTGTGTGTGTGTGTTTGTTCTCTCAGCACCTTCCAATTTGTGATTACTCTCATTAGCTAACAACTGTGTCACTTGTTGAAGGGCTGCTCTCAGGCTTCCACTTGGTTGGAAAGGCAGGGAGCATGTGAATTTATGCCTCTTCCACTGCAGACATCCTTAATCAATGACAAACAGGTGTGAAGTATAAATACCCCAGCTCCCTTGCCCTTGATGGAAACTACTCTGAGTGGTAAACTGTGTTGTCTGTAGAGCTTCCGTGCAGGACTGAGCAAAATTTACTGTAGTGGTTTTAAAATATGTCCACAAATTATTTGATGCTCCTCCCTTAAAAAGGTGGAAGCTAATTTTTCTTCTCCTTATATGTAGGCCAGACTTGGTGATTCACTTTTAAAGAATAGAAGATGAGGAGCAATGCTATGTGACTTTCAAGGCTAGGTCATATAAAGAATGGGTTCTGTCTGGCACTCTCTCTTGGACTACACATTCTGGAGAAAACAGCAGCCACATCATGAGGACACTCAAGCAGTCCTGGGAGAGGTCCATGTGGAGAGGAATGAGGTCTTCTGACAACAGCCAGCACTAACTTACCATCCATGTGAGTGAGTGACCTTGGAGGTGGATCCTCCTGCCCCAGATAAGCCTTCAAATGACTGCAGCCCCAGCTGACATCTCAAGTGCAACAACTTGAGAGACCTCCAGGGAGATATACCCAGTCAAGCCACTCATGAAATATTAATCCACGTATACTCAGAGGCATAATAAATATTTATTGTTGTCTTAAGCCACTATGCTTGGGCAGTTTGTTACACAGAAATATATAACTGATACAATTTCTCTCCAAGAGACTGTCCTTAATCCTGCACCTTTGTTTGCCTTCTTCCTTTCCTAATCATGCTTTCCCCTTTATCCCCCTATGGACTTTCCCTAGGAACACTTCCTAATAAATCCCTTTCACAAGAATTGTCTTGGAATCAAGTTCCTGTTTTGGTTAAACCTTCTTGTAAAATAGTCCTCATTCAGGTCCTGTTTCCTGGCTCAAGTTGGCTTTTACTTTTGAAGAATTTTCTAGACTAGTTTTACCTTTTCCCATACTAATTATCCTCAATCCTTTCCTTTACCACCTAGAGCATGGCAACACAATTTCCTCAGTTCATGAACCACAGGTGAGCATGAGGTTGATGTCATGAAAGCAAGCAAAGAGAGGGAAGACCTTTACCTACCCACCAGCTGCCAATGTGAGCATTTCAGCACCTAGCAGACAAACTCCACTCTGCCTCTGCGGTCTCAGAGTGACCCGTGGGAGCTACTAGTTTGGCAGTAGGATGGAAGGTGCCTCTCCTGCCTGGCTGCAACTGCAAGTGGTGAGAGAGTCCTTGTGAGCTTGGGCTGCATTTAAGTCAGACAGCAGTCCATATTTGGATGGAGTGCTTCTCTGGGCATTATGGGAAGGAAACTGTGAACCAATGTGAATTCCTTTTTACAAGTAAACTTCAAGGGAGAACATAGGTTCTATAAAATCTATGCTCTGTCAATTTCTCCCAATGAAGGAAAAAACAAAAACATGAATAATCTTGGGATATTTCCAACATGAAACTCATGGCCTTGAGAAGCAATGCTACTGTAATATGGACTGTGCTGAACCATCAGAAACTGCAAGAGAATATACACAGCCAGAGATGAACAAGAGGTTCTAGGACAGACTCTGTTCTTTGCCTCTTCCAGAAGCTGCTGGCACTTTTTTGCCTCCTGGCTGCATTATTCCAATCTCTGCTTCCATCATCATCCTTGTGATTACACTTAGGGCCCACCTAGATCACTTAGGGGAATCTCTCCATCTCAAAATCCTTAACTTAATCACATCTGCAAAAGTCCTCTTTACCATTTAAGGTAAATATTCACACGTTCCCAGGATTAGGAAGAGCATATCCTTAGAGGACCATTATTTAGCCTATCGCATTGCCCTTCTTTTTGAGCCAGGAAGCTCTCTTCCTGGGCATTGAGTGTTGGCCCTCCTGTTCTTTGCATTAGCAGCTCCAAATACAAAATAAAAAATAACAGTCTTCTGGATAGAAGAGGGCTGAAATGATTTCTCAGTAGACTTGGACCTCCTCGATAAATGGGAAAACTGTACTTTTAACCTGGTTACCTTCAGAACCTTGCCCAGAATAAAATCACAGCTTGTTTGCCAGCTCTAAAGATTGAGTCATTTATCTGGCCCCACAATGAAAAACAATATTTCCAACCCTATTGAGAGATTCTACATCACCTCACCCACATCCCATCCTTCATCCCCCTCAGAACCAAAGGGCAAAGAAGCTAGGAACACCTAGAGTGGCAGCAGTTTCCCTTGGTGAAAACATGATGGAAATGCTGGGAGTTTTATCAGTTTCATTTATCTGAGAAATGTCCTCCGATGCATCATTATGTTCCCAGATCCACAACTGATACCCAGACCAAGGAACATGTAAAGTCGTATGGTGGGGGCTGAAAATATCCAGACTTGTGAAAAACACAGAGCAGGAAGCCTGAACTCCCTCTGGAGATGATGAGAGAGATAGTAAAACTTGAGTTTTCACACAAACACACACACACACACATGCTCACACACACACTATTGCACAGAGATTGAGAGGGAAACCACTATTGCGACAAGAACTCCAGGACTTAAAGAGTCCCTGGTGGTACAAAGGATCCAGATATCAGCTAATATATGCTGCCAAACAAGTGGACTCTCTAGGAGAATCTGACTTGATGAGCCAGCAAGAGGCCTGGCTGGAGAAAGTCCTTCAGGAGGTGTGGGACATGTTAGTGCTTTGGACTCAAGGGATCAGGACATTTTTACAAGTTAAAAAAAAAAGGAAACACAAAAGAGGTCATATGGTAAGGTGCTAGGCTCTTATTGTTTCCGGGCTTAAGTCCTAAAAATCAGGACAAAAGGAAAGAATTAAGTGTGGTTTAACACACACACAAACACACATGCACTGATTTTTTAAACTTATTTATATAAATCGTGTCTACGGAGGATTTTCCAACCTAGGTTGCCTGTGGTGAGAAAACAGAGACTATTTAAATAAGCTTCCAGGGAAGGAATTGCAGGAGACAGTTGCTTTGTAAGCTGGAAACATAGCACATGAGACCCGTTCACCCCTTCACTCAAAGTAAAAGTCTCTCATTTGAACTTGAATCTCTAATCAACAGACTTCATGGCTGCCACCAATCTTTCTCTGTTTCACCTTTATAATCTGTAATATGTTTTCATCTTTAAAAGGGATGTGAGGTTTAACAACCATCTGTATGTTCCTGCAATAATTGGCTGCTCAATTTCTTCATGTGAATTTGTGTTTAAAAAGAGGCGAGATTACTGTAGACTTGTAGTATAGTATGGAACGAACCCAAATGCCCATCAATGATAGACTAAAGAAAATGTGGTACATATACACCATGGAATACTATGCAGGCATAAGAAGGCATGAGATCATGTCCTTTGTAGGGACATGGATGAAGCTGGAAGCCATCTTCCTCAGCAAACTAACACAGGAATAGAAAACCAAACACCACATATTCTCACTCACAAGTGGGAGTTGAACAATGAGAACACACGGACACAGGGATGGCAACAATACACACTGGGGCCTGTTGGTGGCTGGGGGATGAGAGGAGGGAACCTAGAGGATGAGTCAATAGGTGCAGCAAACCACCATGGCACACCTATACCTATGTAACAAACCTGCATGTTCTGCACATGTACCCCAGAACTTAAAGTAAACAACAACAAAAGAGGCCAGATTCATTTAGTCTCAATACTAGGACCCCACTGACTTTAGAGGACATGTGTTCTTATTCCAACAGGTTTCAACGTTCTTTGGTAGCTAGGAAAACGTCCTTCCCTGATCCATCTGCTGTCTGGACCAGAGACTTGAAGAATCCATCAACATGTGGCTATATGTTAGCAGAAGGAAATATGATCTAAACCTGAATCCTTAACAATTATTTTCCATGGAAGAGTAAGGGAGGAAGGAAACCAATTTTCTTGCCTGTTTGCTTAAATTCTTACCCTTTATATGTACTTTATATTCATTATCTTGTTTAATCCTCACAAAACCTGGGGCAAGAATATCTGCAGATGAGTTCTCTATGAGGCTCAGAGAGATTAAGTATCCTGTTTATTATTACACAGTCAGTCAGTCTGATTCCAAAGCCCATGCTCTTTTCTTTTCAGCCTTTAGAGATAAGTCAGAGTCTTAGTGCACTAGCCGTAGCATATTCTCCCTGTAATGGCTATGACATTCCGGTCATAATCATCATGATATGTTTTTTGTTTATGCAGAACTGTAATGTCCAGGTGAAAAAAAAATCAGCTTGAATAGGGTTCGGCAGATAGTGGGTCCCGAATTGACAGTTACTAACTGAATGAAAATCTATGGGATTTTTTGTAGATGTTTATGTCAAGGGTGGAAAACGTGAAATTCTGTGGCAATGGTGTCAATGTCCTTGGTTTACAGTTCCCAGATCCTTTCCATTTCTCCTCTCTGCTCTCTCATCTCACACTCTACTGCTGAAGAGGCTGCTAGCTGGTGCTCATCTCCCATGATGCTGCCATGAGCAGGACTGGCTTAGTGATGCCAGTGCTGTCTTCTATGGCACCAGCAGAGGCAAACAGAGTCTCACATGTGATACTTCAAACTTGGAAACATCCTGCTTTGCAATGGAAACCCATATTCCTTAAGCTCAGATCAAAGCAGTGTCTGCACCTATTTTTAATGGTACAGTGTCCTTATTTTCTGAGAGGCTCAGGCAATCTAGATGATAGGTGTGGGATCATAACACATGATCATAACATATAGCTAAAAGAGTGTAGTTTACATACACACATTTTTCATATTAGGAAACACTTCAATATAATTCTTATTACTTCCTTGGTAATTTAGGGCTTTTAGGTGAGCAACTACATAACTGGTAGCACTGCTCACCAATGCAATATTCCCTAGTGCCAGCTTCTATGTGGATTCAATTCATGTGTCAGAACAACCAGTGCATTTGGAGCATACAATGTGTACTTTGCACAAATAGGAATGAGCCCCCACTGGTGGGAGAAGCTGAATCTGGTGGGCAATAAGACCACTTGGATTTCCGGGTGACAAGCCAAATTAGCTAAGCTTGACAATACTGCAAAATTAGCTGCTGATTCAAGCAAGAATCCTCCTGTCCCAAAGAAGGATCCCTGGCAACTCATGGGAAATCACCATGGTAATCACAAAGTTTTAGAAATTTAAGACCCAGACAAAATTCAGAATGATAAAAATTATATTCATCAGAAGCAGAAAGATAAAATATATTGAGTTTTTCTGTGCAAAATATATCTTCCATCTCAAATTGTATCTTTTCCGTAAAACGATTTTTAAAAAATAATTGTAGGTATCAATGGAGACATTGACAAAAAAAGGGGCATGAACTAATAAATTAAGCATCCAAAACCTATCTGTAGACCCACACTCATACCTCCAATGAAAATAAAGATGGATCTGTCATCCATGTGTTCATGAAGGAGCAATACAACAATCCCAAATAATCCTAAAATCAGGAACACATCCACAGCAATGTATTAGCATCCCACTGGCTGTTTATTGACAACTTAGCATGTTCTGGAGGTGAGAGGAGTAGAACCACTTAAATCCTTAATTGGTAGACACACATTTTCCACACCACTAGAACTTCAAACATCAGCTTCTATCCCCTTTCCAAATAAAACCCTAACCACTAACATGCCTCACAAAGGCCCACTAAAATATGAATGTACTTGAATACATAGTGAACTTAATTGCTAATATTCCTTGGCAAATCAGATACACTGTTAACAGCATAATAATGAGTATGCATAGAGACTCCCCAGTGTGACCAGATGCACATGTAAAATAAATAAATTAATTAAAATTGCCATGCTAAATAAAGTTGTCCTGCCATCTCAGGTTAGCATCTGTTTCTAGTTTTCCTCAATAGTTTTCCCTGAGCATATTTTCTCAGCTCCAAACAACTGCAGCTGACCAGCCTTTCTGTCCATGCAATGTGGACAGGCCCACAGGCGCCTAGGTCACCTCAGGTGTCCCCCGAACACCAAGTTGGATGTCACCTCCACAAACAAGATCCTGCCATCCTGCAATTTTTTGGTCTCACATTTCATGTTAAAAAAAAAATCAGAGAGAAAGAAAGGCAAAAAAAAAAAAAAAAAAAAAAAAAAAAAAGAAAAGAAAAGAAAAAGAAAAAAAGAAGGAAAGAAAAATTAAAACATTTTCCTGTTGGGGGGATGTTAATAATGGACAAGTGTTAGATTTGGCTATAAATTATTGTCTAGATGAAGGGAAAACAATTACAAATTAGAAACAGATTTATTCACACTCAGTGCATTAATGAAAACTTTTAAAAAAAGAAAAGAAGGAAAGAAAGAAGGAAAACTAAACCGTGTGTACTGTGTGGAAAAAAATAATGGCCCAGCAGGCCTACTTTTTATTAACAACTCATCAGTAAGCAGGTTGTAATTCATAACAAAGAATTCACCCCAAGGAACGCCACATGACTGTGAGTTTTTTGAGTTTCCTAAGAAAATACATATGTTGTTCCACTTGGTTTCCTTGCAATAAAACCCACCAGTTAGCACTTCATTTTCAAGCTGTTCTGACAAATCAGGTGAGTTAGCTTTGTAGAAAAAACAGAAGCCAATTTTTCAGCTGAGAATTTTAGGGAATTTTTTTAATAACTTAAATAAATTTCCCAAAAGGCAAGGAAGGCATGATAAAGGCTGTGAAATGAGTTCATTTGGAACAGCTTGAAAGAAAGTCTCTTTTAATTCACTCCATTAATTTTTTCTGAGGAAATATTTAAGGATACATATCTTACTGCTATGACATGTATCTGAAGAAAGAAGAAAAAGAAAAACTGTATGATTTCTGAGTTTTTATAAAGACTCAAAACATGATTAAAGACTTTTTGGAAAGCACCCCTCAGCAGCTCCGCTAAGTAGAAGATTTAGCAATGATAGCAGCAGGCAGTTTCTGCTCCCAAATACTTGCTGAGCCAGCCACAAATCCCGCGACCCTCTGCAAAGTGGCCACCACCCATGATTCCCACCTGACTTCCTGAAGCTTCACTGAGGGCACCAGGCAAACCAGACCATTTGATGTTCTCAGGAGAGAATGGGTACATTCTGCCATTGCCTCGAGAGGTATGATCTCCTTTTCCCACAACCTCCCCATATCTTCCAAATTTCTCATCATCCTTTAAAACACACTTTTCCTGGAGACAATTATTCTAAGTGAAGTAACTCAGGAATGGAAAACCAAATATTGTATGTTGTCACTCATAAGTGGGAGCTAAGCTATGAGGACACAAAGGCATAAGAATGATACAGTGGACTTGGATTGGGGACTTGGATAAAGTGGGAGGTGGGTGAGGGATAAAAGACTACACATTGGGTACAGTGTACACTGCTTGGGTGATGGATGCACCAAAATCTCAGAAATCACCACTAATGAACTTATTCCTGTCATCAAACACCACCTGTCCCCCAAAAACCTACTGAAATAAAATAAAAATAAAACCCACTTTAGGTCCAGCTTCTTTCAATGAAGTCTTCCCTAATCACTCTAAATGAATTTGTTCTGAGCTTCTGAGGACTCATTCAGAGCATCTCTCTCTGAATTTACCTAGTACAATGTTTATTCCTCCGTTATTCTGCCTTGTATAAAGTTCTATGTAAAAGAGTTCTTTGAGAATTCAGCTTTAGGAGAAGGTGTGCATACCTGTGTCTGTGGCACAGGTGGTAAGGTGACCAAATACTACATCTTTTGGCCCCCTGTAGTTACGTATGATTGTGTGAATAGTCCTGGCCAATGAGCTTTAAGCAGAAGTGACATATCTAGTCACTCTCTCCCCCTCCCACAGGCAACACAGAGGCCTAGGGTTGGAATGGTAATTTATAGGGTGGAGGTGACGTGATCCCCCGTGTCACTACAGTGCATTGTCCTGGAGATCTGCTTGACCTGCAGCCTATTTATGGGATAAGAAACAAGCATTTGTTGTGATGGACCACTGAGATTTTGGGCTAGCATGGCCTGGTCTATGATGATTAATGATGTACTTGCTTGACAGGGTTAACACAAATTATTCGGTGTGACTTGATTTTTTTATGTCGAGAATTATGTCCTCCACTGTGCTTCACTTTTCATTTTGGATGCCAGGAAACTCAGAGTTTGAAACCCACATTTTGAATCTCTAGTTTAGAATCTATGGTCACCATCATGTTTTCCTTCTTATTATTTATGATCACATTTTTTTTAATTTGGAATTTCCTAATTCCAACTTACCATCATATTATTTTGGGGGTTCTTCTTGTGAGCAGCTTCGTACTCTTCAGGATGAGATGTGGAATGCAGGCACACCTTGCTTTACGGAATTTCACTTTTTAATACCTCACAGATATTTCAGTTTTTACAACTTGAAGGTTTGTGTTAACCCTGTCAAGCAAGTACATCAGTGTCATCTGTCCAACAGCATGTGCTCACTTTATGTATCTGTGTCACATTATGGTAATTCTTGCAATATTTCATAACTTTTTCATTATTATATCTGTCATGGTGATCTGTGATTAGCTATCTTTGATGCTAATATTATAATTATTTTGGTGGCACCACAAACTGTGCCCATAAAAGACGGCAAACTTAGTCAATAAACGTGTGTTTTGACTGCCCCACTGACCAGCCATTCCCCCATCTCTCTCCCTCTCTTCAGCCCTCCCTATTCCCTGAGACACAACAATATTGAAATTAGCCAATTAATAACCCCACAATGGCCTCTAAGTGTTCAAGTGAAAGAAAGAGTTGCATGACTCACTTTAAATCAAAACCTAGAAATGATTAAGCTTAGAGAGGAAGGCATGTCAAAAGCCTAGACAGGTCCAAAGCTAGGCCTCTAGCACCAAACAGCCAAGGTGTGAATGCAAAGGAAAAATTCTTGAAGGAAATTAAAAGTGTTACTCCAGTGAGGCCACAAATGTTAAGAAAGTGAGGCAGCCATATTGCTAATATGGAGAAAGCTTTAGTGGTCAGAATAGAATATCAAACCAGCCACGACATTCTCTTAAGCCAAAGCCTATTCAGAGCAAGGCCTTCAACATAGCAGAAAGCCCCCCAACCAGCAAAAACATTACAACTTGCTGAAGGCTCAGATGAACATTAGCATTTTTTAGCAATAAAGCACTTTTAAATTAAGATATGTACATTTTTTAGACATAATGCTGTTGCACACTGACTAGACTACCGTATAATGTGAACATAACTTTTACATGCACTGAGAAATGAAAAAAATTGTGTGACTCACTTTAATGAGATACTTGCTTTATTGCAATGGTCTGGAACTGAACTCACAATATCTCCCAAGGTATGCCTGTACACATGCATACAAACACACACAAGCATGCACACACTTATATGGAAAGAATTAAGACAGTTGTTTGTCTATGTGCTTGTCTTACTCTCAATATTAGACTGGAAGCTTCTGCTGGGAGGACTGAAACCCACCTATCTTTACATTTCTCACAGTTATTAACATAGTGCCTTTCCTAATAAATACTTCCTGAGTTAAATGAATTATGAGAAGGCTAAAGATGGTACAAAGACACCGCTGAGAAAACAAGTGGGGCCAGTGGGGACTAAAATTCAGCCCACGCTCTGCCTTATGTCTAAGAAAAAAGGCCCCGTTTCATAATTTTATTACTGGAAGGGGGCATCTTTTTGGACTTTATTCACTTAAAAGTGGCATCCTTTTATAACTTGTAGAACTAGCGGTGTTAGTTTCTACCCACTTAGTATACAAAAACACCTAACTACGAAACTTAAAAATAACAGCAAGAAGCATTGATGATGTATCAAGTAAAAGGATAAGTGGAAAAAAACACACCAGAATAAAGATATGGTTATTTAAAAGAGTAAGGTACCATGGAATAGACATGCCAAGTTTAAGATATTCTAAAATCATTTTGAGCTTGACCCTCATGAAGCTTCTCTGTTGCCGAGAGAGAGAGAGAAAGAGAGAGAGAGAGAAATGTATACTTACACCTGAACTCAATGTCAAATGTCTGAAAAATCAATGGTATGTTGTTCAGGCAGATGATACACCAGAAAACTGATAACTGCCTCCACATGTTTAACGTATTAAGGTTTCTATTATTTAGTTCCATTAGAGATTGGCACCTTTTAAACCCATCCTCCCCACGTCCCCACCTCCCCTTCCATTTATGAGGAGCACAGTGTTTTGCTGATGGCTTCTGGGAGGTGGCCAACGTAGGACAGCCTTACAGACATGTGGAATTCTCACAAAATTCAGAAATTTTTCATGTGGTGCGGGTGATGGTACTGCCCAGGACCCTCTAGCACTGTTGTCACCAGATCTCAGCACACATGAATAAAACTGGCTCAATGTGATTCTTGTTCGTACTATTCTGGAGGTATGCCCCCAACTCCATCAAAGTGGTTGAATGTGTGGTTAATTTGAAAATAAATTTGAAAATAATAAAAGTGACAAAAGAAAAAAAATTAAAGCATATCTAAGACTGCCAACTCACTTATCCAAGTCGTGAAATATATGTCAGCTGGAAAGAACATAGGGTCACTACTGAGCCACTCTATCTGATGTAATACTTAATGTCATTGCCACGTACCCCGAGCCATCTTTTCCTTCATTGACAATTGTTTCAATCTTGAGAATGACCTAGATAATACTTTACACAAACTTCAACAATGGCTACTTTGTCTTTATACAACAATTCATTACTTTGCCAAAAGACAAGACATAAATAAAATTTTTATTAAAAACATGAAAATAAAATGGTTGTTGACAATCAACTTTGGTTTGTGGTTCTTGGTGAAGTTTACTTTAAAGTATACAGAAACTAATAAAATGATTCAGATTTAACTAAAAAGGATTAGAGAAAAGACTCCATCCTTTCCAACTGACATTTCTCTCCTCACATTCATGATGACTCTGCCCCTAAGAAAAAAGGAATATCACTCCGGGAACCCTCCATCAGATCCACATATCTGGGAGGACACAGGTCACAATCCCTCAATCACAGCCCACAAGGGAAGATTTCAGTTCCTATTACTTCCCTGTGGGGCAGTGGCCACTAACAAACAAAATGCTTATTATCATTTGCCAAGACCAGTGTGTTCCATGGCCACCTCTCCAGCCTTACCTCACACCCCTTCCACCTCCTTGTCTGTTTCCAGTTCTTCACATGTGCCCACCATTTTCTTCCTTTAGGTCTTCATGCACTGAAGCAAGCCCTCTCCACTGTTTCCTTCTGCATCACCTGCCCTTGCCTGGCTAGCATTATCTTGTCCTTCAGTCCTTGGTTTAAATGTTGCTTCCTTCAAAAAGATGTCTCTGGAGCCCCATCTATGTCAGTCACCCTGCTCCCCTACCCTTCTCCTCCACAGCACTCTGCCATAACCCTCTTTTGTGCAAGCCCCTTGAGGGCGGGACAACCTCTGTCTTCCTCATTGCTACACCTCTAGAGCTCAGCTCAGTGCCTGGCCCTCAAATATTTGATGAGTGAGTAAATAAATGGATGTATGGGTGAGAGTCGGTGAGATGGAAAGGAAATTCAATGGCTCTCCCATTCCCATCACCCAGATCACAAAGTGATAAAGAAAATTGACCAAGTGGAGAACATCATTTCCTGCATTTGACATGAACATCATCTCATAACATCTTCCTTTCTTATAACCTCCATGTTCAGAAAGAAGCCACAAGTGTATTCTTGGTATGCAACTGTCCAGATTACAATGTGAATTGCAAAGGGACAAGGTAAGCAAACTTAGTAAGTGAGATAAACAAGCACCAATTTGATCTTTGAAGAAGAAAGAAGACATGGGTTTGCTGAAGGGATCTGCTCCAATTGTCCACTCTTCATGTGACCCCCCTAAGGTCCAGCCATCTACCTTGGTAAGCACCAAGAGCTCAACACTGAGCAGTGTCTGTCCTGCTCAGTGCCACCCACACTTCCTCACTCCAGCTTCCTTGGCTCTCCCATCTCTTGGCTTTGGTCTCTGCCTCCTGCTGCTAGCTCAGAGCCACCATTATTTGAATCACCCACTTGAGGCTACTGTTCCACTAAAAGACTTCATCTCAATCCATGACCCTTGATTACTGATGTCACTCACCCTTGATCTCATCACACTCATTTATATGGATTAAAGCCCCTCTTGCTATCAGCCCTAAACCTGCTGAAGCCACAAATGCCAGATAGCCTCCTAACTGACCTGCCCAGGAAAGGGGATCAGATCCAAAATACTAGTGTATCCTGGCTGGGCATGGTGGCTCATGCCTGTAATCCCAGAACTTTGGGAGGCCGAGGCAGGCAGATCACAAGGTCAAGAGATCAAACCATCCTGGCTAACACAGTGAAACCCCATCTCTACTAAAAATACATAAAATTAGCCAGGCATGGTGGCAGGCGCCTGTAGTCCCAGCTACTCGGGAGGCTGAGGCAGGAGAATGGTGTGAACCCAGGAGGCAGAGCTTGCAGTGAGCCGAGATTGCACCACTGCACTCCAGCCTGGGCAACAGAGCAAGACTCTGTCTCAAAAACAAAAAATAAAATAAAATAAAATAAAATAAAAACAAAATACTAGTACATTCTGATCCCAAGTGCAGGGGAGTGAAGTACAGTTTGTTTCAGACACTGGCTTCCCCCCAACTCTAAACCTGCTCATCCTCTTGGCTAAAAATATCACTGTCACTCAGCTTCCTAAGCAAGAAACATGGATTTATCCTTGGCTTCTCTTTCTCCCTAACAAATTAGCCTGTAAGACTGTTTCATTCCACCGATGAACCATTTCTGTCTCCTCCTCTACATCATATTTCCTATTTAGCACCCATTGTCTCCAACTAGACCACTGCAATCACTATCCAACTTGCACCCTCCTCCCTTCAGTCTCTCCTCCCTGCAACTGTCCTCTGTATTGTCATCCAAATTCACTTCCAAACTACATTAATAGCATGTTACTCCCCTGATCTAGAAGCTTCCATTACACCTGGCTGCAAAACACAGTGCAAATCCCTGAAGTGCAATGCCCTCCCAAACCAGCCCTAACCTATTCAACCACTTTCCTTCCTACCTACGTGTCATATACTCCAGTCACACAAAACTCTTTGCTGGAGTCCTTTTATCTGCCTGGAATTCCTTTCTCTATCTCCTCTCCTCATCTTCTCAACCCCTCACACCATCACAAATTTCCCTATTGTTCAGGCCCCTTACTTTCTTTCCAACCCCTGTCAAGTTGGTCATTCATTCAAACAGTATTCACTGAACACCTACTGCAGATCCTCTCTGCCCTCCTGGTTCTTTACTGATGCTTCTCCAATAACACTTGGTGGGTTGTGTATATTGTCTTTGTTTTATACCTGTCTCTAGATTTAGTTCTATTAGGCACCGAGCATTTCTCATTTATCTCTAAAACCACAGCCCCTGAAGTGATGAACAATTGCATTTCTGATGAATATACTGATGAATTAATGTTCAATTTAATCTTTGATTCATTGAAACTTTCCATTAGAAACTTAAGCCCTGGTATATGCTCATAGCAACATCTAATGATGGAGACCATTCCATTACTTATGTAGGACTTGAAAGATTGAACTCCTTTCCATCACCCCCTATTCTGACTTGCTGTTTGCATTTTCCTTTCTTGATTGCAGGCTGTAGGGGTTGTCTTGGACTCTTTTCTCCAACTCCCACTTTGGGCACATCTTTTAGACCACCCTTTCTTTCTACTCCATGGTCACTGCTATTCTCCAGGATTTCTTTCACTTATTTAAATCCAAGATGGTTGCAGTAACCTGTTTTCCCAAGCCTTTGGCTTACCTCCACTTTCATTAAGAGATGTCATACAGCCTCCAGAGTAATCCATTGATATGCAAATACCTCTTGTTCCTCCTCTGCTTAAAGTGTTTGATGGCTTTCTGTGATTTCAAGACAACATCCAATCTCCGTGACTTAGCATATAAGATATCCACCCATGAGACAAATATGTAATAAGTGTCTTATATTTGTCAAGCACTATTATAGGAGCTAGAGACACAGCAATAAATGAAACATTCAAAACTTCTGTTCTAATGGAGAATATATTTTAGTGGGAGAGACAGATAGTAAACAAAATAAATTATGCAATATATTGAGAAAGCACAAGTGCTATGGAGAAAAATAGAATGAGGAAAATGGGTAGAAAGTGCTGTGAGGGAGATGCACTATTAAGTGGAGGAGGACGCAGGGTGGGTCTCACTGAGAAGGTGGCATCTGAGCAAAGACTCAAGGAAGTGATGCAGGGATTCATGAGGATAGCTGAGGGAGGGGCAGTCCAGGCAGCAGGAACAGTAAGTCTGGAAGCCTAGAGGCAGAGCATGCCCAAGCATGCTGGAGAAAAAGCAGGTGGCCAGAATGCCTGGAGGGGCCTGAGTGAGGAGGAGAGGGAGAAGAGAGAGAAGAGGGCAGGGTGGAAATGGGGTAGATCATGCAAGGCCTCACAGAAAACTCTGAGTGGGGGGTTTTTAGCAAAGGAATAGAATCTGACTTCCATTTTACCAATTTTACCAGGACAGCTCTGACTGCCCTGTTGAGAACAAATTATAAGAGAATGAAGGTGGACTTGGCCCACCCTGCTAGTTCTGTCTCCCAACACTCCCTGCCCCCTCCTCCCCTAACACTCACAGCTGATGCTTTGATGATGTCCCTGACTGAAGTTCTTCATACTCCCCGTTTCATGCCCTGTACTCTTCCATGTAGCATCCTGGGCCTGCAGTAATTCTGTCCAACCTCCAGGCCCAACATGTGAGATCTCTGCTTATTTTGCCAAACCTGGCTTAGAAGTTCCTCTTCCAGAAGACCGTCATGACCATACCTCCTCCCAAATAAGATTAATTTTGCATTTCTCTGGGCCACCTCTGAACTCACTTGTCTGTGCTTCTATTTGTTGCTCTTATCTGTCTACACATTTGCCTTTTGTACTAGACTGATAAATTTCAGTTTTATTTGTGAGTGCCTGGCACATCCTAAAGGCTTACTAGGTGTATTAGTCCATGTTCACCTTCCGTAAAGAACTGCCTGAGACTGGGTAATTTATAAAGAAAAGAGGTTTGATTTATTCACAATTCCACATGGCTAGGGAGGCCTCCGTAAACTTACAATCATGGCAGAAGGGGAAGCAGGCACATCTTGCATGGCAGCAGGTGAGAGAGAGAGAGTGTGAGAGAGAGAGAGAGAGAGAGAGAGAGAGACGGGGGAAGAGCCCCTCATAAAACCATCAGATTTTGTGAAAACTCACTGACTATCATGAGAATGGCATGGAGGAAACTACCCCCATAATCCAATTACCTCCCACCAGATCCCTTCCTCGACACTTGGGGATTATGGTTCAAGATGAGATTTGGGTGGCGACATGCAGCCAAACCATATCATTCTGCCCCTGGCCCTCCCAAATCTCATGTCCTCACATTTCAAAACATAATCATGCCTTCCCAACAGTCCCCTAAAGTATTAACTCATTTCAGCATTAACTCAAAAGCCCAAGTCTAAAGTCTCATATGAGACAAGGCAAATCCCTTCTGCCTATGAGCCTGTAAAATCAAAAACAAGTTAGTTACTTCCAAGATAGAGTGGAGGTACAGGCATTGGATAAATGCTCACATTCCAAATGGGAGAAATTGGCCAAAACAAAAGGATCACAGGCCCCACGCAAGTCCAAAATCCAGCAGGGCAGTCATTAAATCTTAAAGCTCTGAAATGGTCTCCTTTGATGCCATGTCTCACATCTAAGGCATGCTGATGCAAGGGATGAACTCTCATGGCCTTGGGCATCTCTGCCTCTGTGGCTTTGCAGTTTACAGCACCCCCAACACCTACTTTTATGGCTGGTCATCAGTGTCTGTGGCTTTTTCAGGCACATGGTGCAAGCTGTCAGTGGATCTACCATTCTGGGGTCTGGAGGATGGTAGCCCTCTTCTCACAGCTCCACTAGGCAGTATCACAATGGGGACTCTGTGTGGGGGCTCCAACCCTATATTTCCCTTCTGCACTGCCCTAGCAGTGGTTCTCCATGAGGGCTCCATGCCTGCAGCAGACTTCTGCCTGGGTATTCAAGCATTTCCATACATCCTCCAACATCTAGATGGGGGTTTCCAAGCCTCAGTTCTTGACTTTTGTGTACCCCCAGGCCAAACACCTCATGGAAGCCACCAAGGCTTGGGGCTTGCATCCTCTGAAGCAATGGTCTGAGCTGTACCTTGGCACCTTTTAGCCACGACTGGTGCTGGAGCAGCTGGGACTCAGGGCATCAAGTCTTGAGGCTGCACAGAGCAACAGGATCCTGGGCTGGCCCATGAAACCATTTTTTCCTCCTAGGCCTCCAGGCCTGTGATGGGAGAGGCTGGTATAAAGATCTCTGACATATCCTGAAGACATTTTCCACATTGTCTCAGCAATTAATATGTTACTCTTTGTTATGTATGCAGATTTCTGTGGCTAGCTTGACTATCTCCCCAGAAAATGAGTTTTTCTTTTATACTACATGGCCAAGCTGAAATTTTTCCAAGCTTTTACTCTCTGTCACCTCTCGAACACTTTGCGGCTTAGAAATTTCTTCCACCAGATACCCTAAATCATCTCTCACATGTTCAAAGTTCCACAGATCTCTAGGGCAAAGGCAAAATGCCACCAGTCTCTTTGCTAAAGCATAGCAAGAGGGACATCTGCTCCAGTTCCTAATAAGTTCTTCATCTCCATCTGAGACCGCCTCAGCCTGGACTTCATTGTCCATATCACTATCAGCATTTTGGTCAAAACCATTCAACAAGTCTCTAGGAAGTTCTAAACTTGCCAACATTTTCCTGTCTTCTTTTGAGCCCTCCAAACTGTTCCAACCTCTGGCCACTAACTGGTTCCAAAGCTGCTTCCACATTTTCAGGCTATCTATAGAGCAATGTCCCATTCCTGGTACCAATTTCCTGTATTAGTCCCTTCTCACACTGCTACAAGGAACTGCCCAAGACGGGGTAATTTATAAAGAAAAGAGATTTAATTGACTCATAGTTCTGCTGACTGGGGAGGTCTCAGGAAACTTACAATCATGGTGGAAGGGGAACTAGGCATGTCTTACATGACAGCAGGCAAGAGAGAGTGAAGGGGGTAGAGTCCCTTATAAAACCATCAGATCTCATGAGAACTCACTCACTAACATGAGAACGGCATGGGAAAAACTGCCCTCATAATCTCATCACCACCTACCATATCCTTTCCCTGACACATGGGGATTACAGTCCAAGATGAGATTTGGGTAGGGACACAGAGCCAAACAGTATCACTAGGTATGTGTCAGATTAAGGATAAAAGAAAATAAAGCTAGATAGTAGGCCCCAGAGCTGGTCTGAGGGCCTGGGGTCATGAGTCCCAGTGATATTGGTATCAGTTTTAGGTCTCTGGCTAATTTCAGGGAAAACTGTGAACAAGGTTATGTTGGCCTGGGGAGGTGTGGGTGGGGGTGGCACATGAGGAGTATGCTGAGGCTCAAGTGCTCTATCCCACACTATACTCCATGGTCTTGCTGCATTCTGTGAAACTGCAGTATCGATGTACCTGGCCTGGGTGAGGTGGTCTCTGACATACCTGGACTAGCCTTAATGCAGAACCACTATTTGTATATAAGGCTTGGATTAGGGGTGAATTGAAGTTCTTCAAGTCTAATATGACTCTCATTTGCTCAGAATGTATCATCCATAACTATGTATTCCTCCTGAGAGAAGGTTTGAGAAGCCTTTGGGCTTCACATCTACACTGAATTTCTTCTATATCTTAGAAGATTAAGAAGTCAGGTAAACTTTGTTTGATTTGCCTGGATGCTGTCTGTCTCAAGCTTTTCCACTAATCCAAATTTGGGATCAATATTTGTCACTATAGTGGCCACATGACTGAAAAGATGGAGAGAGATGAAACTTATGCTTGTGAGTAGATGGTGCTGAGTGCCTTCAACAGTGAACAGACATTCAGAGGACATTTGAAATTGTACTTGCCTTGGTACTTAGTAGGCCAAAAAGCTGAATTTAGGGAAGCCATGAGCCAAGAATCTCTTTGTTCTGATTCTGTGCCAGGCAGCATGGCCTTTGTCTGGAATCTGTATGCATTCCAGGGAGAGACTACACTTTCCACACCAGGCAGAGTCTGCTCAGAGACCCCCAACATGTGCCCTGCTCAATTCAGGTGGTGATTGTGCTCCCAGGGTTTCCCTGATCTACAAAACCTCTCTTCCTTCTTATGATCTATCTGAATATCCTAATCCTCTGTCAAAACCAGTGGAACTTCCAACTCCCCCATGTACTCTCTGATGCAAATGAAAGACGCACCAGGCCCTATCTAAAGAAGTTAGGTCAACACTCAAAGAAACCAGAAGAATCACACACTTACCTGAATTATTCAACCACTAGTGCCTGTGCTAGTAGTTGAACCTTCTTCTCTAACCTTCCCTAAGCTTCTTCTCTAACCTTCTATGGTACATATAAACCAGTGGTTCTGTGTGCCTGGATTCAGAAGTGATGAATCAGCAATCTGGGTTTAAAAAGCCCTCAAGGTCATTCTCATGCACACTAAGGTTCAAGCATCCCTGATAAAGATGATAATAGACAGTGCAATATTCAATGATTTTCTGAATCACTTTGTGGATTCTATCTTTCTTCTCCATTATTCTATATATATTCTCCATTATCTATAGGTATAAGGGTAACACCTTATACCTCAACAAGCACATATCAGGCACTAAAATGTTTTAAGAAGATCAAGGCCGGGCGCGGTGGCTCATGCCTGTAATCCCAGCACTTTGGGAGGCCGAGGCAGGTGGATCATGAGGTCAGGAGATCGAGACCATCCTGGCTAACAAGGTGAAACCCCGTCTCTACTAAAAATACAAAAAAGTAGCCGGGCGCGGTGGCTGGGCACCTGTAGTCCCAGCTACTCGGGAGGCTGAGGCAGGAGAATGGCGTGAACCCGGGAAGCGGAGCTTCCAATGAGCCGAGATTGCGCCACTGCAGTCTGCAGTCCGGCCTGGGAGACAGAGCGAGACTCCGTCTCAAAAAATAAATAAATAAATAAATAAAAATAAAAGAAGATCAAGCACATATTAGGCACTAAAATGTATTTTATTGAGTTGATGAAACACCCCCTGGCAATACTTTTTCTGAATCCCTGCTACACCTTACATGAGCTAGGCATAGACTAAATCTTGCTTCTGTTGTATGCCCTAAAATGAGATCCTGCTGCTAAAAAAGAAATTGGCCCCCTCAAAGCAAATTGACTGACCTCTAATAGACACCTGCAATACACTGCCTCTCATAAGCAAGTAATTTTCAAGGAGTCAGGAAAAAAGGACTGAATGGCCAGATTGCCACATGGCTGAGAACAGCAGTGCCCTAATGGAAGCCACATAGCCTGCCTCCCAGAAGAGGAAGCAGGGAAATGGTCTTGGGTCGTGGCTGGGTAGGAGGGGGAAAGGCTTGGTGAGGGGAAACTGGTATGTTTTTATGTCATTGGGTAAAGAAAAGTTCATGTCATACTCCTAGTGATTCCTGTAAATAAAGATAAAAGTAGAGGCAGGATATTATCAAGTTTTAATACAGCTGCTGGAGCTTGTTACTCAGGGCTCAATCAACAGAGCTCAGAAACAGCTGGCTTTAAAGGTGAAAGCCAGATTAGGGTACCCAAAGGTGTTGATGTTAATGTGACTAAAGCCACATGTTTCGTTAAACCTCTTCCAGCCTCACCCTCTCTGATGGTTACAGCAAGACCTTGTCATGAAAACCCTCCCAGGTGTGAAGAACTCAAACAAAAAGAAAGTTGACCCAGATCTGGTAGATTATATGAGGTTTAGAAGCTAGATTTGAAAGGTGCCCAAAGGAGGAAAATTGATTTACTCTTTTTTGAAGAAGAGAGGATGTAGGACAGCACACATCTATAAAGACCACGTTATAGCTATCCAACTTAGGCACACAAACACATGCACATGCACAAACACACGTGTAATTACACGCACATATGCAAATTCACTGGAACCCTTTTTCCCTTTAAATCCCAGACTGCTAGGATATTATCTAGTTGTTAAATATTGATTCTCTTTGCACCTTTGTTAATTCTCTAGGATCAAATTTCCTTATGTATTCTTGGCCTTTTAATTTTATAGAGTGGGACGTTCCATAAAAAGAGAATGTGTAAAAATTATGATCTGTCTTTCATTTTTCAAGTGGGAATTATGGAATTTATGCTCATCCATCCATAGTATCTTACCCTGGAGCTCATGTCTGTTCTGCAAAATGATGGCTAATGTTCACGGGAGCGGTGAGGGTGTCCGTGGACTGCACAGCCCTGGATGAGGATTCCAAGGTGAAGGAAACTGTTCTCATTCTCAAGGAACTTGGAGTCTAGAGCTAGGGCAAGCAAGTCTACATTAATCATAGGGTATGCTGCAAAGTAAACACAGGGTGGCATATACACAGACACAGGCACATGAAAGACCATGGCAAGAGGAAGCTTCTGACAAAAGGATAAGCAAATACCATCATGCAAAAACACCATCTAAGTAGGCACGTAGAACTGATGTTAGAGGGAAGTCTGGAATGCCCAGGAGAGGAATTAGAAGCTAGTTTGGACAAGGAATGGTGAAGATAGAAGAAATAGAGGAGGGAAATTTATGGAAGCCTCATCAGCGGGGCTGCAGGGCCTGTTGCATGTTGGGGCGAGAAAGAGGGACTTCTAGAATGACCCTCAGCTTTCTGGAACTGGAGTCCTTTGCCACCTTCCCATGTAGTGAGAGAAAAATGTGTAGCTAAGTAGGTAAGCACAGAGGGAGTTATACGAAAAGGGGTAGGAAAGTGTGGCCCCTGGCACAGTCTTCCCCTGTTCAGCCTTATCCTAAAGTCTCTACCTGCCAACAAGAATGTGCTCATTCGCTGACCTCCTGCAGATGCCAAGGTCACACTCCACCTTTCTCCTTTTTTTGTCTAGAAAAGTTTGTGTCTAGCTTCAGGGACTGGTAGAAAATGTGAATTATTTGATTTCCAGCCCAGCAGATGGGTTTTCCACACCCAACTTCGGCAATAGATAAATTTGTGTTGCTCACAGTATTTCAGGGTGGCTGATGAGATAAGAAAGGCTTATAGTTTGTGGTACTTCAACCATTCTTGCTTATGTTTATGTTGCTCAAGCTAATGTTGGGTCACTGGTAGGAAGCTTTACTTATAAATTATTTTCTCCAAATTTTCCAAAACCTGTTTTTCTTAAAGTTCACCTACTTGGGACATGCTAATGTTCTTGATATTCTATAGATATGGTTACAAGCATGAGAAACCAGCTTACTTGCCAATGTTCAGTTAGGCAGGTGGTGTCTGACCCAGGATCAGTCTTCAGATGTACAGTCTGCAACAGTGAACTTCATTTCTGTGACTGAACAGAAAAGTACAGTCAAGTATTGATGTGCAAAACTTAAGAGAAAAATAAAATATTGGGGGGGAATCTTAAGAATGGACGATATTGATCAGTTTCTGATTTTTTTTTTTTGAGATGGAGTCTTGCTCTGTTGCCCAGGCTGGAATGCAGTGGCACTATCTCGGGCTCACTGCAAGCTCCACCTCCCGGGTTCACACCATTCTCCTGCCTCAGTCTCCTGAGTAGCTGGGACTACAGGCGCCCGCCACCACACTTGGCTAATTTTTTATAGTTTTAGTAGAGATGGGGTTTCACCGTGCTAACCAGGATGGTGTCGATCTCCTGACCTCGTGATCCGCCCCCCTCGGCCTCCCAAAGTGCTGGAATTACAGGCGTGAGCCACTGCGCCCGGCTGATCAGTTTCTGATTTTTAATACATTTTAATTGAACAGAATTATCTATCATAGATTTAATACACATATTTTACATGCAATAAACACATTGTTAATTGTAAAGAAATAAATAAATAAGAGAATGCAAGTTAAGAAACCCAAAAAGAGAAAGAAAACTACTATAATTTCCACTGTTGAAAATTGGGATATATGTCTATGTTAATGAGTGTATTTGAACACAGTTTTAACAGATCTATAAAATACAATACATATTTTTTGTTCTCACTTACTTTTCATCAGATAAAAGTGTCAAATATCTTTCTTTAGAAATAAAAATACTTTTGCAGTATTATTAATGTTTGCACAGTATTACATCTTATGCAATTATTATTTATTTAACTTACTAGACAGCTAAGTTACTTCCAGTTTTTCTCTATTATAAACAATTCTTCTCACACATTCTCAGAATTAAATATCTATCTGCCTTCTCTATTGATTTTCATTAGACATATTTCCTTGCAAGTGCATAAAAAGTTGGTCGATGTAATTACTTGCTTCATCTAAATATTCTCAATTTTTAAAAACTTAGGTCACAAATTATAATCTTCTTTTCTTTAAAATTTTACCTTATGTATCTTTCCTAGTCTGTATTGAATAGCTTATAATGTAAATGTATACCATAAGTAATTTGCTTATGGAATTTAATTCAACAAATATTAGGACTGTGCTGGAGACATCTTTGGAAGATTACCCAATGATCCTTAATGCCTAAGAATCCATAATGGAAGTGAGAAAAGGATATAAAGAGCTGTGAAGTAGACTATTCATGCCATCAAGAAGGCCTAGATGGCTGCTGGAACTCTGGAAGCCTTCGCTGTTTGGGAGAATGAGAAAGTATTTCATGGAGCAGCAATTATGTGAAAAGCATGAGATTTCATATGCAACACAGAAGTCAACATATTATGAAGATAAATTACATATAGAGGCTGGGTGTGGTGGCTCATGCCTACAATCACAGCACTTTGGGAGGCTGAGGTGGATCACCTGAGGTCAGGAGTTGGAGTGCCAGCCTGGCCAACATGATGAAACTCCGTCTCTACTAAAAATACAAAAAATTAGACAGGCATGGTGGCAGAGGCCTGTAATTCCAGCTACTTGGGAGGCTGAGGCAGGAGAATCACTTGAACTCAGGAGACAGTGGTGAGCCGAGATCACACCACTGCCCTCCAGCCTGGGCAACAACAGCAAAACTCCATCTTAAAAAAGAAAAAAATTACAGAAATTTTGACTCATTACATATCTTCAAAAAATTTCAAATCCAAAACAATTTATTTTCATTTTACTAAGGTGATAGCAACTTGACCAAATAGAATATTTGTAATCAGAAGGAAAATTGCCTTTGAATTCCAGTGAGGCCCATTTCATTCACAAAGTACAGGGAAGAAATAGAGAATCTGAGAGCTTAATGAAACATTAATTGGCACTGCTCTCTAATGTTTTCTCAGAAGAAACTGTGGTCTGTAGAGGCTATGTATGTCATCTAATCCCTAAGTCACACATGCTGGGATAGCTGCAGCAGCTCTAGAATCCAGGGATCCAGACTCCAGCTTCGTGCTCTTTCCATCACTCCATGTGGCTTTCCCAAGGGCTGCTAAGCAAATTTTTGAACAATGAGGATTCCCAGTCCAACAGGTGCAGAAACATGAGAGGATCCTTCACCTGTCATATTGAGTTGATGAACCTTTTCCTGCAAATCTGTGAGGCTGTGGAGTCCATTCAACATTCATTCACTCAACAACTATGTACTGAGTGGCTATGATGTACCTGGCATTGTGCTAAACACTGGGGACCCAGTAGGGAACAAGCCAGACCTTTGGAAACACGCCTGTTCAGATATCGGTGTCTGCTGCTTGACTTGGGGAGGTGTAGGTGGGAGTAACCAGGTGTTGATCTGGCTCCTGGGAAAGTGGAGTTCAAATGTTCCATTGCAATCCACAATGCTCCGTACAGAGCTCCACTTTGTACATCAATGATCTGGAAACTACATTAAAACATGCAAATGATATTCCCATACAAAGATAGAAAACCATGCCCTTCTGTTACCCATCTCTCTGCAGCCCACTATATCATCTCCCACTGTTCACACTCACTCTGACTCTTTGTCTGAGACAAGCAGTTCTTCCAGTGATAGGTTGTTCACTTGGCTCTGGCCTTTACACTATCAGCTGTGGTCAGTGACTTTATCCTGTTTTCTCAGTCCTTTAACATACCTGAGATAAAATCTTTTCATAAAATTGAGGAAGCTGCATAGAATATGAGAGCAGAGGGGATCTGAAAGATTGCTTGGTTCAAATGCCTCTTTTGACAAATGAAAAAACTGAGGCTGAGAAAGGGGAAGTGACTCATTTAGGATCACACAGTTGGATCTAGAGGCATTGAAACCAGAGTCCAGGGCCTCTCACTCTAGTGCATGCTCATTTATACCACACTCTTACTCTAAAAAGGGCTTGTCTTACATCTAATCTATAGCCTCAGGTTGAGGTTTTTATTTACTCCTGGTATTTATTTACTCTTTCTCTGGGCTCTAATTAAGATAACAGCCTCATTAATCTAAAAAATAAAAATAGATCCATATAAACAGTAATAAATAGACACAGTGGAGCATGAACACTTTGTACAAAAAGATTCTCAACTCAAGAAATGTGCTTCTCCTACTGCACTGGCTGCCCCATGTCAGTTTCCTTTTCCTATCTTCTTTATCTCCATGAGCGAGCTCCTAACATTGGAAACTTGGTAACTTGGCCCCTGCCTCTTCCTTTCTCTTCTCTGTTCATACCTGTCCCCCTATCATCTCATCCCATCTTGTGCTTTTAAATGCTGTCTACACAGACAACTCCCAAACGTATGTCTGTAGTTCCAGCCTCTCCTCTGAACTCCAAATTCCCTACTCACCATCTTCATATAACTAGAATGTATCTGAAACCCATCGTATTCCAATCAAAATTCTGTTCTTTTCTCCCAAACCTTAGGCTCATCGTTAAGTCCGTCCTCTCATCCTCCACCTCTAACCCATCAACAAATCCTGCTGACTCTGCTTTCAAAACACATCCAGAATCTGCCTACTGATCCTCCTCCTCTGCTACCACTCAGGCCCAAGTTCCCATCATCTCTCATCTAGATTATTGCAAAAGTCTCTTTATTGGTTCCCCCACTTTTTCTCTTGACCTCTCAAGTCTGTTCACAACAGAGTAGTCAGTGATATTGCTTGATGTATGTCCAATTGTGTCACTTTTCTGCTTTTTATGCCTTCCTATCCCACTATGAGAAGAAGCCAGAGTTATCACAATAGCCAGAAAGTCTCCATTTCCTCTTTGACCTCATCTCCTACTCTTGTTTGCTGTCTTCCCCAATCTCTTTGCTCTTCTTTGAACATGCCAGACCATCTCCTGTCTCAGGCCCTTTGCACTTGCTGTTCTGCTGCTTGAAATGCTTGTCTGTCATATTTATGTGATTGTCTTACCTCCTTAAGTCTTGGCTCCAGTAACCTCTCCTTAATGTCTTTCCTGATCTCCCTATTTAAAACTCCCCCAGCCCCCAAAACTCCCCACATCATTTTACTGCCTTATCTTATTTTTTTCTGTAGTACTAACCACCAACTGAAAGTCTATATATTTTACTACACATTATGTTAATTTTCTGTCTCCACCCACTAGAATGAAGGTTATGCAAGAACAGGGACTTTTTGTGTCCACATTGTTCATTGTGTGTCCTTACCATCTTGAAAATCAGTTGCTTAGAAATATTTGCTGAGTAAATAACTAATATTCCATAATTTTTATATCAGTATCTTATACTAAAGCAATTCTAAAATTAAGATATCAAATAAAAGTGAAAAACAACTGGAACAATTTTCAATCCCATGAGGCTTCCTCATGCTTGAGATCTGGTTTGAAGATTTCAAACCAGATGCCAGTAATAGTGGCCACTACATAGTGACTAGATAATATATTGACACCAGAGACTACTGGTGTCAAAAACTTAGACTAGGCATGCCTGCAACCAGAAAAAAATCACAGATTCAAGTGCAGTTTCTCCCTGGACTAAAAGTAAGGGAAATTGGTAAAAGAAATTTACATAATGCCAGAAAATGTTTTCCTGAAGAAAACAATGAAAAATGTAAGTATTATGTTTCAATCAAACTTTAACCCTGCATGTTTGGGTCGACTTTTTACAATTTCTTAGTGAATTTGGTTTACTGAAGGGGGACTCTGCTGGCCAGAAAGAATGCAGTTTCCCAACAGATTCTGGACTTCTGGCCTCCAGAACTGTGAGAGAATAAATTTCTGTTGTTTTAAGCCACCCAGTTTATGGTACTTTGTTACAGCAGTTCTGGGAAATGAAGACACCCCACCACAGTCTACTCGACAAGGCAGCCAGAGGAGTTCCTTTAAAATATGAGGCAGATCATCCTGCTCATGCACCCAAAAATCTCTGATGGCCCAGAAGTCCAGAAGATCCTCCAGGATTGACTTCTGCTATTGCTGTGACCTCCTATCTGCTATTGCTATTGCCTACTATCTCCAGTCACAGTGGCCTCCTTGCTGCTCCTCCAACATCCCAAGCATGCTCTTGCTTTAGGACATTTACCCTGGCTATTCCCCTGCGTAGAACATTCCTTTCCCAGATTTATGCATGACTAGTGCTTCACCCGTTCAATTAAGTCTGTTTACATGCTAACTTCTCAATAAGACCTAACAGGGCTACCTTATTTAAAACTGCAAATCTCCACCACCAGTCCTGAAGCTCTGGATCCCCCTTATCCTGCTCTCCTTTTTCTCTCTCTAAATAGCACCTATTCCCTTCTAGAGTATCATACAATTTATGTTTATTTTATATTGCCCATCTCCTCTCACTGGAAAGTAAGGTTCATAGGAAAGGAGATCTTTACTTGTTAAATGACATATCCCCAAAAAGGTGTTTGGCACATCACAGGTGTTAAATCAAGATTTTTAGGATGAATGAACAGGAAAAGACAACATGACACAACAGATGGGAAGCTGTGCCAACGTCTGATCTCTGCTATTCTTGCCTCATTTTTTATTTGGATGATTGAGTAATCAATAGTTAGAAACTGCCTTGATAGTCTCAGCTAAAAAATAATAACCCTCACATTCTCATTTTAAATAGTCATGCATATAATATTACGTGTGGTGTGTTTTTCATCAAAAACTGTCAGCAAAAGTGAATTTACAGCAAAGGCCCAAAAAGAGTAAACTCCAGCTGCTACTGCTTCCAAAGTATTCTTGTTGAAAAACAAACTGTTTAAAGCAATTATTAAGTGCTTCAAAGGCTCTAGTAATGTTCCAAATATGCAAGCAGCAAACTCCTTTCTATTGTAGCAGAATGGGCTCAACAATGTCCTCTGTAATTTCTATATTTAGAAATTACTAAATATCTTAAGGATGCAGATTACAAGTTCTAGGAAATTAGCATCCATGAAATCATCGTAGGCTAAAACACTTAATTCTTTGAACCTAAATCCAAATTGTAAACTACCCAAGGGAAAAAATGATATCATGTATCTGCTACTTAGATCATTTTTCTATCTGCCATCAAATGCAGATAGAAATTAGGAGATAGAAATGCAGATAGAATTAGGAGAGTGTGTGTGCGTGTGTGTGTGTGTGTGTGTGCAGCGCGCTTGCACATGACACACACACACTTTCATTCCAAAAGCAATATTAGTTTGAAAATATTAATACATATTAATAAAAATGTGAAAACAGCAGCTGTGTGATTTTTAGATAAACTGTGGACAGTTTTTATTATTGAGAGTTGCATAGATGATCAAACGAAAACACAGCCAAACAAAATGCAAGCAGGCTAAAAAAGGAAGTTAAAGAATTTGAGTTTTTCAAGATGGATTATATACTTAAACGTAGGACCTAAAACCATAAAAATCCTAAAAGAAAACCTAGGCAATACCATTCACGACATAGGCATGAGCAAATACTTCATGTCTAAAATACCAAAAGTAATGGCAACAAAAGCCAAAATTGACAAATGGGATCTAATTAAACTAAAGAGCTTCTACACAGCAAAAGAAGCTACCCTCAGAGTGAACAGGCAACATACAGAATGGGAGAAAATTTTTGCAATCTATCTGTCTAACAAAGGGCTTAAACAAATTTACATGAAAAAACAACTCTGTCAAAAAGTGGGCAAAGGATATGAACAGACACTTCTCAAAAGAAGACGTTTATGTAGCTAACAAATATATGAAAAAATGCTCATCATCACTGGTCATTAGAGAAATGCAAATCAAAACCACAATGAGATACCATCTCATGCCAGTTAGAATGGTGATCACTAAAAAGTCAGGAAACAACAGATGCTGGAAAGGATGTGGAGAAATAGGAACACTTTTACACTATTGGTGGGAGTGTAAATTAGTTCAACCATTGTGGAAGACACTGGCGATTCCTCAAGGATCTAGAACTAGAAATGCCATTTGATCCAGCAATCCCATTACTGGGTATATACCCAAAGGATTATAAATCATTCTACTATAAAGACACATGCACACATATATTTATTGTGGTACTATTCACAATAGCAAAGATTTGGAACCAACCCAAATGTCCATCAATGAGAGACAGGATAAAGAAAATGTGGCACATATACACCATGGAATACTATGCAGCCATAAAAAAGGATGAGTTCATGTCCTTTGCAGGGATGTGGATTAATCTGGAAACCATCATTCTCAGTAAACTAACACAAAAACAGAAAACCAAACACCGCATGTTCTCACTCATAAATGGGAGTTGAACAATGAGAACACATGGACACAAGGAGGGAAACATCACACACCAGGGCCTGTCAGGGGGTGGGGGACTAGGGGAGGGATAGCATTAGGAGAAATACCTAATGTGAGTGACAGGTTGATGGGTGCAGCAAACCACCATGGCACGTGTTTACCTATGTAACTAAACTGCACATTCTGCACATGTACCCCAGAACTTAAAGTATAACAAAAAAATAAATAAATAAAAGAATTTGAGTTTTTTTAATTATTATAAATTATTATTATCTTGCCTGGTTGTGAAAAGAGGTGCTTTGGTTAATAAAGAGTTATATATGATCCACACATGAATTAGCAATATAGACCATAACAAAATAGGCTTAATACTGAGTACTCTAAAAAGAACATGACCTTTCTTTGATGAGTCAGTTAAGGCTTCTTCAAGTTATTTCTGGTCCTTATGGTCACCATAGTTAGCAGGAATTATCACTTTACTATAATTACATGCAAGTGCAAACTAATAGAATTCTGATAAATAACAGAAAATATATTGTAGATGAAATTCAGGTTTATCCAGAGAGATACTTACCTTTTGATATAGTCCTTCTAAGTTTTGTTAACAGCAAGGCTTGGAGTCCTTAAAGTGCCTGTCTAAATTCAACCCCAGAATGAGTGTTGATATAATTCTCTGTGGCACTTGGCTCCTAAACCTCTCCCATACACTTGCTGGTGTTATTAGAGGAGGCAGCAATTGGAAACACATTCCCTCACAGCCAAAATGCTTCCCATCTGAGAAGTTGTTGGAGATCCACTTCAGTGGCAAAGGGCATGAAAACTAATGGGTGTTAAAAACAAACCAAGCAGGATAGAAACAAATGTACTATGAGAATGAACATATTCTACAAATATCAAAATTTGAATAGGTGCACAAAAAACAACCACTTTGGGTCCCAACTATTGAGCATGTCATTCTCCTTCTCTTGAAGGTCACTCACTATCACTTGTGTGCTCAATCTCTTGGAACAGCCTCCTTGTTAGTAATAAGTGATTGTCCACGTTAATAAGTGGTAAGTACAGCAAAATCTATGGTCTGTGATGCCATATAATGCATACATATCCCACTTAGGTGAGGACTACACTTATGCCATGTTAGCCAGATGAACTCCATTTTTAAAGACATCTCTGGGTTTGGCAAATCAATATCTACTGCAAGAAAAAAAAAAAGGTCTATGGGAGCAAAGACTATTTCATTCACTGCTATATCCCACCCCCTAGAATAATGCCTTGCATGTGGTAAGCCACTAGATAAATATTGGCTGAATGAATGGGTAGTCTTTTCTACTGTAAACGCCTCTAAATAGTAAGAAGTTTGACCTAAATGCCTCTAAATAGTAAGAAGTTTGACCTTATATCACAAAGAAACTCCTCTAGTATCCAGTTAACTCCAATATGCCTTTTACTATGTCAGTGCTTTGAAGGCAGTGGTTCTAAAAATTTCATGTTGGTTGCACACTACTTGGGTTTTTTTTTTTTTTTCCAAGGAAATAGTTCTGATAAAGTCATGAACAGTAGGGTCTGCTTTGGGGACTAAAGGAACAGGGAAAGTCTTAATACAAATGTGCAAACTGTAATGGCAAAATTCCAGAATGACAAAATGTGGAAGAGAATTTGGGCAGGTTACCCTTCCAGTGGCCCTTCGATTATATATAAAAATGATCCTGTTGGCCCCATTCCTCTGCACAAATTGTTTTGTGTTTTCTCTATATCTTGCCCCAAAGAGGTTCCTCTTCATTTCATCTGTGGTACGAACTGTCATTAGAACTCATTTAAGCTGTCACAACACCATCATAATGGTTCTACCTACCTCTAACCTTTCCTCCTTCCACTTTACTTCTTATGATTCTGTCTTTTAAAACCTCTCAGTTCATGTTCCCAATTTAATGAAGTTCAAACACCTTGGCAAGACGCCAAGAAAACCTTCACAAACATGCCTAAGCATAGGCTTATTTAATGGCATTCTTTTCTATCCCAATTCTATGACTCATATATGGATATATCATATGTATCATATGTATATATTACCTACTATATATTATATGTGTGTGTTTCTTACTTCATCTCCCTCTATTTCCCATGCACTTTCCAGCCTCCCCATTTTTGCTCATGCAGTTTCTTCTGTCTATAATGCTTTCCACATCTGGTCTACCTAGAACACTCAAGAGTTCAAATGTCATATCTTCCCTGGATACCGCACCACCCATCATGCCCAACCTGAATCTCCCCACAACTGAATACAGAAACTCTTAGAGGTAATTTGGCAAAGCTGTCTGATCCTTCATCTGTGTTCCCAGAGCACTTTCATGATACCTCTAATGTGGTAGATTGTCTCCAAAGATGGCCACCAATGATGGTCCCCATCCCCATATGCACATGCCACTCCACTAGTTTATTTCCTACTCCTTCAATCTTGGCTGGCCTTGTGACTTGAATGGAATCCAGTGGAAGTAACCCTGTGTCAGTTATGAAGCCTTAATAAAAGCCAGACACCTCACAAAGAAGCTTGGGAACAGGCTACTATATGACAACAGACCATTTGGAGAACCACGGAGCTCCTAGACATTCCCAAACATGAGTGACACCATCTTGGGCATTCCAAGTTTCTAGCTGAATACAGCCATGTGAACAACCCCATTCAATGCCATGTGGCAAAGAACTGTCCAGCTAATAAGTGATAATTGTTGTTTCAAGGGATCAGGCTGTGGGATGGGTTATTTCCCAGTAATATATAACTGAAATATTTAACAGAATATATTATAGTTACACGTTCACAGGTCTAATTCCTTATGGTAGATTGGATTTTCCAAAGATTACTGCACCAACACCTCCCATGCCACATGCCCTTTTGCTGTGTGTCCTTGCCATCCCACCTTCAAGAAATGGAGTCCAATTCCTTTCTCCTAGAACTTGAAGTGGCCACAGTGAAGAAGTAGCACTGCATGACTTCCAAGTTTAGTTCTTTTGGCTTCTACCTTGTTCTCTTGGACGTTCCATCTCAGGTACTCCTGTTTGGAACCTCGTCACCATGCTAGAAGAAACTGAAGCTGCATGGAGTGGTCACATGTATATGCTCGAGTCAACAGCCCCAGCCAAGCCCAGCTGATTATCCCAATCCAGGCACCAGACATGGGAGTTAAAAAATCTCCAGATGATTCTGCCCCCAACCACTCAAATGTCTCCAAGCCCACTGGGGTCTTCTTAGTGGAGCCTCTAGACTTGTGAAACAGAGAGAAGACAACTCCACTGAGCTCTGTCCAAACCCCTGAAACACAGAATCTAAGAGCAAGATAAAGTGATTGTTATTTTATGTCACAAAGTCTGGAGTAGTTCTTTACTGAACAATAGGTGGCTGGAACAGTTCCCAACCAAACTGTGGGCTTCTGAAAGGAAGGAAAGCTTTAGTCATCATTGTATCACTCATTGTATTAGTTTATAGCAAGATACCTGGGGAAGGAGGAAGGCACGCACCAAATATCTGTTGTAACTGAAAGACCGAATGTCTGCTGTCTTTTTTTGTAGATGTGTTCAACTATATGAAGTGTTGGAAACCTACATATTAGGACTGGAAACAGTATGGGAAAAATATTTGTGGGCCAGGTTTATCAAACTATGTTTTTAGGATTCTGACAAAATGGCTCTTTATTTTCCTTTTTTCATTGTATAAAATTCTATGGAAGAAATTGGCACAAGCAAACAGAAGTGGAACAAAATAGAGGAAAGTATTCAGTAAAAAGGAAAATCAATGCAATTCAGTTAAATACAGGTCATTTGTTCCCTTTTCCAATCAAACTGTTTATCCTGTGTTCCTCTGTTCCATTTTACATAAGGGAAAAAATTTCTAAATGTACTGTGAGCCCACAGTTTTCCTTTCTCCTACCAAATCAAAATTCAATACCAAAATGCTGCTCAACATAATTATTTAATTGCCTTGGTTCCATAAAATGTCTGTAACATTGAAAAGTTCTTCTTTAAAAAGTATGTTAAAGCCCTAATATGTGGTTACTGGCTTTCCCCTGGTAGCACGCTAATTTCTCCCCTATACAGCTTTGTTAGAGAATGAGGGACTCAAAATAAGTGAATTATCTAGATAGCTTCTCCTTCTTCAGAGGACTTTACTTAGAAAGCCCATAAATTCTCCTACCAGGAATTAGTCACCCTGCTGTACCTTGAACTAAAGGAATAAGGCCTGATCAACAAATCATGGGTATAGAAGCTGCCAATCTTAAATTGTGTAAAAGTGAGTGGCTGTAGCCCCAAACCCTGAGACTCCCTGGAGCAAACCCAGTGACTAAGAATTCCTCTATGGAAAGGAGTGAGTATGAAGCAAAACCCACATTCAGAAACCCTCCTGGGCTTTAACATTATTGGTTTACAGATACTTGGATTGTGGAAAACTGGTTCCATCAGCTCAAGGCTGCAGTTTCCTTTTACTTTTTGGAAGCCTAACAATGGAAGTGGCAAAGCTTTCCAGCCAGTGATCCAGATAACAGCAAAGGTGCCCTCTCTGAGTTCCCTGACATATACAGAAGGATCCTGCCCTGTGCAGATTTGATGTGTTTCTATTTTCGCCATGATTCACTTGCTGACACCATTAAATGTTTAATTCCCAACTTAATTCGTGTATTCATTCACACATTAATCTGTGCAGCATTTATTAAGTACTCTATGTGTCAGACCCAGATTAGATGCTGAGAATAGAAAGATAATCAAGACAAATCCTCCCATTTTAGGGAACTCACAGTCTAGTGAGGGAGAGAATCAAATAAATAATTGACTGGAATATAACAGGGGATGACAAACTGCAGCCTGTGGGCTAAATTATGAATGCTGCCTGTTTTTATATGTAAAAATTTCATAGACACTGTCATTTGCTTACATATTGTCTATGGCTGCTTTTAAATTACAAATGCAGATCTAAGTTGTTGCATCAAAGACCCTGTGGCCTACAATGCCAAAAATATTTGCTATCTGACCCTTTACAGAAAAAGTTGCTGACTGTTACAATGTGGTGTGATGAGAAGAAAAAGAGGTATGTCCATAGTCAACAGCCCACAGAGGAAAGGATGAGCTCCAAGGAACACTCTCACAGAGCAGGAAGTACTTAAGCCGTGCACTGAGTGAGCAGAGGACCAGTCAGATAGCAGCAGTAAAGCCAAAAGGACATCAGGAAAAGGTTGGAGGTGAGAAATCAATAGGGTCCTCCTGAGGATGGCTAGGTAATGGAGGAGTGGAAGAACAAAGGTGTGGTGGGAAATAAGGCCAGGAGGGAGAAAGGGCAGGTCTCAGTAGGCCATGATAGGCCATGCTGAATTCTTTTATGTCAGCAGTGGAAATTCATCATGGGGTTTTAAGAAGAAGAGGCCACGGATAGAAAATAGATGGAAAAGACACTAGTATAAAATCCAATTCCGATTCTATTGCAATGATCTAAGCAAGAGATAATGACAGGGGGGAAAAAAAAGCAGTGGTAGTGGGAACTGAGAGGAGGAGTAAAAGATCTTAAGGGAACTGAATTAGCCAACATACAAGCTTTGTCATGCATATGCAGTGAACACTCCACGTGACATAACAACTTCCAGGGGCCAGAGCAGGTAAGACTATTCTGGTCAAATTCCTGAAAGACAGGCAAAGACCATCACTTACCTGTGGGGTTCAAATAAAATAATCTTTAATAATTGTAACTAAACATTGTTCAATGGCACTTGGCAAAATGAGCCGACCAGGTGGCTTTACTGTCAGTCAAAGGGTTACCTTTACTAATTGTTTGATCACTTGCTCCTTCTTGCATTTCACTCTGAGACTAGCCTCACAAAGAGGCAGGCAGGTGCTAGGAGGCAACCAGCATGGCCTTTGTATCGTGACTTGGTTGCAAGTCACGACACACTCACTTAACAGCTCTGTATCTTTGGGCAAGTTATTTAGCCTTTTTAAATCTCAGGATCTTCATCTACAAAATGAAAATAAGAATAGCCAATAGGTATCCTTAGGTATTGGTATAATAATTAGGTAGGATAACAAAAGCAAAGTGCTTAGCACAGGCCTGACACAGAGGGTCAAGAAACATCAGCTACCATTAAGTGAGCAGAGGAATCCCTCAGATCTTAACCAAACAGAGAAACCTCATCCCATCCTCACCAAATAGATAAAATCCCATTTCTGTGAGCACCTAACATGACTGTGATTGTATAATTTAGTAAATAAGTTGTTTGATGTCTGTTTTCCCAAATAGAGTGAAGGTTCTACTATATCACAGACCATGTCTCTTTGTTCAGTGCTGCACCCAGGGTCAGCACTGAACCAGGTATAAAGCAAATTTTTCTGTACTAGTCCATCTGTGCTGCTGCTATAAAGGAATACCTTTTATAATGAAAAGAGGTTTATTTAACTCATGGTTATAAAGGCTGCACAAAGAAGCATGGTGTCGGCCGGGCGCGGTGGCTCACGCCTGTAATCCCAGCACTTTGGGAGGCTGAGGCAGGTGGATCATGAGGTCAGGAGATCGAGACCATCCTGGCTAACAAGGTGAAACCCCGTCTCTACTAAAAATACAAAAAATTAGCCGGGCGCGGTGGCGGGCGCCTGTAGTCCCAGCTACTCAGGAGGCTGAGGCAGGAGAATGGCGTGAACCCGGGAAGCGGAGCTTGCAGTGAGCCGAGACTGCGCCACTGCAGTCCACAGTCCGGCCTGGGCGACAGAGCGAGACTCCGTCTCAAAAAAAAAAAAAAAAAAAAAAAAAGAAGCATGGTGTCAGCATCAGCATCTAGTGAGGTCCTCAGAAAGCTACCACTCATGACAGAGGGGGAAGGGGGAACAAGCATGTCACATGGTGAGAGAAAAAGGAAGCGGAGTGGGTGCCGCACCCATTTTAAACAACCAGCTCTCTTGTGAACTAACAGAGGGGGATCTCACTCATTACTGTAAGGATGGGGATGACACAAAGCCATTCCTGAGGAATCCATCCCCATGACCCACACACCTCCACCAGGCCTCACCTCCAACACTGCAAATCACATTTCAACATGAGACTTGGAAAGGATAAACCTCTAAACAATATCAGGGTGTCATATGTATTTGTTGCATGAATGAGAGAGAGGGTGAGCTGAGGGGAAGGGGAAAGGAGAGGAAGAGAGGCAAAAACAGAGAACCTCTTCTCTGTGTACTCAGCACTGCTGCTCCCACACCTGACTATTCAGATCAGAGGGTAAAGTAGCTGAGGTGGAAGAGACACTTCTCTGGTCCCTGAAAAAATCTTTTGGGGTCCCAGTTGTTCAGACCTTCTCTCCAGCTGGGAGCAGCTGCCTCAGGCTTCATTAGCAACATCTCAAAAAAGTGAACATCCAAAAAAGCCCAACTTCTCAGCCCTGGGAATGGGGAGACTAGTTAATGGGGAGTTCTGATGGCCAAGGGCCAAGGCCAAGACAAAGCCTAGCTAGATAAGACTTCAGTTTAAAGAAAGTTGTCTAGAAATTCATTAAATTTAAATCACCTTTTAAGCAGCTTGTGTTTTTTTTGTTTTTTTTTTTTTCCGAGACAGACTCTCACTCTGTTGCCAGGCTAGAGTGCAGTGGAGCGATCTCTGCTCACTGCAACTTCCACCTCCCTGGTTCAAGCGATTCTCCTGCCTCAGCCTCCCGAGTAGCTGGGACTACAGGCACGTGCCACCATACCCAGCTAATTTTTGTATTTTTAGTAAAGACGGGGTTTTACCATGTTGGCCAGAATGGTCTTGATCTCTTGACCTCGTGATCTGCCCGCCTTTGTCTCCCAAAGTGCTGGGATTGTAGGCATGAGCCACCATGCCCAAATTTGGATTTCCAGAAATCTCAGTGAGAGGCCTTGGATTTGATATCTGGGTTTATAGCAAATGTAGATTCTAAGGCAGATAATGCTTAAAGCTGATGATGCGTAAAGCACCACAACTGTTTTTAACTATTTTAGTGGAAACCTTTCTAAAATGTATGAGATGCTCTGCAGCTGTGATAAACACAGTAAACACATTGCACCTTCTTTTGGTGACCAGGACCTCTATCTTGAATAGCAGTGACTGCTGAATTGTAGGCATTGTTTATCATTTCTCTAATGGCCCCCAGACTACTATGCTGTTCAAATCTGTGGCAGTTCTGATTCTTTTTCTTGACATTTCTCTCTAGGTGGCTAAGATAACTTGAACACTATTGCTCCTATACTAAACAGCCCCTGGAAAGTGGTACTGTTCTGGTTGATATTGCTTCTATTTCTACCAAATGTGGCTGCTTCTGTTTTCCACTGCTGTTTCTCATGTTGCCATTGAGCTGCCACAATTCTAACCATTCCTCCCAACTAGCTGTCTGTTGCCCCTCCAGTCTCTAAGTAAAAACTGGGAGAATGCTAAAATTTTCCAGAACAAACCAGACAATCCACCATCACATGTAAAACTTAAGTCTCCATTAAGATCTAACCATATGCAAAAATTAGGTTTCTAGAGTTAGAGACATCACTATAAACTTATGTTTAGCTTAATATAAATGTAGATGACTACCTATAGAAATATCCATAGCTGTATCTACATGCATGTGTTATAATACGCACATGTATTAGTCCATTCTCACACTGCTATGAAGACATACCCAAGCCTGGGCAATTTATAAAGGCAAATGGTTTAATTGATTCATGGTTCTGCATTGCTGGGGAGGCCTCAGGAAACTTACAATTATGGTGGAAGGTAAAGGAGAAGCAGGCACCTTCTTCACAGGGCAGCAGGATGGAGTGAGCGCAAGCAGGGGAAATGCCAGATGCTTATAAAATCATCAGATCCCTTGAGATTTCACTATCACAAGAACAGCATGAGGGAAACCACCCCCATGATCCAGTTACCTCCACCTAGTCCAGCCTTTGACATGTGGGGATTATGGGGATTACAATTCAAGGTGAGATTTGGGTGGGGACACAGAGCCAAACCATATCAAATCAAACCTTTCCTTGCTCCTTCAGCTGACAGGGCCTACCACCAATGACACACCAGTAGCATGAGCATACTCGGCACCCAGATTTTAGTTTCTAATACGATTCCCCAGTAAAAGGAACCACGCTTCTTGAAGAAATGGCTGATTCCAGGACTGGGGCAAGAAACATACAAATGAGTCTGGAGTATCTTGTAGTGCTAGAAAAGCAACCAAATGCTCAAAACAAATTGTAAAACCTATAATAATGGGAGTATGTTTAAGGGGCACAGGAACCAACTGAAAGTGCTCCCAATGGTCAAAGATAGAAGAATTTGAGCAACAAAATAAAGAGGTATTAAATTATAGCCCAAAGTAGAAAATAAACATCCAGGAATCTATACTGATGTAAATAAATGACTGAATAAATAAATCACTGGGAAAGAAGAAACAAATCAGATATCTCATGCACTAGAATTCCAAATAACTGTGTAGATACTCTGCCCTCAGAGAGGGGGCATAATTTCCCACTCAAGTATGGACTGCACATTGTGACTGTCTTCCAAAAAGAATAAAATAAAAAGGTAGGGAGAAAGTAGTGGAGAAGCCTGACAAACACTACCTTAGCCAGGAGATCAAGGTTAATGTTTACACTGATAAACATGTTGATAATATGTACTTGATATGATATGATTACATATGATAATGATGTTGCTTTACCTCTGTGGTCTTCCTCCCAAAAATCTGAAACCCCATTCTAATCATGAGAACAGCATCAGGCAAATCCCAACTGAGGTACATTCTGCAAAATACTTGACCAGCACTCCCCTAAACTGTCAAGGTCATCAAAAGCAAGGAAAATCTGAGAAACTGCCACCACCAAGAGGAGACTAAGGAGACATGGCAACTAAATGACTAAGCATAATGTGGCATTCTGGATGGGGCTCTGGAGCAGAAAAGGGACATTAGGGGAAAACGAAGGACATATGGATAAGCTGTGGACTTTATTTAATAATAATAATAACTAATCAATATTGGACCACTAATTGTAACAAATGTAACATACTAACAAAAGATGTTAATAATTGGGATAACTTGGTGTGGAGTATATGGGAACTCTGTACTATCTTTGCAATTTTTCTATAAATCTAAAATTATTCTAAAATAGATATTAATAGTTAATTAAAAAGTTAAGTCTCAGGCCTCCAGGCCTGAGATGGAAGGATGAAGTACCCAGCTCCTACAGACTCTGCTATCCTGGGGATGGGGACTTTGCATGTCCCAGTGTGCTCCCAGGCCTCAAGGCTGCTGGACTTCTGACAGTGCTTCAGGGCAACACTTATATACTCAGAACACTACCCAGGGCTGGAAGGCTTTCAAAAGGCTGTGAAAATAATTATTTTACATACTCTTTCATAGTTTACCATCCTACAAGATAGCAGGGCTCAAATTCATCGAGGAAGAAAAGTCTACCAGGAAAATGACAAAAACCCATGTAACATTAGGAAGTCACTTAGTTTGAATTCGTTAGGAAAAGACCACTCCCTGTAGTTTCCATTTACAAGCTTCTCAAACTGGTTCCTAAACTAGCTTCCAGCTAAGAAAAGGTGTTAAAGCATCAATAAAACTGTTCTAAAAAGCCCTTCATAATCGAAATCTAATTGAAGCTTATTAAGAGAGAGAACACCAAGTAGTCCTTTAAAGGCAAAAGGAGAGAGGTCTTCAATAGCCAGCAGGACCTGGTGGGGCTAACGCTTTCTCCCTGGCCACATAGCGGGTGAGAGCACTGTAGCCTGTATGGACACGTGTGCTCCAGACACTGGCAAATTATGGCATTACATGCTTTGGCTATAGGGAGGTTGGGCTCTAGTGAGTAGAACTCTGGATAGGTAAATGGGAGATAGTTCTATTCTTCCCTCGCTCTTAGTTTGTCCAGACAACAAAATATCATAAACTGGGTGGTTTAAAAGCAAGAGAAGTTTATTTTTCACAGTTCTAGGGCCTGGGGAGTCCACATCAAGGTATCAGCACATTTGGTGTCTGATGAGGGCCAATTTCCTGATTCACTGTGGAGCCCTTTTGCTGTTTCCTCACAGGGTGGAAAGAGTGAGGGGTCTCTTGCAGGGGTCTCTTTTATAAGGGCACCAATTCCATTCATGAGGGTTCCACTCTCAAGATATAATCACCTCTCAAAGGCCCTACCTCCTAATACCACCTCCTTGGGGATTGGGATTTTAACATATGAGTCTTGTGGAGATACAAACATTTAAAGCATAGCACCCTCCTTGATCAAACTACTTTACTGCTTTGACCAATAATTTTTTTCATCCACTAAAGAAGAAGAAAGTTTTCACCCTTACTCAACTAAGTGGCAGGTAATAATTAATAAAAACAATGTATAAGCAAAGGAGCATCTCTTACTTCAAAGCTTTTGGAGTACATGATTTTTGGTAGAATTCTTAGACAAGTAAATCAGGACTTTGCAGTTAGTGTGTGAATCTTCCTTTTAGCCAATTACTTGTCAAACATCACTCAATCAATATATTTGTCATATTCACTTCCTCTGGTTATCAGTGTGTGAAATATAATTGGTAGACCTAAACCATGTGCATTTCTTTTCTACCTTTCAATTCCTCCTTCTCCTAGTTTAATCCTTTCCCAGTACTCCTGGGAACACCTGAAATACCGAATTAACATTCTTACTACAAGGACATATTTAAAAGTCTTATGGATCGAAATGTCACATTGTATAGATATCTTAAGTTGTCCATGATTGGACAACCTGGAAACACTGAGAGTTCCTGGTGACTTCAATGTATACCACCTATTTGCCTCACCATAACCCGAGATATTTTATTTTACTCCTGGGCTGGCATGCAGGGCCTTAGTGTCATTCAGTGCTCCTGTGCTCATTCTCCCCAATTTCCAGGGCTTCTTTTTGAGTCTTAGTTCGCAACACTTTTCCTAGGTCATTAGCTCACTCCATCCCCAGCGTTAGCCTGTACCCTCAAAGCCAGATCTGGTTTTTGACAGTGGCCAGGATATTTCTCTCATATCCATGCAACAGAAGACCCATCTGTTCCTTCTGCTGTTGTCATTCAGGCTGTCCAGGCAGAGGTCTCACCCTTTCCCCCTCTGGACCTTCCATAATTTGTATGTGTAAGGCTTTCCTGTTTCTAGTTTCCTTAGTGTAACTTGAGGCAGATATGAGAGTGCTTATTTAAAGCATAGACTATAGCCACTAAAAAAGGAGAGGTTAAAGGTCACAGAAATGGAGGAGCTCAGCGATACAGCAAAGTCTCAGAAGAAGCAGAAGGGCTTGGGGTTTGGAGCATAGATAGTTGAGTTTGAGGAGGGAAGAAGGGAAAGTATGGAGGTGGGAAGGATGTTAAGATGGCTAGTTTCCGCAGCATCTTATTTTTAGTGAAAGGAAAAAGCATCCCTGCTGAACCTGAATATGAGAAAGAATTATGGAAACTAAGAGTAAATAAGAAGCAGCAGCTGAGGAGAAGAGGGGAAAGAACTGCTTTGGGACAAGAGTTAGGATTTCTCTCATCACACTGCAAGTCTCACAGAGACTGCTATAACTGCTATGAACCCTAAATGGCACCTTTAGCCATGTTGGGAGGCTCCATATTATTACATTAACCTTAAATACTGCCACTAAATCTGTTTAATGGGGTCTGTGACCCAAAAAGTTAAGCCCCACTGCTCTGGACAATCATGCAACTCTTTCTGTCACAGTGCTTCTATCCTGGAATGCCTTTAGACCACAGAATTGCAAAACCACCTCTATCTGGATTTGAAGTAAAGGAGACATAAGGTACTGGGAGAAAAAAAATTACATTCTTATAACTTTCCCTCTTCATGGGCATTATTTTGGTATAGTGCCAAGCACCAATCAACTCTGAGTAGTGCCTGCATTCTGAAACAATTGTGCAAGAATATATTATTCTATGAACAATAAACTATCGTAGTGTTTCTTAGTTCCAATATCCGACCTTAAGGAATGCCACATCACTTGTTTTCTTGATTATTTTCTCATGAACCTAGAGTATTTGATTTATGCTCAACTATTTCCACATCTAAAAACATGTTGGTATTTCATAATCAAGTTTTAATCTTCTAAACTAGATGATTCAGGGGAAAATACTTAATCCATCAAAATAATTCCAAACCATGTGCTTTTCAAATCACCTTCAAAATGGCATATCGTTTCCATCATGTTTGGATTGTAAAAGGCTTTGCAATTTATGACCGTTGGCTTATTTCCAGTTCCCTAAGCTGTCAATAACATACTAATGCCATCCTCCAAAGGTCCCCTGGCAGGATTTCACAGGGATATCGGTGGGTTCAGATTAGTAGGAGTAACCAATGAATATATTAAATAATAGCACTCAGTCTTGAACTCTGTTTCCAAGTGTCCTTATAGTTCACCAGAATTTTACTTTTGAATGGGAAATAAGCTTGTTAGAAAGAGAAAGGAAACTAAAAGTATTAAGTGCTTACCAAGAGCCAGGTACTTTACATACCATATCATTTAAATTCATGGAATTATTTATCATACAGAGAAAATCAAGGCTCATAATCTCAGAGTTTACCTAAGGACAGAGCCAGAGATTACACTTCAGGTAGGTCTGATTCTTAAGCTTGTGATCTTTCTACCACTCCATTCCATTTATACCTATTAATAATTGTTAAAACTAGAATAAATAGCTCCAAAAGTCTATTCAAAAAGACTTCCATCAGAGGGTATAATCTCCTTTATAGAAAATTTTAAATTTCCCCACTGAATACACAGGATATGTGTGAATTTGGTACACTAAGACAACAATAGTAAGAAAACATGTCTTTCCCTGAACCGGAGGTAAAAAAAATATATACAGACATAAGCAATTCTAATAACTTTCCAGACTCAAACTGAGTCTGCAAGTAGAATTTTGCAAAAAGAAAAAGCAGGTCTAATAGTAATAGTACTAAAGTAACAGTACTCTAAGTGACTAAAAATAAGGGAAATTATTTCAAAGTAATTTCTCAACATAGATGGATCTTTCTAGTGTAAGTAGAAATTTTTGTTTATATTGTTGTGAATAACTGCCTTTGTCTCAGTTCTATCTTAGAATGTGCACATAGACATTGTTGAACATGACAGATGCACAGAATATAATATTCTAACATTATTCATGTTTGAAGAAGCGAAATAAAACCAACCCTTCAGAAATTCCTTTCTGACATCTTTTTATAAAAGAGTTATTTTAAGAGAAATAGAGGGCTTTACTGTTCAATAGCATAACCTTTTTTCTTACTTATATTTATCCCTCAAATTATTTTAATTCTTCCACTACAAAAATGACTATATTTTATCAATAAAAGGCTTTTTAAAAATGTTTACTTCTTATTAGATCCTTCCAAGTAATTTTCTAGGGATGCTGCCAGTCTTTGTCCTTTTTCTTATTCTTTTAACTGCATTTCTACATCGCACCTTAGAAAAAGATGCAACAACAATAACAAAACAACAAGCCTAGCTCAAGAAGCAATACTTGTTGCAGCTGGTTAAGTCTCAGGCCTCTGAGTTAAAAAGGTAAAGTTCACTACTTATGAGTCATGTGACCTCACACAAGTTACTTGAGCCCTCTGGAGCTCAATTTTCTCATCCTTGAAATGGGGATTCCAGGACCTCCCATATAGAATCATCGTGAAGATTGCACGTGGCATGTCAAACATTTGACACCATGTCTGGTACTGCCCTTCAGTCCATTAATGTTGGTCATAATTAGCTCTTAATTTCTGATGGGTAAAGTCCACTCACCTGAAGACTTTGAAATTCCAGGAGTCACGGTCATACAAGCCTTTTCATGTCGTGGTATACATTGGAGTACCCTGTTTGATCAGACTTCTCCTGAAGAATCAGCATTTAGAGCGATCCTCATGGTCCCTGTGAATGACCTAAGATTTTTGTGAACAATTCCACTCTCATATAATATGAGAACATAAGAGGACATTCACATTTTAAAATGTTAGAAATCTTGCCAAGTTTTTTCTTTCTCTCTTCACTTGTCTATCAAATTATTTGCCCCTTCTCTTTCATCAAACAATTAAATCAAATTAACTGAGCAGTAGGCTTGATGTTTTTGGTGTAGACAAGAATTATATATTTTACTCCTGATGTCAAAGAGCTTGGAATTTGTAGGAGAGACAAGAACCGTGCCAAAGAAACAGACTGCAGTTCAAGATGGTGGGTTATTGAGTGTGAAATGGAAAGATGCAAAGGAGTTCAAAGGGGAGGAATAACTCTAGGTGGGAAACACATACATTATTTACATCACCTGGCCTCCAGACTGGCTGTCACTACCCTTCAAATGACATGCTGTAAGAGTCAGCAGATCCAGTCGGTGGGAGGATGATTGGGTCTTGGGAAATTTAAATTTAGAGAGTATGTGCAAACGTGCTCCAGACAATTTTAAGAGAATAGGGAGGGCAGGCAAGGCTACTCCTTAGCTCTCAACAAAACTGATGTGTGCACCTCCCCAAATTCCCCACCCAACTCCCTGCTACATTAATCAACATCTCCTCTCCTGTCAACTTTAGACTCACCCATTCTTTAAGGAGAAGAAAGGGTATCTGCTATGTTGCATACAAAGCGTCTCATAAATAATGTCGTCTTTGCTTGAAAACAGCCTGAGAGGGGGCTGGGGCTCACGCTTGTAATCCCAGCACTTTCGGAGGCCGAGGCGGGCAGATTACCTGAGGTCAGGAGAAGATCAGCCTGGCCAACATGGCGAAACCCGGTCTCTATTAAAAACTAAATAAAGTAGCTGGGCGTGGTGGCGGCGCCTTTAATCCCAGCTACTTGGAAGCCTGAGGCGGGAGAATCCCTTGAACCCCGGAGGCGGAGGTTGCAGTGAGCGGAGATCGCTCCACTGCGCTTCAGCCTGGGCGACAGAGTGAGAATCCGTCTCAAAAAAAAAAAAAAAAAAAGGAAAGAAAAGAAAAGAAAAAATAGCCCGAGAGGATTTGAGTATCAAGTAAAAAAAATTATTTCCTGCCATTAAAAGGTATGAAAGTTAGAACTTCACTTTTCTCTCAAGTTGCTTTCCAAAATGGCTTTGTGTGTCGCATTATAGTTACCTGCACTATTTGGGAGCCTAAGGAAGCTCTAGTGTCTTCTGGGCTTGCACTTTCTGCAGCAAAAGGTGCCCCCTGATGAGGAAAGGTGGAGAAGAGGATTGAGGAGATGGGAGGAGCGACATTATAACACACAGAGCAGGAAAGACCTCAGTTTGGGCTTGTTGATAATGTCTTGATATGTTTCTTAGTAGAGATTTCTTGTTCTTTGGTAGTCCAATTACAGTTCTTCTATTTAATAGCTTTAGTTGCCATTTTATCTATAAAATCTGATGTAACTCTTGCATGGTTTTACACTAAAAGTGTTTTACATATACAACGCTACAGGAGTTATACAACGGCAAGGAAAGGAAAGGAAAGATAGTCTTTAAAAAGATTGCAAGGGAAGTGGATCAGATGTATAGAAGGCTTAACTTTTAAAGAAGAATGGCATAATAATCATCATAATTACTATTTCGATTTCTATAATTCACATTCTTTTCTTTTAGATTCATTCCCAGAAAACCTCCAATGTTTAATAATTTCTGAACTAGCAAAGAGACAGGGTTATTATTTCTAATGAGCAAAATTTAAATATGAGATACAGAGAGAGGGACAACTGACTAAAGGTCGTAGAGGATGGAAGAGCCGAAAGGAGAAGGACATTGGTGCTCAGCCTATGCCCTCTAGAAAGATGTTTAGAATTTTCATAATAGGTTTGTGATGTGCCTAGTTATGGCGTGATCGACCTCATGCGATCCCTACTAAGAGGAAACTGTATTTTAGAAAGTTAAAATGAATAATATGGTCCACACATACACAGGTTGTCCAATAAATGTTTAAATTAATGCATGAGATAACTAATGAGTAGGTCATAGAAAGGTTGTTTTAAGGGTAGGACACAGGCGTGAGTGTAATTCCTGTTCAGTGTTTTTCCAGTTCAGTGCTGAGCAATGTATATGCATTGTCTTCTCTGATTTCTGTGTCTGAGGACACATCCCTGAGTATAAGCCAGGGATTTTATGAGGAATTGTTTTAGGCTTCAGTCTTAGATAACTGCCATGATTCAGTGTTTGATGACTATTTTTTTACTCACTTATCCCGTTCATTCACTCATGAGTGGCTCCCTATTCTAGTGTCTGTGTCAATGCCCAGTCTTAGCCTCTGCCTTCATCGAGCTGCCCCTCCTGCTAGAGGAAACCTAAAATCTCTGCATCTGTGTTACTGGGAGAACTACTAGAGCCTGGTGGTGGAAGGGGAGTTATCTGCAGGAGCCTCTTTACTCACCCTGCTTTCTCTGCAGCTCAATGCTTTGCACTCACCCCAGCTCTCCCTGCCAACTGGTGTCTGTTGCAGGACAGGGGCTGTGAAGTAAAATGGAGACCAAAAGAGACCCTTAGAAAGCAGTTGACCTGGGACTCTGCTACTTACTGATTCCTAATCCATAGTTCTTGGCCAATTCTTTCTTTGTCTCTCTATTCTATGTCTGTTCATTTCTCAATCCATTTATCATCTCCACACGTATTTAAAAGGCCACCAAAACCGTAATGAATCTCTATCTCCAATTAAAGAGAGTTTGTAAATGATTCCGCAAACATTTATTGAATGTCTATTATTTGCCAAATGCTGGCATATCACTGTCTTCTCTTTTATACTTCTATTTGTTTTCGTTTAAACATTGACCAGGTAGACACTAATCTTTGGAAAGTCTGAACTCTAATCCAAATGCCAGGTTTGCTAATAATTAGCTGTATGACTTTGGACAATTTATATCTTTGGGTCTTAAGTTTTTTCTTGTCCAAAATAAAGATACTATAATACTGTTATGGGCCCAATTGTGGCCATACCTCCAAATTTATATATTGAAGCCCTAATTCCCAGTACCTCAGAATGAGACTCTATTTGGAGATAGGTTCTTTAAAGAAGTAAATAAATTAAAATGAGACCCTTAGGGTGGGCTCTAATTCAATCTGACTGATGTCCTTACAAGAAGAGAAAATTTGGGCACATGAAGAGACATCAGAGGTAACTAAGGTAATATAAGGACATACAGGTGGGCCCTAACTGGGCCTGGTCCATGTTAGTTGTGGCTCCCCCACCCTGGACTCTTTCTGTTCCTTTAGCCACTTGCATGGGGTCTAACCTGCTCTGCTAAATTTTCCCCAGAAATGTAGTTCTGGTGTCCTTGTAAGACGCAGAAATTGGCTGGACGCAGTGGCTCACGCCTGTAATCCCAGCACTTTGGGAGGCCGAGGTGGGCGGATCACGAGGTCAGGAGTTCGAGACCAGCCTGGCCAACATAGTGAAACCCTGTCTCTACTAAAAATACAAAAATTAGCCGGGTGTGGTGGCACCCGCCTGTAATCCCAGCTACTCGGGAGGCTGAGGTGAGAGAATTGTTTGAACCTGGGAGGCAGAGGTTGCAGTGAGCCGAGACTACGGCATTGCACTCCAGCCTGGGTGATAGAGTGAGACTCCGTCTAAAAAAAAAGAAAAGAAATTAGGACATAGACGTACATAAGAGAAAAGACTAAGTGAGGACATGTTGAGAAGATAGCCATCAGTAAACCAAGGAGAGAGGCCTCGGGAGAAACTAAACCTGCCAGCATCCTGAATTTCTGGCCTCTAGAACTGTAAGAAAAATTAATTTCTGTTGTTTAATTCACCCAGTTTCTGGTATTTTGTTATGGCAGCCCTAGAACTAATACAGATATCTAGCTAAGACCCTCTTCAGTTCTACCCTCCTGGGATCATCTCTTCCCTCAAGGGCAGTAAAAATATCAAATCCTCTGTTTAAGTAACAATATAAATGTTTTTAAAATGTATTGTATCACATTAGTTCTCAAACAATTAACTGATTAACTGTAGCAAACCAAGTCCTATATAACACACTTTTTAAAATTATTTTTTAAGGTTCAGTTGTTTAGTAGTACATGAACTAGTACTGAACTACTACTGTATATGAACTTCAAGGTATTTGCTTCTCTATAAGCAACTACATTAAATAGTTCCTGAAATTTTACTTAACTACATTTCTGGAGTAAAATTGTGCAGAGCAGCAGGTTAGACCCCATGCAAGTGGCTGAAGGAACAGAAAGAGTCCAGGGTCAGGGTCCAGCTAACATGGACCAGGCATGGTCCCACTGAACGTGTGCTGGTGAGGTTCACATGCCCTGAAAAAAAACTTGGAAAACACATCTACTTGGGTTTTTGGTTTACTTTCAATTTTTTGTTTCATTTTTTTTAACAAGTTTGTCTCCCTTTCCATATTTCATAGTGGTTCTACTCATACTACCTCAAGGATCTGAATTTAAACAAATGATACCTCAATTATTATGTTTGAGTGTCTGCTTGCAGATTTCTGACCTGGCTAGTTTTGACAGGCTGACAAACTTCAAACAAAGGTGAAAAAACTAACTGTAAGACAAAGACCTAAAATCTGAAGGAAAGGGAGGGTGGCCTGGGTGAGAGTGATGGGAGTGACATTTTTCTTTTATTAACTGCTAGACAGGAAATGAGGCTTAAAGTATTGAAGGGATGATGAGGGGGAGGGGAAAGAGGGATCAGGTAAATGGATTGCAAAAACACCACAAAAAAGGTCGAAGGGTGTGAGCTAAGAAATTGGTTTTAGCAACTGATTCTGTTACACAGGAACGGGAGCCAATAATCTGGACTCCTCTGATATTAGCTCGTAAGTATCTTAATTGGTATACTATCTCAATCAATGCCATCAGAAGGCATGTTTTTTTCTCAGTCCTCAAACCCATATTATAATCTTTGAATGGTAACTTTATAACTTGCTGATCACTCCTGAAAACCATCACTTTATGATTCCTTTGTCTCAGGCCTTCCCAAATGTCATGACTACCCATCCCAGGAGAGCAATAACTGCAAGAAAACATTCACAGCAATGCTGCAACTATTAATAGTGTTTGTATTCTATTGTTATTGTATGTCACAACAGTGAGACTCAGGGAATTTTAGAAGGAGTTTTAGAAAGGGGCTGTTTGGGTGAGGTCACTGTGGTAATCAGACTGGCTCTATTAGCTGGTCATTTAACAACTTCCACAGAACTTGATAGCTTTCCAATGAAATACTTAATTTAATTTCCCCATAATCCACCTCTCTCCTGGCCATCACACCTTTAATAAGCCTACATCACATGTTCATTACTCTTTCTACCTCTACATCATAGAGTTTTACATTTTAATATTGGAGTTGGTCATCTTGTTAGTTTGATTTATTGTTTTCCTCTTTTGAAAAGTCCGTACACTTTTTCTAAGTACTATAAATAACAAAGCGTGGCTCTGGATTGAATAACGGAGTTGTAATTCAGACTTGGAACTTTCCTGACATTCCTAAAGCCTCCAGCCGCACCCTTGGAACCAAGGATGTCAGTAGAGGCTGGTGATTGAAATACGGCCCTGCAGTCAATCAAGGGCCTCTACTATTCAAAATATTTCTACAAATGACAAGTTATTAATGCTTTGAAATGAAAGTCAGAACTACACTATATCAGATGTTAGTTTAATGAGGACAGCTTTTTTTTTCTGCCACTTAATGAGGTAAGAGACTTTTTCTCTATTTCTTATAGAAATAAATCACAAGCAATAAATAGAGAAAGTGCTTAGGTAGTCAAGCTTTATTATTATTGTTGTTACTATTATTTTAAATATTGCACAATATTATTTGCAAAACACTTTCATTTTTAGAGTACTGGAAGAGTAAAAAGAATTCAACAACAAGAGGAGAAGAAGAAAGGGAGAGAGGAAGAAAGGAGGAAGGAAAGGAGGGAAGGAGGGAGGGAGGGATGGGAAGGATTATTTGCGTGCAACCCAAAGTTCTAATCACTTCATAATTGAATTTCATAATTTTAGATACTGTTGAAGAACTATGAATGTGAACACTTGGCAAGTGACAAAGTAAAATCAAACAACAGAAATGTAAGCCTTAAGATGTCAAGTCAAATAGATCCATATATCTTGGTTATTAATGTCTCAGGAAAACAAGCAATAGATACAGAATATTGGAAAATACTGGGGAGCTCCACAATAATATTTTTGAACACTTTTTTCTTAAACTTTAACATTTTAATTTCTCAAACATTAGATTTTTGAGAACAAACGTTATTAGAGAAGACAGTGTCAGAAATATGAAAAAATCTGCTTCCTTCTGCAGAAAAAGACACTTATAATCAAATAGCTCACTTGAAAAAGTATCCTTACCCTTGGGAAGTTGTTGACCTCTTTGTGAATGGACCATGGTCCTCTTTCAGAATTTGATGCAAGGCCTTTGCCTCAGGAAAAAATAAAATGCCACCAACAAGCAACATCTATTTCTTTCTCTCTCTACTTCTCAAATATGAAATTTTATATATTTCAGGGGATTCATGACTCCATTGCCCAATGATGTAAATGGCATCTAAAAAAAACAAAAGAACCTTTCCCTTATTTTTACATAGATTACATCTAATTTTGATCAACTAAAAAAAAAAAACTAATGCTTGATTTGGAGATTAGAATCAAATTCAATTTTTCATGGGGACCTAAACTTTATTAATTGTTTATTATATTCCAGGAAAAATAAAGGTATCCCATTTCACAGGACCAAAATGCTTGCTACAGGGCCTGTTATTGAATGCAGCTCTTAATCATTGCTACAAAGGTATACTTGATGGGGAAAGGTGACATAATAATCTAAGCATGTGTCTTTTTCTTGCCAGTATTAGAGTCAAACAAGTCATAGGAATAATTATTGTTATTTTCATAATCAAACAATAGATGTAATTGAAAATATTCTATGGGTCTCATTTTTGTTATCAGAAACTAAGCATACTTATAACAATCTAATAATGTAAGTATTTTAGATAACAAGCCTTTTTTAAGAGCCTACTGTTGCATAGTGTCCATTATCAGCTAACTAATTCATGCCCGGAGGCAAAAAGCAGTGCAAGTGAAACCATAATATGTTTCTTCAATGAACTTTGCCTTCACCCAGGTCTTCATTTGAGCTGTACTACTCTCCTTTCTTTCTCTGCTTTGAAATTTCCCGTTGATGAAAATACCTCATTTTATCTTTATTCTTTTGTCTTTATTGCCCTTTTTAACATGAGTATGTGTGGTACAGATTAGAAAGGGTCTGACGGTGTGCATATGCTGAAGGCAGTTTCTTCTCTAAAGAAGAAGAAACTTAGTTAAGTAACATGAGAAGCAGTTCAAGAGCCAGAGAGCAAGCCATGAGTGCCACCAGATGACCACTGGAGTCCATTCCCCACATCAGTCAAGGTCTTTGGGACAAGCAATGACAGAAACCTTTGATGTCTTTCCTCTGCTATGACTCACAAGGCAGCAGTGCCCAGGGGTTTCTTCATCAAGTTTTCCTATTTCACTTGGGCTCAAACTCATTTTAAGTTTCATTTAAGATGGGGGGAGTTTTTAATGGTAACTAGCTCTGCCAAACCAACTATCACAGTGAATTGAGAGTTCTCAGTTTAAAATAAACCGGAAAGCAGTTCATTCCTGCGGCAAGAATGTCCCCACCCAGTAAATGTCAAAGATAATCTGAGCTTACCCGGATTGAGCCAAGTCGAAGCCCCTACACTTAGCCTGACACTATGGCCTCCAGAGATGCCCAATATGTCTACCTAAATGACCCAAAGTTGTTCTCCTGCCTTTCAATAATTAAAATCCACTCTGTGAAAAAAAAAAAAAATTACACATGTAAAACATCAAATAGAATGCAGGCAGTAAATTAGGGCATTTTATCCTTGATCGTACCACCCAAGGAAGTGTTGTACATTTACCACTGTTCTGAATGAGCAACCTTGTTAAGAATAAAAAGGATCAAAACGATGTCTAAAATCTAACAAGTTTGAAGTCTTTTAAGTTATTGTGAGCTCATGTCCCTTGGAACTTGTTGGGAATTCATTGAGGCCTGTATTTAAAGGGCATTCACTGGAATTTTTTCTTTAAAGTGATTTTTTCTCTCCCTAGAATTGCCTTTTGTCATTCTATTAGATTGAGTAGAAGTTTGCATTTTGGAACTATTTCATGCATAGGGGAATTGACCATGTCTCTAGGCAAACTCTGGGTAGCATCTGTCAAAGTCTTATTAGGAATTGACCTTCACCCACATTGACTGAAGGCTTTCTATAAGCAAATCGCATACACAGAATTTTTGTATGTGTTTCCTTATTACAGCTTCACAGATCTGAGAAGAAACAAATTAATTTCATTATATATATAAAAGTCCAGAGAGAGGAAATAGAAACTTTTGCATTGGTTTGGCAGATAGGAAATAACTTATTATGAAAACTCTTCCATGCCCTCTAACTCTTTTTCCACTCGTCCTTTTAACTACACTATTTCCTCCTGTACTCTAGAATAGTCCAACTAGAAATTAAATCCAGAGTGATTTTCACTTAAAATTATAATTTAATGTCGGGTTGCTGTAACTTGCTCTGGTTTTCAAACTACATTATAGACTTAACTTTCTAGCAACATTGATGCTGCCTTCAAGTATTACATAAATAAGAATGCTAGTTAAAATTCAAAATCATAATATTAATGCATGAAGAAGTTGGCCAGAAAGAAGAGATTCCTCAGAAATCAGAAACAATGAGAAAGCACAAATCCTCATGGATAAGTAAATGCTGGAGTCAGCATTTTCCCAGGAGATACCTGCAAATTTTGATGCACTAAGCAGGACAAGCCTCAGATCATAGACACCAATTTAAAAGCCAAAATCCCAGGAAGGCAATTTCTTTAGGTGAGGTAGAATAAAACCCACCTGTAATAGTGTGTTTCCACATTGCCGATAAAGGCATACCAGAGAGTAGGTAATTTATAAAGAAAAAGAGGTTTAATGGACTCACAGTTCCATGTGGCTGGGGAGGCCTCACAATCATGGTGGAAGGAAAAAGGGCAACCAGGCAAGAGAAAGAAATAAAGAGTATTGAAATAGGAAAAGAGGAAGTCAAATTGTCGCTCTTTGCAGATGACATGATTGTATATCTGGAAAACCCCATGGTCTCAGCCCAAAATCTCCTTAAGCTGATAAGCAACTTCAGCAAAGTCTCAGGATACAAAATCAATGTGCAAAATTCACAAGCATTCCTATATACCAATAACAGACAAACAGAGAGCCAAATCATGAGTGAACTTTCATTCAAAATTCCTAAAAAGAGAATAAAATACCTAGGAATCCAACTTACAAGTGATGCAAGGGACCTCTTCAAGGAGAACTGCAAACCACTGCTCAAGGAAATAAAAGAGGACGCAAACAAATGTAAGAACATTTCATGCTCATGGTTAGGAAGAATCAATATTGTGAAAATGGCTATACTGCCCAAAGTAATTTATGGATTCAATGCTATCCCCATCAAGCTACCATTGACTTTCTTCGCAGAATTGGAAAAAGCTGCTTTAAATTTCATATGGAACGAAAAAAGAGCCCACATAGCCAAGATAATCCTAAGCCAAAAGAACAAAGCTGGAGGCATCATGCTACCTGACTTCAAACTATACTACAAGGGTACAGTAACCAAAACAGCATGGTACTGGTACCAAAGCAGATATATAGACCAATGGGACAGAACAGAGGCCTCAGAAATAACACCACACATCTACAACTATCTGATCTTTGACAAACCTGACAAAAACAAGCAGTGGGGAAAGAATTCCCTATTTAATAAATGATGCTGGGAAAACTGGCTAGCCATATGCAGAAAACTGAAACTGGACCCCTTTCTTCTTTTTTTTTTTTTCTGAGAGGGAGTCTTCCTCTGTCGCCCAGGCTGGAGTGCAGTGGCGTGATCTCGGCTCACTGCAAGGTCCGCCTCCTGGGTTCATGCCATTCTCCTGCCTCAGGCCCCCGAGTAGCTGGGACTACAGGTGCCCGCCACCATGCCTGGATAATTTTTTTTGTATTTTTAGGAGAGACAGGGTTTCACCATGTTAGCCAGGATGGTCTCGATCTCCTGACTTTGTGATCCACCTGCCTCGGCCTCCCTAAGTGCTGGGATTACACGCGTGAGCCACCGTGCCCGGCCCCCTTTCTTACACTTTATACAAAAATTAACTCAAGATGGATTAAAAACTTAAATGTAAGACCTAAAACCATAAAAACTCTAGAAGAAAACCTAGGCTATACCATTCAGGACATAGGCATGGGCAAAGACTTCATGACGAAAACACCAAAAGCAATGGCAACAAAAGCCAAAATTGACAAATGGGATCTAAGTAAACTACAGAGCTTCTGCACAGCAAAAGAAACTGCCATCAGAGTGAACAGGCAACCTACAGAATGGGAGAAAAGTTTTGCAATCTATCCATCTGGCAAAGGGCTGATATCCAGAATCCCTTTACAAAGAACTTGAACAAATTTACAAGAAAAAAACAAACAACTCTATCAAAAAGTGGATGAAAGATGAAGGATATAAACAGACACTTCTCAAAGGAAGACATTTATGCAGCCAACAAACGTGTAAAAAAGCTCATCATCACTGGTAATTAGAGAAATGCAAATCAAAACCACAGTGAGATACCATCTCACGCCAGTTAGAAAGGTGATCATTAAAAAGTCAGGAAACAATAGATGCTGGGGAGGATGTGGAGAAATAGGAACACTTTCACACTGTTGGTGGGAGTGTAAATTAGTTCAACCATTGTGGAAGACAGTGTGGTGATTCCTCAAGGATCTAGAACCAGAAATACTATTTGACCCAGCAATCCTATTACTGGGTATATACCCAAAGGATTATAAATCATTCTACTATAAAGATACACGCACACATATGTTTACTGCAGCACTATTCACAATGGCAAAGACTTGGAACCAACCCAAATGCCTGTCAATGATAGACTGGATAAAGAAAATGTGGCACATATACACCATGGAATACTACGCAGCCGTTAAAAAGCATGAGTTCATGTCCTTTGCAGGAACATGGATAAAGCTGGAAACCATCATTATCAGCAAACTAACACAAGAACAGATGACCAAACACCGCATGTTCTCACTCATAAGTGGGAGTTGAAAATGAGAACACATGGACACAGGGAGGGAAACATTACACACCGGGGCCTGTCGGGGGGTGTGGGCCTAGAAGAGGGATAGTATTAGAAGAAATACCTAATGTAGAGGGTGGGTTGATGGATGCAGCAAACCACCATGGCACCTGTATATCTATGTAACAAAACTGTACTTTCTGCACGTGTACCCCAGAACTTAAAGTATAATTTAAAAAAAAAGATTTAGTTCGCCAGAGAGTTATAAAAAATTCAAACTTTTATACATCTAGAAACTTCGTAATGCTAAATATCTTAAAAATAGTCAGAGTGGGGTGTTCAGGAAGAAGCACATTGATATTTACAATCTACTTTGAAGTACACCAAAATGTGATGGATTTATAGTTTAAAAATGTAAAAAGCTTTCTGTAAGGAGAAACTTATAAGGGCACTGTCACAGTGGGATTTAACAATAATAGATAAATCAAGTAGATAACATATTGTAACGTGACAAGGCAATACAATACCTGAACAACACAAATAATATCCTCAATCTAATAGACAATATATAGAACATGACATCCAGCAACTGGAGAATACACACTCTTTTCAAGCACACAGAAGATGAAAATTAATGAAAATTAAGCAAGTAGTAGGCTCAATGATTCTCAACAATTTTTAAAGATGCTATAGTGTGAAGATCATAGTTTATGGCAATACAATTAAGTTAGAAATAAGGAAGAAAATAGAAACTAAAACTACACATGTATTAGGAAATTGAAAAACATTTCTAAACAATATATAGAGTAAAAAATATTTTAAAATGATTCAATGAAAAAATGCTTCTTAAAAAACTCGGTGGCATCTACAAATACTTTAAAAGAAATTTAAAGCATTACATATTTTTATTAAAGATAGAAGTTTGAAAGTAACTGACCTATGCATTCAAGTTAAAAAGATAGAAAAATAAAAACAGAATAAACCCCTCCAAATAGAAGAAAGAGAATAAATATAAAAGCAGAAATTAGTGACATGCAAAACAATGACAAGTTAGAGAAAATCAACAGAACTAAACATTTGAGTTTATTTTTCAATACTGTATAGTTAATATACATTTCTTGCAAGATTAAGAACAAAATAAAGCACAAATGAACAGTATTAAAAACAAAAATGATTATAACACCATGTATGCAGCACAGATTAAAAGGATAATAAAAGAATATTATGAACAACTTTTTGCCAATTTATAAAAATTAAACAAGTGTTAGGCCACAAAACAAATCTCTACAAATTTCAAAGAATCTATAGCAAATAGACTAACTAAAATATAAATGACAAGAAAACATCCTTTACAAATATATAAATTGACACAGTAATTTAAGAAGAAGTAGAAATACTCACTTGTCCTCTATCCATTACAGAAAATGAACTCAAAGTCATAAATCTTTACCCACAAAAGAAAACACCAGGACCAGATTAGTTCAAACATGATTTCTATCCAATTTTGAAAGAAGACACTTCTATTTTTACAAACTCTTTCAGAGAATAGAAAAAGAGAAAATATTTCTTTATTTATTCTATGAAGCTAGTACAACACTGATATGAAAACCAAAGGCATAACAAGAATGCAATATTACAGGCCTATCATAAGCATAAATTCAAAAAGCCAAAATAAAATGTTTGCAAACCAAATTCAGAAATGTATGGAAAACATACACTCATCTCAATACATGCAGAATAAGCACTAAATAATTTTTAAACATTTAATAAAACCTTCTAGTAAACTAAAAATGACTTTCTTAACCTACAACAAACATTGACCTTTCAAATCAGAGGACATGGCAAGGTTTTTGTCTATCACCACTTCTAATCGCCATTGTATTGGAGGTGCTAGCTAGAACAATAATGCAAAAATCTATATATTTCCAATATTTTACATGTATTAAACAGGAAGAAACAAAATTGGCAACATTTATAGGTGACAGTTTATGTACACAATAAAAATATGTGCAAAGACTTTTTTAATTAAAGGAAAAACAAAGTAGGTGGGTACAAAATCAAATTTTAAAAATCAAGTCAATTAACAAGCTATTGGAAAATGAGCTAAAACAACATATTCCACAGTTAATGAATGTTAATAAATTCTATCTACAATAAGATCTAACATTTTTAAATAATTAGGAATCAACCTAACAAAGATGTATAAGACAGTGAAAATTTATAAAACCTTGCAGAGAAAAATTTTAAAATTCTCTATTACAATTTATTATTGTTACATAACTAACCACCAAACTGAGAGGTTTAAAACAGATATCACTTTATTTTGACAATGAATTCCATGGTAAATACTTCAGAAAAGGAAAAGTGAGGATGGCTTGTCACTGCTTCATGATGTCTAGAGCTGGTAAGACTTTAAGGCTGGGAGTGCTCTACTAAATATGAACACCCTCCAGTGAGGAACAGGAATCATCTGAGGATTTGTTCACTCACACACCTGGCTGCTGGGCTGGGAGGACTCAAAGTAAGGACTGCTGTGGGAAGTACCTGCACATGGTTTCCTATGTGTTTGACTTCTTGCAGGCTAGTGGCCTCATGGTAGGATGTTGTGTTCATCAATTAAAAGGCTCAATTTTATAAAACCATCAATTCACTCCATATTGTTTTATGGGTTCAACAAAATTCTAATCAAAATTACAATAAGTAGTGTGTGTGTGTGTATATGAGTGTGTGTAACTCAACAAACTGATTCTGAAATTTAAATAGATGTTCAAAGAGCCAAGATACTCTTGAGAAAGAAAAGGAAGTTGGGAGAAATTGCTCCACTAAATATGAATACTCATAAGACTATAGCAAACATGACAGACTGGAATTATCCCAGGAAAAAACAAGTAGTCCAGTGGAACACAAATGAGAGCCCAGGAGGAAAACTATGAATATATGGACATTTCATTTCTGGAGGGAAAACAAATGCAGCACTGCAGATCATTGGGGGAAAGATTTGACTTTTTAATAAATGATGTTTGGAAAGTAGCTACCTTTATGCACAGTCTGAAAAATGAGAACCCATAATTCACACCACACCAAAAGCTAATTCCAGGAGTATTAGATACCTATTTATGAAATGCAAAACTGTGTTTTATAAGATAATATATAACAATATAGAAGATAATTTTTAAATATAGAAAAATAAAAGATTTTAGATGTCTTCATAACCTCATGGAATTTCTTAAAATATAAGAGTCATAAAAAAAGCGTTGATAAATTCAATTACATTAAAATCAAGAAAGTAGTTAATCATAAGACAAACTAAGCAAGTTAAAAAGTAATCCACAGAGTAGAAAAATACATTTCTAACTTCAATTAACAATAAAGGATTTGCATTCAAAACATATAAAGAACTTCTACAAGTCATTAGTAAAACAACCAACAAATAGAAAAATGAGCAAAGGACCTGAAAACACACTTCAAAACAGGAAACTGAAATGGCCAACAAATATTTGAAATGACTTTTAATTAATTTAGTAATCAAAAATGAGATATTTTATGACATTTTTGATAATGAGATAATAATCAAATATGAGATATATTTCACTGCTATCTGTTTAGAAAAAATTTAAAAATCTGACCACACCAAATATTAGCAAGAATATGTACCAATGGAGACTCTAATAATAAACTACTGATAGGGGATAAATTGTTATAAGCACTTTAAAAAAATAAGATTAAAAGGAAAGCTGAACATGCATATAATTTCTGAGCAATAATTCTCATAGATTTTACTGAGACATGCTTGAGGAAGTTCAGAGCATCGCTGAGTGTCAGAGAAAAAAAACAACCCACAATTATGTCTATCAACTGTATATTAGTCTGTTCTCATGCTGCTAATAAAGACATACCCAAGACTGGGTAATTTATAAAGGAAAGAGGTTTAATTAACCCACAGTTTCACATGGTTGGGGAGGCCTCACAATTATGGTGGAAGGTGAATGAGGAGCAAAGTCACATCTTACATGGCAGCAGCCTAGAAGAGCGTGTGCAGGGAAACTCCCCTTTATAAAACTATCAGATCTCAGGAGACTTAATATCATGAGAACAGCAAGGGAAAAACTGGCCCACATGATTCAGTTACCTCCCACTGGGTCCCTCCCATGACACATGGGAATTATGGGAGCTACAATTCAAGATAAGATTTAGGTGGTGACACAGCCAGACCATATCAAACAGTATAATATATTCATAAAATGGAATATTGTATAGCAATGAAAATGTACAAACTATAGCTATATGCATTAATATGAATGATACCAATGTAACAGTGAATGGAAACAAAGACTCACAGAAGAATGTACACAATAGAGGTTCATTTATTTAAACTTAAAAAATAATGCATTGCTTAGAAATATAAATATGAAAAAAAGCAAGAGAATGATTTACTCAAAGTTCAGGCTAGTATTACCTTTGATGGAAAGAAAAAAGAAGGGATTCAATAAACAAAGTTTTATAAGGACTGAAAATAATGTATTTCTTGGGATAAGTGGTGGGTGAATGAAAATTCATGTTATTAATCTTCCCCAGATTGTACATATTCTTCATGTGCACTTTTTTTATATATGATACGTCTCACAACATTTTTATATTACATTATGTACCACAGTAATTATATAAGCTATAATCTGGTCCTGTGGCCATGCAGAATAGACACCAAGCGGTTAAATAGCAAACACTGTGGTTTCATAGAAAGATATTTGAAGGTACAGCCCAAGAGATATACTTCAATCAACAACTTCAACAAAGTAGGAGAGAAACTTCCAGATGGTAGAAATTTTAGCAAAATTATTATTTTATCTATTTTTAAAGCTGTGGCTGTGTATAAAAATCCTGCCATTCCTAGGCATGTACACAGCACAAGGACAGGGCCCAGAGACAGTGGAGGATCTGGCAAGGGTTTGAGAGCAGCGTGGTGAAAGAAAGCGGTCTTCTTTTATATGCAAGCCTTGTAAGAATCTGCCTTCTGTGAGCAAATTAGAAGCAGAAGTTCTTTTCATTGTAGAAATACAGCTAGTGATGACACTTTAAAAGTACAAATTCTGAGCAACAGCAGCAGTGACAGTGAGAATTGCCACAATTAGGGTATTCATCTCATTATGATGATGTGGCTGTTCAGATGGTATGCAGAGCATCATGGGACACTGAAGATCAGAAACGCTGCAGAACAAGATGATGAAAGAAGAGGGTGGTTTGAACAAAACCCAGGCATGGACCATTCCCTTAATCACACCTGGCTAAGGGTTCTGATGGCTTAGGGACTAGGAATTGGAAACAATACCAGACACAGTTCTGCTGCATATCAGTATTGGTTTGTTAAGTATATTTTCTCATAAGTTTATGTTTGACTGTTTCATAAGCTACTGAGCTCATTCAGCAGCAAGAGTTCAGTTGATTTCAAACCCCTTTGTTATATTCATAAATTTCCTGGTAAAGAAATTTCTTCAGCAATCTCTATAGAAGTACTTAGATAGGGTGGAATATTTAGAATGAGGGCTGTAATTAGAATTATAGACCCCCAACTGAGGGCTATAATTAGAATTCTGGATGACAATAATGAAAAAGCAGCAGCCTCCTTTATAGAACAGTGCCAGACTCAAACTTCTTTCTACCTGGGCAGAGTTACATATTGTTACCTTAACAATTTTTTTCAATAGGCTCTGTCCCCAGGTAACAAATTACCTTCCCTTCGCTGTTCTTTCTGCTCCTCCACTAATCACCACTATAATCTGACAAACTTAAAATTTTGAAAGTGATTTAACTTTTAAACTCAGCTCTAGAGTTTTTTTTCTAGAAACAGAAACTTCCAGATGTAGATCATTTATTTAAATGACATATTCCTTTAAATTGATAGGGAGCCAACTCACAATCCCCAATAATGGAAACTAGGTACAGCAGACATAACCTAATTCCAATGATGATGAAAGAAGCTCATTTGCATTCTCTTTATCAAACTTTCACCAGAGTTACAGTATCTGAGAGAACTGGTTTAAGCTTCATCCTCTTTTATTTATCTTACCGTTTCTCTAGTGAGAGGACGAATGAGTCACCGGAGTCAGGCAATAGGGAAAGGAGATCCAGGGAGAAGAAAACCACATAATCCCTTAACTGGATAATCACCTCTGAGTCAATAAAGTTGAACATGCTTTCTCCTTGGTTTTAAGGCTAATTTAGAAACTGCATGTTTTTACTCTGAATGTGAATACCCAGGGTGACCAGATTTCCTACACCACCACCACTCCTGTCAGCAATATGTCTATCAGTGCAGCCTTCACTTCACCTTTGCACCTTCTTCTTTTCTTTTTCTCTTTTTCCTGTTCACCACCAGCTATCCTTCCTTCTTCCAGGGCCTCCTTTTCCTGAATTCTTTACTACAGCAGTAAACATGTAAGTTCCACAGGGGCTCCAAAGATTAGTTGAGGGCCCACAGGAATAAAAAGTGTCTTCAAGCTTCATTCACTCTGCCCACTACCCCCTGATGCCACAGAAGAGAGCTAACTTCCGTTGTGCACTAGCTATATGTCAGACATTGCTGGATGCCCTGCTTCCGTCCTCTACTCTCTCTTGCCTTCAGCAAAGTGCAGTATCCGTTTATGTTACCTATTTTACAGAGTCCTCAAATGGATTATGTTTTATTCTGTTACTGAGTAGCAGAGGCAAGATAGAGACACAAGCTTTTACTCTTTCTACCACAAAATGCTACCAGGCACAATATACAGTATCTCTTATTGTGTTCTTACTTTCAGTCTATAATTTGGTACTTATATTATGTTTCTCATATTAGTTCCCATTTAGAGAGGAAATTATTAAATTGTAGAACATTAAATTTTTAATTACAAAACTAAAGAGAAGGAAATTCTAGTCTGAGGATTTTAATGGGTACTGAAATCAATCTGGTTTCACTTAAAATACTTCAAGGGAATTTCAGAGAAATCGAAAGATCAAAACTGTTTTGTATTTACTTCTGGTTAAGAATGACAGCTTGTGGTACTATCTCTGTTCCCTTCAAAAATTCTACTAGAATACAGCAAGGAGAATTTTTTAAAAGTCATAAACCCACAGGACCAAGAGAATAGAAAAGAAAACAGAAGTAACAAAATTCTAAATTCTGGAAAGCAAATGAATGAGTGCAACAGACTTAGCATACCCAAGAAAGCAAACAGCTAAAACAGCAGTAGAGAAAGGCAAGAAAAAAACAGATTTATGTCACAAAAAACCCAAGAGACTCAGAAATTGACAACACCCAGGACTTTGGAAAATAGGGGTGAAGGTAGAACTAATAAAAGAAGGATTGATTGATAATCTGCATGAGATTTCCAAATACAGTAGTCTCCTCTTATCCCTGGTTTCACTTTCCACAGTTTCAGTTATCCACAGTAAACTGTGGTCTCAAAATATTGAAAGGAAAATTCCAGAAAGAAGCAATCCACAAGTTTTAAATTGCATGCTATTCTAAGCCCGGCACAATGGCTCATGCCTGTAATCCCAGCACTTTGGGAGGCCCAGATGGGCTGATCATGTGAGGTCAGGAGTTCAAGACTGATGGCAAAAACCCATCTCTACTAAAAAATACAAAAATTAGCTGGGTGTGATGGTGCACACCTGTAATCTCAGCTATTTGGGAGGCTGAAGCATGAGAATCGCTTGAACCCAGGAGGCAGAGGTTGCAGTGAGCCGAGATCACACCACTGCACTTCAGCCTGGGTGATGGAGTAAGACTCTGTCTCAAAAAAAAAAAAAAAAGAATGCATGCTGTTCTCAGTAGCGTGATGAAATCTTGCTCTGTCCCATCTAGGATGTGAATCCTCCCTCCATCCACCATATCTATGCTGTAAATGTTTCCCACATGTTAGTCACTTACTAGCCATCTTGGTCATCAAATTTACTGTCCCCTATCACAGTGCATGTGTTCAAGTAACCCTGATTTTACTTACTAATGGCCCCAAAGGACAAGAGTACTGTGCATAATTTCTAAATTAAACTTTCTGGTAGGTACGTATGTATAGGAAAAACATAGTAGATACAGGGCTTGGCACTATCTTTAGTTTCAAGCATCCACAGGGGGTCTCAGAAGTATCCCCCAAAGGTAAGGAGGAGACTACTGTACCTACTCTGATACCAACAGCCAGGTGGATATACTTCTAACCATGGCAAAAAACAGAAGTTTATTCTCCAGTGATAGTAGGGCAAGGGGTCTCTGAACAGAAAAACACCAAGCTCAACTGATAAGATACACTGAAAGCTGGTGGTTAGGTAAAACTATTAATAAGAGCCTCTGCTCTCCAGTTCTCTTTCTATATTTGCTTTCCAGAAACATGAACTATTCCCTCCAATAAGATATTGTAATGTCTTTCTCTAGGGAATCTGAATATCCCAAGAAAAGGGCCCAAAGATATGGACATTGGATCTGCCTCATTGAAACCACCCAAGCTGATCACCCTGATCTTCAGCCCATAGTTCCCCTCAGCTACATGTACAGAGTTTACAGGTAGCTCTGTAGTGTCCTACTCTTAACCATGAGCAGAAGGACATGGCTCTCCAAACTTTTAGCAGTGCATCTAATATGAAAAACGGAAGGGCCAAATAAACATCTAAAAATCACATGGAGGTAAAAAAATGCAAGAAAAAAAATCATAAAAGCTATCACTAAATATAGCTTTTATGAATAATAGTCTCAGAAAGATAAGAAGGTATTACATCCATTAAACAGTAGTATAATGTTAAAAAATTAGATAAATTTTTTAAAAGCTCAAAGAAATTAGAAAGAAGATAGTATATGTAAAAATTTCAGTGAGTAGTTGGAAAATAAGGTTGACAAAATCTCACAGAAAGGAGAGCAAAAAATACAAACAGAAGACAACAGAAGTTCATAAAATTAAGAAATTAGAAAGCTAGTTCCAGTAATTCCACATTCAAATATTAGCAGCTTCAGAAAGAGAAAATGAAGAAATTGAAAGAAGCAAATCAAAGAACTGATTCAAAAATATCAGTCAGACCAGTGGGTGAGTTTCTAATCCGAAGGATCTATCATGTGCTTAGCATAATGGATAAAATTTGACCCATGCCACAGGCACACTGTGACAAGTGCTGTCATGCAATCCTCAGATTTCCATTCAGGAATGAAGGACTCTTTCCCCCAGCTGCTGGGAGTGCTGCCAGCCATCTTTGGGGATTGCATTAACAGAAGAAAATTGCCTTTCCCAAGGTCACTCCTTCCAGGAGCAGCTCATATCTAGTCAACATGGGGATAAAGGACTCACCTCCTTGACCCAACTCAGGACAACCCTGAAGGGTTACCCCAGCTATAGAGCCAATACAGTCCCTAATAGTGAATGTTGGGGTGAGGCAGTTGAAAAGTACGTCACAACTCAACTTTTCCCTATGCCTTCTCATACTTCCTTCCGCTCCCTCCACAGGTATTGATTCCAAGACCACTTCCTAATAAATCTCTCACACACTAATTTCCATCTTAGAGTCTGTTTCTTGGGAATTCAACCTGTAGTACACATTACTCTGAATTTTCAGAATGCTTGAGGTTTTTAAAAAAGGAAAAAATAACAAATCCATAAAGCCTTCTGAATGGGGGTACAAAGGAAATGAGACTGAGGAGGAGTGCAGGTTTCATACAAAAGAACAAGGATGAAAATGGTTTTGGATTCTCAATAGAAACACTGAAAACTAGTAGACATTGAAGAAAGTTTTTAAACTAAGAGAGAAAAAACTGCTTCAAACCTGGAAGTTTATACCCAGCCAAATTCTAAATCAAGTATGAGGGTAGAATAAAGACATTCTTGGTCTCATAAAATTTACCACTCATGTATTTTTTCCTAGGAATCAACTGCAGCATATGCATAAGTAAAATGATGGAATAGACCAAAAAACAAAACAAAACCAAACCAAAAAAAACACCAAACAGTAAACAACATGGAATTCAGGACATGGGGGCTTCAACTCAGGACAATGTGAAAGAGAACCCCCAGCATGACTGAATGATAAAAGATATCCCAAAATGATAACTGTTCCAGAGAGAGCCCTCGAGAGCAAGCAAATCCAACAGGTCCAAGTAAGACTGCTCTGCTGAGATTTGTTCAATCAACTAAAAGAGACAGGCTGCCAGATAGGTTTTAATCTATCCTGAGGAAGTTTACATGGCTGAAGGAGTTTGGGAATAAATTAGTGGTATGTACCTAGAAAACTAAAATATGAAAAAAAGACCATTTATAACTTCCAAGAAAATAAAAAATGTGGAAGATCCTCCACACAAAACTAAAATAATGTCTTTTGCAGCAACTTGGATGGAACTGGAGGCCATTATCCTAAGTGAAATAACTCAGGAATGGAAATCCAAATACCTCATGTTTCATTTATAAGTGAGAGCTAAGCTATAGGTACACATGGGGCATAAAAATTGGCATAATGGACATTGGAGACTCAGAATGGGAAGGTAGGGAGGGGGCTGAGGGATAAAAAAATATTTATTGAGTACAATGTACATTTTTCGGGTCACAGGTACACTCAAAGCCCAGACTTTACCACTACACAATTCCTCCAAAACCCACTTGTACCCCTAAAGGTATTGAAATTTTTAAAAATTAAAATAAAACAAAAATGTGGAAGAAAGGAAAAGAAAGACAAAACCTTGCATAGTTTTAATTGTGTGAATATTGTTATCCAAATGTAAATTACAATATTTGTTGAAAGATCTAGCCAAAATTAGAGCTAACTATATTGGGAGAATGAAGGGACAGCAAGAGTGTGTGCACACGTGCATGTATTAGGGAGTGGGAGTGTGTGAAGAGAGTGAACCCCCATTTTTCATAGCTGAAAGGCAGTAGAAATGTCTAAAACTGGAAAATCAAGTGAGAACACTGCAGCATGTTATACACAAACACAAAAATACACAAAAAGCCGGGTGCAGTGGCTCATGCCTGTAATCCCAGCACTTTGGGAGGCCGAGGCGGGCAGATCACAAGGTCAGGAGATCGAGACCATCCTGGCTAACACGGTGAAACCCTGTCTCTACTAAAAATACAAAAAATTAGCCGGGCGCGTGATGGTGGGCGCCTGTAGTCCTAGCTATTTGGGAGGCTGAGGCAGGAGAATGGTGTGAACCCTGGAGGCGGAGATTGCAGTGAGCCGAGATCACGCCACTGCACTCCAGCCTGGGTAACAGAGGGAGACTCCGTCTCAAAAAAAAAAAAAAAATTCGTTATAAGTGGAAAGTTATTACTCACTGGGAGCAGGTATATGTGGAAAAGGTGGGAAATACCATTGATAAAAGCAAAAATCAAATTAAAAGAAGAATAATAATTTTTTTTGTTTTTGAATTTATTTGTTGGCTTTATTCTGTCCAGAAAACTATGTTGCCAAAAGTTTGAGAACCTTGATTTGAGGTTTGTTTTACTAGCACTGTGGGTGCTACTTCATTCTTTTGGAGATTTTTACTGGCTGAGTAAAGATGACAAAAAGGAATCATCAAACTAGTTTTTTATGCTCATGATATTTCCCAAAATCTCAGCTGGTCAAATAGTCTTCATGAGTACACTTTGAGGTACAATATGTTATTTTTGGTATCTCTAAAATGTAGTTAAATTACGATATTTTTAAAATCAAGAAAAACTCCGGAGCAACAAGGCAAGACCCCATCTCTACAAAAAAATTTAAAAAATTAGCCAGATGTGGTGCACACCTGTAGTCCCGGCTACTCGGGAGGCTAAAGAAGGAGGATCACTTGAGCCAGGAAGGTTGAGGCTATAGTGAGTCAGGATCACACCACTGCACTCCAGCCTGGGTGATGGAGTGAGGCACTGCCTAAAATAAAATAAAATAAAATAAAATAGTAAAATCAAGGAAAAAAGTTGACCACCTCCTGTTTTATAATTAGTGCCACAGAAGGAAATATTCTCTGCAAAGGAAACAATTTGCATGCTCACCTCCTAAATACAACAGAAAATAAGGGCTGTTTCTGAGTAAAATCCAATGTGCTTACTTGGATGACTTGGAGGGAGACAATGGGATATTGATATAGAAGGGACATGCCAAAGTGAAGCCGACATCCCTGACCCCAGAGTGTACCAGTGGGTCACTGCCTCTTCCTGCCTCTAAAGATAAAGAATACGGTGGATCGCAGCCCCTGAGGTGAATGGACTCGGTGGGAATCTCCTGAAGAAGGGAAGGTCTTTGAGCCTTAGTGTGTTGATCCTGAATAGGAAGAAACCCTAGTGAGGCGCTAGAGGGTCTTCACCAAATGCCCCACAGCTTAGCCCTACTGCCAGGCATGGCACTGTCATACAGAAGACACTCATTAAAAACATATCGGGTGAGGGAATGGCAGATACAAGCTCTAAGAGCTAGGCCACCAAAGCCTTAAGAAAAAAAAGTCAACAGAAAATTCAAAGTTTTTTTTTTTAAAAATATGCAATCATTGAAAAAGAAAGCTCTCCCTGGCCAGATGCAGTGGCTCACACATGTAATTTCAGCACTTTGAGAGGCCAAGGCAGGCAGATCATTAGAGTCCAGGAGTTCAAGACCAGCCTGGGGAACATGGTAAAACCCCGACTCTACAAAAAATACAAAAATTATGGCTGCATATTATTCCATGGTGTATATGTACCACATTTTCTTTATCCAGTCTATCATTGATGGGCATTTGTGTTGGTTCCATGTCTTTGCTATGGGGGTGGGGGGTGAGGGGAGGGAAGTTAGAGGAAGGGTCAATAGGTGCAGCAAACCACCATGGCATACGTATACCTATGTAGCAACCTTGCACATTATGCACATGTATCCCGGTTATTTTTAGAAGAAATAAATAAATGCAAATAAAAATACAAAATACAAAAATTAGCCAGGCATGGTGGTATGTGCCTGTTGTCTCAGCTGCTCAGGAGGCTGAGGTGGGAGGATCTCTTTAGTCCGGGAGGTAGAGGCTGCAGTGAGCTGTGATTGCACCACTGCATTTCAACCTGGGCAATAGAGTGAAAACCTGTCTCAAAGAAAAATAAAAAAGAAAAAGAAGAAGGAAAGGAAAGGAGGAGAGGAGAGGAGAGGGGAGGGGAGGGGAGGGGAGGAAAGGAGGAAGATCCCCCTGCATTAGGAGCACAGCACAAGTAGATTTTCTTCCCTAAAGCTGGAATGGCTTAGGAAAACAAGGGCTTCTCAAAGTACAGAAAGTAATCAGTAGCGTGAAAATAACCAACTCATGGAAGGACAAAAAGTGGGTGCTGTGGTCTGAATGTTGGTGTCCCCCCAAAATTTATGTTTTGGAACCTAATACACCCAAATATTAGCATATTACAAGGTGAGGCCTTTGAGAATTATTCAAATCATGAGGTCTTTGCTCTCTTGAATGAGATGAATTCCCTTATAAAAGAGGTCGAAGGGAGCTGCCTTGCCCCTTCCGCCATGGCACCTTGATTTTGGATTTCTCAGCCTCCAGAAATGTAAGCAATACATTCATATTGTTTATAAATTACCTAGTCTAAGGTATTTTGTTATAGTAGCCTGAACATAACTAAGACAGCAGGACTGAAAGCTCCCAGATGAAAAGCAAGCTTAACGGGATTTAGTTAGTTAGTTAGTTAGTTAAAATAACTTCCACTTTTGTTTCAGATTCAGGGGGTATGTCTGCAGGTTTGTTACATGGGTTATTATGTGATGCTGAGGTTTGGGGTACAATTGATCCTGTCACGCAGGTATGGAGCATAATATCCAATAGTTAGTTTGTCAACACTTTCCCCTATTCCTCCCTTCCCCGTCTAGTAGCCCACAGTATCTATTGTTGCCATCTTTATATCCATGAGTACCTAATGTTTAGCTCCCACTTATAAGTGAGAACATGCAGTATTTGGTTTTCTGTTCCTGTGTTAATTTGCCTTCAGTTGTATCGATGTTGCTGCAAAGGACATGATTTCATCCTTTTTATGGCTGCATAGTATTCCATGATGTATATGTACTATTTTCTTTATCCAATCCACTTTTGATGGGCACCTAATTTGATTCAATTTAACTGGGTTTAAATGACAAAAAAGCACCATCAATGAGAGCAAACATATTCTTGATTGCCATGGGCATTTGAGGGCTAGGTGTCAAGGAGAAAGGAAGTGAGAGCCATAGCCAATGCCTGGTGAGCATGGATACTGATTAACTGTGTTCCAGGTACTGTGCAGACAGCTGTAGATGTGTTCACGCATTTAATCATCACAACAATACTACACAGTAAAGATGTGCTGCATAACCCCGAAGGTTGCTGATCACACTGTAAAACGCCAGAATACCTCATAGCACACCATCCTGTGGGATGACTACAGAGGATATAGGAATGGCTGTTTGGTCCTGGAAAGGTCACCATTCTTGCCCAAGGAATAGGTAGTGGTCATTCTTCCACATGCTAGGTCCCATGAAGGAGATCATTTTATTGGCCTCATTGTACAGTGAAGAAACTAGGGCACAAAGGGAGTAAGTATCTTGCCCTAGGTCACTTCGCTAGTACGAAGTGGGGCTTGTATCCAAACCCAGGCAGGCCAGCTCCTGTTAGGCCTGTGTTTTAATAACCACACCTTACTCTTTCAAAAAAAAAAAAAAAAAGGCAGGGTAGTGAGGGAGAAGAGTAATGGGAATGGGGCAATGAAGAAGAAAAAGGAAATAAAACAGAGGGAAAAGTCTTTGGCTTAGGTACTAAGCATGGATGTGGTTCTGTAGATTGCTCTGGAGGACTCTGCTCAGGTAATTTTCTTCATAGGGGATTGCTTTCCCCTTTTGAGAGTGGTGTTCAAATAAGATCTTCATGGAGGAGAAATTTGTCAGAAAACACCTTCTCACATAGCAAAAATAAGGTTTTCTTCTTTTTTTTTTTAATTTTTTTAAGAGACAGCATTGCTATCAGTGGTGACAGCTCCCCGGTGGATGCGGGGCCTGCCATACATAACCTCCCTCTGGACTCCACCTTGACTTCCTGGTCTGCTGCTTAAGCATAAGGCAAGCTGATGTGTGGAGCAGGAAATGTGATGCTACCATCCTTCCTCCTCTGGGTGGAAAGTGGGAAATGGAAATCTATGAACCTGAAATAGGTCATCTGTGGATTTAGGTGATAGACCCATAAGCGAGAAAGCAACTAAAAGGTCTGCGAAAACTTGACCCCCCTTTCACAAATGCCAGAGAAACTTCATCCTACAGGGAGGCTGCCACCAGGATTATTAAATGGCTTTGCCTGTGCTCTTTGCTTCTGTGGCAGAAATGTTACTTGCTTTGTAAAATAAGAAATATGGCTTGCTTTCCTTGATGTTTGAATAATTCTGCATTATCCAAATAATACCTACTAATATATAGCAGTGTATCTTTTAAGTGGACTTGCTTGGAGTTTGTTGAAGGCTCCACTCATCACCCCCTTTCACCATCTAAGGAGCCAGATGAAGAGGACATCATGCTAGGGCAAAAGAACTGAAATATCAATACGATTCAACAACCCACAAGGGCACACATACTAAATCATGAAATATTCAAGGGTATATTTCTCATGTTTGTAAACGTTTTTTGGTTCAAGATATATAAGACAAAATCTATGTCCTCCATATTGCACAGGTATGCACAAATATGACCTTTGGTTGGACCTAGAGACTATTGTCTCTAGGATACCCCTCTGTCTACTATGAAGAATGAACCTTTCACTTGCAAAACAACTTACTCAACACTGAAAAAGGGACCATGTTATTAATCTTCTAGATATTTATTGATTACCTGGAATGTGCAAAATATTCACATTTAATGTCACAGAGCTAGCAATCTAGCTAGGGAGGTAGGTCTACAGATATACCTAATAATAATAATAATAATAGCTAACATTTGCTAAGAGAATATTCCAGGCACTAAGCTTTATATACATGACTCTCAGTCTCACATAATTCCTACAACCCTGAAAATACAATTTACCTCTGTAAATAAAATTATTACCATTTTACAGAAGAGGAAACCAAACTACAAAGATTCAAATGACTTGCCCAAAGTCACACAGCTAAGAAATGGCAGAGTTGGGATTCAAACTCAGGCAGGCTGGCTCTAGGGTCTAGCCTATTTATACATCACTCTATAGCCTCTAGATAGGATGAAATGGGTATTTTGATTTAAAAGAATTTTTTAAGGTAAAGTTATTGTCAAACAGAAAATTGCTGCTTGTCTATTTTATTATTATTTTATTGTCAAAATGGGAGAGGAGTTAAGCTAACACTAAACAGGTAAGAGGATGACTAAGCAAAGAAGTGAGGATAGGGAGCACTTTGGAAGGGAAGGTGCTAAATCTCAGCGGCAAAAACAAGGTAAGTAGGATCAAGAAACTGCAAGGAGATTTAGGGTCTACAAGAGGGTTAGAGGGCCTCAAAGTGGCACCAGCCAGCATTGGGGAGTTGACGAAACAGGGGACAAATCAGGCCAGACCAAACATGGATAAGGAGTTTGGCATTTCATGTCATATCCTCTGTGTTTAAAAATGTAGTCAAACACCAGGATTGACAGTATATTTTAACCCCAAACCATCTAAGTAGGATACTCACTCTTCAAATTGTCAACTTTAAGGAGACAGTGGTTGTCAGCACAGCATGACTGGGGAGGGTGGTAGGGAGCAGGCATAATGGGGAAATTTTCTTTTTTAATAGTCAGAACTTTGAATTCTAAAATCAAAGCCATGATTCAATTTATTGTGTGAAAGTTTGACAATATACGATATTCGCCAACATTGAAAGTAAAATCTTTGCCCACTACACCCATTACCCTGTGACCCCAGGGCTCAAATATTTTAGATTCACTGAGACAGAAGCCCTTCATTTGTAAAATGGCCTATCATCTTCACCACCAATGGTCGCTAAATTAACTAAGTGTGACTCAACTAAAGAAGGTCTTCGCATCGTCTTCAAACAGCCACACTGTTTCAGATCTAATCTCTTGGATTAGAAATGAAATGCAGCCCTTTGATTTGTACCCTTCCTCCCTGCTTATGTGAGAATGCAGGATGAGTGGAACAGTTTACAGACACCAATCCCCACTGAAACATATAACCTGACAGCCTCCTCATCTGTCTACTGTTTTCAGTTACCATTCCTTCTCTAGAAACACCACTTGGAAAACCCAGGGACAATCCTTAAGTACTGACAGCACCCCCTCCTTCACTAAATCTACCCTCAGATTAATTGGCACTGATACAAGCCATTCACAGCTGTATACAAGATGTTAAGGAGTGCAGTGGAGGGGGTGGTTATGATTGTCTGCACACTGTCATTGCGTTGTAAGAACAGATCTGTCCCCTTCAGAAATGGCAGGATAATAGAATGTAGTAGAGCGTCTTGGCAATCAATGCCATCATGGAAATAAGAGCACATCTCAGTGACAAAAATAAAGATGGAATGTACAAAGCCCTCTCTCTCTTCATTAGAACTCTCAAGAGCAGCTCATTACTTTAACCTTTCCACCTTCACTGGATGCACAATTAGAAACATGCATTTCCATGGGCACTAAACCCACTCACTTGCTCACTCTGCCCTCATTAGGCTTCAGTGGGGCCCAATTAGCTGGATGGTCATAAACAAAAGTTTGTGACTTGAAAAAACAGAAAGAGAACATTCTTGGAGCCAAAAGAGAATAAAGAAAATCCTGCACACCCCATCTGATTAATTATCTGAAATCTACAGAGTTTTATATTTGACATGAGCCTACACTTTTTGTTTTGATAGAAAAAACTTATGGTGGAAACATTGAGTTCTCCTATGGCAGACATCCTTATTTGCTCAGGTCACAGAATATTTACTAAAATTGAGTCAACCTTTTAAAATAAAGAAATTTTGCAAATTGTCTGCATCCTTTGAAAAGAAGTCAGAAAGTTTAGCAACAGTGGGTCTACTTTCCCGTATGGTCACACGGCTGAAGATGAGTAGTGTCTGCCGTACACAGTGAATATGTGTTCCACATCACTTCCCTCCCAGCTGTCTCTGCTTGCCTCACCTCCTGAGCCAGCCTCACTTCTCTTGTTCACAGCACACACCTTGTAGTTACGGGGTGAACTCAAAGCTCTACAACTTACCAGCTTGGACAGGTTATTTAATTAAACTCTCTGTCCCTCAGTTTCTTTTCCTTTCTTTTTTTAATATAAAATGGGGTTATAGTATCCACCCACTGGTTTGCTGTGAGAATTAAATGAGCTAAAACTTGTAAATTGTTTAAAATTATGCCTGACATATAAGTACTTGATAAGTTTAGTCATTACTGGTCTCTACCATCATCATCATCATTATCATCATCATCATCAACACCACCTGCCTAGAGAACATAACCCAGTTGGGTTTCTTCATTCTTCCAGTGGAGTGGTGAATGCAATGTAATTACCACCAGGAACACAGTCTATAATAAAGATGGTCTGGGAACAATTTTTATCTAGAACACCATGCCAATAATCTTTATTACAATTCTATGGTGAGGCAAACAATGGACTAGACAAAGAGAAGGCAAAATATCAGAAACAAAAAGTAATCATTGCCCAACCCTGATAACCTCAAAGTGTGTGAAGGAAGGCATCAGCAGTATATGATGGAGGTGTTATGGAGGAAATAGATGAACACAATACTGAAAGGAGGAACAACAGCAGAGCAATGGCCCCATAGGTGCCTGGGAGAGAAAGGCAATTTGTTTTGAGGAGCTTTCAGGCCTAGATCCTAATTCATTTCTCCCCAGTACCTTAGTGAGAATTTGACTATGTGAACAGGAATTTGGGTTTGCTCCAGTAGAGGCTAATCACATTCCCAGACCCAATTGCATCAACAGTATCCTTTCCAGTAGCCTTCACCGGCTCTGAAGTAATAGAAGAGGATAAAGAAGCACCTCACTGACGTGCACATACGACAGGCGTGTTTTTGTTTGATTGCTCAACTACATTTTTCCTTTTGTCTTAATTTATTCAGATTGTTGGTTAATATCACACTACAGAATACCTTCTAATTAAGATTCTCTATCAGGTTCAGTAACCACTACTACTTTCAGGGGCATTTGAAAAAGGGTGGGTGTGCTCTGGTTGTCCCAGTGATGGGTGTATGCTACTGGTAGTTAGTGGGTAGGGGCCAAGGATGCTAAATGTCCGATTGATGACAGGGAGACTCAGGCAGAACCAACTAGTGTTCATCCCAAAAGGCTGGGAGCAATCTCATTGAAAAACACCAAATGATTCATTATTATTCCTGTTCAATTAGAGCATGAGTAAAATTTTCCCCAAAGCACAAGTGCATTCTGATAGACTGATCAGTTCACAATTGACCTCAGTCCCAAACACCAGTGTTAGAAAGTAGTTCAGTTGAATTTTCACTGAGAAGGAATATCAGTAGTGACAACAGCAGCATCTATTCCAGATACCCCCTAGAATTTTTGTTCTTCCTTTGACACTTCTAGAATTAGCCCACATGATTTCAAAGTCTCTTCCAAGACTCTAATTCCCCCTTTTCAGGGAGATTAAGACCAAAACCCTAGTATGTTCTAGCTCCTATCCTGGGTGTGAAGAATATGCCTTAGTACACCAGACAGAAAAGGTTTATGTTCTTATCAGTCTTCTATCCTTGAAAGAGGAGACAAACAATATACTAGTAAATAAATAATGAAAAAGATCATTTTCAGTGATGAGAAGAGGCATGAGTACAATGAAAGATGGTGCTGTGATGGTATGTGGTTGGTTAGGACTCCCTTGATGGAACACAGAAGATTCTGTGGGGCTGATTCCTGGCTGACAAGAATGAATTCAGCATATGAAGATGGGGCATGATGGGTAGAGTGTCCCAGGCAGAGAGTATAACAAGAACAAAAACCTTAGGGCAAGATGAAGCAGACATGTTTCAGGAAGAAAAAGAATTCAATGTGGCTGAACTAGAGGGAAACGAGTTGGAGAGGTAAGTTGGTACTAGTTCAAGAAGGTCATCTGAGATTGCAGAGAACCATCTGGATTTTATTCAAGATGCAGTGGGAAGCCACTGAGGAGTTTTAACCAGTGAAATGATAGGTTCAAATGCACATTTTAGAAAGAGAACCTCAGCTGCTGTGTGGAGAATGGATTGTAGGGACAAGAGTATAAGCAGGGATATCAGCTAAAAGGCTGTTGGACAAAAATTTGGAATAACTGGCTCCTAAAATCCCTTTCAATCCAAAAATTCCTTCTTTGGTCCTATGGTTCATAAGAGGCCATGAATACAAGACAGAGCCCAGAAAACAGAGGGTTGGTGTAACATGAAGCTAAGGCCCATTTGCTAGCAGGATCATGTTTCATCAAAGATAACAGTTCTCTAGGGCTACCACAAGGACTCTGCAGTTTTAGACTCTCACGCCCTGAAATCTTGCTAGAGTTTTGTGGCAAAGAACCCATAATGGTACTAGTGTACCAGTTGTAAGGGTTTGAAACCAAAAGTCCTCTACATAGGATGTTTAAACCACAAATATTTCTAATTACTTATATTAGACACAAAATGTAGAAGGTATTGATTTTTCCTCCATTGTTATTGTTAAGCAATTTGCTTTCTCAAAGTCCTCCTGTAACTGTAAATTCAAATAAGAAATACATTTTATAATGTGCCCTGTCTCCCACCTCCTTCCAGAAGGAGAAGATCCACACTACCAAGAAATGGCGACTGTCAACTATTATTGCCCTGGGATCACAGCTACTCATATTAGAGTTAAAAGGACTGTGAGGGACAACCATGTTTGACTCCTCTGATAAACAGAAGTTGGCTTCCTCAGGGTACCTTCCTAAACTTAGAACTTTCTTCCATGTGGATATTTGAATATTACAAATTGTCTAGAAGCCTTCCCCTGCAAGACAGAGAAGGCTTAGGAAGTGGTTAAAGTCCTAATTCATGAAATAATTCCTAGATTTGGGCTTCCCCAAAGCTTACAAAGTGACAATGGTCCAGCTTTTAAAGACCTGGTAACTCAGAATTTCCAGGGTGCTAGGGATACAATATCACCTTCACTGTGTCTGCAGGCCACAATCCTCAGGAAAGGTTGAGAAGGCAAATGAAACACACAAGAGGCACTTAAGGAAATTAACAAAAGAAACTTGTCTCCATGGCCTACTGTCTTGCCCATGGCCTTGTTGAGAATACGAAATTCTCCTCACAAAATGGGGCTTAGTCCATATGAAATGCTGTGTGGATGACCTTTTCTCACAAATGACCTCCTACTTGATCAGGAAACAGCCAACTTGGTCAAAGATATAACTTCTTTGGCAAAATATTAACAAAACCTTAAAAACCTACCCAAAGGATGTCACAGAGACGAGGGAACAAAGTTGTTCCAACCAGAAGATCTAGTGTTGGTCAAGTTCCTCCCCATCTATGGGTTCCTTGTGGGAAGGACCATACTCAGTAATCCTCTCTACCCCCACTTCAGTTAAGGTGGCAGGAGTGGAATCTTGGATTCACCACACCGGAGCTAAACTTTGGACAACCCCTGAGGAACCTGTGGGACTGTCAGCTCAGGAGCCCCAAGATCAGCCAGATCAGCCTCGATATACCTGTGAACCACTGGAGGACTTGCATCTCCTATTTTGGAAGGAAACATCCCAGACTAAAAAGGCTCCTACAGCTGATCCTGAGGAAAAACCCCTTCCTAATTAAAAAAGATAAGTGAAAACCTACATAATCTTTAACACCTCTCCTTGCCCATTTAATGGAATCCTTTTACTGTTTCATCACATTATTAAGCAGCATACTAACCATACTCTTTGCAGTAGGACTATATCTGTACCTCCTGCCAGGACAAAAGTCTTAATCACATCAACCTTTTTTCTATCATCCTTCCTTCTGACAGCAATTTACTCCTACCTTTAACTCAGACTGGATAAAATGATCTCATCTTCCAGGGCACTCTCTTTACCTTCCTACTTACTCTTTGCCTATCTATCCCTCCTGATTCCTTGGATACCCTACATAGTCACCCATCCCTTTCCACTAGCTCCTAATTACCTCTACGAGACTCTCAATTTAACCTACTCTCTGTTAAGCCAGTTCAGTCCTTCCCTGGCAAATGACTGTTGGCTTTGTACCTCTCTATCAACCACTGCTTACGTTGCCACTCCCATTCCCGCAAAACTGGGTCTTTATTAACTTAACCTACCACTCCTGTTAAGAAGGAAAAGACCCTTTCCAACTTCTAAATATGCAATCATTAGCTGACTTCCCCATCTCTGATAGGACCAAAAATACCCTAATAGGACATGCAATCCAGCTTTTACGCTCTTACATTTCCAACCTCACCTATTACACGAGCAATGAAAAGCCCATACACGGCCCTGTAACCACGAACGCCATCTTAAATTTCCAGGCACCTTTATGCATCCAACGCAACCTGTTATCAGGCCTGCCCCTGGGGCACCTATTATCCCATCAGTGTAATTACACCCTACAACTTCAAGCCCCAACTGATCATAGTAACTTCCAAGTCACCCAAACAGCTCCATTCAGATGGCCTATCCACTTCTCAGGGCCCCCAGAAATCATTACCTCCTCCCTGCTCAACAAAGAGTCCGGGTTTTGTAATGGCAAACATACTCCCTGCATGACCATTCACCCCAGACCCCCTGCAGCAGTGCCCCTTATCATCCGGTCTTTCAATGAATGAATGCCTTATCATCCCCTCTTTCAATTACTCTCTTGAATGGTTCCTACTAGACACAAAACGATTTTTTCTCCAATGGGAAAATAGAACACAGGGAGCCACTCAGTTTGCTCCCAACACCCCTTTCCAGCTGCTCACAGGAACTACCTTGGCAAGTACTATAGGAGTATGGGAAAATAAAAACAAAAAACTCATACACCTTTTTAACATACACAACTGATTCTATCTACCCAGCCAAGGCATATTATTCTTATGTGGAACTTCAAACTATATCTGCCTCCCCATGAACTGGACAGGCACCTGGACCTTAGTCCTTCTAAGTCCCAACATTAACATTGCCCCAGGACATCAGACACTATCAGTACCCCTCAAAGCTCAAGTCCATCAGCGCAGGGCTATACAACTAATACCCCTACTTATGGGGTTAGGAATAGCAACTGCTACATGAACTGGAATAGCCAGTTTATCTACTTGATTATCCTACTACCACACACTCTCAAAGGATTTCTCAGAGAGTTGGCAAGAAATAACAAGATCTATCCTTACTCTACAATCCCAAATAGACTCTTTGGCAGCAGTGACTCTCCAAAACCGCCAAGGCCTAGACCTCCTCACTGCTGAGAAAGGAAGACTCTGCACCTTCTTAGGGGAAGAATGTTATTTTTACTCTAACCAGTCAGGGATAGTACAAGACACTGCCCAGAGTTTACAGGAAAAGGCTTCTGAAATCAGACAATGCCTTTCAAACTCTTATACCCACCTCTGGAGTTGGACGACATGGCTTCTCCCCTTTCTAGGTCCCATGACAGCCATCTTGCTATTATTCGCTTTTGGGTCCTGTATTTTTAACCTCCTTGTCAAATTTGTTTCCTCCAGGATTGAGGCCATCAAGCTACAGATGGTCTTACAAATGAAATCCCAAATGAGCTCAACTCACAACTTCTACCGAGGACCCCTGGACTGACCCACAGGCTCTCTGACTGGCCTAGAGAGTTCCCCTCTGAAGGACACTACAACTGCAAGTCCCCTTCTTCGCCCCTATCCAGCAATAATTAGCTAGAGTGGTCATCGCCCAGTTCCCAATAGCAATGTCCTATTTAGTGGGGGGATTGAGAGGTGAGGCCAGCTGGGCTTCCTGGGTCCAGTGGGGACTTGGGGAACTTTTCTGTCTTACAAGAGGATTGTAAAATGCACCAATCAGGAACTTTCCTGTTTGACAAGAGTATTGTAAAACACACCAATCAGCAGGATTCCAAAAGTAGCCAAATGCTGGGAGGATTGGAAAAAAGGCACTCCGATAGGACAGAACTGGAACAAGGGAGGGGCCAATAAGGGAATAAAAGCTGGCCACCCCAGCCAGCAGTGGCAACCCACTTGGGTCACCTTCCACGCTGTGGAAGTTTTGTCCTTTCGCTCTTCACAATAAACCTGGTACCGCTCACTGTTTTGGTCCGTGCCATCTTTAAGAGCTGTAATGCTCACTGAGAAGGTCTGTGGCTCCATTCTTGAAGTCAGCAAGACCACAAGCCCACCGGCAGGAACCAACTTCGAACATGGTTTCATAGTTTAAGGGCTTAAATTTACATCTTTGATCTATTTTGGTTTGATTTTTGTATATGGTGAGAGATTAGGGGTCCAATTTTATTATTCTGCATGTAAATATTCAGTTTTACCAGCGTCATTTATTGAAGAAACTGTCCTTTCTCAATGTATGTTCTTGGCATGTTGAAAATGAGTTCATTGGGAGAAAACGTAGTGGAGGGAAACATACCAGGAAAGCTGAGATAATCCACAGACCCTTTGAAGGAAGTGGCTTTCCACTGCAAGCTCCATGAGACAGCTGAAAAACTGTGAGTACCCAAAGTATAAATGTGTGAAAGAAGGATCATATGCCCCCAAACACATATCCTCACTGGGGAACCCAAAGGTCCAGATCACAGAAGAAGGATTTGACCTTACCTGGCTGAGATAAATTTAGAGAGCTGAGTGAAACACAGTGGTACAGGAAGCAGCAGAAAGATTCCTGTGGGCACTCTTGGTTTCCAGGGAAGCCATTTTTGAGTTTGTCTCACAGGTATTCTTGGGGGAGGGGGACTGCCAGTGAAATTGGGGAAAGACCACAGGAAGAAGAAAACTACCAGCTGAACTTTGTAATAATTTCAACTGAACACAAAGTTTCCTGAACAGAACCCAGGGGATAGGGCAAACTGGGAGTGTAGATAGGAGCACAGAAGCTTCAGTAGGCAAGGAGGCATGAAACCTGAAAGCCCTGCTTGCTTTCTCAGCAAGACGGCTGGTAGCCTGGGGCAAGTTGTCAGCCCTGACCACTGGCTGCCTGGAAATAAACTCAATGCTATTTAGCGGGGCATGGTAGGAGACGAGTCATTTGGGCTGCGTGGGAGCTGGATGAGACCTGTAACTGCTGGATTTCCCCCACTTCCCTGGCAACCTACAGGATGCAGCAGAGGCCACCATAATCCCCCTGGGAACATAACTCCATTTGCCTGAAAGCCACATCCCCATCTCCCACAGCAGCCATACAAGCCCCGCCCAAGGACAGTCTGAACTCAGACACACCTAAACCTGCAGTCACCTGATGGTCTTTCTCTACCTGCCCTAGTAGCCAAAGACAAAGGACATAATCTCTTGGGAGATCTATGGTCCTGTGCATTGTCTGAGAAACTGGAATACTTTTCCAGGCAACCCTAGGGCAAGCTTATATCCTCCCTTTACTGCCACAGCTGATGCTCTCTTGAAAGTGCCACCACCTGGCTGGAGACCAACCAACACAAAAATAGCACATTAAATGAAAATACAACCAAGGAATCCACTTTACTCCCCTGCTACCTCCACAAAGCAGATGCTGGTATCCACAACTGAGAGACCTGAGGACAGATCACATCACAGGACTTCTTGCAGATGATCCTCAGTACCAGCCTAGAGCCTGGTAGCTCTGCTGGTTGTCTAGATCCCAATGAGAAATAACAATCACTGCAGTTCAGCCCTCAAGAACCCACATCCCTAGGGGAAGGGGGAGAGCCCCACATCAAGGGAGTATACCATGGGAAAAAAGAATCTGAACAGCAGCCATTGAGCCCCAGATCTTCCCTGTGACATAGTCTACCTAAATGAAAAGGAACCAGGAAAACAATTCTAGTAATGTAACAAAATAGGGCAATTTAACACCCCCAAAAGATCATACTAGCACACCAGCAATGGATCCAAACCAAGACAAAATCACTGAATTGTCAGAAAAAGAATTCAGAAAATCAAATATTAAGCTACTAAAGGAGGCACCAGAGAAAACTGAAAACCAACTTAAAGAAATTTTTTAAATTTATAGAATATGAATGGAAGAATCTCCCGAGAAACAGATAACATAATTAAAAACCAATCACAAGTTCTGGAAATAAAGGACACACTTAGAGAAATGCAAACAATCTGGGAATTCTCACAATAGAATAAAACAAGTAGAAGAAAGAACTTCAGAGCTTGAAGACAAGGCTTTTGAATTAACCCAATCCAACAAAGACAAAGAGAAAAGAATAAAAAGAAAATGAACAAAGAATCCAAGAAGTTTGGGATTATATTAAATGACCAAACCTAACAATAATTGGTGTTCTTAATGAAGAAGAGAAATCTAAAAATTTACAAAATGTATTTGAGGGAATAATCAAGGAAAACTGCCCTGCCCTTGCAAGAAATATAAACATCCAAATACAAGAAGCTCTAAGAACACCTGGGAAATTCATCACAAAAAAAGATCATTGCCTCAGCACATAGTCATCAGGTTGTCTAAAGTCAAGATGAAGGAAAGAATCTTAAGAACTGTGAGGCAAAAGCATCAAGTAACCTATAAAGGAAAACCTATCAGATTAACAGCAGATTTCTGAGCGGAAACCCTATGAGCTAGAAGGGATTGGAGTTCTATCTTCAGCCTCATTAAATAAAGCAATTATCAGCAAAGAATTTTGTATCCAGTGAAACTAAGTTTCATAGATGAAGAAAAGACACAGTCTTTTACAGACAAACAAATGTTCAGAGTATTTGCTACTACCAAGCCAGAAGTACAAGAACTGCTAAAACGAGCTGTAAATCTTCAAATAAATCCTCAAAATACACCAATAGAACCTCCTTAAAGCATAAATCTAACAGGACCTATAAAACAATAACACATTGCAAAAAAAAAAAGGTGTTTCAGCAACAAATAGCACAATAAATAAAACAGTACCTCACATCTCAATACTAACATTGAATGTTAAGGGCCTAAATGTTCCTCTTAAAATACACAGAACGGCAGAATGGATAATAATTCACTAACCAAGTATCTGCTGTCTTCAAGAGACTCATCTAACTCAAGAAGACTCACATTAACTTAAGGTAAAGGGGTGGAAAACAATATTCCATGCAAATGGACATCAAAACTGAGCAGGAGCAGCTATTCTTATATCAGACAAAACAAACTTTAAGGCAACAGCAGTTAAAAAAGACAAGAAGAGACATTATATAATGATAAAACGACTTGTCCAACAGGAAAATGTCACAATCCTAAATAAATATGCACCTAACATTGGTGCTCCCAAATTTATAAAACAATTACCACTAGACCTAAGAACTGAGATAGACAGCAGCACAATAATAGGGGGAAACTTCAATAATCCATTGACAGCACTAGACAGGTAGGTCATCAAGACAGGAGGTCAGCAAAGAAAAAATGGATTTAAACTATACCTTAGAACAAATGGACTTCACAGATATTTACAGAACATTCTACTCAACACTTGCAAAATATACATTCTATTTATCAGCACATGGAATATTCTCCAAGATAGACCATATGATAGGCCACAAAAGAAGTCTCAATAAATTTAAGAAAATTGAAATTATATCAAGGACTCTCTGAGACCACAGTGGAATAAAATTGGAAATCAACTCCTAAAGGAACCCTCAAAACCATGAAAATACATGGAAGTTAAATAACCTGCTTCTGAATGATCATTGCATCAACAATAAAATCAACATGGAAATAAAAAAATTTTTAAATTGAATATTAATAGTGGCACAACCAATCAAAACCTCTGGGATACAGCAAAGGAAGTGCTAAGAGGAAAGTTCATAGCCTTAAATGCCTACATCAAAGAGTCTGGAAGAGTGCAAACAGACAATCTAAGGTCACACAACAAGGAACTAGAGAAACAAGAACAAACCAAACCCAAACCCAGCAGAACAAAAGAAATAACAAAGATCAGAGAAGAACTAAATGAAATTAAAATTTAAAAAAATACAAAAGATAAAACAAAATCTAGTTATTGAAAAAATAAAATTGGTAGACCATTAGCAAGATTAACCAAGAAAAGAAGAGAGATCCAAATGAGCTCAATTAGAAATGAAATGGGAGACATTACAACTGATACCAAAGAAATACAAAAAAATCATTTGAGGCTACTATGAACACCTTTACATACATAAACTAGAAAACCTAGAGGAGATGGCTAAATTTCTAGAAAGATACTACCAGGAGAATGGCGTGAACCCAGGAGGCAGAGCTTGCAGTGAGCTGAGATTGTGCCACTGCACTCCAGCCTGGGTGACAGAGCGAGACTCCATCTCAAAAAAAAGAAAGAAAGAAAGAAAGAAAGATACTACTCTTCTAGATTAAACCAGGAAGAAACAGAAACCCTGAACAGACCAATAACACCCAGTAAGATTGAAATGGTAATAAAAATAATGCCAATAAAAAAAGACCCAGGACCAGACAGAATCACAGCTGAATTCCAGAAGACATTCAAAGAATTTGTACAAATGCTATTGACACTATTAATGAAGTAGAGAAAAAGGAGATCATCCCTAAATCATTCTATGAAGCCAGTATTACCCTGATACGAAAACCAGGAAAGGACATAACCAAAACAAAAAAATTACAGACCAATATCCCTGATGAACATAGATGCAAAAATCCTCAACAAAATAATAGCAAACCAAATCCAACAGCATATCAAATAGATAATCCCCCATTATCAAATGTGTTTCATACTAGGGATGCAAGATGGTTTAATATAGGCAAGTCAATAGAATTAAAAACAAAAATCACATGATCATGTCAATGGATGCAGAAAAAGCATTTGACAAAATCCAGTATCTCTTTATGATTAAAACCCTCAGTAAAATTGGCATAGAAGGGACATATCTTAAGGTAATAAAAGCTATCTATGACAAACACACAGCCAACATTATACTGAAAGGGACAAAGTAGAAAGCATTCCCCCTGAGAACTGGAACAGTACAAGGATGCCCACTTTCACCACTCCTACTCAATACAGTACTAGAAGTCCTAGCCAGAGCAATCAGACAAGAGAAAAAAATAAAGGGCATCTACATTGGTAAACAGGAAGTCAAACTGTTGCTGTTTGATGATGATATAATTGTATACCTAGAAAACCCTCAAGATTCATCCAAAAAGCCCCTAGAACTGATCAATGAATTCAGCAAAGTTTCAGGATACAAAATTCATGTATACAAATCAGTAGCTTTGCTATACACCAAGCGTGACCAAGCTGAGAATCAAATCAAGAACTCAACCCCTTTTACAATAGCTGCAAAATAAAATAAAATACCTAGGAATATTCCTAACCAAGGAAGTGAAAGAACTCTACAAGGAAAATTACAAAACAATGCTGAAAGAAATCATATACCAACAAACAAATAAAAACACATCCCATGCTCATGGATGGGTAGAATCAATATTGTGAAAATGACCATACTGTCAAAAGCAATCTACAAGTTCAATGCAATTCCAATTAACATACCACCATCATTCTTCACAGAACTAGAAAAAACAATCCTAAAATACATATGGAGCCAAAAAAGAGCCCATGTAGCAAAAGCAACATTAAGCAAAAAGAATAAATCTAGAGGTATCACATTACTCAAATTCAAACCATACTATAAAGCCATAGTCATCAAAACAGCATGGTACTGGCATAAAAACAGGCACATAGATCTATGGAACAAAATAAAGAACCCAGAAATAAACCCTAATACTTACAGCCAACTAATCTTCGACAAGCAAACAAAAATATAAAGTAGAGAAGGGACACCCTATTCAACAAATGGTGCTGAGATAATCGACAAGCCACATGTAGGAGAATGAAACTGGATCCTCATCTTTCACCTTATACCAAATTCAACTCAAGATGGATCAAGGACTTAAATCTAAGAGATGAAACCATAAAAATTCTAGAAAATAACATTGGAAAAACTCTTCTAGACATTGGCTTAGGCAAAGACTTCATGACCAAGAATCCAAAAGCAAATGCAACAAAAACAAAGATAAATAGATGAGACTTAATTAAACTAAAGGGCTTCTGCACAGCAAAAGAAATAATCAGCAGATTAAACAGACAGCCCGAAGAGTAGAAGATAATCTTTGCAAACTGTGCATCCAAGAAAAGACTAATATTCAGAATCTACAAGGAGCTCAAACAAATCAGCAGGAAAAAAAAAAAGAATCTCATCAAAAAGTGGGCTAATAACATGAATAGACAATTCTCAAAAGAAGATATACAAATGGCTAACGCACATATGAAAAAATGTTCAGCATCACTAATTATCAGGGAAATGTAAATCAAAACCACAGTGAGATACCACCTTGCTCCTGCCAGAATGCCCATAATCAAAACATAATAGGTGTTGGCATGGATGTGGTAAACAGGGAACACTTTTACACTGCTGTTACATTGAATGTAAACTAGTACAATTACTATGGAAAACAGTGTGGCAGTTCCTTAAAAAACTAAAAGTAGACCTACCATTTGATCCAGCAATCCCACTAATGGGTATCTACTCAGAGCAAAAGAAGTCACTATACAAAAAAGATACTTGCACACCCATGTTTATAGCAGCACAATTTGCAATTCCAAAAATATGGAATCAGCCCAAATGCGCATCAATCAATGAGTGGATAAAGAAAATATGATATATACCATTAAATATTACTCAGCCATAAAAAGGAAGAAAAAATGGCATTTGCTGCAACCTGCATGGAATTGGAGACCATTATTCTAAGTGAAGTAACTCAGGAATGCAAAACCAAACATCGTCTATTCTCACTCATAAGTGGGAGCTAAGTTATGAGGATGCAAAGGCATAAGAATCATGCAATGGACTTTGGGAATTTGGGGGAAAGAGTGAGAGGGAGTGAGGGATAAAAGACTACATATTGGGTACAGTATGCACTGCTAGGGAGATAGGTGAACCAAAATCTCAGAAGTCACCACTAAATAACTTATTCACGGAACCAAATACCACCTGTTCCACAAAAATCTATTGAAATTTTAAAAAGTATCTTTCTCAAAATAATATTCCTATTAGTACTAATGAAGAGATCACATTAGTCCATTTCAAAGTACAGATAACAAATGCCTTTTGTCATAAAATTATGATTTCTTAAAAATAAGGCATTCATCTTGTCAATTCTCAAAAAAAAAAAAAAGAAAAGAAAGAAGCCAAGGCGAGCGGGTCACCTGAGGTCAGGGGTTCGAGACCAGCCTGACTAACATGGAGAAACCCCGTCTTTACTAAAAATACAAAATTAGCCGGGTATGGTGGTGCATGCCTGTAATCTCAGCTACTCAGGAAGCTGAGGCAGGAGAATCACTTGAGCCCAGAGGCGGAGGTTGCGGTGAGCTGAGATAGCACCATTGTACTCCAGCCTGGGCAACAAGAGTGAAACTACAACTCAGAAAAAAAAGAAGAGAAAGGAAAAAGAAAAAAGGAAGGAAGGAAGGGAGGGAGGGAGGGAGGGAGGGAGAGAGAAAGAGAAAGAAAGAAAGAAAGAAAGAAAGAAAGAAAGAAAGAAAGAAAGAAAGAAAGAAAGAAAGAAAGAAAGAAAGGGAGAGAGAAAGAAAGAGAAAAAAGAAAGAAAGAAAAAAGAAAGAAAGGAAGGAAGGAAGAAAAAAGAAAGAAGAAAGAAAGAGAAAGAAAGAGAAAGAAAGAAAGAAAGAAAGAAGAAAGAAAGACACAAAGAAAGGAAGAAAGAAAGAAAGGGAAAGAAAAAAGAAAGAAAGGGAAAGTGAGATCATTGTACGATTGTGAATTTGTTTCTGGGTTCTCTATTCTGTTCCATTGGTCTCTGTGTCTGTTTTTATGCCAGTAACATTCTATTTTAGCTAGCATAGCTCCATAGTATAATTTGAAGTAATGTGACTCCTCCAATTTTGTACTTTTTGCTAAGGATGGCTTTGGCTCTTCCGGGCTTTTTGTGGTTCCACATAAGTTTTAGGATTGATTTTTCTATTTCTGTGAAGAAAGTCATTGGCATTTTGAGAGGAATTGTACTGAACCTGTAGGTTTCTGTGAGTAGTATAGGCATATTAACAACATTAATTCTTTCAATTCATGAACATGGACTCTCCATTTTGTTGTGTCTTCCTCAATTTCTTTTATCAGTGGTTTATAGTTTCATTATAACGATTATTCATTTTGGTTACATTAATTCCTAGATATTTATTTCTGGCTATTCTAAATAAAATTCCTTTTTTTTTTAATTCTTTTTCGGCTTGCTCACTTTTGGCACATAAAAGTGCTACTGATTTTTTATGTTGATTTTGTATCTTGAAACTTTCCTGAATTTATCAGTTCTAGTAGTTTTCTTGTGGAATCTTTAAGTTTTTCCAATTATAAGATCATATCATCTGCAAACAATGATAATTTGACTTCTTTCATTCCAATTTGAATGCCATTTATTTCTGTCTCTTGTCTGATTGCTCTAGCTAGGTCTTTGAGTACTATGTTGAATAACAGTGGTGAAAGTGGATATTTATGTCATGTTCTCAGCCTTAGAGGAAAGGCTTTTGGTTTGTCCCCATTCAGTATGATACTGGCTCTGGGTCTGTCACATAGGACTTTTAATATCTTGGGGTATATTCCTTCAATCTCCTGTTTTTTGAGGGAATTTTATCCTGAAGGACATTAAATTTCATCAAATGCTTTTTCAGCATCAATTGAAATTTTCGTATGATTTTTATCCTTCATTCTGTTGACATAATGTATCACTGATTTATTTGCATATGATGAAACATCTTTGCATCCCTGGAATAAATCTCAGTCGTGATGAAGGATCTTTTTAATGTGTTATTTAATTTGGTTTGCTCGTATTTTGTTGAAGATTTTTGCACCAATATTCATCAGAGATATTGTCTTATAATTTTCTTTTTTTGATGCATTTTTGTTTGGTTTTAGTATCAGGGTAATACTGGCCTCATAGAATGAGTTTGGAAGTATTCCCTCCTCCTCTATTTTTTCGGAACAGTTTGAGTAGGACTGGTATTAACTGTTCTTTAAATGTTTGGTAGAATTCAACAGTGAAGCCATCAGGTCATGGGCTTTTTTTTTGCTGGGAGACTTTTTATCACAGCTTCAGTATAATTATGTGTTATTGGTTTGTTCAGGTTTTGGATTTCTTTGTGATTCAATATTTGTAGGTGAATTTATCCATTTCCTGTAGATTTTTCAATTTATTGTCATAAAGTTGCTCATAGTAGCTACTAATAATCCTTTTAATTTTTGCAATATCAGTTGTAATGTCTCCTTTTGCATCTCTTATTTTATTTATTTGGGTTTTCTCTCCTTTTTCCTTAGTATGGCTAACGGTTTGTCAATTTTGCTTATCTTTTTATTTCATTGATATTTCACATTTTTATTTTAAATTCATTTATTTCTGCTTTGATCTTTATTATTTCTTTTATTCCACTAATTATGGGTTCGGTTTGCTCTTGCTTTTCTAGTTCTTTAAGATGCATTGCTAGGTGTTTACTTCAAGTTTTTTTTCTTCTTTAACGTAGGCACTTATAGCTATAAATTTTCCTCGTAGTATTAGTTACACTGCATCCCGTAGGTTTTGGTATGTTGTGTTTCCATTATCACTTGTTTCAAGGATATTTTCAATTTACTTCTTGATTTCTTTATTGACACATGTCATTGAGGAGCATATTGTCTAATTTCCATGTATTTATATAGTTTCCAAAATTCCTCTTGGTATTGATTTCTCATTTTATTCCATTGTGGTCAGAGAAGATGCTTGATATTATTTCAGTTTAAAAATGTTTTGAGATTTGTTTTGTTACATAACATATGGTGTATCATTGAGAATAATCCATGTGCTGAGGAGAAGGGTATGTACTCTACAGTCATTGAATGAAATGTTCTTTAAATACCTATTAAGTCCTTTTGTTGTAAAGTGTAGATTAATTCTGATGTTTCTTTGTTGATTTTCTGTCTGGAAGATAGTTTAATGCTGAAAGTGGGTTATTGAAGTCTCCAGCTATTATCATTTTGAGGTCTATCTTTCTCTTCAGTTCTAATAATATTTGCTGTATATGACTGGGTTGCTCCAGTCTTGGGTGCATGCAAATTTACAATTGTTATATCCTCTTGCTGAATTGGCCCTTTTGTCATTATATAATGACCTTGTTTGTCATTTCTTACAATTTTTGTCTTCAAGTATATTTTATCTGATATAATTATAGCTACTCTTGCTTTTTTTTTGTTTTTATTGGCATGGAATATCTTTTTCCATCCCTTTATTTTCAGTCTATGTGTATCTCTATAGGTGAAGAGTGTTTCTTGTAGGCAACAGATAGGTGGATTTTGTTTTTGTATCCATCCCACCACTCTATCTTTTGACTGGAGAGTAGTCCATTTACATTCAATGTTATTTTGATAAGTAAGGACTTACTCATGTCATTTTGTTATTTGTTTTCTGGTTGTTTTACCATCTTCTCTTCCTAGTTTCCTTCCTTCCTGTCTTCTTTTTAGTAAAGATGATTTTCTCTGGTGGTATTATTTAATTTCTTGCTTTTTGATATTTTGTATATTCATTGCATGGTTTTTTATTTGAGTTTGCCATAAAGCTTTCAAACACTCTCTTATAACCCATTATTTTCAGTGGATGAAAATTTAATGTGGACTGCATAAACAAATAAGAAAAATGAAAACTATAAAAACTGTACATCTTAACTTCATCTTCCCACTTTTAAGCTTTTTGTTGTTTCTCTTTATATCAAAATAGTAAAAAAGTAAATTATAAAAATAATTATTATGTATAATTTTACATTTCCATTATCCAAACTTAGCATAAGAGGAAAATACTAACAACCTTATAATAAGCACTTTCTATGTGGTTTTATTTAATCCTCTAAAAACCCATTACATAATACTATTATCATTTGTATTGTGTAAGTGAGGAAGCGGAAGCTTGGGGAAGGTAACTTGTTATAGCCACATGTTTAGCAAGTGATATAATTCATGCACTCTAATGCCAAGGTCTAATTGCCTAACCTTTACATTATGTTGCTTCCTGAAGACCTGATCAAGTCACCAGGCATGAACAAGAACCCAATAATGTACCTAATTTGTAGAGAAGGGAGATAATGGGTATGAAGGCGACCTAGGAGAAGCCATTATGTGCCTTCATTACAGCAGAATAATATAAGATCTCTTGAGGCTTTTTAAGTTCTAGTGGGACTAGGGCCTACTTTCCATATTTTTGCAGGAGATGTTATTATTGGAAAGTCTTGCCTACCACTTATGTTGAGACATAGAAGGTGTCATTGACAAAATTTGCCCTGAAATTTTGAGTATGAAGTTAAGTTTGATGTAGAAATTCTGTCACTAAGGGCTCAGCTAGCTGGCAGTTGCCGTCATTAGACCTTAGATTTACTCCACACTCAGGAGTAGCATTTTTGTTTCAATGAAGGTTATGTCTGCAGCGTGAAGAGAACACATTCTGAATTTACAGGCTGCACCTGCAAATACAAAATCCAGTTATTGTTGGTGTTGGTATTTTTAAAGTCTATTTCCTGCAAGAATCTATCAGCAATACACTTACCATGTGCCAAATACATATATGTATATATATATATAGCTCCTCTAGCTGCAGCTGATTCCTACTGTACCTCAGTTTACCTCACATTTGGCTCATGTCACCAACAGAAAAACCACTCCCAATTTTAATGTGGAATGCTGTCAGACACAACCTCATGATTTGTAGATGAGCTCATATGTTGCTCTCCAGCCCAAATCAGCACTTTCTCCATATGTCTCATATAAGCCAGACTCCCATTTGGCTTTGGCTGTGAAGAGTAATTCAGATTTGGGAAAGGCAAGATGGTCTTGCCAACTTAGCTACTTTTGAGAGGAAGATTACCCAAGCTGTTAGCACAGCCCAGAGGGGTGAGGAGTCTCGATCCAGAAACATCCAGGGGTATAGTAGTTGCCTGGCCAGAGGCTTTCACTCTTTTTTGACCATAAGCCACAGTAGGAAATAGCATGCAATACTACAGCAATCCAGTGCATACGTGGCTATAGATACATGTATGTGGGTAGGTACGGTCACATGCACAGGCACACACACACACACACACACACACACACACACACACACACACAAACTGAAACTGCCCTTGCATTTGCTATTTTATTTCATTTGTTAAAACATGTTGGCCATGTATTAGCCTTTTCAGAAAGGCTAGAAAATTGCCTCCAGACCACATGGGTAATATGGAACACAACCTGTATTTGAACTTGAGTCTCTCCACCGCAATGCCCAGGTCCTTGTGATGGGTTCTCTCATTTCCTCCTTAACCTCCTCCTAAAGCCAGACTTTAAGTCTTCCTCCAGTCACCAGGCCAGCATTCGGGGAAGCAGCCTCCTCTTCCAGGGCTTATTTCCTGGGAATTCTTAAGGCCTGTAGCTGCTGCCTTCTTGTTTTATAGACCGCTTTAGCAGAAATACACTCATTCTCTCTCTCCTCAATTCAAATGCAAGGGTAGTAGCTGCACATTTTTACATAAGACAGAGTCTGCTAGCTTTTAATTCAGACTCAACAACCCCAATGAAGCTGGCACAGCTGTAATTTAAAGCAGAAATGAGGCTGTGGAAGTCAAGCAAGAATTTAATACAACAAGCTATGAAATTTTATTTCGAGGTTTATTTCTAGGTTTTCAGATAGACTTGAGGAAGAATGTTTTGACAATCCTGATAAAAACTCTCTAAAGGGAATTGACTGTTGGGCAAAGTCAAAACCAGAAGATGATAAGTAATATGGTAGATGGTGCCTTGGGCTACATGCAAGGTCACCTAGTAGGATGCGTAGCTTGAGTGCTGAAGTGAAACTCAGAAACCCTGAGATCTAGCCCCAGTCTGCCACTAACCAGCTGTGTGACCTTGAGTTTAGGGATTTTAACTCTCTGCCCTTCACAGAGAAGATATAGTGTGAGATTAAACCTGTATTTTCTTCAGCCAGACTAAATTTTGAGTTCTAACACTCAAAAGGGCTCCTTTCAAATTTATTGATCAGAAAATAGATTATCATTAAAAATGTTTCTCCTGTCATCTTCCTGTGGCTCCCTGAAATAAAGGGAAAGCTAAATTAAAGCAGAATGTATGTTAAAGGCAGTCATGGCTTAAAGTGTTACATAGACCTCTGTGTAGAGTATTGTCACAGAGCTGCCCCTCCACCCCAGCACCCAGCAGATCACCATTTATCAGATTCCTTAATAATATCAACACACCCCTTGGGAAGTCAATGTAAAGTCACCCCTTCACTTTCTCACTCTGGAAGTGATAGGTTAAAATAGAATACCACTTCATGAGATTAAAACTATTTGCTTCAAAGAAATTTGAAATTGGTAATTGAAAAAAATTAATATGTCAAAAAACAGTAATGTGCTCTAGCAGAGGAGGAAGAAGCCTAAGAAACCAGCAGCATGGCACATGTCATTTATGTGAATAAAGCCTGGCACACAGAAGGTGTTCAACACATAATTGCTGAATAAATGAGCTTACAATCTGATAGGCCAGCCAAAAGATTAGTGCTTCCAGCAAAAAAAAAAAAAAAAGACAATGGCATTTCATAGAATAGGAGGAGAGTGTTTGGGGAGCCTCATATGATTTCACTGGGATAAGTATATAGTCTTTTGATAATTTTTTTTAAAGAAGCTTAAAATAATGAAGAAACTACAAACAGCTCTGCCAGCTTCCATCCACCCAAATCACTTTCTTTTGATAAGCAGAGAAGAAGAGAAACACGGAATATACTTATTAAAGATTTCCCTAAAGTGTTTAGCTGTTCTACAACATGGTGGGAAGGTTTTAGTTTTTAAAATAAGTGGGAAAGAATTAAATTGCCTTTCCATACTGCTCCCAGATTTTTATGTCTGTATCTCAAGCACAGTGTTTGAATAACTTGCCTTACAAAAGAAAGGTAGAAACTAAATTAAGCTAATAAAAAGCCCAGAAGAGCTAGCCAATGGGGAAAGGAGATCTTGCTTAAGTCTTAAGAGGCAAAGAAAGTTGAGAGCTCGAAGGGGTTGGGAAGAGAGATATTATATCATTCTAGAAACAAAACTCATAGAAATGAGATAAGGAGAAGGGAAACTGAGTGATAGCTTGGAAATTTGCTAATAACGAGAAGTCTATTTCCCTAGAGGCAACCCATCACATCAGGCAGATTGGACCAGACTGAGATGCTGTTTCCTAGAGAACTGGTTCTTCCCTCAGCTCGTTTCAATGACAATGAGCATTTCTAGTTGAGTGCGAGAAGACATGAAGGGCATCTTTTATTTTCCTAAGAGGAAATTGAACCTATGCATCGTAAGACTTCAGCATGTGCCTGTGTATGAAAAATATGAGCCAAATGCTTTTGAAAAGAAACAGAAGTATTCTGCCCTTGTGACAGAGAAGTGTCCAAGAACAAAGACAGAGGTATTTCAGCATGCAATTCCTATCCTACAGGCTCTTTGTTGTGATACATTTTATGACCAACTTTAAAGACATTGACCTGTTGATCTTGTTCTGGTTTTTATTCACTACATCCTTCTTAACATAAGAAAAAATCCCTTAGGAAAAGCAAGATTTTTATTTCCAAAAAAAAAAAATCTACACAGAGCCCCAGTATCCTAATAGTCTCTCTCCTGCCATATAGAACATTCACTGCTTTAAATGTATAAAAAAGGAAAATTGCACCATGAAACAAACTTGAGAGTGTGGCAAGAGTCCCACCCATGTGTTGCCTCGTGGGTGGAATTAGAGATCTAATCTACAAAGACACCTCAAGTTGCCTTACCAGATGCCCTCTGATTGGCTGAAGGCTGAGTTATGCTAAGAAGTCACTCTTTCATTGAACAAAATTTCTAATTAACACTGAAAATGTGTGGTAGCTAAGTTGCTGGTGAAGACAGGGTATCTCCTCATTCTTCTTAGCTGAAGCTAGATTAAACTATAAAAAGGGGACAATATAATTGCTCACGGTGGGGCATGGTGTTTTCTCCTGCACAAACATATAATTAGGCTGTCTTAACCTCCCCATTCAGCAATAAACACCACTTCACAGACTAATTTACAGGCAAGAGTCGCAGAAGGCTGTGGAATAAACTCTCAGGGTGACAGGCCCTGAAGTTCAGTTAAAAGAGAGCAGCTTCACTATTTCAAGTCAGCAAAAATCTTTTTGCACTTACTACAAACTAAAATGAGATTGAAATAAGGGCTATGCATTCAAAACATTGAACACACCAGCTAATAAAAAATACATTTGTGACTGGTCGTAAAAATAGAGAATGTAATTGGCTATACCCTAGAAATATCTTTTACTTACAATATTTGGGAAGACAGGGGTCTCCATAATATTGACTTTGCTAACACGTCTACATTTTTCTGTCCACCATAATTATGCATCAGTCAGCGACACCTCACTTTTGTAGCTGCCAACAGGCCTTGATTCAGGCAGTGGGAGGTAGGCTGGCTGAGGCCCGGCACTGGATAATATTTGCCTGGCAAATACTGTTGGCTTGGGGCAGTGAGGGGGAGGTGCTCTTGTAAAAAGACAGCTCCTCTAGGTTGCATCATTCTTCCCATTAAACCCCCAGGGCCGGGGATGGGGGGGCCTTTCTGAAGGGATGTGGGAGCTGTTCTTCAGCTGCCTATTTTGTCCAAAAGCCTTCTTTAAGCATGGAACACAACACAGACTCAGTAGGGGAGGTCACAGAAATAGATACATCTCTTTGTGGGAATTATGTTTTCTTCTGGCCAAAGCAAACCATCTAGACGCAGAGAGGCTGTGGTTTGACACTGGTTGGACTTCAGGAACAATTATAGAAGGGTTGCGGGCTGTGGATGCATTGAACGTGATTCATGTGGTGTGAGAGTTGGAGAAAGGACGGTAGACAAAAGCACAAAAGGGAGGCCCAGAGACCAATTAGTGGAATGAGAAACTAAAAAGTTTGGTAGATGGTTTTATCCACAGCCAAGTCTGAATTATTTATAGATTATTTTCTTCTGGATTCCCTCTCTAAGTTTGCAGAAATAAAATAGGTAATTGGGCCATATTTTCTCCCAAGTCCTTTTTTTATATCCAAATCTCGGTTCAGCCAAGATTTTCAAGGACAAGAACTGTGTTTTCACTATTGTAAGTCTGCAGGATTTGGAAGTACCCATTATAAATAACCAATACTGTGGAAGCAGCGACTGAATGAACGAATGAAATCTTCCCTACTGAAAGACTGAGAAATAAACAGGCTAATGTTACATTTTCAAGATGCAAGTAACTACAAAATCCCACTTTTATAGGTTCTTTAATGAACGAAAGGAAAATGATTGATTAAAACAAAAATAATTTAGATAAAATAATTTTAACCTTTTCTGAACAAATGCTGCACAAAGAATATCATCTAAAATATTAATTATGTTTTAAAATATTATTGATTATGAGAAACAACTTAAAAAGAAAAGCTTATAGTTACTTGTTTCTCAAGTAATGTTTTCATGAAATAAGACAACTTTAAATGGCAAACAGGAAATTCTCATCTTGATAACTTTAAACTGAGTCTGCTGTGCAGGGTAAAGATATTAGTTTTAGTGAGCATTAATTTTAAATTTTGGAAGTTAGCAGTGACTCAGCACTTTTAAAAAGTTAAATATCAAGTTTTCAATTATCTCAAACTCGCCCCACACATATAATTTTTTAAAAGAAGTTGAGATCTCCTTCAAAATTTCAGTACTGTCTATAAATTTGTGATAATATGCATAAACTACAAAAATTATAGTTGATACCTTTAAGAGAAACAGCTGTAGTTGGCATTTTATAATTTTTTGACTCATAATGCCGGCAATTCTAACTTAAGTGTTGTGTTTAACTTCCTTAATATGCGTAAGGGGGCCCCTTTAAGAATTAGGCTTCCTCAACTTTCAAACCAATTTTAAATGACTGCACAGTAGCAGGGGGATATGGCTCTGAAATGGAAGATTTTAATAAAATATATAATTCAACAGTAACTAAATATCTTGTGTTTTCAAAGTTACTGCAATTCCCCCTTTTTTTTTGAAGTTTTAAATCCCGCTTTGACTACTGGTGGTATTGCAATCAATGAAGTTTATTCAAGGAGTAATCATTGCTATTGACAAACTTAGTAAACAGTTTAAATGCATAAGTTCCATTATCAAAATATTGTATATATATATATATATATATATATATATATATATATATATACACATAAAATAAATTTAGATTTTTATATAGTCAAAAAGATTATAATGTATAGTCAGGATTTCCAATAATTTTTCATAAAATTTTTCTTTTGTTCTTAGTAAGAAAATGTCATATATCTTTTGCAGTTTTTAGATAAAACAATTGGTAAATGAAATACAGTACATTAAAATACTTTGAGGCTTTAAAAAAATAAGAAAGAAAAGTAATTTCAGTGGAATTATCATTTTAGCAAGACTAAGATCATTCCATGAAGAAGACAGAGGTGGGTACCCTGGTGAAGCCCTGGCTTGTGTATGTGCCCACACGTACACATGTACCATTTGGCAACAGACTTTTAACAAGTAAAACATCAGTAAGGCAATTTAAAAATTGTTGCCACGAATCATTCACATTCCCTCCTCGGGTGAAACATGGCAATGGTCTTAAAGTTAAACATAAGCACTGCACACACCGTAGCTATGGGGAAATGCTTGTAACCATAACCTACTGGCTTTCACAGATATCTTTAATTTAAGGCTCTGGCTGGCGCAGAGGTGAGAGCTGAAGCAAATAATGTCAAGGGAGTGAACAGTTACCTCAAAACACAAGGATATTTTCTATTGTGTAAGAAAAGGAGAGAATTAACCAAGGTAAGGAACAACTTAGTAGTTTAATTATGAGTCTTTTAATGTCTTTTCATAATCAGTTAATAAATACCTTAACAATAAAATTGAATTTAAGCTTTTAATAGGCCGTGTTGGCTTAAACCTAAACAAAGGAATTAGCAGCTCCAGGCATTGTGCAATAACTGCTCACTGTTTGGTGCCAGGAGAAACAAAGCATTTCAAGTGCGTTTTTTGTACCTTACTATAATAAACGCTTGTAATATTCCCCAATTTCTGGAGTGTAAGACGCAGATCTTATTTATCACAGTATGTGACACACCTGGCACGCGGATCAGGAAACAACTGTTTTACTTCATTTCTGTCATCACCTTCCAACAGATTTCTTTCACATTCCAATTTGGATAGGAGGACTTGACTTTCTCTCCATAAGTTCTCCATTAACAGTTTCACAGCAGAAGGCGCCATTGGTCCGCTTCCTCTCGCAGCAATTAATTACACAGAGCGGCGTGTTTTGACGCGGACCACAGCAAACGCGTCAGGTCACGGGCATTTACGCGTATCTGAGAGCAACGTCTTTATCATCAGCACGGTGCGTTCCCTGCAAAGGTAATGAATTGTCATAGTTCCTCAGACAGGCAATGACGAACACCGTGTCAAGTCAGCAGCACAAATTACCAACTTCAACTCCCTTCAGTCACTTTTATTAATATGCATTTTATTTGAGGGAGTTTTTTTTAAGGAGTTGTGTCACTTTATGCGTTCGGCAGATGAAAGGCACTTTGGCTTTCTGTGTTAGCAGCGGAGAGTGTATCAGACTTGGAGTCTTGAGCTCTGTGAGCCCTGTGAACAACTATGCACTAATAAACCTTGAAAAGCTTGAATTACACTATAACCCACAAAAATTTTCAAATTAAAAAGGCATATTTAGAGGCCCCCCGTGGATAGTGATTTTATTTAGTTTAATTCCCTCTTGTGGCCAATTAGGTAGACACCCCTGCACACAGGCACACAGTCCTAGGGGAAGAAAGTGGGGCGGGGGCGGGGGCGGGGGCGCCGGGGGGTGGCTAACTTTTTTTTTTTAATGGCAGTATATCATTCCTCCATAGACAGAAATGATTTTCCCGGCTGTTGTTCTATAAAGAACAGGGCTGTTAGAAATCAATGAAAGTGTATGCAAGATGAATTTTTATTTGGCTCAGTTTTTTAAGGCTATACAGTACTCCAGTTTCTTCCTAATTCAGCCGTAGTCAATTGCCAAGTTGAAGAATAAAAGTTAAAGTTCCACCATGACCATGACAACAGAATATATCCATTTAGTGCTCTTCAATTATCTACTGGTCAAAATAACTTCTAAGAAGGCTGCAAATGCATGGTTAATGGTAGGTTTATTTGTATCTTTTTTTAATTAATTGATTTGCACAACTTCAATGCATTTTTATCACGTATGCATTGAGCTCATTTACCCAAATGAAACTTGGATCGACACGAAAGATATATTTGTTACAAAAATTGTTCCTAGGGAGCTGCTGTTTCCATCAGAATTGTGAAATGTGCCTCCTTTTCATCTGGTGGCAGGCTCCACATGTACCATATGAAAAAGGAGTTAATAAAATGCACATTGGAAATATAAAACAAGGTCAGAGGCGACAGTTTGGCTGAAGGCCTTTCTTTAAGTGTGGAAAACAAAAGAACAAGATTGTTTTAGCAGTTGCAGCTGTTGGGAGAGGCAGCTTTGGGTGGAGAGAAGCAACCGAAGGCCCTGCTACCTGTTTCCTGAGTCTATCAGATCCAGGGTCCTCTCCCTAACACAGATACCCGGCACAGTAGGTGCCCCAAGCTTTGGAAAGTCTCAGTAGAGAAAAAGAAAAGTCTCCATCTTGTTCCCAAGAGAGCTCTGGGGACCAGAAGGATGTAGCTTGGGGAGGTGTAGGGTCAGGCTAAGGAGTGGGAGGGCCTGTGTGAGACTTCAGTCTCTAAAACCCCACAGTGCTGTGTCCTTCTCAGAGCCAGATGTGATGAATGGCATTACTGTGTGCACGTTGAAAGCCACCCTGATTGGATGCCTTTCAGTGGTAAATTTTTAAAAATAAGTACTTAAGATTCTGTGGTTGGGTCCATCGTATGCCAACCAAACCAGGGGAAAGAAAATAACATTGTCAGTCAAGCAGCTGCTTGTTCCACATCCCTTGACAGATTTGTTTTTCTTAATGAACTGACTGGTTACTTTGGCATCACTTAAGAGCTGCAAGGCAAACAGTGAAACTCAATCAGAAAAACTTTATCATTTCAGAATGAAGATAAAAGAGAAAACACTTAATAATTATGTCACAAGACAATGATAGTAGCCCACGAACCCATTAATATGTGAACATAAATTGGCTAATCAGAGTAGCTGTGACCCAGCAAAAGAAACTTTATAGTCTTTGATAAAGAATAAGAAAACCAGGTCATCCAAACAGGAAAAGACAGGCTTACAGAGAGGGACAGGCGATATGGTGGGGGCAGGGGAACTGTTTGGACTCTGAAAACATAAATAGGCAACAATCAGATGTGATTCCTCCAAGAGTTAATTCTATGATCTTGGTCGAGTACCTTTTCGCATTTAGCTCTGGTTTCCTCATTTGTGAAAAGGGAGTGATAACCTCACCTTCCCAGATTGAATAGCAGAGTGAGTGCAAAGAATTTGAGTAGGACTTGGCACATAGTAAGTACTCAATCAAGGTTGGAACATGTGCTTTCTCTCCCTTCCCTGACTCAACCCATACCTAGAAACACCCTAGCCAGCATAAACCATCACTCAGCATGGTGCGTTTGAGATCAGATTTTTGTTGTTTTAGGAAAATCTTAGCTTTTGATAGGATTTACCTACACTGGAAGTAGTGAAAGGGTCTAGGCCAATGTATTCAGAAATTCCACACATGAAAGACTGATGTGAATGGTGGAAAGGGCCTTCCACCGTACCTTCTTTCTCCCTTCCATGTTGGCCTTCATAAGATAAAGGTTGTTTCAGAAAAAAAATCCATACCCAAAATGCTTCCTCCAGACACTCACTACTCAAAATGTACTCTCAGACAGCAGCAGCAACAGCAGCAGCTTAACCCAGAAGCTTGTCAAAAATGTAGAATCTCATCCATCCACCTCCCCTGCTCCCCAACATGCACCCCTATTGATTAGATTCTGCAACAAATCCCAAGTCATCCCTATGCACATTAAAGTTGGGGAATTTTTCTAATTCTAGGCCAATTAGACCAAAATTTCTGGTGTTGGAACCCAGACACCAGTACTTTTTAAACCTCTCCACATGGTTTTAATATGCAGCCAAGTTTCAGAACCACTGTTCTAGTCGCGTTAGCAAAAATCAACCTTAAAAAACACAAAAATACTTAAACAAAAAAGAGTAGAAAAGACTATTCTTGAACTAGATTCACTGAAGGAAAGAAGTTTTCAAGTGTGGCTTAAAGACATCTACGCTTCTACAATTCTAGTGATGGAAGAAGGAGAACTGAGATACATTTTCATATTTACACCTTGCCCTTATACAAGTCTTGGTTAACAAATGCCCGGGTGGGCAGAACATTTATTGACATAAGTCACCGTGTTTATTGATGCTGCCCATTTTCCACTGATTTTAGAACTCTGTAGGGGAGGTGCTGTGACTTTGAAAAGGCTATTTTTATAATCAAATTGTTTTACTTAAAGGTTTATGTAACATGCTATACTATTAAACAGTAAATAAAAACCACTGATAAATCCCGGGTTCCCCACAGGTAATTTGGTACATCCTTAATTATCTGGTTTATGAGCAAATTGCCACCTCAGCTTTGGTTCTCAGCTTGTTAGATGCACGTGTGTGCACACCCTTGTCTTGCATGGCAAACTTCCCACAGACTCAGGGTTTAAATGATGTCAAAACATAATGGGGCGGGGGTGCGGGGGCAGGGGAAAGATGTAGAAAATAAAAGGACTGAAGTTTGTGTTGGAGTTTTGGTTTTTGGTTTTTGTTTGAAGAGTTAATTTGATTTTGATTTTCATTGTTGTTGCTGTTATTGTACATTAGGGCACACTCCTAGACCTAGGGGCCTGCAAAAGGTGGCCAATGACAGCTGACTGCATCAAAAGAAATCCGTCCTGTTTTGTTAAACTGAAGTTTTTTGGTGAAAGCTGAGATGCCTCTCTCACAGCAGTCCCATCTAGGCTACATTCTACCTTTCCATGCTAGCAGGAAGATCTAGGAGGCTCAGGATTGCCTTCCATCAATTAAACCTTCCCAAAAGGAAAATCCTCTATGCTTTTGCCCTCCAAGCTTAAACCAAATAACATTCTTCGATGGCATTAGATGACTTTTGTTTGAACTTTTATTGTTCTGCAAATATCTGAGTTCAGTGAGGCTCCGTGTATGCAATCCTCTCTTACCCCCAAATTCCATGAAATTAAAGCTTCTCTTTAGGGCCTCAGTGGCTCACAGCATCCTGTGGGCTCAGCCTGATGGGCTCCCCCTGGTGGTTGCACCATGCCTCTCCTCTGCTGGTCTCAGAAGAGAATCCCTCTTCAGATTTCACTAAAGACATCCGGGAAAAGGAGGCCGAGACAGTCAAGAGGAAGGGAAACAGTGGGGTATACAGCTTCTCTTGGAATCCGTTCTTGTAACAAAATTTCAAGAATTAGTTTTCTGAGTTTGAGACATAATCTTTTTTATGTCATTTTATTCAGTTCCCAGCACCCTTTACTGCCCAGATACGAAAGGACATAACACTGTGGATATTTCTGAACCCTCCCCACTTCCCTACACCATGGGTTCAGGCTGTTTCCACAAGGCATAACTACTATTACAAAACATTGCAAACTCCTGCATCCGGTATTGATTAAACAATGTCTGGAGCTGGCAAACATTATTAATATATAGAATGCTATAGAGATTGATTGTTCTACTTTCATTTTTCTTCTTCCTGCCAGCCCCTACAGGAGAAAGCCCTGCAGCTGTTCTGAATCCCATTGCCAGAGGCATATTATAGCTCGTTTTGATGTTTCACCAGCAAGTTTTGTGCCTCATACAGGGACAAACCAAAGCGAACATCCCAAGCTCCAACTAGAGGCTAAGGCACAATCACCCTGTCAGGTATTGTTAGTAAGTCGGGATCATAAAAGATAATAAACTCTCTCCCATCTTTTATGACGGCACACCAAGATCAAACACTTTCCATACCACAGCATAAAGCCCCCAGGACCAGTTCTCCCTGACAGATGTTCATCTGCTATCTCGGTATTGACGTGTTACTTAATTTATTGATCCACAGAGAGAAGGAAATGCAAAGACTCTAGAAATCTGGTACTGTACAAGCTGTTTTCCAGGGCTCTGAGCCCTAGAAATAAAGTGGAGACTTGATGTTGTGTTTTAAAAGCTGTTTGAATATTGTCATTTTATTGTTTTTTTCAATGTTTAAACTAATTTAAAAATTGGTCAAAAAATAAGTTGGAACAAAAAACGCTTTTATTATTTTTATTTGACTTTTACTCAATGAAGAGTATGCTTAGCAGTGGGCAATGTGGTTTGTTACTCCTTGGTAACTCACTGACACTTGCCGACACTCACCTGGCCCTGTCGATCCCATAAATACAAAAAGCCTGGCTCACCCTAGATTTCACAGAATGATGAGGAATGAGGTGAAATAAAACTTCCTAGTGCAATGCTAAGTAATTCAGTCTTTCCTGCTCTAATCCATTCCACACATGACCTCCAGACTGCTCACGTTAAAGCAGACATCTGATGGCATGTCTCCAGGTTGACAGTCTTGGCAGGTGCCCCTGCCTGCCAAAAGGAGGATACATACCTAATGGTGTTCAAGGCCCTCCTCCTTGGGGTCCCAACCAGCCTCACCAGTCTTACCCTCAAACATTCCCTTTCACATGCATGTGCCCCAGCCCAACTGGATTAATTACCAGCTCCTCTTTCCCATCTCTGTGACTTTGCTCATGAAGTCCTTGCCCATATATACAAATAAAAATGCCGTAAGTATCAAGCAAAATCAATCTCTTTCTCCCCAGATTACTTGTAGCCATTTTGTTCTGTTGTTGTTTTTGTATTACTCCTGAGGCTATTTGTATGTAGGGTTCTCCTTCTGGACTTCAAGAAAATTGAGAAAGAAGAAGATCTTATGCACCTTTTGGCCTCATCCACCCCTTCACTGTTATGCAAGAGGTGTTTAACACACGGTTCAGTGAATGAATGAATAAAATACCCGGCTTATCTTTGGAATTTCCTGCTCCACAGCCTTCTGTGATTTCACCTGGATTAAGAATATATCCAAAACCCCTTGGACTTTCATTTGAGACCCCTCAAATTTGGCCCCCATATGTCTTTATAACTTACCCTAAACTATCGAGAAAAAAATCCTTTAGCAAAATAATCCACTTATTGTCTCCCACCACATTTTACCACCAGCCTGGACTGCCCACCTCCCTCCTCTTCCCACCCAGACCCACACATCTTCTTTGGCTATGGGACCAGGCATAGCCTCATCCTTCCTCATGCAGCTTTCACTAGTAACCTCAGCCTTCAGAGATCTTTGATGTTATGCAGAGATATGTGTTCCACACATTTGTCAACCATTCCTTGCAAATATTCATTGCCATCATAGCCAGTATTTAAAATTTGCATTTCTTAATTTTTGAAGGCATGTGTTACATTCTCATAATCTTTACATCATGACTTGTTCATAATGTGCAATCATCAAATATTTTATCATTTTTGCTTTGAAATATACTAAAGAATAGCAGCTGAATATAGATGAAATCAATTCAAAGGTTATTCCACCCAGTGGTTCAAAACCAAATGATTTGCTAATAATGAATAATCAGAGCTTTTCTTTCTTTATCTATATAGAGGGATATTTTCTAAATTTATCTATCACTCATAAGAAATCACATCCTAACACACAAACACATCCACACGCACATAACTAAAACCATAGTTCTCAATTTAGTATTTACCCATACTTTGTGTAATGCAATCCAATGTTTTCCATTTTATATCATCTCATTTCTAGAAAAAGAGTCACTATAGCCCACTAATGATTTTGTGACCTACAAATGGGACATAATCAACTAATGGGCTGCTGTTGATAAACATTATCTGCAAGTTCCTAAACATTTCTAGTTACTAAAGAATCTCTAAAACCATATAAAGATAGAGAACTCTGGATTCTTTTTCCTGCTCTAAATGTCCAAGACTATACAATAAAACAGCAACAAGGCACATTTAGTAGCCTCTATGATTATACCAATTAAGGAAGTCCCAAGCTGGAGTGAAATAGTCAGAAGTGGTCCAACTAACAATTAAAGCTGAGGCTATCCTACACAGCTAGAAATATATTGCTTCCCATTGTCTTTAGTTGATTGATTAGGCAGTGAGAGCATCATGCTGATGTGGCTGAGGGCATGGGTCAATTAATTTTCCTCGACTCCATTTGTATCACACCAAAGCTCTTAGCTGTATCAGCTGCATCACTGGTCACTTGGAAAAAATTGTTTTAACTTGCCAAAGAGAGTACTTTTACTATTACTTTCTCTTAACAGTGCTTCTCAATTAGGTATGAATTTGCCACTAGGGAATATTTGACAATCTCTGGAAACATTTTTAGTTGTCACAATTGATGGGAGAAGGGACAAGGGTGCAATCCTATTGATATCTAGAAAGCAGAGGCCAAGGATACTGCTAAACATCGTACAATATACAGGACAGCTCCTTCTCCTATGAGAAAGAATTATTCAACCTAAAATATGCTTTTGTTTAAATGTGTCCCCCAGTTTCATGCACTGGTAACTTTATCTCCAAATTCATATGTTGACGATATTGGGAGGTGGGGCCTTTGAGAGGTAAACAGGGTTAGATGAGATCACAAGGGTGAGGCTCTCATGATAGGATTAGTGGCTTTATAAGAAGAGGAAGAGATACCTAAACTGGTACTCTCTGTCTCACCTTGTGATGCCATCTGCCATGTTATGATGCAGCAAGAAGGCCCTCACAAGATGCAGTCCCTCACTCTTAGATTTCCAGCCTCCTAAACTGTGAGACATCAATTTCTTTTCTTTATAAATTATCCAGTCTGTGGCACTCCATTATAGCAGCATAAAATAGACTAACATGGTACGAAGGTTAAGAAACCCTCTCCTTAGTATCTTTATGTGTCTTATTTATTATCAAAGGCAACTATACAATATCAAAGCAAATCCACACAAAAGAGAAGGATGAGCCAAAACTATCACTCAGAGATTTTGCTCTATATTATCTCCAACTGTGGGACTTCAAATTAGCCTCTATCAGGAAAATTGAGACCTGGCCCTGAAGGATCCCATATTATCCAAAGAACTATGCACACAGAAAGCCCAACAACCTTATGCCTTCACCACTGGTATCGTCCAAATTTCAGGATTCTCAGAACTCCACCTAAATGAAGGGGCACAGCTGCAGCCATCAGAAACCCATCTGGGAAATGCAGATGCTATTCCAACATCTGTAAGAAATGAAATATTTGGATCGTTAATTCAAAATATAACTAAGATGGAAACATGTTCTCTTTAAAATGTTTCTTGCTGCAAAGTCCTCTGTCATTTGTTTAGTCCTTTTCCTGTGCAAAGGTGTGTTACCAGCTGCTAAGGGGATCTCTAACTCACATAGTCACCCAAAATAAGCCAACAGTTATTTCCTATCTACATGAATATTGGGAGTTCCAACTGACACCCACATTTGCAATCCTTTAAGACTCAAGGCTGGAGCAGTAAATTCTCAAGCATGCTGCTTACATGACAGACCAAGACACTTTCCCAATAAGAATTCTGAGATTTTTGTCATAGCTTTCCAAAAAAATTATCTTGCTGTCACTCCCCTTTATCTATTCTAATCCACATTCGACCATTATTTTCTCATATGCCTTCTTTAACCAAAAACCTTCCATGACTTCCCTTTTCAGAGAAGGACTCCAAATATCTTGGTACTTGATGTCTTTCTCCACCTGACCTCTACCATTCTCTCCAAACTTAACTTATGTAGTACACTTTCTCACTTAACTATTCCATTTGATCCATCTGCATTTGCCCAAGCATATTCCTGCTTTTAGCCTCCCTGCATGTTGTTTTCTTCACCTAGAAAGACTGCTATGTCAGTCATAGTTCCAGAAGAAGACACGACCAATGAAATCAAAAGCCTTAACAAATTATTTACAGAGATATGGTCTATATTTAGTGAATCACAACAAGGGAAACCTGTTAGCCACTTTTGACCTGCACAGCAAGGGGAGAGAACAGTGTTACCTGGAAGAGGGGCTGTCCAACAAGAGCTTTGGTCAAAGATAGGGGACAATGCAGCTGCTGCCAAGGCCAAGCCAAGAAGGGAGGGGTCAGAAGAAGAAATATCCCAGCCTCTCCGTTCACCTGCTTTTACCTACCATTGGTAGAACCAACAGGAAGCCAGATGGCAAGGAAGCTAGGTGAAGAAGTCCATGGAGGTCAGCATTCCAAGACTCAGGGCAGGGCAGAAAAGAGAAAGAAATATGTGTGTGTGTGTGTGTGTGTGTGTGTGTGTGTGTGTTCATAATCAACACGTAAAACTCTTTTCCTTCCCCAACCAAATTGCCATCTCCACATTTGTGCTCTCTTGTCCCTCTAGGCTCCTTGAAAATGCACTGATGTTGCCTTTATTGTATTTAATGTCTCAATTTTTTATTGCTTCATTATTACCTAATATATTCCACTCTATACTTTTCATCCTGGTTGCAACTGTGAACAAATTATGGGGGAAAGAGTATTTTCTATGGCTTTGCTTTCTCCTATAGTTAAACCAATGCTGTGATCATTAAGATGTTCAACAAGTATATATTGAATGAATGAGGGGGAATAAGTAAGAGTCAGGAGGAAAGTTCTTTGATGGAAAATAATTACTCACTGCCCAAAATTATATGTGAAAGACAAAAATATAGTTAGAATATCATTATACTTTATATCTTAAATTCTGTCAAAAAAGATGCTAACCTCTCTGAAACATACCACCCTGATCTCCCTTTTTACCTTCAATGCTGATTCACTTAGAAAAAAAGCTAATAATTCTCAAAACCAGAGCAGGGATGTGGTCAGAGCTAATGATGTCCCATCCTTCTTCTCGCCTCTTTCAAGTTCTGCCCAATAGAATATACACTGTCCTTGGGCACAGGAAGGAGACTCAATAAATACTGACTTACAATGATGCAGAAAATAGAAGAGTGTGAAAGAAAAGTAGTGTTGAAGGAATTGAATAATATAAATCCTGTCACGATGCAAACAAGCAGTGAGCTATTAAAAGATCCAAGTTCATTTTGATGGCTATAAGAGTCTTCCAGTTGTCTTCAAAACTTGCCTAATTTGCTTTCTCATTTTGAAAACAATTATTTATTTTTAACAGCAATTTATTTTCTGCAAAATCATAAATCATCAATGTTTGTACTACTAATAGTGCAGCTTTGGGAAATTCAAGTAGAAATATACATGACATTCTATAGTAAAGTACTCCAGAAGGATTTAGCAAATTCCATGTGATTAAGGCTATCACTAAAGAGATTTTAAATTAATAAGTGCCTTTAATAAGGTTTACATTTTGGCAGGTGTAACAGGAGAGAAAATATTACTGTGAAAGTTTCAGTAGGAAAAGTGAATATTTGTATAGTCAGGGAAATCGGAAGATAGAGCTGAGAGAAACAGGTGTCAACACTATTGTTAGCTAATTTTCTATAGTAATGTGACTTGGGAAGATTGTTAGATGGAGAAAGCTCATGCCCAGGGAGAGGACATGAAGAAACAGTGCTTGCTGGTGCCTGGGTTAGGAAGACCAAAGGATTTAGGGAGGATGGACAAAACTGGGAGGTGTGGGTAAGAAGGGCAATGGGGAATAAGCAAAAGGGATGCTTCTCCAACAGGGCAGCCTCACACAGTCATGTGCAAGCCCTCTCAGCTCATGACTCAATTGCCAAGGTATTATAAATCTTTTCCTCAAGTGGCTTTTTAAAAACTTTGCTCAAGCATTTTTTCTACAAGGTTATAAGAAGCAGAAATGTTGAGAATTTTTTTAGCCCAAGATAGGTGTTTTCATAATAGATAGATGCCACCCAGAGAGCAGAGAACTTATCCTCTAATACAAAACAAGTTAGTGAGGAGAGTCAGTTTATTGTATTTATATAGCAATGATTCTCAACAAAATCCTGGCTTTCAATGAATCATATTATAGTGGAGAAGAAAGCCCAAGGTTTCCTCCTGTCATTCTGATGAAATCATCTGCAACTCAACTCAGTCCCATGCTGGTATGAGTGCAAATAAATGTCACTGTGAAAAAAAAAAATTTCATCCCTCTGGTGAGCTAAAATTTTTCAGTTGTATGATTTTTTTGAAGCAAATTTCTACAATTGAGAGTTCTCTGAACTTGGAGGAGTGTGTTCTTTTTGCTTAGAAATTTTTCTGATGCTTTTTGAAGCTCACTGAAATTTTCTAAAACTTTATTTGTAAGATTCCAAACCTGGAATTACATGCAAAGTAATCCTAAATAAGGAATAAAAACTTGGGCTTATTTAAACCTATTTGTTTTGGAAGTAAATGAAGGGCACTTTTTATAAATGCAGTGTGTCTTCAAAATATGATTCCTAGTTTCTCTACAGAAGTCCTTCTTAAAGCTGTAGGCTTTTCTACTCCAGCTGTGAGACCAGGAAAGTTGCACCATCGCGATCTCACTGCCCCATCAAAGAGAAGTCCCAGAAGACAAATGGATTTCTTTCCTTGACAACAGCCGAGTCTGCCCTCATGCACACAGAACTGTTTTAAAAGTAAAAAATAAATGTTTATTGAGCTCTTTTGATGTCACAGAAGAATTTACCCACATTTTCTCATCTAATCTTCATAACAGTCCTATGAGGTTGATTTTATCCTCATTTTTACTGATTAAAAAAGCAAGTCTCAGAGAGATTAGGAATTTGAGGCAGAGTAAGGATTTGAACACAGATTTTCCAACTTTAGTCCTCTCTGACTCTACTATAATATGTTTTATATACTAGTTCCCTGCCTGTCAGGTCCAGATGATTCTAAACCCCGCCCCATTGATTAAGAAAACAATTAAGCTCAAATCTTATTTCCTTATCTATGTGGTTCCAGGCTCATCTTCCCAGAAACCCAACCATATTTAAATTATTGCCATGAACGAATGATAATCGCCATCCTCCAGCATTCTCCTTCAGTATTAACAGACTCACAGCAGAAAAGTGAATTTCTACAAGTCATATTTCTTAGTATTCTAAGTTCCCAGAGTTTTCTTCTGTGATAAAGAAGTAGATAGGATTACAAGAAATTCTTTACCCTTCATGGGGAACTTGAGTCCCCAAATTTCTTCCTGGGATTTTAGAAGAACAGCCCCAAGTTTTGAAATGATAAAAAAAAAAAAAAAAATAGAAATAACAGGCTGACTTGGGGAGGAGGGCAGAAAGGAAGAGACAGAGGCTATGTTTGTATCTACTCTTCAACTGGTTCACTATAGCACATTGTAATTCCCTCTTCCTTCCTCCCCATGCCTTGCTCCTGCTGGCTCCCCCTCCCCATACGCACACATCTCCAGATACATTCCATGGTGAGTTCTCCCAGCCCAGAGCAAAACAAATCAAGCAGAACCATATAATTTATTGCACCAAACTGGAATTACCCCCACCCACTTAAAAAATCTGGTTTCATTTCAGGGTAACAGCAGCTCAGCTCTGGCAGGGCTCAGTCAACGTGGGTGATCTGTGACATGTGGCAAAAATATAGAACTCATCAGATTTAATAAAACAAAGTTCCACACGCGATCGGAAGGCCTCTCTCAACAAAGGCCTGGAGGAGTTACTGCCGGCAGTCCCCAGCTTGCAGGAGAATCAACCCCCTCCGAGTCCAAAGCTCCCTCTTCACTCAAAAGTCATGAAAGACCAACAGGCTGTCCCAAGCAGAGGGTGGGGTTGAATGTGGGGGAGTAGAGAACAAATGCTGGTAGAACCAATGCAGTGGTATAGAGTGAGAGAAACCGGGGAGCAGCAGTCAGTGTGGCCACCATGGGGCTGGCGTCTTTCACATCTCTGGCTCTCAGGGTCTGTTTGCATTCCATTGCAGGCAAGAGGTGCCCTCTGCTGTCTACCGGCCACAGTGCACCAGGACATTGTCACTGCTGGTTCCCCAGGGGGAGTCCGAGAAGTGATCGGATGACTGGAAATCCCGCTTCTACTGGAGGGACACTGGACTGTGGTGCAGATGAGCCACTGCCAAAATCTTCCCAGGACAGCTGTGGAAACTCTGAATATCCATGCAGTGGAAGTACCTATTTTAGATAACTCAGTTTTAGAGGCAACCACCAGGAACCTGCGAGCAGTAGGCAAACTCTGAAACCCTCTTCAGAGTCTCACAGCTATCACTTCTTCCTCATAACACAATTACAGCAAGGTGGAGAGGGAGGCAGGGAGAGCCAGAGGCTTCCCAGCTGAGGAGAAACAGAAGATCACTCAGGACCTCGAAACTAAGCTGCCATTGAGACCCTTCTGCAATGGCTCTGCAGGTCCCACCCTCCACTTCTTGGCCCACGTACGCCACTGGTAACTATAATACTAGCATCAATTAATCAACTGCCACTATATCAAGCACCTTACCATGACTCTGAAAGGTGTTGTCTTTCCTGCTTTACAGATTAGGAAGTTAAATTCACGAAGAAGTAGAGTAACCTGCAAAAGACACAAAAATGCCAGAGCCAAGATTCAAACCCAGGTCAGTTTGGCTGCAATCTCCCCACTCTTTCTACCACACTACACTGTCTCATATGCTACTGAACGGTTGACTAAACCCTACTGTGGAAGGTCAGCCAACAAAAGCCTAACCTAGGTCCTATAAAAATGAAGTCAAGCACAGTGAAATAGGATGTCATTGTTGTAGGGGATGTTTTTTGCATGTGTTGTTGTAGCACTGTCACTTTTTCCTATTCTGATGACTTCTGCTCCACGGCTAAATATCCCAGGAAGTCCTGACTCAATCATGTCTATGGCAGCCAGCAAGCTTCACGTTGAGCAAAAACCATGGCAGAATTTTAAAAGACACCAGACTCACAGTTAGAGCCCTGTGTTATTATCTGCTGTGCATCTCACTAGCTCCAAAATCTTGGCCTGGTGAGTCAGTTTGAGTTCCAGCTTTCTTTATAATAAAATACATGTGCTATTTTAGTAAAAGTTTATATGGGGATTACATGAGATTACATATTTATATGCATATGTATGTACATATGTATGAAGGTTTATATTATATATACATATAAAATAGTCAGCTATGTGATATACTAAAGTTAGATATTGTGATGGTTAATACTGAGTGTCAACGTGATGGAATGGAAGGATACAAAGTATTGATCCTGGCTGGGTCTGTGAGGGTGTTGCCAAAGGAGATTAACATTTGAGTCAATGGGCTGGGAAAGGCAGATCCACCCTTAATCCTGGTGGGCATGACTAATCAGCTGCCAGAGAGACTAGAATATAAGCAGGCAGAAAAATGTGAAAAAAGAGACTGGCCTAGCCTCCCAGCCTACATCTTTCTCCTGTGATGGATGCTTCCTGCCCTCGAACATCAGACTCCAAGTTCTTCAGTTTTGGAACTCAGACTGGCTCTCCTTGCTCCTCAGCGTGCAGATGGCCTGTTGTAGGACCTTGTGATCATGTGAGTGAATACTTAATAAACTCCCCTTCATATATATACACATACATATATATACACACACATATATATATACATATATATACACATATATACATATATATACGTGTGTGTGTGTATATATATATATATATATTCCATTAGTTCTGTCCCTCTAGAGAACCCTGACTAATACAGAGCAAACAATGAAAAGAGATTACTTTAAGATTTTTAACATTTAAACTAAACTGATGACATGTTCAATGAATTACCATAAAGGAGGGGCAAATATTATGGTTCTTAAGGAATCCGTAATATTTGTGGCTTGTCTCTCACTTGGGGCATATACTATGGGGAGAAGATATGGCGGGAAGGCAGCTTCTGTAAGACAGCATATGCAATCACTGCTCCAGAGTTCCAGACCAGACTCCTGCTAGCAGCCAGAGCTCCCTGAAGACACCGGGTGGTTCTTCTTCGAGAGTGTTTCACCCTTTCAGCCCTGGATTCAAATCTGAGACTTAGAACAGGTTCCTTGCTGCCATCGTCCATGGTTCTGATCCACCTGGACACAAAAGCCAGGCTGTGTCGGAGACTGAGGAGGAATGAAGGGACCAACTGTCATGCTTCCCTGTAGCCTCATCTCTACTTGTTCCAGGTCCTGACTCCTGTTTGGGTTCCATGTCTTCTGTGACTCTCAGAACCCCAAAATATTATGTGCTGTCGACCGCCTACAATTCCTCACAATTGACTGCATGGACCAACACTTCTTATACTTACTGAAGAGACAGACATACTGCAAATTCAGTGTATTTAAGAATGTTGTGGAATACTCATGCCTCTCTCCTTCAGTGTTCTGATTTTTTTATTGAAAACTCTGTTTTAGTAAGACAGACTTTTCAAAGTGATCATTGGTATGTAACTCAAATCCCCCTGCCTTTTAAAAAATGATCCCAGCTACCCTATAATATGCACTGCTTCTTCTGACATTTTGTACCCATGACAATCTAAGGGTTACTGTCATCTCCCCACTCACCTTTTGCACACCTGTCTCCTCCCAGAACATCTGCTTGAAAATGGCCTTCCCATCAAAGAAGTTGCAGAAGCAAGAGTTTCAGTTTATCCCCTGCTAAATAATCCCTGTGACCTGAGTTGCTCAAGTGAATTTTAGCAACAGAGAAATTCAGTTAGAAGGATGAGTTGTCTTCATTCTACCAACAAGATTATACAAATTACTAAAGTTAACCCTGTATCCATACATTCCAATGAAAAAACAACACTTTAGCGAGTGTGGCATTTTTTTCTACACAATATGTATTGTCTTTAAAGATACGTTTCAATCTTATTTTCATTATCAGCTTCTAATACGTGTGAGTGTATGTGTATGTGTGTGTGTGTGTGTTTAATGACTACTATCGTGAGTCATTTTCAAGACAGCATTTTAGCTGAGTGGTTGAGAGCTTGTAAGCTGGTATCAGACCTGGTTCTAATTCAGCCTTGGTAAGTGACCAGCTGTTGACCTTGGGGTAAGTTACCCAATGCCTTTGAGCCTGTTAGGTGGAAATAAAAATAGAAAAGTCAGATATTTATTGCGAGAATTAAAAGAGGTAATGAATTATTAACTAGTTTTTTTTTTTAAGAAGGAGTCTCACTCTGTTACCAGGCTGGAATCTCAGCTCACTGCAACACCCGACTCCCTGGTTCAAGCAATTCTCCTGCCTCAGCCTCCCAAGTAGCTGGGATTACAGGCACCCGCCACCACGCCCATTTTTAGTAGAGACGGGGTTTCACCATGTTGGCCAGGATGGTCTTGATCTGACCTCGTGATCCGCCTGCCTCAGCCTCTCAAAGTGCTGGGATTACAGGCTTGAGCCACCGCGTCCAGCCCCAATATTTTTATATAACCCTAATCTACCTGTTTGATAAGTTGGCGTTTAAATTTGGTTAAGTGAAAATGCCACTGCTAGATGTTTTCTCATATCACTTACTTGGAGTTGGTGAAGTTGGTGAGGGCTTTTAGTTTGGACAGCATCTATCCTTATTGTCTTGAATATTTACCCAACCCCAAATTTCTATCAACAGTTGGGAGATGATTTCAAATATTAAGGACACTGATTTCATTAAAGCCACCTTGGCCACATTTAATCGACACACTAACTGCACGTGCTAAACTCTGTTTGTGGTTCTTCATGAAACAAATATAAAACTATTGCTGTGGTTATCTGCTCCCTGCAGCACCATTTCTTCTGTCCTGTCAGATTTCTCTTCTTTGGAATGTAATTGACTCCATGAACCACATAACCATAAAATAAACAAACTTATTACCAAGCCTCCCCTCCAAAAAAAAAAAAAAGCAACGCTTTCATTATGCAGGAAGAAGTTAAACTGAAACTAAAATATTCAGTAAGAGGTCATTTTCCACACACTTGGGATATTCTAAAGGAAATGCCACTCTAACCTTAGCTGTCAACACATCAACAAAACTGTTCCCAAACTCTAAGATAGTTTTCTCTGGCCCTCTGGAGAACACTTAGAAATCAAATTCTGCTCCGTGTCAGTTTCCTTGCACACCTTGCCCCATATTTAGGTCACTGTTCCCTGGATTTCTGTGTTTGGCACTCTGATTGTTTGTCTCTTTCAATTGGGATATTCATCTCTTGGCTTACATCTTTCTACCCCAAACATAAAGTCCAGAAGTTTTCCCCTAACTACTGCCAACATCCTCAATCCTTGTTTCCTTGTCCCAGGTTGAGCCCATCTTTTTCTTTAGGATTTGAAAGAGTAAACTTCCAATTTAGAAGTGGACGAATAAAACACAAGTGTTGAAGCAGGGTCCACATTACTGACCTGATAATAATGACAATAAAATTAACCAATAATAAAGTTTAATTGACTGAACACCTAGTGTGCCACCAGGTACTTCAGAGAGATGAGATTTAAGAGCCACAGCAACCCACTAAGTCAAGACATTGGGGCTCAGAGGGATTATTAACCTTCCCAAGATCCCACAGGTAGTAAGCAACAGGTCAGCATTCAAAGTCAGGACTGTCTGATTCAAGAGCCTGTATTTTTAAATTATTCATCACCACACTTGGTTTCTCAGACTTGTTAGGAAAACTAGGGCTTCCCACAGGACAAACTAGCAAGGCAAGTCAAGTAACAACTCACATACCCAATCTTTAGTTTATGAAACAAGAAATGTGAGACAATGTCAAACTGGAGCCCTTTTACTTGAGGTCAGTGAACTCAGTCCTAGAACCTCATTCTCTTCATACATATTCCAGCCCTTGCTACAGTGTCTGGTAACTGCAAACTTTGTTCTATATGTCTCCTCCTCCCAACCAGATTGTGAGTTCCTCAAGGGCAAGAACCATACTGACTTTTCTGTGCACCTGAGCACTTTGTGGACCTTAGCAGCAGTTCTGATACTTATTTATTGATTAATCCAAACTAAGTCTAGGATTTGGGATTATGACATCTCTTTCCTGATTTCCCTCTGACTCTTATCTGCTCATCTTGCTTCTTTATATTTCTATTCTTTTTTCCCTCCATTGTGTATTTTTTTTTGCAGTTGTTCTTATCAGTTGGGATAAGATAAAAGCAATCCCAGAAAAGTAGTCCCTGTCCATTAAAAAAAGGAATCTGAGTCATGAAACCAGAGGCCTCCAGCTTCGTGACTGTACAAATAAATAATCCCTCCTTCAAATCTAAAGTATATAGAGAATTAAAGGAAAAATTGAAAACACTTCAAAATATGCACTCAATTTCAATAATAAAATTTCAAAATGTAGAAACCTAGGGATGAGGGGGTAAAGAAAGGTTTCAGCTCAAGCACCAACATTCTGTAATTAGTGCCTGCTGGGTGGTTTGTGTTGAGAAAGACTCTGAGGCTAATCCAGAGCCAGTGAGAAACAATGCTAAGATTGATTAGAAGATTGGGCGATGGACCAACAGATGTCTTCTATTTGCCATTCTTGGGGTAACATATAGTAAAATAATATTAGCTAACTCTTGTACAATTACAGATTTTTTTAAGTATTGGTCAAAAGGAAATAATCAGGATTATAGACATGCCTGTGTGTACAGAGAGATGTTACAATCCATCACTGTCTATTGTTGTTTGATTGCTGCATTCTGCCATATGTAACTATATTTTATGTTCTTCCTTGTTTGTAATCAAAATAAAAAATCCAGAAATAACTGGTATGGAGAAATACAGAATTTCTAGAAGTGGCCATTTAGTTGGTAGTTACAATCGATATGAAAGGCAGCTAGTATTCCAAATCATCAGAAGGGACCCACAATAGGAGAAGGCAGCTGAGGGTAGAGCGGCTCCCTGACTAGGAGTAATGAAAACTAGAACACATGGGAGGGTACTCATGTTTCTAGCAAGTGGTCATAGTAATAGCAGTAATAATAAATTACTGCTCTTACTTTTGACTACCTACATTATTCCAGGCCTTGATCGAGGCACTTCACATACATTATCACCATAAAAATATCCCTAAAAGTTGAGGCAAAGAAACTTGCTCAAGGTTAAAGAACTAGCCACATTTCAAAACAAAGTCTATTTAATACACCAAACTATTTTGTACCAAATTATTTAATGGCTGACATAGAAAGGGTCAAATCATGAAAATGACCTGGAATGGCCTGTGGATACGAGTAATTAAATGACATAAATAAAAGTTGATGCTTTGTTGTGATTTTAAGTGACCTTAGTACTTAGAAGTCCTTTATTTAAAAGTATTTTCTACTTTTTCATGACTTATTTTTTTTGAATTTACCAATTCTATTTTTGTCTATTAAAATCTACTGATACGCATTTTCGGAGTAGATGAGTCCTTCATGCTATTTCTTGACTACCATACTGAGTATATCAGATAGGATTCTGGTAGCAAGTGATCAAACATCCCATTCAAACAACCTTAAGCAAGAAAAGATGTTTTATGGGCTAATAGAAAAAAGAAGGCCAGCTCACATTGCTTGATTCGGGTTTCAAACAACGTCATTGGGACCACTTTCTCACTTTTCATTCCCCAGCACTGCACCCTTGGTGTTGGCTTTGGATTCAGCCTCCAAGTGGCTGCAAGACATCCACAGTAGTTCTCCCTCCTCTCTTCACAAAGTCAGTCTTCAGAAGGAGAGCATCTGTGTGTGTCCCAGGGGCTCCATGAAAGGTCTCATAGAGTTCATTGACTCGTTTAGTATCACATGCTGTCCTTGAAGCAACCTTCGTGGCTGAGGGGCTATGAAGAGTTGGCTGACTTAGGTGTAGGACCTACCCTCACCCCTGGGGCCAGCACCACTTAAGCCACACAGGCAAGCAGAGGGCAAAGGATGACTGTCCAGAGGGGATTTGCAGCACTGCAGGTACCAGAAGAAAAGTTTACAGATAGCAGAAGTCAGGGTCTATGTGATAAAACCAACCAAGAGGAGCCCCAACAATCTCTTCATGGCAGTTCTCACAAGTAAAGTCATAGTAGTACCTAGGAGGAATTTCAATATCTCCCCAGTACACCCACAAAAACTTCATGGCAGGAGCATCATGATTAAAATCAGTGTATGTTGTCTCACTGAGATGTACTCCCCAGGCTCCCATCACGAGAGGAGAATTTCTCCTTTAGTGAACATGAATTACAGGTCTCAGAAATGTGCCATAATTCCAGAGAGAAGCTCTAATCCCAAAATGAAGAGCTCTGTTGTTTTAGGCCAGCGGGAGGAAACTGGACACTGGGAGTTATCGCTGAAATATGCATTGTGTCCTTAGTGAGCCAGTCACGTGAACTTTTATGCTGTCTTCTCACTAAAAAACAAAACAAAACATAAAAACAGAACTCTGTTGAAACAATTTCCAGGAGAGAAAAAATGCAGCCGGAAACTCAGGAGACAAGGTTTAGGGAAGGGTTCATTAATCTAAACCTGAAAGCAAAAAGTCACAATTATCTTCAACTGAAGTCTGCTGTTGTCATAAACGACAACAGAAGTGGGTGGGAGATTTTCCCTATTAAGGGAAAAGCAGTCTAAGATAGCAATGAATAGAGCTGGTGATCTTAATGGTCACCAATTTAACCAATTTGGAAAAGTTTTATAAAATAGCTATCAGTTTCCTTGATATAAAAGGGAGGTTATAATTTTGAGAAATAGACATTCCTGTGATCCTCACATGGGCTGTTGGTCACTTCCTAAAGAAAGCAGCAGGGCCAGGTGCGGTGGCTCACACGTATAATCCCAGCACTTTGGGAGGTCGAGGCAGGTGGATCACCTGAGGTCAGGAGTTTGAGACCAGCCTGACCAACATGGTGAAACCCCGCCTCTACTAAAAAATATAAAAATTAGCCAGGCATGGTGGTGGATGCCTGTAATCCCAGCTACTCAGGAGGCTGAGGCAGGAGAATTGCTTGAACCTGGGAGGGGGAGGTTGCAGTGAGCTGAGAACATGCCATTGCACTCCAGCCTGGGCAACAGAGCAAGACTCCTCAAAAAAAAAAAAAAAAAAAAAAAAAAACGAAAGAAAGAAAGAAAAAGAAAAAGCAGTGGAACAGCATGTTTGGGTGCAATGATCTCCGAATGGGACACGAGTGCCTAACAGGCTAAGATTTAAAGGTAATGGCAGAGAAATCCCTGTGGATGTGATAGGAAGGAAGGGAACCAGAAGCAATTGCAGGTCGTAAGACAGGAAAATATTCATAGGTGAAAAGCAAAAGGTTTCATTTTTCTTCCATTGAGATCCTAGAAGAAAAGAAACACAAAAGAAAATTCAACAGCTGTATCTCTAATCCCCTTAGGCAAACAATTGATCTCTCCAAATCTCAATTGCTTCATCCATTTAAAGTAGATTCAAACCTTTCTTCTGAGAAGGAAGCCCTGCATCTTTTATGATTGAGAAATCTGAGTTACAAGTGTATTTGTCATCCACATTACTCAAATGATTTTGGTCAGATTTAGGAGACACTTCCAAGATTTGGGAGACACTTCCAAGATATTTGTTTTTCTAGTAATCCTTTTATATTTCATAATAAATACTTGATTATGAGATTTTGAAGTTTGTTTCTGAAATTGAGGGGAAGATGAGGATAAGGAAGGGAGTAGAAATAACACCAAGAAAAGAAACTAATAAACATTCTGACACTTGTTTTGTAACCCCAGAAATGTTGGAGCTTTTGTTTACCAGATGACTGTCAGGAGAATCCAATAAAAACATTTGCAAATAAATCTGTGCCCTAGAATAGTATTAATAGAAACACAAGCTCTGAACACTGCCATAAAGTAAATCATATCAGCAGGGCCTCATGGGTCTTGTACCAGAGACAGAGGAATTCGGTTTACTCATGTTGCTTATCAGGAGATGCTGGGGCTCCCTCTACCCCTAGGGGTGTCTCTCTACATTTTGTTGTAGTGTAGTATTGGAAAACAAAGTTCAAAGGACTCTAGAGACAACAAAAATAACAGATGAACAATTAAACTAAAGCCGTGAATGCATCTTCTCTTCAATGAAGGGAACAGATAATTCATTTGAATTACCAAATTTTAACAAGGTTGTTATTTGCCATGGTTGAAGAGGCAATCTGACTTTAAAATCATTATAGGTCTTTAAAGAAATACAATGTTATTCCACAGAATATGGATAAAATAAAAGCAAATTATGCATCAGAATGGGGATTGGCAATCTTGCCAAAGTCAGGGGGAAAGTCTTCTCTCTCCAGCTCCCTGAGGGTGGGAGAGCATTTCCCAGCAGGAGGGAGGGGACAGGCTTCAGCTACCTTCATACCCTGTTGAGTGGCTGCTATTTCGGCCAAGTGGAACTCCAATGCTGCTGTGGGAGAAATGCCCCAATCTCCAGCTCCGGCATGTCTTATGTACACGAAGCAGGCATTTCCACACCTTCTGTACACACCCCACTGCAAGCCCTGACCAAGTGTGGAATCCTCCAACTCAAAGGGCCTTGAGCTGCACTAACAAAAGAAAGGAATTCACTGGTGCCTTTAGTGTTGGTATTCAGAGCCCCAAAGCACCCTCCAAAGTCAATTTTTTTAGTCATCCTATTAAGCAGAAAGAATACACCTCACCTTGCTCAGGGTAACAGTGTGCTTAACAGATATATTTTTAATACTCATACTTGACACCTTCTGGTTTACAAATGAGTGGACTCTGGATAAATGAAGTTTAACATAATCAGTGAAAGTGCTCATATTATCTAAACGCCTGACTTACAAGAAGTTACACAGAATTAAAATACTATCTACCAAAAACTGCTTAGTGGTAATATGTAAGACATGTTATAGCTACTCATTGATGAAATATTAAAGATTTTAAAGTCCTCATGTTTAAAAAAAGTAAATTCAGCTTTGAAGAGATTTTGATCAAATGATAACAATTTTGAAACTGTAATTAGAGTTATTAGGTAGAGGATTGGGTAAATGTATCATATTCTGACATGATTTTCAGGATAACTAAAATGAGCACTGAACACAGAACCCTGTCAGGCACATCCCACAGACCCATCCCTGGTAGCATTTTATACCAAGGCAACCATCACAAATCACCTTAGCCAGATTTTATACCAAGGCAACCATCACAAATCACCTCTGTCTAACAAAGCACCTTTTACGTTTTAAATGGACTTCAAAAGGAAAATATTAAAGTTTATTGAACTTTATTCACACACATTCATCTAACAAATATTTATTGAAGCTCTTAGACCCTATCGCGGCGGGGGAGGGGGGAACACAAAGCTACATGAGACAATGCCTATATGCCAGGAACTCACAATATTGAAGGGCAGAGATACATGTGTTCTAGCCCCCTCCCCTCCCCTCTCCATCCTCCCTCCTTACTTAGATCAATGCCCCGGGTCACTCACTCTTCCCTAGGGCTCCGCGGGACAGGCACAGGATGGGCAAAGTGTACTTTGGTGGGCAGGATGAGGGGATTACTATGCCAGCTCCTTCTTTTCTTCTTTGTCCCGTTTGGGGTTGGATGGTTCATCTCTGTGGAAGGTACCTTTACCTGCGAGGGACTAAGAGTACCTTTGCCTGCTCAGGCCATGAAAGAGAATGATGTCTTCAGAGAAAGCAGGTAAAACCCTCCATAACCTGTGGCCCCAATCCCATCTCTCCAGCCTTAAATCCTACTCCATTTCCGTTATATCCACTCACTCCTTTCTGAATACACTGCAGTTTGCTTTCATTCAAGCTATGTCCTACTGATCCAGTCCTACTTGTCTAAGTCTTATTCATCTTTTCAAGGGTCATCTTCAATGCTGCTTCTTCCATCAAATGTTTCTTGATCTTTGTCCCTGACCTCACCCACTCTAATATACATTTTCCTCCTATGAGTCCTCATAACTGAGTTTATGTCAACCCCAAGGAATTTATTATGCTTCAACTTATATTAAACAATTTAGGGACTTCTTATTCACTCATTCTCATGAGACTGTAAAATGCTTGAGAGCAAGTCTGTATTTAATTTGCTTTTCCCTCACGGGACAAATCAGAGACAAGGTTGGCCTGCATTTTAAAATTTATTTATTTAACTAACATTTATTAAGCATAAACTATGTGCCAGACATTGGGCTAGAGATTCAATAGTGAGTATAAATCATTTCTCCACCACCAAGGAATTTATACTGTAGTGACCAAATAGTCGATGATTAACAAATACCTGATAAGTTAATCCAAAGAGCACCCCTCATACCCATAAATATCTCTCCTTCTTAACCCCATTCTTCCTCCTCCTCTGTATGCTCTTTTAAATTGATTTCCCTAAACAGTATCTAAAGGCTTCCTACCTAAGGAAAGACTGAAAATGAAGACAAAGGTTTAAGAAAAGAGATATGTTATACTCTGAGCATTTCAACTGGTGGTTAAGGAGAATGCTTATATCTTATGATTGACATTTATGAGCCCCTATAGGCAAGGAAGGTATCCTCCCCAGTGTCTTGTAAAATGGTAAGACTTTGTCTGAACAAACGGTACCATCTTTATAATGAAAATAATCGTAATAATAAATGAGTAGCCTTTGTTGGAGATTTTTCCCAACAATAAAAAATACTGAGAAGTTGAAAATGTTGAAACTTCAAATGTCTGACAATGACCAAATAGGTGTTAATGACAGAGAGGTGAAAGGTAAGAGAAAGGAAGATGTCTTCAAAGATGAATAAACATCCTTCCTGCTCCTTCTTAGTATGGCTCTTCTTCTAAGACCAGCCCCCAATTAAGTGGCAATGCTCATTAGGGTTGCATGCCAGTTTTTATGAATTATTTTATACCATCCTATGGCTGCAACTATCAACCCGAGACTCCTAAATCTGTATCTTCAGACCTCGCTCTTTCTGAGCTCCAGATTCATATATCCAACTGATGCTGGCATTTCTACCTGGAAGTCCATGGACCCAGCAAGCACTAAAGGTGAAACGTATTTTCTTTCCTCTTTCTCTCACTCTGCTTCTCCTCAACTGGTCTCTGTATTAGCAGGATCTTTTGCAAGGACTGCTCTCTGAAGTTGCCACCCCACCTTCAACACCAGGAATCATCTACAATTCTCCCAGTCTCAGCTATAGCAGAGCTTTTTTTAGGAAGAACACTCTGAGCCAGAGAGCAGAGTTAGATGGTCCTTCTCTCTACTGGTGGTGTACCATGTCCCTATTTCTGTTAGAGCTCATATTGTACTGTTTTGTAACTTTGTGTTGACTGACTAGATCGTGATCCTTTGGAGCAGTGGTTCTCAGTCCTTGTCACTCATTGGAATCACCTGGGAAATTTTAAAACTACTAATGCCTGGAACCCACTCCACCCCCAACTCTACCCCTGAATGTAATTTAATTCATATGTGGTACAGCCTAGACACTGGAAGTTAAAAAAAAAAATCCCCCCAGATGATTTTTATGCACAGTTAAAATTGAGAACTTCTGGACTTGAGAAGAGTAATTGCATCTTGAGTCAGGTATTGAATGAATAAACAATTACAACATCTACCCAGACACCTTAGAGTCCCAAACCCCATTCATCACCAAAACCTGTCAACTGCACTTCTGAGAAGTCTCTTTTATCTACCTTCTTATATATACATAGAATAATTACTTTATTTCAGGCACTCATTTTTCTGCCAGATTATTACACTTTCCTCCTCATTGTCTTCTTATCTTAGAGTTCCCCCCAAGTTTCCCTCTAAACTACCATTAGAGTTATCTTGCTAATAGTCTAACCATGTCCCCTTTCTGCTTCAAATGGATTTATGTTGCCTACACAATACAATCTAAACTTTGCCAGATGAGATACTTAATTTTCCTCCTTCTCTGCCTGGCTATTTCTATTTCTGCTTCATGATTCATCTCAAACATCAACTCCTCTACTGGCTAAATCTTCCCCCACTCCACCTCTCCCAGGAAAAGTTACCATGCCCCCTCTTTGCCTCTACAGCACTTGGTATATGTCTCTCTTACAGCCTTTTCTATTGTATGTTGACATTATCTGCTTAAATATGTATGTCTCCTACATGAACTCTTTGAGGGCAGAAACTTGTCCTGTCATCTTTGTATCCTGATTGCATAGCATAGGTCTAGTTGGTACATCAGTAAATATATATCAGATGAGAGGATAGATTAAGAGAGGAAGAAAGATAAAGGCAAATAATGGTGTTTCTATTTAGAGGAAGGAGTAGCCCAAAAGGGTAAGGACAGAGATGGGAAGCTCCTGGAGGAAAGCTAGATGCCTACTCTACAGGAATCTGTCCTCAGACACAGAAGCCCTGAGCAGTGGTGTCAGAGGCTGGAACACCTGAGTCAGGCCTAAGTGGCTGTTTGTCCCTACTGCCTTTGACCACAGCCTCCTTGTCAGTCCAGTGCTCCCTGTGCAAAATGACCTGAATCTGAGTGTATCTACCATTAGACATGACTCTGAACCATTTGATATTCCTGGGGAAAGCTTTTGGCCTTCCTTTTCCAAAATGATGTCTACACATTTAAAATTAACTTGTCACTCTAAAGAAACAAGAATTTACAACTTGGATTCTTTTTTTCTCACTTCAAAATTGGCCATATATCCTATGATTTGCTGTATTAATGTTGCAGTGTAGGAATGCTCTCTTCCCAGAGAACAACCAGAGATGACTATTCTTTAAGCCCTGAAATAGTCACGATCAGTCTGAATGCTTGCAGATGCATGTTTTATTAGAGGGGAATGAAAGGAGTTAATAATCTTTTTCTCTAGACCAAAGAAGGGTGGACCAACTTGCCTACAGCATTGGCAACTTGTCTACACAACATGCCTCTTTTCATTGTTATACTTCCTGCCCAGGTTAGTCAGGAGGCTACTTATGAAACCAGTGTCTGTGATGATTACATGTTAGGTGTGAACTATACAGTCAGTGAGAATTAGTTATTAAAGTGATTATTTGTGTTTGATTGACAGAACACATGCATCTCTGTGGACAGCATAGTATTTCTTACCCCCTGGCATTAGATACTCTACATCAGAATGTAGTGCATTTCTGAGGAAACATAGAAAGTATTTATAAGAAAAGTTATGTGTTTCTGAGGATAAGAGGGGATCCTTTCATAAGGACCCTCCTGAGGCAGGTGATTTAGAGATGGGAGTGGTGAAGCCATCCTCACATGGTGAACAAGAATTCAGGACAGAAATAGAGTTATAAGTAAGTATTAATCAGGCTTCACTTTGACCTATTTCCTTGTAACTAAAATTCACTAGATGTTGACCATTTACATCAACATTGTTCCTATAGATGGGACTTCTGACATTACAATCATAAGGCTTTTGTTTAAGAATTGCTTAATATATTTTTCACATCCCAAATTCCAGTGAAACAGCTGACACCAACCAGTTTGAAGATCCACACAGAAGAACAGAATCAGCATGAGAATACAGTTTCATTTCCTTGTCCCATGGCTTCACCCTGTACTCTTTGACTTAACAACCATCTCCACACTTAGGCTCACTCCAAAACCTTCAAAAACCCTATCCCTAAACTCCTTGGGGAGATGGATTTGAGGTTTCCTTCTATTTCCTCCTTTGGCAGCTCTATGATTAAACCTCTTTATCTTCTGCAACCTGCTGTCTTAGTATATTGACTTGCCAGGTATATCAGGCAACAGACCTATTGTGGTTACAGTGGTGGGGCAGTGGAGAAGTTTGGAAAACCAAAAGTGACCATGTGTTTAAAGCCCAGCAGTCCCTAAATTCACCCAGACCAGCTCTAACTATGCTCAAGCCTTAGACAGAGAGGAAAACACATTCTATACTTAGAATACTGCTTTAAGAAATCCATTGTTGTCCTCTGAACATGACTAAGAAGTATTAGGAGCCCATTTATTTAGCATTATCAAGAATTAATTATTGAATACAACAGAAGAATTATTGCCTTTACATCATCAAATATTCATTAGATACTATTCAGACCTATAGTTACACACACAAACTTACATACACAAAATGCTTTGTTCCACCTCACAAATGGCTATTTCCCAATAGTCTTCAAAGTAATAAGAAAAATTAGCATTGTCACCTACAGGTAGCATTACTGTCTCTGGGGCTGGCTCCACAATTAATGCCAATACGAAGAGGAAAAATGTCCCAGTGGAATATGGAGTTCTCTGTGCAGGTGTTTTCTGGTGGGACAACTTGAGGACTCTGGGTTTAAATTGTTAACCAGTTGACAATTTCCAATTTCAACCTTCTCCATCATTTCTGAAGAACAAACTTAAATGTCACTAAATGGTTCTAACATGACTTCGTGGTTTTCTAATTTTAATCTAAAACTAAAAAGTGAGCATTAGCACAGGTCTTGCATAGATTATGATTCTGTAATAGTGCCACATAACCCAGAATTACCCCAAAACTGCTTTAGAAGTTTGCACACTGCTCTGCACTACAAGTCAGCATTACTTGGCTAAATGTTCTGACATTCATATGGAACAAAAAATTCTTGTTCATTGGTGGTTAGCAGTTCTCATTAAAGTTTGCCACTGATTCATGAAGAAAGGGCTTAGTAGATCAAAAAGGATAACCTTCATACATTACACAACTACTAAACTTGCACCTACTAATCAGTAACTTAAAACAATGTTCTTGCCAAAAGGTGTGTGAAAAGTAAGAAATTATACATGATAAGAAAAACTTAAGCTGTAAAAATGGAACACCTTGTTAAAATTAAGGGCAAAGCCTAAAGGCCAAAGTTCAAGCCTTCCCCCAATCCAGGCAGGGCCCAGATCACCATAAGCAGCATCACTGATTTTATTTTTCTCCCAAATTTTCAAACCTTATCCCGCAAATGAATGTCTCATTCTCACTTTTCACTCTATGGTCCACTTTGGGCCACAGAGACAAGGAATGACTGTTGCACACCCAGACATGTGCATTTACAGACAACCATTAACCAAAGTCACAGCTAAGGATTCAAAGATCTCGAACTCCATGATCTGGGGGACGTATTTGAAGGTACTTCATATATTCTTGGCAATTGCTTATACTCAATGCTTTCAGCAGGTAACCTGAGAATGCAAAATAGAAGTCTGACCCCTAAAACCCAGGGCCCTCTCTGGTGATGGTGCAAATCCACTCCACTTAATATTAGAATCAGGAAGATAAACCATTAATAAAACAAGTCCATCCAGCATAAAAAGAAACAGCCTCACCATCAGTTAATTTCATGTCAAATTATATGTGAAATATTATTTTAAGAAGACATTTTGAAACCAAATGCAATTCTAAATGTGCTAGGATTCTAGGATGCCAAACTTATCTGCCAGAAATAATATCTTCATCAATGTAGCCTTATGTCTTAGAAAGCTTTCTAAACCTTACTAATAAATGCAAATTCCTCATGTTGACAGCAGCAGTAAGTAGATTCTTACATTTGCTAAAAGCAGATTATTAGCTACTCCTCTTTTTTCTATTTTGTAAATTTCCAGTTGGTGTAAAATACTTTGCACCAACTGTTCCAGTTGTTCTGACATTGTCTATTACTTTTTAGGCTAGCTTTTTCTAACACAGACTGAAGAAAAAATGGGAAACTTTTTATTAAATGCAACTTCTCATTCACTCCTCTGACATCCATATCCAAGCCTGATTTTATTTCTAAAATAGCACAGACTTTTTCAGCTCATCTCATTCCTTATAGAAATGCCCATTCCATAAAAGGAAAAGTAAGACAGCAGCAAAATTCCGAAAGATAATTTGGGCATAGTGGTTTCTGAACAGAAGCCAACATGATGAACACCAACTGGACTTTTCCAACTCTCCCTCCCTCTGGAAGTCTATTTATTCTGCACTGACTGGAAACCATTCAGCAGTGTTGGATCTGTGACCTTCTCCTACACCTCTTCAATGCAGGAGGACATTAAAACACAAGCTGCAAATCCAGCCAGAGGGAAACGGCTGCCCTGGACCTGAGGCCTCTTTCATATTCAAAGACTGACTTCAATTGACTGGGGGTCCATATAAATAATATATTTCTCAACCAAAAGAGCTTCCCTGAGCAATTATTCTCATCAGAAAAGTTTCTATGAGGTGCCAAGAGAATTATTTTAAGAAATGTTTTTAGAAGTTTCTTGACCTCAGAATTTTTTCAAGGTGTCAACTTGGGCTGATCCCCAATAACAACAATCCATAGCTTAGTCAGATTTCAGGTTTTAAAGTATGTGGCATTTTTAAGAAGGCTCCTCCCCACTTTCCTTCAAACATATGCCGAAAGTAAACACAAGTTCAAGCCCATTGTTGTGTTTTTCAACTACAAATTTTCTATCTCTTCCTTTCCTTCCTCCACCATCACCTCAAAATTCAGTCAGCAGAAGGTAGAAATGAGTAGGAACCGTCCAACATTATGGGACACCACTCAAGGGTTTCCTTGCCTCAGCTTTGCAAGTATTTCAGATCCTTGATTGTCCTTAAAATTTACAGTTTGATCTGGCAGTAATCTCTGGGTAAATCCAAAAAAGAAAATGCCACTCTTCTAAAATGATGAAAAATAATCTCTTCAAAACTAGGAAGGGTCAATCTCGGAGATCCACAGGAAACTCTGTGTTTTTCTCTGGCCAACTGAGGACCCACTTGGTTCCAGATGTAAAACCGAGGCAGAACTGAAAATAATGGGAATAAGAGGTTATACTCTGCAGGATGAACCAATTCTGACATAACATAAACTTCCTGAGAAAACATGAGTATAAGTGACACTTTGCTAGAAATAGGTTAGGCTTACAGAGTAGGAAAATAGCCGGAGGTGACAAAAATGCAATAACTTCATCTCTGCTTATGAAATTCAGTGCCATCTTTAAATAGCTATTTTTTTCTGACTCCTAATCAATAAATGAGATCCAAAATATTCTTTGAAATTTACAATGAAATGAGGAATAAATGATTCCTAAATCACCATTATCTCCTCATTTTATTTATTAAATCAGTATTAAAAATAATCCATTATATGCAAAACATTAAGCTATATGCATAATGTCTCTACCAATTTAAATTATCTCTGAACCCAGTGTACAAGGGTTCCCTTTCCTCTACATTTGCTCTGACTCATTTTCCTTATGCTTTCTTTTAGTAGTTTTATGGTTTCAGGTCTTGTGTCTAAGTCTTTAATCCATTTTGAGTTAACTTTGTGTATGGTGTAAGACAAGGGTCCAACTTTATTATTTTGAATGTGGATATCCAATTTTCCCAACATCATTTATTAAAGAAACTTTCTCTCCCCACGTATATTCTTGGCACTCTTGTCAAAGGTTAGTTGACTATGTATGTGTGGGTTTATTTCTGAGTTCTCTGTTCTGTTCTATTGGTCTATGTGTCTGTTTTTATGACAGTGCCATATTGTTTTGATTATTATAGCTTTGAAATACAGTTTAAAATCAGGGAGTGTGATACCTCTTATTTTGTTATTTCTTAAAATCTCTCTAGTTACTTGGAGTCTTTTGTGGTTTCATGCAAACTTTAGGGGTTTTTTTAATTACTTAAAAAAAGTCTTTTTTAATACTTTAAGTTCTGGGATACATCTGCAAAATGTGCAGGTTTGTTACATAGGTAAACATGTGCCATGGTGGTTTGCTGCACCCATCAACCCAACATTTATATTAGGTATCTCTCCTAATGCTATCCCTTCTCTTGCCTCCCACCCCCTGACAGGCCCTCAGTGTGATGTTCCCCTTCTTGTGCCCATATGTTCTTATTGTTCAACTCCCACTTATTAGTGAGAACATGTGTTTGGTTTTCTGCTCCTGTGTTAGTTTGCTGAGAATGATGGTTTCCGGCTTCATCCATGTCCCTGCAAAGGACATTAACTCATCCTTTTTATGGCTGCATAGTATTCCATGGTGTATATGTGCCACATTTTCTTTACCCAATCTATTATTGACAGACATTTGGGTTGGTTTCAAGTCTTTCTTATTGTGAATAGTGCCACAATAAACATACGTGTTCATGTGTCTTTATAGTAGAGTGATTTATAATCCTTTGGATATATACCCAGTATGGGATTGCTGGGTCAAAGGGTATTTCTAGTTCTAGATCCTTGAGGAATCACCACACTGTCTTCCACAATGATTGAACTAATTTACAATCTCACCAACAGTGTAAAAGGATTCCTATTTCTCCACATCCTCTCCAGCATCTGTTGTTTCCTGACTTTTTAATGATTGCCCTTCTAACTGGCATGAGATGGTTTCTCACTGTGGTTTGATTTGCATTTCTCTAACGACCAGTGTTGATGAGCATCTTTTCATACATTTGTTAGCTGCATAAATGTCTTCTTTTGAGAAGTGTCTGTTCATATCCTTTGCCCACTTTTTGATGGGGTTGTTTGGTTTTTTTCTTGTAAATTTGTTTAAGTTCCGTGTGGATTCTGGATATTAGCCCTTTGTCAGATGGATAGGTTGCAAAAATTTTCTCCCATTCTGTAGATTGCCTGTTCACTCTGATGATCGTTTCTATTGCTGTGCAGAAGCTCTTTAGTTTAATTAGATCCCATTTGTCAATTTTGGCTTTTGTTGCCATTGCTTTTAGTGTTTTCGTCATGAAGTCTTTGCCCATGCCTATGTCCTGAATAGTATTGCCTAGGTTTTCTTCTAGGGTTTTATGGTTTTAGGTCTTATGTTTAGGTCTTTAATACATCTTGAATTAATTTTTGTATAAGGTGTAAGGAAGGGGCCCAGTTTCAGTTTTCTGCATATGGCTAGCCAGTTTTCCCAATATCATTTATTAAATAGGGAATCCTTTCCCTATTGCTTGTTTTTGTCAGGTTTGTCAAAGTTCAGATGGTTGTAGATGTGTGGTGTTATTTCTGAGGACTCTGTTCTGTCCCATTGTTCTATATATCTGTTTTGGTAACAGTAACATGCTGTTTTGATTACTGTAGCCTTGCAGTATGGTTTGAAGTCAGCTAGCATGATGCCTCCAGCTTTGTTCTTTTTGCTTAAGATAGTCTTGGTTACATGGGCTCTTTTTCACTCCATATGAAATTTAAGGTAGTTTTTTCCATTGTGAAGAAAGTCAATAGTAACTTGATGGGAATAGCATTGAATCTATTAATTACTTTGGGCAGTATGGCCATTTTCATGATACTGATTCTTCCTATCCATGGGCATGAAATGTTTTTCCATTTGTTTGTGTCCTCTCTTATTTCCTTGTGCAGTGGTTTGTAGTTCTCCTTGAAGAGGTCCTTCACATCTCTTGTAAGTTGTAGTCGTAAGTATTTTATTCTCTTCGTAAGAATTGTGAATGGGAGTTCACTCATGATTTGGCTCTCTGTTTGTCTATTATTGGTGTATAGGAACGCTTGTGATTTTTGCACATTGATTTTGTATCCTGAGACTTTGCTGAAGTTGCTTATCAGCTTAAGGTGTTCTGGTGCTGAGACGATGGGGTTTTATAAATATACAATCATGTCATCTGCAAACAGAGACAATTTGACGTCCTCTCTTCCTATTTTAATACCCTGTATTTCTTTCCTTGCCTGATTGCCCTGGCCAGAACTTCCAATACTATGTTGAATAAAAGTAGTGAGAGAGGGCATTCTTGTCTTGTGCCAATTTTCAAAGGGAATGCTTCCAGCTTTTGCCCATTCAATATGATATTGTCTGTGGGTTTTTCGTAAATAGCTCTTATTATTTTGAGATACGTTCCGTCCATCAATACCCAGTTTATTGACAGTTTTTAGCATGAAGAGCTGCTGAATTTTATCACAGGCCTTTTCTGCATCTATTGAGATAATCATGTGGTTCTGTTTATGTGATGGATTACATTTATTGATTTGCATATGTTGAACCAGCCTTACTTCCCAGGGATGAAGCCAACTTGATCATGGTGGATAAGTTTTTTAATGCGCTGCTGGATTCAGTTTGCCAGTGTTTTGTTGAGGATTTTCACATTTATGTTCATCAGGGATATTGGCCTGAAATTTTCTTTTTTCTTTTTTCTTTTTTTGTTGTGTCTCTGCCAGGTTTTGGTATCAGGATGATGCTGGCATCATAAAATGAGTTAGGGAGGAGTCCCTCTTTTTATATTGTTTGGAATATTTTCAGAAGGAATGGTATCAGCTCCTCCTTGTACCTCTGGTAGAATGAGGCTGTGAATCTGTCTGGTCCTGGGCTTTTTTTTGGTTGGTAGGCTACTA